>NC_000020.11:23835553-24463756 GCF_000001405.40 Homo sapiens
CATGGTTCATCTCATTGGGACTGGTTGGACAGTGGATGCAGTGCATGGAGGGTGAGCCGAAGGAGGGCAGGACATAGCCTCACCTGGGAAATGCAAGAGGTTGGGGGATTTCCCTTTCCTAGCCAAGGGAAGCTGTGACAGACTGTATTTGGAAAATTGGGACACTGTTACCCAAATACTGCACTTTTCCAATTGTCTTAGCAAATGGCACACCTGGTGATAATATCCCATGCTTGGCTCAGTGGGTCCCATGCCCATGGAGCCTTGCTCACTGCTAGCACAGCAGTCCAAGATTGAACTGTGAGGCAGCAGCCTAGCTGGGGGAAGGGCATCCACCATTGTTGAGGTTAGAGTAGGTAAAGAAAGCAGTCGGGAAGCTCGAACTGGGTGGAGGCCACCACAGCTCAATGAGGCCTGCCTGCCGCTGCAGACTCCACCTCCGGGGGCAGGGCATAGCTGAAAAATGTCAGCAGAATCTTCTTCAGACTTAAAAGTCCCTGTCTCACAGCTCTGAAGAGAGCAGTGGTTCCCTAGCATGGGGTTTGAGCTCTGAGAACAGACAGAATGCCTCCTTATGTGGGTCCCTGACACCCATGTAGTCTAACTGGGAGACACCTCCCAGTAGGGGCCGACTGACACCTCACAAAGTTGGGTGCCCCTCTGAGGCAAAGCTTCCAGAGGAAGGATCAGGCAGAAATATTTGCTGTTCTACAATATTTGCTGTTCTGCAGCCTCTGCTGGTGACACTCAGGCAAACAGGGTCTGCAGTGGACCTCCAGCAAACTCCAACAGACCTGCAGCTGAGGGATGTGACAGTTTGAAGGAAGACTAAGAAACAGAAAGGAATAACATCAAAGTCAACAAAAAGAACATCCACACCAAAACTCCATCTGTAGGTCACCATCATCAAAGACAAAAGGTAGATAAAACCACAAAGATGGGGAGAAACCAGAGCAGAAAAGCTGAAAATTCTAAAAACCAGAGCATCACTTCTCCTTCAAAGGATTGCAGCTCCTCGCCAGCAACAAAACAAAGGTGGATGGAGAATGATTTTGATGAGCTGATGAGTTGATAGAAGTAGGCTTCAGAAGATTACTAACAACAAACTTCTCTGAGCTAAAGCAGAATATTTGAACCCATCATAAGGAAGCTAAAAATCTTGGGAAAAGATTAGATGAATGGCTAACTAGAATTAACAGGGTAGAGAGGACCTTACATGACCCGATGGAGCTGAAAGCCATGGCACGAGACATACATGATGCATGCACAAGCTTCAGTAGCCAAATTGATCAAGTGGAAGAAAGGATATCAGTGATTGAAGATCAAATTAATGAAATGAAGCAAGAAGAGAAGTTTAGAGAAAAAAGAGTAAAAACAAATGAACAAAGCCTCCAAGAAATATGTGGCTATGTGAAAAGACCAAATCTACGTTTGATTGGTGTGCCTGAAGGTGATGGGGAGAATGGAATCAAGCTGGAAAATACTCTTCAGGATATTATCCAGGAGAACTTCCCAGACCTAGCAAGGCAGGCCAACATTCAAATTCAGGAAATACAGAGAACACCACAAAGATACACCTTGAGAAGAGCAACCCCAAGACACATAATGGTCAGATTCACCAAGGTTGAAATGAAGGAAAAAATGTTAAGGGAAGCTAGAGAGAAAGGTTGGGTTACCCACAAAGGGAAGCCCATTAGACTAACAGTGGACCTCTCAAAAGAGACTCTACAAGCCAGAAGAGAGTGGGCGCCAATATTCAACATTCTTAAAGAAAAGAATTTTCAACCTGGAATTTCATATCCAGCCAAACTAAGCTTCATAAGTGAGGGAGAAATAAAATCCCTTACAGAAAAAGCAAATGCTGAGAGATTTTGTCACCACCAGGCCTGCCTTACAAGAGCTCCTGAAGGAAGCACTAAACATGGAAAGGAACAACCAGTAGCAGCCACTGCAAAAACATGCCAAATTGTAAAGACCATCCATGCTAGGAAGAAACTGCATCAATTAATGGGCAAAATAGCCAGCTAACATCATAATGACAGGATCAAATTCACACATAACGCTATTAACCTTAAATGTAAATGGGCTAAATGCCCCAATTAAAAGACACAGACTGGCAAATTGGACAAAGAGTGAAGACCCAACAGTGTGCTATATTCAGGAGACCCATCTCACATGCAGAGACAGATATAGGCTCAAAATAAAAGGATGGAGGAAGATCTACCAAGCAAATGGAAAGAAAAAAAAGCAGGAGTTGCAATTCTAGTCTCTGATCAAACAGACTTTAAACCAACAAAGATCAAAAGAGACAAAGAAGGCCATTACATAATGGTAAAGGGATTAATTCAACGAGAAGAGCTAACTCTCCTAAATATATATGCACCCAATACTGGAGCACCCAGATTCATGAAACAAGTCCTTAGAGACCTACAAAGAGACTCAGACTCCCACACAATAATAATGGGATAATTTAACACCCCACTGTCAATATTACACAGATCAATTAGACAGAAGGTTAACAAGGATATTCAGGACTTGAACTCAGCTCTGCACCAAGCAGACCTAATAGACATCTACAGAACTCTCCACCCCAAATCAACAGAATATACATTCTTCTCAGCACCATCTCACACTTATTCCACAATTGACCACATAGTTGGAAGTAAAGCACTCCTCAGCAAATGTAAAAGAACAGAAATCACAACAAACTGTCTCTCACACCACAGTACAATCAAATTAGAACTCAGCATTAAGAAACTCAGTCAAAATCATATAACTACATGGAAACTGAACAACCGGCTCATGAATGACTACTGGGTAAATAACAAAATGAAGGCAGAAATAAAGATGTTCTTTGAAATCAATGAGAACAAAGACACAACATACCAGAATCTCTGGGACACATTCAAAGCAGTGTGTAGAGGGAAATTTATATCACTAAATGCCCACAAGAGAAAGCAGGAAAGATCTAAAATTGACACCCTAACATCACAATTAAAAGAACTAGACACATAAAAGCAAACAAATTCAAAAAGCTAGCAGAAGGCAAGAAATAACTAAGAACAGAGCAGAACCGAAGGAGATAGAGACACAAAAAACTCTTCAAAAAATCAATGAATCCAAGAGCTGTTTTTTTTAAGAGACCAACAAAATTGATAGATGGCTAGGAAGACTAATAAAGAAGAAAAGAAAGAAGAATCAAATAGATGCAATAAAAAATGGTAAAGGGGATGTAACCACCAATCCCACAAAAATACAAACTACTACCAGAGAATACTACAAACACCTCTACTCAAATAAACTAGAAATTCCAGAAGAAATGGATAAATTCCTGGACACATACACCCTCCCAAGACTAAACCAGGAAGAAGTTGAATCCCTGAATAGAACAATAACAGTCTCTGAAATCGAGGCTATAATTAATAGCCTACCAACCAAAAGAAGTCCAGGACCAGAACGATTCACAGCTGAATTCTACCAGTTACAAACAGGAGCTGGTACCATTCCTTCTGAAACTATTCCAATCAGTAGAAAAAGAGGGAATCCTCACTAACTCATTTTATGAGGCCAGCATCATCCCGATACCAAAGCCTGGCAGAGACACAACCAAAAAAGAGAATTTTAGACCAAATCTCCTGATGAACATCAGTGCAAAAATCCTCAATAAAATGCTGGCAAACTGAATCCAGCAGCATATCAAAAAGCTTATCCACCAAGATCAACTTGGCTTCATCCCTGGGATGCAAGGCTGGTTCAACATACGCAAATCAATAAACGTAATCCATCACATAATCAGAACAAATGACGAAAACCACATGATTATCTCTATAGACGCAGAAAAGGCCTTGGACAAAATTCAACAGCACTTCATGCTAAAAAGTCTCAATAAACTAGGTATTGATGGAACATATCTCAAAATAATAAGAGCTATCTATGACAAACCCACAGCTGATATCATACTGAATGGGTAAAAACTGCAAGCATTCCCTTTGAAAACTGCCACAAGACAGGGATGCTCTCTCTCACCACTCCTATTCAACACAGTGTTGGAAGTTCTGGCCAGGGCAATAAGGCAAGTGAAAGAAATAAAGGGTATTCAATTAGGAAATGAGGAAGGTGAATTGTCCCTGTTTGCAGATGACATGATTGTATATTTAGAAAACCCCATCATCTCAGCCAAAATCTCCTTAAGCTGATAAGCAAATTCAGCAAAGTCTAAGGATACAAAGTCAATGTGCAAAAATCACAGGAATTCCTAAACACCAATCACAGAAAAACAGAGAGTCAAATCATGAGTGAACTCCCATTCACAACTGCTACAAAGAGAATAAAATACCTAGGAATCCAACTTACAAGGGATGTGAAGGATCTCTTCAAGGAGAACTACAAATTACTGCTCAATGAAATAAACGAGGACACAAACAAATGGAAGAATATTCCACGCTCATGGATAGGAAGAATCAATATCCTGAAAATGGCCATAATGCCCAAGGTAAATCATAGATTCATGACATCCCCTTCAAGCTACCAATGACTTTCTTCACAGAATTGGAAAAAACTACTTTAAAGTTCATATGGAACCAAAAAAGAGCCCGCATCGCCAAGTCAATCCTAAGCCAAAAGAACAAAGCTGGAGGCATAATGCTACCTGACTTCAAACTATACTACAAGGCTACAGTAACCAAAACAGCATGGTACTGGTACCAAAACAGTGATATAAACCAATGGAACAGAAGAGAGCCCTCAGAAATAACTCCACACATCTACAACAATCTGATCTTTGACAAACCTGACAAAAACAAAAATGGGGAAAGGATTCTCTATTTAATAAATTGTGCTGGGAAAACTGGCTAACTATATGTAGGGAGCTGAAACTGGATCCCTTCCTTATATCTTATACAAAAATTAATTCAAGATGGATTAAAGACTTAAATGTTAGACCTAAAACCCTTAAAACACTACAAGAAAACCTAGGCAATACCATTCAGGACATAGGCACGGGCAAGGACTTCATGACTAAAACACCAAAAGCAATGGCAACAAAAGCCAAAATAGACAAATGGGATCTAATTAAACCAAAGAGCTTCTGCGCAGCAAAAGAAACTACCATCAGAGTGAACAGGCAACCTAGAGAATGGGAGAAAATTCTTGCAATCTATCCATCTGACAAAGGGCTAATATCCAAAATCTACAAAGAACTTAAACAAATTTAGAAGAAAAAATCAAACAACCCCATCAAAAAGTGGGCAAAGGATATGAACAGACACTTGTTAAAAGAAGACATTTATGTAGCCAACGGACACATGAAAAAATGCTCACCATCACTGGTCATCAGAGAAATGCAAATCAAAACCACAATGAGATATCATCTCACACCAGTTAGAATGGCAATCATTAAAATGTCAGCAAAGAACAGGTGCTGGAGAGGATGTGGAGAAATAGGAATGCTTTTACACTGTTGGTGGAAGTGTAAACTAGTTCAATCATTGTGGAAGACAGTGTGTCAATTCCTCAAGAATCTAGAACTAGAAATACTATTTGACCCAGCGACCCCATTACTGGGTATATACCCAAAGGATTATAAATGATGGTACTATAAAGACACATTCACACTTAGGTTTATTGCAGCACTATTCACAATAGCAAAGACTTAGAACCAACCCAAATGTCCACCGATGATAGACTGGATTAAAAAAATGTGGCACATATACACTGTGGAATACTGTGCAGCCATAAAAAAGGATGCGTTCATGTCCTTTGTATGGACATGGATGAAGCTGGAAACCATCATTCTGAGCAAACTATCACAAGGACAGAAAATCAAATACCACATGTTCTCACTCATAGATGGGAATTGAATAATGAGAATACTTGGATACAGGGCAAGAAACATCACACCCTTGGGCCTATTGTGGTGTGGGGCTATGGGGGAGGGATAGCATTAGGAGAAATACCTAATGTAAATGATGAGTTAATGGGTGCAGTGAACCAACGTGGCACATGTATACATATGTAAGAAACCTGCACATTGTGCACAGGTACCCTAGAACTTAAAGTATAATAATAATAATAAAATGAAAGTTCTAAATATCTGAGAAATAATCAAACAGAAATAAGGCAGCCAACCTGGGAGTGTCCACTCCTGCATGTGTTGTTTCTCTTGTGCATCAGATTATAAAAGCTAAAAGTGGATTCCAGCCTCTGTGATTATTCTGTTTTGCTCTCTAAAGGAACAGCCAATCAGTGGTGGTTTGCATTCTCCTTTGCCTCTCTTCAGCATGTCACTTTAGGGTCAGGGTGCTGTTTGACAGGGTGAACTGGGATCCTCCCCTTTTCTCACTGAGGTGCTGTCTTGTCTTACAGTCGGGAGCCAAGACCTGGGCAGTGCGGAGGACCAGCATACTGTGCCCCACAGACCTCCTGGATTGCTTCTTCATATGTGGGAAGAGTTAAGTGCTGTCCTGGATCTCTGATATATGGGCTGCTTTTAGTATTTGCCAAAAGGAAACTTTTAAAGCTTCTATTTCTTTACAAACACCAGCTTAATTGCTTATGGGAGGTAGGTTGTCATGGGGGCAGTAAAGATTTCATTCAGGAAAAGAGTGGAGAAGGTGTACAATGGAAAATGGAATAAACCGTGTATGAGTCAGTTGTTGTTCCATAGGAAAAACCCTTAACATCTTAGGGACTAAAAGCAAGAAACTGTTCCTGTCACGCTCTGGAGCCTGCAGATGGGCTGGGGCTTAGCAGATCTGGTCTGGCTTGCCTTGTGTCTTCATCCTGGGGCCAATGCTGAAGGGGCTGTGCCTCCTTGGGTCAGTTTTTCTTCATGAAGTTTTGAAGGGGAGCAGGAGGACCCGCCTCTCACGTCTGCAGGGTTACGGTCTCTGTCCTTATCACATCTGTTAACATCCTATAGACCCAAGCAAGTCCCATGACCATGCACAAAGACAATGGGGGTTTATGCTGCATTTTCTGGCAGAGGGCATGGATGTATAGTTTTGTTCCAGTGAGGGAGACAGCTGTCCATCAATCCTGGCACACACCCTGAATCTAGGAAAACCCCTCTTCTCTGAGCCATGACATGGCACATGCTTCCAGGAAGCCTGTAGCTTTCATTCTGTCAGTGGCTGTCTAAACTTTTGCTAACAAGGCTGACTTTTTTCAGTCTCCTGAGCTCCACCTGTGGTATCTGGGAATTGCTGTCTCCCTAGAAGGGATCCTCCATATGAGGAAAGCTCCTTTCCAAAGGCTTGTGTTTATTCTCTATAAAAACAGGCTGGTCAAAGAGTATGGCCTGGTAGAGCCTTTTTTGGTCTGTGTTTTGTTATATATTAATTGCTGAGCTCTTCCTAATAGAGAATTCACTTCTACTCCCACCCAATGTGGTTCACGTGGTATCAGAATCATAGCCAAATAATTATGAAGGTGTGCATGTGCAGGATGGGGTTTTATGATGAAAACTCAAGAGGAAATAGAAGAAGGGGGCTGGGAAACAGTACTGACTCGCCTGCACTGCAAAGAGAGGTGCAGGTAGGATGAGGGGTGGGGAATGTGGCCATCTCTTGTGAGGTGACACCATCTGGGGGAAGTGGAGGGTGCCTCTTCCTCAGCCTCTGCCCCTGTATCCTCTCCAGTGCCACAGTCCCTTCTGCCTCACCCCCTATCTCTGCTCTAAGGAACAGTACAGAGTGTGGATGCTGGTGAAACGTGTTCATAGTAACCAGCCAGCCTGAAGCTTCATCATGCAATGGCTTGGCCATTTCCTCGACACATGTATGCTAGGCTGAGAAGTTAGGAGGTGTTTCCATGACTTCCCAACTAGCTGACAACACAGGCCTGTGCATGTCGGGTGATCCTTACGCGGAACTTTGCTGTATTTTGAATTTTTATTTTTTGCACGTTTTATTTTGCAGTGATTTCAAACTTACAAAAAGTGGGAAGAGTAATATAGAGAGCTCCTGTATACACTCAAATTCTCCCACTCTTAACATTTTGTCTCATGCTATTTCCTTCTCTTTCTATACGTGTACAAACTATTATAGGTTTTTCTGAGTCATTTGAGTGCAAATTGCAGAGATGACCTCTTTTATCCTCAGATACTTTCATGTGTGTGTCCTAAGGACAAGGACATTCTCTAACACAACTTCAGTGAAATGAGCAAAACCATGATGCCAATGTGGATACATCCTTTTGTCTAGTCTATTGTTCAGACAGTTTATCAATGGTGTTTCTTTGCCAAGCTTCCTTAGTCGCCTTTAATCGGGAAAAGGTCTTCATTCTTTCTTGTCTTTGTTACCCTGTCATTTTTGAAGATAACTGGCTATTTTGTAGAATGTTTTCTGTTGGGGTCGTCAATCGATTAGATTCAGGTGATGCATTTTTTTCAGATGAAAATTATAGAAGTGATATTGGGTCCCTCAGTACATCATTCTGGGAGGCCAGGATACCATTGTCCAATTGCTGATGGATGTTAATATTAATCTCTAGATTTAGATAGCGTCTTCCAGGTTTCTCCACTCTAAGGTTACATTTTTTTGTTTGTATAATTAATAAGTATTTCACAGAGCAATACTTAGAAAATAGGTTTATGTTCTACTTCTTATTAAATTTTTACTTTATACCATTAGTATATAGTGATAATTCCTTCCTGAATTGATTGTTATTATGATGATTGTGACTTTTGTTTTCTAACTTCATCATTTCTTCTATATTTAGTAATGGTGTTCATTCCAGTGTAAGGAAAACTTCCTTTTCTCATCTGTCTATTTATCTATATACCTACCCACCTAGCTTCTCTCTCTCCAGAGATTGAACTCATGGTTTCTTATTTTATTCAAGAAGTTATAATCTGTTAATACTGTTATTCCAATGTGTAGATTATCTCACAGTTGGTTACCCAGAACTCCTTTAAGCAGCTTCCTCTGTTCTCTTGACATGTTTCCATTATTATTGGAGCCTATCCTTACCTTCACATGTATTAATAACAAGAAGTTCTAGATCTATTTTATACTTTCCTTCATCCAACTCTAGAAGTACTGGCTGAAATCTGTGGTGAGTTCAGAAAGCAATCCCGAGTGGTGCCTGTGCTCATTCATTGCTACAGGGAGGCCATGGTGCCTCTGTCAGTAGTTATTCACCTGGGGCAATTTTGCTTCCCAGGGCACACTGGTAATGTCTAGGACATTTTTGGTTGTTGCTACTTGGGAGGACGTGCTACTGGCATTCAGTGGACAGAGGTCAGGGATGCTGATAAACATTGTGTATTCTTTCCCACAATGGTAGATTAGAAGTTTTCAGTGTGCCTCAAACACTTGGAAACAGCAAAATAGTACATAGTGATCAGCTCTGTGAGCTTTAACTCAAGAAGGAGAGTGGGAATCCACTGGAATCCTGAAGGACACCTCAGATTCTGGGGAGGAGAACCTGCTCACTCAGATCAGCAACCTAAGCAGCCCCACCTTTCCTATGTATAGACTGTAGTGCAGCAGGGCCTTCTGTACTCCATACCCAGGTAGATGTTCAGGCATTCAGAGCACCTGTGTGCCTAAATCATCAGCCTTTGCTGCCTTACTCTTCCTGTGCAGAGACAGTGGTGAAGCAGGGCCCTCTCTGCTCCATGCCCAAGCAGACCTCCAGACTTGTAGAGCACCTGCTTACTTGGAACAACAGCCTGAGCTGGCCCAACCTTCCTCTGCAGAGATTGTGGTGTAACAGCACCCACTGCACTCCATGCCTAGGCAGATATCCAGGCATCTGGAGCACCCACTCCCCTGGATTAGGAATTTAGGCACTTTACCTCCTGCAGAGAACTTGAGTCCAATGAGGTTTCTCATGTTCATGCCTAGGCACATGTCTGGGTGCTCAATTGATGCCCACTGGAACTCCCACTCAGTGCTGGTGTCCGTACCTGCTATTGGAGCACCTGTAGTTATGCCTGTCCATCTTGTTCCCCTCATCCAGGGATGAGCAGGGAGCTCACACCATGGTGCACTTCAGGATCAGCCCAATGCCAGAGGCAACAGAAAGCTTCTCCCAGTAAACAAGAATAAAGTATATACCCATCTGCATTAGCCACAGCCAACTCTTACAGACAAGCGCCGTCTATTGGCCTGTAGACAAACCGCATAGCCGAATATAAAACATGCTGACAAAACTGCATAGGGTTATAGAAGCAAAGCCAAAAACCCTATAGTCACACCCCCTAGAGAGGGGTTGAAATGGAAAGAAAAACAATGATATAGAGAAAGATAGAAAAAAATTCTGTCTGCATGAAAATAATTACAAAAATTAGAAGTGCCAGTGTGTCCAGATGAGAAAAAAACAGCACAAGAATCCTGGCACCATGAAATATCTGAATGTTGTGACACCATCAAAGGATCACATTATCTCTCCAGCAATGGTTCCTAACCAAAACGAAAAGTCGAAAATGACAGATAAAGAATTAAAAGCATAGATCACAAGGAAGCTCAATGAGATACAAGGTTGAAAATCAACAAAAACAAATTTCTTAAGCAATCCAGGAGACAAAGAAAGAGATGCACATTTTAGAAAGAAATCATTCTGAGCTTGTGGAATTGATAAACTCCACTAAAGAAATTTCAAAATACAATTCAAAGTTTTACTTATTAGACTAGACCAAACAAAACAAATCATTTCAGAGCTTCAAAATTGGTAGTTTGAACTAACCCAGTCAGACAAAAAAATGAACAGTCTTTGAGAAATATGAGGTTATATAAAATGACCAAACCTCTGAATTGTTAGCATTCCTGTGAGAGAAGAAAAAAACATAAACAACATGAAAAACATATTTGAGGTAATCCAAGAAAATTTCCCTAAACTTGCTAGTGTCATAGACATCCAGACACAAAAAATACAGAGAACACCTGCAAGATACCATACAAAATGAACATCAATGCCTGTACTCACCAGGCTTTTCAAGGTCAATTAAATAAAAATCTTAAAAGCATCTAGAGAAAAATGTCAGATAATGTATAAAGGAAACCCCATCAGGCTAACTGCAAAGTTCTCAGTGGCAACTGTACAAGTCAGAAGTGATGGGAGCCTATTTTCAGCATTTTTAAAGACAAGAAAATTCAACCAAGAATTTCATATCCTGTCAAACTAAGCTTTATAAGCAAAGAGAAATAAAATCTTTTTCAGACAAACCATCACGAAGGAAATTTGTTACCACTAGACCAGCCTTGCATGAGATTCTTAAGGAAGTACTATACATGGAAACAAAAGAAAGAACCCTGCTACCATAAAAGGAACTTAAGGACAAAGTCCACAGACCTTGTAAAGCAACTATGCAATAGAAACTACAAAGCAATCAGCTAATAAGTTCATGAGAGGATCAAAATTTCATTTATTTCTTAAATAACCATATGTAGTAATAGTTATAATTCTTCCCATTGTACAAATGAGTTAACTGAGTCTCCTCAAGATGACATCCCTCGCTCTCTCAGTAGGGGCTCCATCCACCAGTTTCCCCTTTATCAGTGAGTCTTCATTCTCTCAGCTACTGGGAGTGTGGCCACTGATGGCTCACAGCTGAGTCCTTCTGTGGGCATTGATCTGAGTCAAAGGAAGCTGCTTTGTCCAAGTTCATGTCCCTCCTGGAATTGCCTATTTTAAATAATAGGTCTATATGGGGGCACAAAATGTTGACTCTTTTGCCCTAATACGCTACCACTCTGAGGCCGTCACCATTGCAGAGCTCTCCATGGGCCTGGCTGTGGCCTCTGCTGAGCTGCACCCCTGCCTGACTTTTCCCTCTGCCCCACCCCATGACCCTGCCTCCCCAGCACATGCCTCAGTGAGCCTCTTGCCTATGAATCTCCATCTGAGTCTGTTTCCAGGAACCCTAACCAAGAGATGGTGGAGTCAGGACCCACACCACAAATATCCTGCCTTTTAAAGTACAGTGGGTGTTAGGTCTGTGAATGTTTGGAGGATGAGACAATTCTTGTCTAGGAGACTGGATGTCTCTCTTCTCAGGATTCGAGGGGTAGGATGTTCCAAATGTTTTCAGACCTGAGACCTGTTTGGAAAAGTGGTGTTTTATCTGGAAAGTTACCTGTTCTTGAAAATCTCTTACTCAGCTGGGACTATTTGTCCCTCCTTACTCCTTAGCAAAATGAAATCCAAAGCTTCCATTTTTATTGGACTTGGTGAAATATTTCACTTACCAAATTTCTTTGGATCCACCTGATGGGGAAGGCTAGGCAGGTAACATAAACCCCTTGTAATTTTGTGGAAATATGTAGAAGGGAATTTGGGGACAATAAGGCAGGTCATGTAATTTTCAGATAAATTTTGTTCGCATTGCACAATAAGCTTCATTTTCCACCCTGGCTCTGGGACTGGCACTTAGTGGTGTGTCAGCTCCATCATTTGTAGAAGTATCCTGGCTGCAGATAGCGGGAGTCCTGAGAAACACTGGCTGCCTCTCCCATGATGACACTGGTGATTCACCAAAGGCCATGGGGGTGGTGTTCACAGAGTTGGTGCAGCGTCCTTAGCAGGGGCCCAGGTGGTTTCCTTCCATCTTCTCCATCATTCATTGGGCTCTTGTTCTTGGGCACACAGCTAATAAGTGAAAGGCAGACACCATAGTTGGAGACATTCTGTCCCACACTACAGCCAGAAAGGTGAGGAGTAGGAGCAGGAGGAGGTCACAGTGGGTGAGAGGAGGGTGTGGGGAGGGAGAGAGAGAGAGAGTGTGTGTGAGTGTGTGTGTGTGTGTGTGACAGAGAGAGAGAGAGAGAGAGAGAGAGAGAGAGGAGGATTCTTTCCAAGGCCTCTGTCTTTTCTATTCAGCATAGGCTTTTTTTTTTTTTTTTTTTTTTTTGTGATGACCTGGCTGCCTTCTTAGATGTTATTGCCTGGATGTACGTCCTATGCCCCCTGGGGTGAGGAGGTCTAGGAAGTTTATTACCTGATGTTTTCAGCCTTTGCACTCAGGGGCAGGCAAGAGAAAGGGAGTAGGGAATGGCTGGTGAGGTTTTCCAAACAAAGCTTCTTAATATGAGAATCCACAAAGAGTTTGTAGAAACTCCATTGTACTCAAAAGGTTACAAGTGCATTTGTGCAGGAGTGTGTGTATGCATACATACACACCATCTCTATAATACTCATCTGATTCCTAATGGGATCATTGACTGTTACACCATTGTAATTTTGAATTACGGATGCTGAGATGTAAATGGAATGCCGTGAGTTTGCACTGAAATTAAAAGCAGACTCACCTCTTCGCTTTAGACATCCATTACTTTCAACTGAACTGGGCATCAGACTACCTCCTCTTTACATCCAATGAAAGTAGAATACAGGATTATGAAAGAGGATGAAATGGAGCATTAAAAAGTCAGGAAACAACAGGTGCTGGAGAGGATGTAGAGAAATAGGAACACTTTTACACTGTTGGTGGGACTGTAAACTCGTTCAACCATTGTGGAAGACAGTGTGGCGATTCCTCAGGGATCTAGAACTAGAAATACCATTTGACCCAGCCATCCCATTACTGGGTATATACCCAGACGATTATAAATCATGCTGCTATAAAGACACATGCACATGTATGTTTATTGCGGCACTATTCACAATAGCAAAGACTTGGAACCAACCCAAATGTTCAACAATGATAGACTGGATTAAGAAAATGTGGCACATATACACCATGGAATACTATGCATCCGTAAAAAATGATGAGTTCATGTCCATTGTAGGGACATGGATGAAGCTGGAAACCATCATTCTCAGCAAACTATCGCAAGGACAAAAAACCAACACCGCATGTTCTCACTCATAGGTGGGAATTGAACAGTGAGAACACACGGACACAGGAAGGGGAACATCACACCCCAGGGCCTGTTGTGGGGTGGTGGGAGGGGGGAGGGATAGCAATTGAAGATATACCTAATGCTAAATGACAAGTTAATGGGTACAGCACACCAATATGGCACATGTATACATATGTAACAACCCTGCACGTTGTGCACATGTACCCTAAACCTTAAAGTATAATAATAATAACATTTTTTAAAAAAAGAAAGTAGAATACAGTTGAATAAAAGAGGATGAAATGGAGCACTCTAAAGCCAAGCCAGAGCCCACCTTCTAATCGCAGTCACTGAGTCCACAGCAGTGATGATTTCTCTGGTGGTGAAGGCTTTGTAGGGAATGTGACCTAAGATATCATCTCTTCCCCAGGAGCTCAGAGTATAGCTGGCAGAGGATTTATCTGAAAACATTCAGTGCCATGAAAAACAAGGAAACACTTATTAAATACTAAGTGGATTTCAGAACTCAGGGAGCATGTGAGAACAATTTTTTTCCCCGTTGGAAAGGAGTTTCACTCTTTTTGCCCAGGCTACAGTGCAATGGCGTGATCTTGGCTCACTGCAACCTCAACTTCCCAGGTTGAAACAATTCCCCTGCCTCAGCCTCCAGAGTAGCTGGGATTACAGGCGCAGGCCACCACACCCAGCAAATTTTGTATTTTTAGTAGAGATGGGGTTTCACCATGTTGGCCAGGCTAGACTTGAACTCTCAACCTCAAATCATCCACCCGCCTCGGCCTCCCAAAGTTCTGGGATTATAGGCATGAGCCACTGTACCCAGCTGTGAGAACACCTTATGCTGAAAATAAACTGCCGATTAACTCATAGTTGATAAGCTGTTAGGCATATGTGGGCATATCAACCACACCAATAGGTCATTCAGCCACAGTATTTGTTAGTTTTAAAAACAGAGACATAGGGAAGCTCCAAGGGGAAATAACCTATAATCTCATCTCCCAAACACTCCTAGCTGACACTAAAAAATAGGTAGAAAGAAGACACACACATTTTTCTCATATTCAAATGGAAAAGAAAGATTCTAAATATAGAAAAGCAAAAGCCAAATTATCCATTTCCCTACCCACACTACCACCTCTCTTCCCTGATATCCAATGTTAATAAATACAAATGACTGCTTGCCTCTCTTCTTTCCTATATTTTAGATGTTTATGTGTATATACATATGTGTAAATATGTGTCTAAATGTCTATATGGCCACTCATACACATGCGTGTTTACTTTTGTTTTTACAGCAAGCTTTATGTTAACACACCATATATACCTTGCTTTCAATAAAATAATATATTCAAAGTATATTAAAATTATTTCCAGTTTAACACATATATTGCTACTTAATTCTTTTTTTTTTTTTTTCCCTTGAGCCAGAGTCTCCCTCTGTTGCACAGGCTGGAGTGCAGTGTCGCCATCTCGGCTCACTGCAAGCTCAGTCTCCCAGGTTCAAGCCATTCTCCTGCCTCAGTCTCCCAAGTAGCTGGGAGTACAGGTGCCTGCCACCACACCCAGGTAATTTTTTTTTTTTTTTTTGTATTTTTCAGTAGAGATGGGGTTTCACCGTGTTAGCCAGGATGGTCTCGACCTCCTGACCTCATGATCCGCCTGCCTCGGCCTCCCAAAGTGCTGGGATTACAGGCGTGAGCCACCATGCCCGTCCTATTGCTATCTAATTCTTAACAGCTCTTCCATCATGTGTGTGCTCTATAATTTATTTGAGTAGTCTCTAGTGATGACATCATTTTGATCATGTTAAAATTTGTGCTATTACCAGGATATTGCCATGGTCATCCACAGGTTTCACTGAGTGTTGGTGACACTATCAATGATGCATTAATAGATTCTTAACAGTGATTGGTTTAGGGGGTGGGTCTGTGATCCAGACCTGGCCAAAGAGGCATAAGAAGGAGTAAGCTAAGGAGTGCATAGGAGGAGGTTACTCACATTCAGGAAGGACGGGTGGAACAGAAGCTTTTCCCTAGGATCTTTCTGCCTCTGGATGTTGGTGTTGATGATGTGATGTCTGGAGCTGTAGCAACAACCTTTCTACCAGCTGAAGGCTGAAGCATCATGAACAGAAAGGTAAGGATGAGAGAATCCCAGGGAAGCAGAGCTAGATGCTGGGAGTTCTGTTCCTAAAGCCTGTCTTACCCAGGGCCTTCTTATTATGAAAGGTAGAGCACTCCCTTTGTATTCAAGCCATTTTAAATTGAGGCCTTTCTTTACATGCAGCGGAAAGCCTCTTGGCAGGTCCCAATGCCCGTGCAGATTTCTTCTGCATGAGTTTCTCCTTCCCTCACTTCTTCTCCATGTCTCCTCCTACTTTTGTGGCTGGTGTATTTACCTCCTTCCCATTTCCCCTTGGCCTATCCACTCTTACAAAAATATTAATGTCTTCTCATAAAAATCCAGACGATCTTCCATGATGCTAATGACGTTTAAGTACAGAGCTTTTCAAAAACCCCACAAGAGGCTCCAACTGGGGCTGAGCAACAGGTTTACTTGGCTGGATGTTTTGTACAATAAAAAATGTGTGGTATTTTCACTGTAGTCAGTTAAGAACATTTGCTTTTTCTACTCTGGCTTTCTTCTTCCCATTCACCACCTGCTGGATGGTGTAGGTTGGACCCAGGCATTTTGGTATCTGGCTAAGAGGAAGATGAGTTGGGATGCATTTAACTGGGGTGAGGGGAACACATTCCTGTGATTCTCCCTCACTCCTGTGCTTAGTCATGTTGCCTCAAACTGTACTGGTGTAGGAGTGGCCCCAGACAAGGCCCTACCACCCCCTCAGTTTTCACTTAAAGCAGCAAGGAGAGGTAGAACCTTGATCAGAAAATGCCCCCAGCACCTCACATTGGAAGCCTGTGATTAGCAGAGAGGAAAGAAGGTTTGCAATGTGTGGAGCCAGAAGTCCATCTATGGATAACGATACCCAGCAGAAACATGGAAAATTTCAAGTGAGTGTTTTGTTTTTTTCTGACCCTAGTCAAAAAAGGAAGTTTTATTCTATTGGAAATGTAGTCAGTATTATGGCATATAAAATAATTAGTGCACCATACAGTTGTTTTTATTTTTGATGGGAGTTGAATGAGATAGAATTTCTCAATTTTTGACATTTGTAGGGCACAGATCTGTGTGGTGAAACTACCCATAGTAAGGACACATGTGTGTGAAGCGGCACAGAACTGATGGATGGGGCTGACCTCCCACCTCTTCTTATCCTGACCAAGTCTGGGAGCTCCACATAACACAGATATAAAATCGTGACCAGCAGTAAGACAGCTTGAAGAAGAAATACTTGCTTCAGGACAAACTCCTCCTGCACATTCAATGAGCTAATAGATATAGCACATAAGGACATTTTTAGACAATTCTGAAGCTCAGTACAACAGTGACAGTTTAAAAATGCTGTGTTTGTGTGCAATGTCAATAGAAAGATGTGTTAAGGTCTTCAAATTTAAGTCAAGGAAATTTAGAGGTATTAAAATCTTAGAGCTTGCAGATGAAAGGAAAATGAAAGAGGCTTTTCCAAATTGGACAACAACCAGAAAAATGTGCATGATATGGCCAATTATGAGTTTTGAATCAAGATGTTATGCACCATCAATTTTACAAGTGATCAAACCTTTTAGTGGAAAGACTGCTTTATTCTTCTGCTAAACGTAGACAAAACCCTATGATAAATTAAATGTCTTATAATGAGGCAAATAGCGATTCATTACTTGAGCAT
Organism: Homo sapiens; assembly: GCF_000001405.40. Lineage (NCBI taxonomy): Eukaryota > Metazoa > Chordata > Mammalia > Primates > Hominidae > Homo > Homo sapiens. The sequence goes on from NC_000020.11 coordinate 23,853,143, forward strand.
AAAAACATCGAATGAAATTATGAGATGTGTCAGTAGCTAATTAATAAAAATATCATGTGAGGAAGTAAAAATCATGTGGATTAAGAAGGGCAAATCTGCCCTTTCGTCTGCAGAGTGGATAGATGGACTGATGTTAACAAAGCCAGTGGCAACATGAGCAGGACAGAATGTTTCTCTCAAGCTGCAGCTTTGAAATGTCAAGCAGCCTCTTGCTGGCTGATGACTGCTTTCTGACTCTGGGCAGGTGCCTGAGGTTGGGATTAGACTGAGCCCCTTCTCCCTGCCCAGCACCCAGCCCTGCAGCTGCTTCCTCCAGTCCAGCAGGCAACATCCCAAAGGATGCAGGGTGGAGCTCCCAGTACCCCCATGCCAAGTTAAATCCCTCTTAGCAAATCAAATTCATCACATTTGTCCCCCACCACCCCATCCACCTGCTCATGTCAGAGGTGATTGAACCAGAGCAACTCCATCTGGAGTAGGGGCTGGGTACAATGAGGCTGAGACCTACTGTGCTGCATTCCCAGATGGTTAAGGCATTCTAAGTCACAGGGTGAGATAGGAGGTCAACACAAGACTGCTTTCTGACTCAATGGAAGACCTCATTCTCTAGAGTCAGGGGCTGTCAGAAACTTTGCTTATCAGTAAGAAGAACATTCTACTGCCTGGAGGATCTATATCCACCTTTCCACAGAAGCACAGAGCTACAGAGAAGGGGTTTATGGACAGGACATTCCACATCTGGCTGGACTTTATGGGTTCTAAGGACACAGAACCTAGGTCCACTTTGCAGACCAGGCTTGACACTGGCTGCTTTACACAGAGGCCTGCCATGCCCTGAGTGCATCGATATCACCTCAAAATCCTTTCCCCTGCTCCTATAATAACCTCTTTTCTTTTTTGAATCATCCCAGTTTCTTGGTGTGAATTTATTCCCTTATTTCCACAAGCCCATAGACCTGAGTCTGTTGACCACAGAATCGGTGTTGGTGACTGATTGCAAGAGGATATGTGTTATTTGTCCAGATTTTGTGATGTTCACAGTATTTTTCAGCATTTTCATGCATACAATTTCCATGATTTATTTTCTCTTCCTAAATAAACATTAATTTTTGTTCTTAGTTTTGTAGTGCTAACATTGTGCTATTTTTTTTTTTTTTTCACAGAGAGCCCCTATGTATGCTCCTCAGGCCTTGCACAACTTGGTCCTCCTGTCCTTGTTATGGCAAGTGTCCACCTGCCCAAGGAAAGACTGTGCTGTCTTGTGCTTCCCAGGCCTCCAAATGCACTCACCCCTCCATCCAGAGCGATTTCTCCATGCTGGATGAGGGTTTTCTAACCTCTTCATTTTCAATCTTTTACCACTGATTTGTGACATTATTTTTGGTAAAGAAAGTCTTAGAAAAGGCATAAAATTTCCAAAATGGGAATTGAGTGATTTTCAATTTTGTAATTTTTGATATTTGTAGGCGCAGATCGGTGCGGTGAAACCCTGTCTTACTCTCCTACAAAGACCTAGTGGCTTCAGGACACAGTTCAGACAATTCATTTGGCTCAGAAGATATACCTGCTCACCCTCAGCATCCCTATCCACTTCTTCTCTCCAAAAGAGCAGACACACAGGGAGAAGTTGGGGGGATCCCAGTATACAGCCTCTTCTTTACTCCCAACTTTCTCAAGGGAGAGAGAATTGTATCTGATAAGTGGCTTAATTTACACAAAATCCTCTCTTCATTGTGTGTCTTGATGGTGCTTGCTTGTGCCAAAGGAGATCTTCCATTCAGGTAGAAAATCATGAGCAACTTCCTGCGGTGATGTCTTCGCCCCAGTCACCACTCTGAGCACCTCCTACTCTGCATGCAACCCCTCTCTCCCAGCAGAAGCCTGAGTGACTACACCTGCCCACCCCCAAGAGGATGAGGCCCAGACTCAAGTCCCCCAGGTCATGGCCTCCTGGGTGATGCTGCACTTCCCAGATCCCAAAGACCTCTGTAAAATCAAGTCCAAGTGGAGATGAAATGGATGTAGATGCTCTCCACTCTCCCCGTCTCCTGGTGCAGGCCCTCAGAAGAGACCTCCCCCAGGGCAGGAGCCACCAGTTCAAGGGTGAGAGCAGTATAGTGGTGTGGGAGTAGGAGGTGGTTGGTGCAGTTGGCCTGGTACAAACTCCTAGACATTCTGACATGTGGATTTCACCAAAGATATTCTGTCATCCCAAGGAACTTCACAGATCTGGAAAGAGCAGAACTGTTTCTGTGAAAGGAAAGAGAGAGGGACAATCAGTGTGGGTTGCACTAAAGCGGTAGATGCCCAGGCATGAGACATCAGAGTGGGGGCAAGCATGGATAGAGGTGAGACACTGTGCCCCCTACCTGCTCCTGCTGAGACCCAGAGCACTGAACCAAACTGTGCAGAGATGACTCCATTCCCCCTCTCAGGTGGGGATGGAAGGCTCCAGGTCACCAGGTGGCATTGCCCCCATTTCCAGCCTGCAGGGTTCCTGCCCCAGCACAGCCCTGTGAGGAGCAGCCTGTGCAAGGTCTCGGGAGCCCCAAGAGTGCAGGACAGGGGGAGGCAGCTCACTGCCCCCAGCTCCTTCCAACTCCTGTGTCCAGGCTGGCACTAAGAAGGGTCAGAGGGAAGAACCCAGGGCAGGGCAATTCCCCCTCAAAGAGCTGGGGCATGGGGAGGCGGCGACAAGGGGAGTGAGGCTCTTCCCTGAGTGGAGACCTCATAGGAACCAGCAGGTCCTTGGAGAGGCTTGTGTTTGGTGAGTGGGGCAGGTCCAGGGCTTTTCAGCTAACAGGCATCTAGGTCCCCCTAATCTGCTTAGCATGGCTATAGCTGTGGGCATGTGCCTGAGGCTGGGAGGAGGGGACCACCCTTGAATTGGTGGTTCCTGCCCTGGGGGAGGTCTCCTCTGCAGGCCTGCACCAGGAGACAGGCAGAGAAGGCATCAGGAGGCTTTTTTGCACAGCAGAGCCCCATCTTCCTGTCCAGCACCCAGCCCTGCAGCTGTTTCCTATAGTTCAGCAGGCAACAACCCAAAGTACACAGGGTGGAGCTCCCAGTACCCCTATTCCCAAGCTGAAGCCCTCTTAGCAAATCAAATTCATCACCCCTCTCCACAGCACCTCACCTACATGCACACACATAGGCATTTACATGAACTCACCCCAACCCTCATCTACATGGATCTATGCAAAAACCTCCATACTTCCCCCACACAGCCACATGCACACACACACTCCCGTGCACCCCACACACACTTGCACGTGTACACATACACCTTTCCATGAGCAAAACCACACCTGCACACCTACTCACATGTACATGCACAAACATATAACTTCATATGCACACACTTCCATGTCCCTCCCAATACACATCTGCCCGTGTGTGCACAAACACACATGCATCTCTCCACATACATGTACCCATGCCTGCATGCCCTGCTCTAGGCATACCGATGCGCTTACACATATACCCTTCAAAACATGTGAAGGAGCACACACACACACACACACACACACCTCTGCAGTGTGCAACTGTCCCCTGACCCACATCAGGCACATACCTCCTGAAGTTTTCGCTGGTGATGGAAGGAACAGTTGTCCAAGTTGGGCTGGGACTTGGCACATGTGATTTGCCCCATCTCCACATCAAAGAAGTAGTTCATTGCAGCCACGACCTACTCACGTGAAAGAGCAGGATGCACGGACAGTGCTCTCCATCAGTTTCATGCACACACAGGCACTTCACTATGACTGAGTCACGGGAGTTGCCTGGGGCTTCATTCCTGCCTTCATGAGCTGCCCACACTGCCACCTGCAAGGCACACAGTCACCTCCTGCCGGATGGCAGGGGTGATATGCCCCAGGCCTCCCTGGTAACTTGTTTTCTCTGTGCCAGTGCAAAGGATTAACTGAATTCTGCTGGCCCAAGGGGCAGGGACCCTGTATTTCTTCTAGGAAGGCTGTCATCTGATGATGAAATTTCAGCTAACTTCCAGTTTCTAGACTTCAGCCCATTGAGCATCTTATTTCCTCCATTTAACTCAGATTTGTTTATTCCCTCATTTAGCAGTAGGAGATGAGAAGCTTCACACAAATGGATGTTTTAGGCCAACAAGAGACTTCCTCTCTAGTGCCTCCATTCTGAGTGGTTGTTTTAGGCCAATAGGAGACGTCCTATCTAATGCCTTCATTCTGAGTGGATGTTTTAGGCCAATAGGAGACTTCCTCTCTAATGCCGCCATTCTGAGTGGATGTTTTAGGCCAAAAGGAGACTTCCTCTCTAATGCCTCCATTCTGAGTGGATTTTTGGCTCCAGTATTTCTAGGGTCACACACCCACACGTCTTCAACTTGCTATTGCAGAAGAGAATTGAATGCTTTCCCTGCACAGGGCATCCTCGAGACGCAACTTGTCAGAACTGGGGAGAAGCACAGGAGAAGGAGCCCTGGGAACCAGGCTGCAGAACCAAGAGGAAGTTGTGTGTTCTCTAGGGCATCAGTCTCCCCATCTGTAAATTAGGATCCTGGGCCCAATAATTCACATCATCCACTGCTTCACTCTGAGTTACTGTCAGACTTCAGAGAGACGTGCAGGCCAGGAGGAACTGTGGCACCAGAGAATGCACCTCATGTGCAGGCAGAGAGCACCAGCTGATGGCTGCAGGAGGAGAAAAGAGGCTGGTCTGGACACCAATGAATTTCTAAGAGAAAGTGGGGGAGCTCTAAAGTCTGTGTCACTGTTCGCTGCTCTGCCACGGGATGCACGTCAAGCTGAGCCTGGTAGCCCTGCTGAAGCTACCCCCCCGCCCCACCCCCCAATCTGACCCCCTCCTCCACTCTGCTGGGTGACTGCTGTCCTCATCTGGCTGAGGTCTAACTCTGCCCCGCCCATAACCTCCATCTCTGCCTAAGATCCCCCTGCCCCTCCATCCCCCAGTCTGCTCCTCCGTCTCCCCCTCCTCCTCACTACTCTCCTCACTCCCACCCCTTTTCCAGCCCTGCCCCTCCTCCCCATTGCTCCCAAGCTGGCTCACAATTGTCTGCAGAGAGGGCACACTGCTCCCTGGGCTGTGAAAGTATAATGACCTCCTGTTTCCTCAGAAAAGGGAAAAGTCCAGGGCGCTCCTGGGATCTTCAGTGTTCAGAGGCATCAGTGAAAGCTTGGTCACGGTCTGGCAATCCATGAAACAGAGAGATGATTTCAGGAGCTCCTGGAAGGCTTATTCCACATCCTGCTCTGGGGAATTTCTTTGCCAGACATAAGAGAATTAATGTTTTGCGAAAGGTCATTAGGTTATTTTTCCATAAGTCCTCATTATTCAATACACAAACTCTTCATCAGCTCCTCCGGGTACCACGTGGTCTAGGACCTGGAGATGGAGCACGGATGACCGAGCCATGGACAGAGATGTGACACAAACCCATGAGCACTTTTCAGTTTTATAATAGACACGTTAAAAAAGGAAAAAGAAACAGAGGGAGTGATTTTAATAGTATTTCTTGTTTAACCTAATATATCCAAAATATTATTTCAATCCATGGGAACAGTTGTTAATGAGATAGTTTACATTCTTTTGAATGTGTGTAAGTCTTTGAAATTCCCTGTTTTTTTTTTTTTTTTTTTTACACTTAGACCGAATGTCATTTTGGACTGGCCTCATTTTCAGTGACCCATGGCCACATGTGGCTGGTGGCAGTGGTTCTGCTCCTTAGGGTATGGAGGATAAGAAAGCGATAATCAATAATTAATATCAGGAAATTAGTCTCTCTGTTGGAAGTGAAAGAGTATTAGGTAGAGACAGATGGAGCCACTGGACCCTGGTCAGGGAGACTGGAAAGGTGAGAAGCCCTGTCTAGACAGGAAGCAGAGCTCCAGGCAGCGGGAACAGCCAGTGCAAAGGCCCTGAGGCGGGGCTGAGCATGCCTGCTCCAAGAAGAGGAAGCTCCTGGGGCGGGTGTGAGCAGGGAAGGGAATGACCTGGAGTCTCAGGGTAACTGCCGGTGGGGCCCGGTGGGAGGTGCAGGGAGACTCCTGGCAGGTGGTGGGGGTGTCAGGAAATGGAGCAGCAGCCGCGGGATGAATGTGGGAGCCCACGGGTATCTCTTGTTCCTCCCCTCAGGGAGCCATGCTGCCGGCGCTGGTCCTCTGTGCACTACTTGGAAAACTCACCTGATTTTTAAAAATTGCCTTGAATGAGGTAGCATTTACATACAATAAGATGCCTAATTGTATATGTGTAACCTGGGGGATTTATTTATTTTTATGGATTTTGGGGTACAGATGTAGTTGCATTATGTGGATATATTGCATAGAGGTGAAATCTGGGCTTTTAGGGTACCCATTACCAGATAATGTACATTATATCCACTAGGTGATATTTCACATTCACCACCATCCCACTCTCCCACCTTTGAGCCTCCACTGTCTATCATTCCACTCTGCATGTCTGTGAGTACCCATTGTTTAGCTCCCACTTACAAGTGAGAGCATGTAGTTTTTGATTTTCAGTTTGAGTCACTTCAATAAGGGTAATGGCCCCCAGCTCCATATATGTTGCTGCAAAAAAAAAACATAATTTCATTCATTTTTGTGGCTGAGTGGTATTCCATGGTGTGTATATATATATATATGTGTGTGTGTGTATATATATATATTTATATATATATATGGAGTAGTATTGGAGATATATATATACATATGTATATATATACGCACATATGGATATATATATATGGAGTAGTATTGGACATATATGTGTGTGTGTGTATGTGTATATATATATATATATATATGGAGTAGTATTGGACATATATGTGTGTGTGGGTGTGTGTGTGTATATATAGATATATATATATGGAGTAGTATTCACACACACACACACACACACACACACACCACCTTGTTTTATCCACCTGTCCATCTGTCCATTGATACCATGGCTTTGCTATTGTGAAAAGTGCTGCAAGAAACATACAAGTGCAGGTGTCATTTTTACATAATGATTTCTTTTTAGGGGGGTACCTATCCAGTAGTGGAATTGCTGGATCACAGGGCAGTTCTAGTGTTAGTTGTTTGAGAAATCATCATACCGTTTTCTATAGAGGTTGTACTAACGTACACTTCCACCAACAGTGCATAATTTTTTTCTTTTCCCCACATCTTCTCCAATGTCTATTGTTTTTTGACTTTCTTTTGAGACAGGGTCTCACACTCTTACCCAGGCTGAAAGGCAGTGACATGATCATACCTAACTATAACCTCAAATTCCTGGGCTCAAATGATCCACTTGCCTCAGCCTCCTGAGTAGCTAGGACTACAGGCCCATGGCAAGACATTTTTATTTTTTGTAGAGACAGGGTTTCACTATTTTGTCCAGGTTGGTCTTGAACTCCTGGCCCCAAGCAATCCTCCCATTTTGGCCTGTCAAAGTGCTGTGATTTGAAGGGGTGGGTTACCCCCCCCCCACACCTGTGGGTGTTTCTCGCAAGGTGGAACGAGAGACTTGGAAAAGAAAAAGACACAGAGACAAAGTATAGAGAAAGAAATAAGGGGACCCGGGGAACCAGCGTTCAGCATATGGAGGATCCCTCCAGCCTCTGAGTTCCCTTAGTATTTATTGATCATTCGTGGGTGTTTCTCCGAGAGGGGGATGTGTCAGGGTCTCAAGACTATAGTGGGGAGTGGGTCAGCAGACAAACATGTGAACAAAGGTCTTTGCATCATAGACAAGGTAAAGGATTAAGTGCTGTGCTTTTAGATATGCATACACATAAACATCTCAATGCTTTACAAAGCAGTATCGCTGCCGGCATGTCCCACCTCCAGCCCTAAGGCGGTTTTTCCCTATCTCAGTAGATGGAATGTACAATCGGGTTTTATACTGAGACATTCCATTGCCCAGGGACGGGCAGGAGACAGATGCCTTCCTCTTGTCTCAACTGCAAGAGGCATGCCTTCCTCTTATACTAATCCTCCTCAGCACAGACCCTTTACGGGTGTCGGGCTGGGGGACGGTCAGGTCTTTCCCTTCCCACGACGCCATATTTCAGACTATCATATGGGGAGAAACCTTGGACAATACCTGGCTTTCCTAGGCAGAGGTCCCTGTGGCCTTCCGCAGTTTTTGTGTCCCTGGGTACTTGAGATTAGGGAGTGGTGATGACTCTTAAGGAGCGTGCTGCCTTCAAGCATCTGTTTAACAAAGCATATCTTGCACCGCCCTTAATCCATTTAACCCTGAGTTTGACACAGCACATGTTTCAGAGAGCACGGGGTTGGGGGTAAGGTCACGGAATCTCAAGGCAGAAGAGTTTTTCTTAGTACATAACAAAATGGAGTCTCCCATGTCTACTTCTTTCTACACAGACACAGTGACAATCTGATCTCTCTTGCTTTTCCCCACAGTGATTATAGACATGAACCACTGCACTCTGCTGTCTTTTGACATTTAATAACACCCTTTCTCCCTGGTGTACAATGATATTTCATTGTGGTTTCAATTTGCATTTCTCAGATATTTAGTGATGTTGAGCATTTTTTTCATGTTTGTTTGCCACTTGTATGTCTTCTTTTGAAAAATATCTGTTCATGTCCTATGCCCACTTTTTAAAAAATTTTACTTTAAGTTCTGGAATATATGTGTAGGATGTGCAGGTTTGTTACATAGGTGTACATGTGCCATGGTGGTTTGCTGCACCTATCAACCTGTCATCTAGGTTTTAAGCCCCACATGCATTCAGTATTTGTCTTAATGCTCTCCCTCCCCTTGTCCCCCACCCTCTGGCAGGCCCCGATGTGTGATGTTCCCCTCCCTGTGTCCACGTGTTCTCATTGTTCAACTCCCACTTATGAGTGAGAACATGTGGTGTTTGTTTTTCTGTTCCTGTGTTAGTTTGCTGAGAATGATGGTTTCCAGCTTCATCTATGTCCCTGCAAAGGACATGAACACATTCTCTTTTATGGCTGCATAGTGTATGTGCCACATTTTCTTTATCCAGTCTATCACTGATGGGCATTTGGGTTCCAATTATTTGCTATTGTAAATAGTGTTGCAATAAACATATGTGTGCATGTGTCTTTATAGTAGAATAGTTTATAATCACTTGGATATATACCCAGTAATGGGATTGCTGGGTCAAATGGTATTTCTGGTTTTAGATCCTTGAGGAATCACCATACTGTCTTCCACAATGGTTGAATTAATGTACACTCCCACCAACAGTGTAAAAGCCTTCCTATTTCTCCACAGCCTCGCCAGCATCTGTTGTTTCCTGACTTATTAATGATTGCCATTCTAATTGGCATGAGATGGTATCTCATTGTGGTTTTGATTTGCATTTCTCTAATGACCAATGATGGTGAGCTTTTTTTCATGTGTTTATTGGTTGCATAAATGTCTTGACACATGTCTCTTCATATCCTTTGCCCACTTTTTGCTGGGGTTGTTTTTATATTGCAGTTCCTTGTAGTTCCTTGAAGATTCTGGATATTAACCCTTTGTCAGATGGATAGATTCCAAAAATTTTCTCCCTTTCTCTAGATTGCCTGTTCACTCCAATGATAGTTTCTTTTGGTGTGCAGAAGCTCTTTAGTTTAATTAGATCCCATTTGTCAATTTTGACTTTTGTTGCAATTGCTTTTGGTGTTTTAGTCATGAAGTTTTTGCCCATGCCTATGTCCTCAATGGTATTGCCTAGGTTTTCTTCTAGGGTTTTTATGGTTATAGGTTTTACATTTAAGTCTTTAATCCATTTTGAGTTAATTTTTGTATAAGATATAAGGAAGGGGCCCAGTTTCTGTTTTCTGCATAAGGCTTGCCAGTTTTCCCAGCACCATTTATTAACTAGAGAATCCTTTCCCATTGCTTGTTTTTGTCAGATTTGTCAAAGATCAGATGGTTGCAGATGTGTGATGTTACTTCTGAGGCCTCTGTTCTGTTCCATTGGTCTATATCTCTGTTTTGGTACCAGTACCATGCTGTTTTGGTTACTGTAGCCTTGTAGTATAGTTTGAAGTCAGGTAGCCTGATGTCTGCAGCTTTGTTCTTTTTGCTTAGTATTGGCTTGGCTATATGGGATCTTTTTTTGGTTTCATATGAAATTTAAAGTAGTTTTTTTTCTAATTCTGCAGAGAAAATCAATGATAGCTTGATGGGAATAGCATTGAATCAATAAATTACTTTGGGCAATATGGCCATTTTCATGATATTGATTCTTCCTATTCATGAGCATGAATTTTTTTCCATTTGTTTGTGTCCTGCCGTATTTCCTTGAGCAGCGGTTTGCAGTTCTTCTTGAAGAGGTCCTTTGCATCCCTTGTAAGTTGTATTCCTAGGTGCTATTCTATGTCCACTTTTTTTGAGATGGAGTCTCTCTCTGTTGCCCATGCTGGAGTGCAATGGCATGATCTTGGCTCACTGCAACCTCCGCCTCCTGGGTTCAAGTGATTCTCCTGCCTCAGCCTCCTGAGTAGCTGGGATTACAGGCACGGGATACGAGGCCCAGGTAATTTTTGTATTTTTTTTTAGTAGAGACGGAGTTTCACCATTTTGGTCAGGCTGGTCTCAAACTCTTGACCTCGTGATCCGCCCGTCTCAGCCTCCCAAAGTGTTGGAATTATGGGCATGAGCCACCACGCCTGGCACCATGCCCACTTTTTAATGGGATTATTTTTAATTGAGTTATTTGAGTTCCTAGTGGATTCTCAATATTAGTCTTTTATCAGATACACTGCAAATATTTTCTTTCATTCTGTAGGTTATCTGTTGACTCTGTTGATTATTTCTTTTGCTGTGCAGAAGCTTTTCAGTTTAATTAAGTCCCATTTGTCTAAGGTAGTTGATGTTGGGCTTCATTTTGAGGACTTAGTCATAAATTCTTTGCCTAGATCAATATCCAGAAGAGTTTCTCTTAGGTTTTCTTCTGTGATATTATTGTTTCAGTTCTTGCATTTAAGTCTTTAATCACCTTGAGTTAATTTTTGTATATGGTGAGAGACAAGGGTCCAGTTTCATGTGTCTGCATGTGGCTCTCCAATTGCCCCAGCACCATTTATTGAATAGGGTATCTTTCCCCAGTGTATGATTTCTTAACTTTGTCAAAGACAAGTTGATTGAGGTATCTTTCTTTATTTCTAGGTGTCTATTTTGTTCCATTAATCTATGTGTCGTTTTTTATATCAGGCCCCTGCTGTCTTGCTTACTATAGCCTTGTAGTATAATGTGATACCTCCAATTCTATTATTTTTGTTTAAGATTGGTTTGGTTTTAGGATTTTAGGATTGAATTTTAGGATTTTTTTTCTAATTCTATGAAGAATGATATTGATAATTTGATAGGAAGTGCACTGAATCTCTAGAAAGCTTTTGTCAGTATGGTCATTTTAACAATATTGATTATTCAAATCTATGAGCAAGGGATGTTTTTTCATTTGTTTGAGTCATCTATTTTTTTCATCAGTGTTTTGTAGTTCTCCTTGGAGAGATCTTTTACCTCCTTGATTAAATGATTTTGGTATTTTATTTTTTGTAGCTATTATGTATGGCCTCGAGTTCTTAATTTGGCTCTAAGCTTCATTATCATTGGTGTATAGAAGTACTGATTTATATACCTTGATTTTGAATCCTGAAACTTTAGTAAAGTCATTTATGAAATCTAGGAGTCTTTTGGAGTAGTCTTTAAGGGTTTCTAGGTATAAGACCATATTATTGGCAAACAGAGAAAGTTAGACTTTCTCTTTTACAATTTGGATGCTCTTCATTTCTTTTTTCTACGTGATTGCTGTTGCTAGGACTTCCGGTACTCTGTTAAATAGGAGTGGACAGTGGGCATCCTTGTCCTCTTCCAGTTCCTAGGTGAAACGCTTTCAAGTTTTACCCAATCAGTATGATGTTGGCTGTGGGTTTGTCACATATGGCCTTTATTATTTTTAGCTATGTACCTTGTATGCTTAGTTTGGTAAGAATTATCATGAAGAGATGCTGTATTTTGTCAAATACTTTTTATGTATCTATTGATATGATCATATGATTTTAATTTTAAAGTCTGTTTATGTGGTGAATCATATTTAGTGACTTACATATGTTAAAACAATCTTGCATCCCTTGAATCAAATCCACTTGATTGTAGTGTATTATCTTTTTGATGTGCTGCTGGACCAGTGTGCTATTATTTAGTTGAGGAATTTTGCATCTATGTTCATCAGGGATATTGGTCTGTAGTTTTCTATTTTTGTTGTGTCCTTGCCTGGCTCTGGTGTCACGGTGATGCTGGCTTTGTAGGGTGTTAGGGATGATTCCCTTCTTTTTGATTTTTTGGAAAGATTTCAGTAAAATCACTATCACTTCCTTGTTGTACGTCTCATAGAATTCGCCAGTGAACCTGTTTGGTTCTGGGCTTTATTTTCTTCAGAATTTTTTTTATTACTTATTCAATTTTACTACTCATTATTGGTCAGTTCAGGATTTCTATTTCTTTTTGGTTCAATCCTGGAAGGATGTATATTTCCAGGAATTTATCCATTTTTTCTCCATTTTCTTTTTTTTTTTTTTTTTCTTTTGGGACAAAGTCTCACTCTGTCACCCAGGCTGGAGTGTACTGGCACAATCTCAGCTCACTGCAACCTCCGTCTCCCAGGTCCAAATGATTCTCCTGACTCAGCCTCCCAAGTAGCTGGGATTACAGGCATGCACTACCATGCCTAGCTAATTTTTGTATTTTTAGTAGAGACGGGGTTTCTCCATGTTGGCCAGGCTGGTCTGGAACTCCTGACCTCAAATGATCTGCCCGCCTCAGCCTGCTAAAGTGCTGGGATTATAGGCGTGAGCCACTGCACCCAGCCCATTTCTTCTACATTTTCTTGTTTGTACACCTAAATTTTATTCTTTCTTCCGCACAACTCAGAGTCTTTTGCATTTTGCTTTCCTGTCTTTTAAAGGTATCTTTATGTGTATGTATAAAATATTTTATATATTATATAAACATACATAATACATAGTTATATATAATATATATTATATATTATACATAAATATGACCCAACTTCTTCTAACTTCACATCTGTATTTCCAGCTCTTTGGGAAGCTTAAATCAACTTCAAAACCTCCACAAATGAACTCACTATCTCACGTGCTAAGCTCACCAGCAGCCAGGCACCCAGGATGGAAGCTCTGTCAAGTAGTTCTCACACTCAGTTGGCAAATTCAGATTCCAAAAGTCTCTTGCGGCTCTCAGACCCCATGCCCTTTCCCAGCCACTGTGCTCAATAGCCCTGTGTTTCCACAGTTCCCACTTCTCTGTCCTGACACACCCTGAGTCTTGGCTCCCTTTAAAACTGTTGGTTTCAATTTTTAATAATCAGAAAAGGTATAACAAATGCTCTTGCATTCACACAAAAATCAATGGGGTTAGCATATACTTCAGTTTATAACAAACATTTCTAAAGTGATTGTACCATCTTACATTCTTGCCAAAGTACAATAGTTCCTCTTGCTCCACAGCCTTGCCTTTGAGGCTGTCAGTTATTTTTTCCCCCGTTATATCCAGAAATAACCATTGTTAACATTTTCTAATCTCTCTCTCTCTCTTTATATATCAGGATAATGCCACATAGATTATTCCTTATCTTTTTTCTTTCTAATATAGTATAATGTTCTTCTATATCAAGAGATACAGATGTGTTGGCCAACATCTCCTCAACGTTCCCCCTGCTCCATTCCCTGGTCTTCACCATTCTACTCATGGCTTCTATAAGTTTGGCATTTTAGATCCCACATATAAATGAGATGATGTAATGTTTGTCTTTCTCTGTCTGGCTTAACATAATGTCCTCCAGGTTTATCTATGTTGTCACAATTGACAGAATAACACATGACCTTCTCTGTTGCATCTCCCCCAGTGCTCTGAATGCTGTCTCTCGCACACCCCTTTCAATATTTTGCTCTCTGCTTAAGAGAGCCCTCTCTGCTATAGGGCAACCACCCTCAATCTCACTAGTGTGGCTCAAAGGCCCTGCTGGGCACAAGGCACTGCCCCCACCAGCCTGCACTTCCCACACAGAGACCCTCCACAAGGGAACCCTGCAGATCCCTGCCAGACTGTTCCCTCCCCGCCTCCTTTCTAGCCCTCGTTCTGAAATGCTTGCTTTGAGCCGCTTCCTCATTCTCAGTCCTAGTCCACAGTCTCAGCACAGGTGCCTTCACTCACAGGAAGCCCCCCTCCTTCGGACCTCCATCCGCCTAGGCTGGGGCGGGCTCTTACTTGGTGGTGCCTGGCATGATAGCTGCCCATCCCTGGGGTTGTTGCTGTCTGCAGCCTCCCCAGCACCCAGCACCATGTGAGCACCCAGCACGTGGTGCTTCTCGAAGTAGGCTATGAACTGACGGCCACAACAGAGAATAAGCAACAGATTTGTGTACAGTGTTTATTTTGCATCATCATCACATTCTTTTAATTCTATAATATATTTTAATATAAGGCATCATGAGTAATTTTCCAAATATTTTTAGTTATTTCAGTTTATTTTTCCACAAGACTTTTAGTATCTTCAAAATTATTGTCATGTATTTTGAATGGAACACAATTAACTATAGATTCATTTGAAAAAAATTACCATCTTTACCTTATTTGTTCTTCCCATACAAAAAAATAAGCTCTAGTCATATTTTATCTCTCTTCTCAGTAAATTTTTCTTACTTTTCACTAAGAACTTGCTCATATCTTTAAAAATATTTTATTATGATAAAATACAGATAACATGAAAATTGTCATTTGCACTGTATTTAAGTATAGAGTTTTGCATCATTAAATACATCACATTGGTGTGCGGACATCCCCATTCTTCAATGAAAGAATTTTTTATCCTCTCAGATGAAACTTTGTACCCATTAAACATCAACTACCCATTTCCCCTATCCCTTAAGCCTTCCTTACCACCATTCTATTCTAAGTCTCTGTGAATGTGGCCAGTGTAAGTAGCTCATATAAGTTGGATTACATGGTATTTGTCCTTTTCTTGTCTGATTTATGTTCCTTTGCATTATTTCCTCAAGGTTCATTCATATCGTGGCATGCGTCATAATTTCCTTTCTTTTTAAGATGGAAGAATATTTCCTTGTATGGGTATATAATAGTTTCTTTATCCATTTATTTATCAATGGATATCTGAGTTGCTTCTACCTTTCGGCTATAGCGAATAACATTGTTATGAATATTATGAACAGTATTTTGCAAAGTACTGTGATACCTTACCTTGTTTTAATATGAATAGACTCTCCCTTAGCTGAGAAAGCCGGATGGACTCCATTTGGCTCCTTCATTTGCAAGACATCAAGGGCTCCTTACCCACCCCCTTCCTCAAGGACTTAAGTTGTGCAAGCTGACTCCCAGCACATCAAAGAGTGCAATTAACTGAGAAGGTACTGTGGCAAGCTATGTCCACAGTTCCCAAGAATTCACCCAGGTGATAGTACCCCCACGTTTGTGTCGCATAGATAGCACCCAAAAGCCCTCACATCTATCACCTTGTGATGAATTTAAAGCCCCTGCACCTGGAACTGTTTGTTTTCCAGTAACCATTTGTCTTTTTAACTTTTTTGCCTGTTTTACTTCTGTAAGATTGCTACAGCTAGGCTCCCCCTCCCCTCTCTAAACCAAAGTATAAAAGAAAATCTAGCCCCTTTTTCGGGGCCGAGAAAATTTTGAGTGCTAGCCGTCTCTCGGTCGCTGGCTAATAAAGGACTCCTGAATTAGTCTCAAAGTGTGGCATTTCTCTATAACTCGCTTGGTTACAACAGTACCTTTTTCTTTAAAAATATTTCTGTCCATTTTCTTGCCTCTAGAGGTGAGATTTTGTTCTTCACACATTCCAATTAGTTTTTGCTAGCTTCTAGGAAAACTACTGATGCTTGAATTTTTGCCAGGGATTCAGCCATGTTGCCAAATACCGATACTGATTTTCATAACATTTAAGTTGATTCTTCTGAGCTTTCTAGACACATGAAGAAATCTTCTACAAATAAGAGTAATCTCATCTTTTCATTTCCCATACTTTTAGCTAACTCAGTAATATACCTCTTTGCATTTGCAGGAGGTAATGTCTTATGTGTCTTTTTATTCCCAGGACTCAGCATCACACAAGGCACCTAAGAGTTGGTTAAGAGGCACTGGCCGAGTAACAATTTGTGCTTCACATGGGGGCATGTGAAATGCTGTCAGGTGTCACCCATCTTTCCTCCTTTGCTGTATGCATGTCTTACTAACCAATAATTACATAACATAATGCAGGGCTCAGTGTCACTTTTCAAATATACTCTTTCATTTATTTCTTAAGTTACAATGTGCAGTAATGGTAATAATTTTTCCCATTGTACAGATAAATTAACTGAGTCTCCTAGAGATTACATCCCTTGCTCTCTCAGTGGGGCTCCCCCCGCAGTTTCTCCTTTACCAGTGAGACTTCATTCTCTCAGCTGCTGGGAGTGTGGCCACTGAGGGCTCACAGCTGAGTCCCTCTGTGGGCATTGATCTGAGTCAAAAGAAGCTGCTTTGTCCAAATTCATGCCCTTCCTGGAATTTCCTATTTCAGATAAATGGCTTCTATGGGGATACAAAGGCCTGATTCTTTTGCCCCAATAGGCCACCACTCTGAGGCCATCCCCGTTGCAGAGCTCTCCATGGGCCTTGCTGTGGCCTCTGCTGAGCTGCACCCCAGCCTGACTTCTCCCTTTGCCCTGACCCACATCCCTGCCTCCCCAGCACATGCCTCAGTGAGCCTCTTGCCTGTGAATCTCCATCTGAGTCTATTTCCAGGAACCCTAACCAAGAGATGGTGGAGTCAGGGCCCACACCACAAATATCCTGCCTTTTAAACTACAGTGGGTGTTAGGTCTGTGAAAGTATGGAACATTTTTGTTTAGGAGATTGGATATCTCCCTTCAACAGATGATCCAAATGTTCTCACACCCATGAGACCCGCTGAAGAAAACCAATGCTTCATCTGTAAAGTTACTTGTTACCAAAAATCTCTTACTCAGCTGGGTTTTTTTTTTTTTTTGCCTCTTTATCCCTAGTGAAATGAAATCCAAAGTGTCCATCTGTATTGGACTTGGTGAAATATTTTCACATATAATTTTCTTTGATCCACCTGATGAGGAAGGTTGGGCAGGTACCAGAAACCCCTTATACTCGTAAGTAAATTAGTAGGAGGTAGGTTGAGGATAAGGTGTCAGGTCATGTAATTTTCAGCTTAATTATGTTCTTGTCACACAGTAAGCTTCATTTGCCTCCCTGGCTCTGGGACTGACACTAAGTAATGTGTCAGCTCCATTGCTCCTAGGAGAGTCCTGGCTGCAGATAGCTGGAGTCCTGAGAAACACTGGCTGCCTCTCCCATGATGACACTGGTTATTTACCAAAGGCCGTGGGTGGTGTTCACAGAGTCGGTGCAGCGTCGTCAGCAGGGGCCCAGGTGTTTTCCTTCCATCTTCTCCATTGTTCCTTGGGCTTTTGTTCTTGGGCACATGGCTCATGAGTGAAAGGTGGACACCATAGCCCTAGACATCCTGTCTCACACCACAGCCTGAAAGGTGAGGAGTAAGAAGGAGCAGCAGGAGGCCACAGGGCATGAGAAGAGTGTTGGGGGTGGGGGGAGAGAGTGAGAGAGAGAGAAAACTCCCCTCAGGGAGCCTTTCTCTGTTTATCCAGCAGATACTCTTTTAGTAGTAACCTGGCCAAGTGCTTGTCAGTTGTTGGCTGGACCTGAGATCTATTTCCCCAGAGGTGAGGAAGGCTTGAAAGTCCATTGCCTCAGGAACAGGCAAGAGGAAGGGAATTGACAATGGCTGTTCAGGTTTCCAGAACAAGGTCCCTTAATATGAGAGTTCATTGAGAGCTTATAGAAACTCCACTGTACTCTGAAGTTTATGAATGTGTTTATGCAGAAGTATGCAAACACACACACCATTTCTACAATTTTCATCAGATTCCTAATGCAATCACTGACTGCGCACCATTTCAATGTGTAAGTATGGGTGCTGAGATGTGAATGGAATTTTCTGAGCTTGTGCTGAAATTAAATGCAGACCAACCTCTCAAAACTTGGATGTTTCTTACTTTCAACATAACTAAGCAGCAGACTACCTCCTCCTTACATTCAGTGGAAGTAGAATACAGGAGACTGAAATAGATCAAGCACTCTAAAGCCAAGCTGGAGTCCACCTGCTAATTGCAATCATCGTGTCCACAGGAATGATGAGCTCTTTGCTAGTAAACGCTCCTTAGGGAATGTGAGCAAAGATACCCTCTTTTCCCCAGGAGCTCACAGTGTAGCTGAGAGAGGATCTATTCAGAAATACTCAGTGTCATGAAAAACAAGGAAAAAATGTATTGAATTCTAAATGACTGTTGCAACTCAGGGGGCAGGGGAAACCCCTGATGCTGAATATCAACTCCTGATTCACTCATAATTAATGTGCTATTAAGCATATGCAGGCATATCAACCACACCAATAGACATTCAGCCATAGCATTTGTTAGTTTTTAAAATGCAGACATAGGGAGGGTACAATGAAAAACAACCCATATCATCACCCAAACACCCATGGATGACATTTAAAATAATTAGAATAATTAGAACAACGTGACATTGTAATAACATTCAAATGAAACAGAAAAATGCAAAATTCTTCTCTTCTTTCTTTTTCTTCTCCCTTCTCATCCTCTCTCCCTTTCTCTCTCTTTCCCTCAGATGTGTTTCTGTGTATACATATGTGTATATGTCTGTGTATATGTCTATATACACACATACACACATGTGTTTATTTTTGTTTTTGGAAAGAGCTTTGTATTAACATACCATATAGATCTTGTTTTCTATAAAATAATATATTCAAAGTGTATTAAAATTTTTTTTCATTTTAACACATATATTGCTAATTCTTCTTAACGATGGTTTCATCATGTGCATGCATAATTTATTTATTCCCTCTGCAGTCATGTCATCATTTTGATCATGCTGAAGTTTGTGCTATTACCAGGATGCTGCCATCCTATCCACAGGTTTCACTGAGTGCTGGTGACACAATGGATGATGTGAATTCCTAACAGGGATTGGTGTAGGGGGTGGGCATATGACCCAGCCCTAGCCAATGAGACTGCAGGGGTGGTGAGCTAGGGGGTGCATAGGAGGAGCCTCCTCACATTCAGGAAGGAGGTGTGGAACAGAGGCTCTTCCCAGGGCTCTTTCTGCCTCTGGATGTTGGTGTTGATGATGTGATGTCTGGAGCTGTTGCAACCACCTTGCTACCAGCTTGAGGCTGAAGCTTCAAGAACAGGAAGGTAAGGCTGAGAGAATCCCAAGGAAGCAGAGCATATGCTGGGAGTTCTGTTCCTGAAGCCTGCCTCACCCAGGGGCTTCTTATCATGAGAGTAGAACATTCCCTTTGCATTCAAGACATTTTTAATTAGGGACTTAGTTTACATGTGGCTGAAAGCTTCTCAGCAGGTCCCAAGGCCTCTGCAGTTTCTTCTGCATGGTTTCTCCTTCCCTCACCTCTTCTTCAAGTCTCCTTCTACTTTTGTGGCTGGTGGATTTGTCTCCTCCCTCACGTCCTCCTTTGCCCATGCACTATGCAAGAATACTGGAGTCTGCCCATGTGTGTGTGAGTGGCACAGACAGGAGGGGCGGGCCTGACGTCCCTCCCCGATTATTCTGTTGGCTCCCAGCTGCAGGCAACACAGATGTAAAACTGTGACCAACAGGTGAGATGACTTGAAGAGATACTTTTTCCAGGACAAACTCCTGCACATTCAATGAGCTAATCAATATAGCACATCATGATACATTTGCACAATTTTGAAGCTCACTACACAACAGTGACAGTTTAAAAATGCTGTGTTAGTGAGCATTGTTAATACAAAGAGTCTTTAAGATCATCAATCTTATGTCTAGAAAATTTAGAAAGCACTAAAATCTTAGAGTTCACAAATGAGAGGAAACTGCAAGAGGCTTTTACGAATTTGTCAACAATCAGGAAAGGTTGCAGGATATTACCAATATGAGTTTTGAAGCAGAAAAAGGATGTTATGTACCATTAAGTTCACAGATCATCAAACAGTTAGTGGAAAGACTGGTTTATCTTTCTGCTATATTTATAAAAGTTCTGGTACAAATTCAATGTCTTATGATGAGGCAAATAGTGATTCATTAGCTGAATATGGAAACATAGGCAGAAAATATTACAGAGTTGTGTCAACTAGTTAATTAAACAAAAACATTATATGAGACAGTAAAGATCATGTGGATTAAGGGAGGGCAAATCTGCCCTTTCATCTGCAGGGTGGATAGATGGACTGATGTGGTCAAAGCCAGTGGCATCATGAACGGGAAACAATGTTTCTCTCAAGCTGCAGCTTTGAAATGTCAAGCAGCTTCTTCCTTGGCTGACAACTGCTTTCTGACTCAATGGAAGACCTTGTTCTCTAGCGTCAGGGCTGTCAGAAACTTTGCTTATGAGTAAGAAGAACATCCCACTGCCTGGAGGATCTAGGTCCACCTTTACACAGAAGCACAGAGCTACAGAGAAGGGGTTTCTGGACAGAACGTTCCACATTTGCCTGAACCTTATGGGTTCTGAGGAGATAGGAGGAGCTGAGGAGATAGGAGGAGCTGAGTACAATTTGCAGCCCAGACCTGACCCTGGCTCCTTTACACAGAAGCCTGCCATGCTCTGAGTGCATCAATACACCTTCAAAATCCCTTCCTCCAATCCTGTGATAACCTTTTTTCCTTTGTTTGTTGAATCATGTGAGGATCCTTGTGTGACTTTATTCCCTTATTGCAACAACCCAATACTGAGTGTGTTGGCTACAGTACTGACTTGGTGGCTGATTATTTTCTGGATTTTGTGGGTGTCTGTTATTTTCTGGAGTTTGTGGCTGTTTGCAGTATATCTCAGTGTTTTAAAAAGTGAGTATTTTGCCATAATTTATTTTCTTTTCCCAAATAAACATTAACTTTTGTGCTTTCTTTTGTATTGCTAATATTGCTCTATTTTTCATACATAAAGCCCCCATATTGTATGAGCCTCAGGCCCTGCAGCACCTGGTCTGCCTGTGATCATGAAGAGAGTCCACCTGCCCAAGGAAAGACTGTGCCGTCTCATGCTTCCCAGGCCTCCGATGCACTCATCCCTCCTTCCAGAGTGATTTCTCTATGCTGGGTGAGGGGTTTCCAACCTCTGCAGTTTCCATCTTTTACCTCTGATCTGGTGCATGATTTTTTCTAAAGGAACTCTTAGAAGACACTTAACATGACCTGATCAGGAACCTTCTTTAGCTTCTTCCAAGGACACAGCTCAGTGCCCAGAAGATGGACCTGTTCACTCTCAGCTTCCCCGCATCCTGCTCTGTTCCAAGGGAGCAGACACACAGGGAAAAGTCGGGGGAGTCCTGTGCAGAACCCCGACGTCACACCATCTTCCCCAAGGAAGATAGAATTGTGTCAGAAAGGGACTGTTTTTCAAAAAATCAGCTGTTCATTGTGTGCCTGGATGGTGGTCCCTTTGGTCAATAAACCCTTCATCCACATGGAAAATTATGAGCACTTCCGTGCAAGAAAGACTTTGCCCCCAACCACAACATCTGTGCACCTGCTGCTCTGCCCTCAGCCGCTCTCTCCCAGTAGAAGCCTGAATCACTAAGTGCACCCTCCACTGAGAGGATGAGGCCCAGATTTGACTCCCCCGCTCATGGCTGCCTGGGCGCTGCTACACTTCCCACATCACAGACTCAGTTAAATCCCATGGGGGTGGAGAGGAAATGGAAGCAGATGCTGCTCACTCTCCCTGCCAGACCATTCTCCTCCTGGCTTCCTAGGTGCAGCACGGTGGGTGCTGGCCTCAGGGCTGTTTCAGCAGCTTCCTCTTTGTCATTTCCCTCTCAGTGTTCATGGCAGCCACCCTTGGTCAATGCAGCTCTGAGTGAGGAAGACATTTCAGAGCCTTGGGCCAGAGGCACCTGTCCTGAGGGCTGCACCCCCTTCTCTTTGAACTAAAATAGCAAAGAGAAGGACCGTGTGGGCTTGGGGCCATGTGACTTAGGAGTGTAGCCTCCTGCTTGAGGCACAAATATCTACTATTCTATGAATCATGATGACACTAAGTTTTTTTTATTAATTGGAACATCATCCTTGGAAAAAAACAGTCCACTTCATGCCAGTCCCATTTGTGTTTTAACTTCTCTAACCCTAATATAAAGTTTGACATGAGGACTTTTTAAAACTTCAAGTCCAGAGAATGGGCCGGTGGGTGTGAATTGACAAAACCTCCCACCCTGGGGCACACCTTCCCAGGATAGATGACAGCAGGCACTGTTTTCTCTGTGAGATCTTGCCCATCTTTGGTCTGGCTGGCATTTCTCCCAATCAGTTACACATACACATACACACTTTTGGACTTGTTTCCATGTAAGGGCCTAAAGTCTCTTGTGGAAAGAAGCAGACATCGATCGCTATTTATTTAGTGTCTAGGGGATTTGATGAGAGCAGCTCAGTCCCTGGAGTCTGCTCAACTCTGCAAGCACAGATGGAATCCACGGCCTGGCGAGCTCCACTGAGGCCTGGCCCCTGCCTGTGGACACAGCCAGCCCCCTCCTCCTGGTCTGACCAGGAGCTCAGACCAAACCAGCAGCCCAACTTCTGGGGCCAGCAGAACAAGGAGGCTTCATAAAGGAACTGCAGAAACCCTGCCTGTGTGTACATCCCCAAACAGCCAAGAACTCAGAGGGAGGCAATGCTACTGTTTAATTGCAGGAGGTGGGAGAGTGTGCACTGCACACTGGGGCTATGAGAAGCAAGAAGGAAGGAGCAAGGGCAGAGCCTCCTGCTGAGCAACAAAGGCCTCCTGCCACCTTCTGTGTCTGTCTCCTGGTGCAGGCGCATGAGGAGACCTCCCCCAGGGTGGGGGCCACCAGTCCAGGGGTGGGAGCACTACAGGGGGTGGGAGTAGGAGGTGGTCAGTGTGACAGGCCTTGCACAGACCCCTAGACTTTCCGGCACTTGTAGTTCAGAATGGAAATTTTATCCTCCCAGGGAACTTCATTGATCTGGAAAGAGCAGAACTCTTCCTGTGAAAAGAAAGAGATGGAGAAAATGACTGTGGGTTACAGTTAAAGCCAAAGATGCCCAGGAATGGGACATCAGAATGGGGGTGAAAATGGTTGGAGATGAGACACTGCCCCCTGACCCCAACCTACCCCTGCCGAGTTCCAGGGCACTGAGCCCAACTGGGCAGTGACTGTTCCATTGCCCCTCCCAAGGCTCCAAGTCACCAGGTGACATTGGGCCTTCACCCCAGCCTGCAGGATTCCTGTCCCAGCGCAGCCCTATGAGGAGCAGCCTGTGCAAGGCCTTGGGAGCCTCAGGGGTGCAGGACAGGGGAGGCAGCTCACTGCCTCCAGCTCCTTCCACCTCCAGCACCCAGGCCAGCACTAAGAGGGGCCAGAGGGAAGAACCCAGGGAACTGGAAATTGCAACTCAAAGTGCCCGAGGTGGTGAGGAGATGACAAGGAGAGTGTGGCTCTGCCTTGAGCAGAGACCTCGAAAGAAATCCTGGGTTCTTGGAGAGGCTGATGTTGGGTGAGCTGGGGCAGGTCCAGGGCTTCTCAGCTAACAGGCATTTAATTCCTTCTAATGTGCTCAGAGTGGCTGTGGCTGCAGGCAGGTGCCTGAGGCTGGGGTTAGACAGAGCCCCTTCTTTCTGACCAGAACCCAGCCCAGCAGCTTCTTCCTCCAGTCCAACAGACAACACCCCAAAGCAGGCAGAGTTGACCTCCCAGTAACCATTACCAAGCTAAAGTCTTCCTAGCAAAACAAATTCATCACCCCTATCCACACCACTCCATCTGCACACACATAGGCATCTATATTAACTCACAGCAACCCTCACCCAAACGAATATATGCATGAACCCACATACTCCTTCACACATCCACACACATGCACACACACACTCCTGTGCATCTTCCTCATGTATGCACACATATGCATCTTTCTACATGCATAGCCACATGTGTACACCATCCCACACATTCATTCATGCATACACAAAACTCCATATGCACAAACACATTCATTGACTTCACAATACACATCTGCACATGTGTGCCAAACACACATGCATCCTCCCATGCACATGAATACATCCTTGCATACGTGGCCCCACAAATATCTGCACACATGCACACATGCCCTCCAAAGCATGTGCAGGAGTACAGATGCGTGCACACACACATACACACACACACATGCACACACTGCTCTGCGGTACTTGATGCCCCTGACCCACATCAGGCACATACCTCTTTCAGTTTTGGCTGGTCATTGAAGGGACAGTTGTCCAAGTTGGGCTGGGACTTGGTGCATGTGGTTCGACCGAACTTCACATTGAAGTAGTAGTTCACCCCACCCACGATCTACACGCGTGGAAGAGCAGGAAGCAGGGGCAGCATGCTGTCAGTTTCATGCACACGCAGGCACTTCACTGTGACTGAGTCACTGGGCTTGCCTGGGGCTTCATGCCCACACTGTCACCCAAAAGGCACACAAGCCACCTTCTCCTGCTGGCTGGCAGTGGTAGTGTGTCCCAGTCCTTCCTAGTAACTTGTTTTCTCTGGGTATCTCAAGCAAGCTGTCTCATGCAGCCCAGTAGAAAGAGAAGCAGGGGCAGGGCAGATGGAAGCCAGGGCCTAAAACCCCCTTCACTGGATTCAGGAACAGAAGGCACAGCTCTGGGGAACCAGCCAGGGTGGGACAAAGAAACAGTCCTGGCACCAGGCTTGCAGGGCAGGGTCTAAGCACCAAGTGAATGCTCTTTCCCACAGCAAAGGATTAACTGAATTCTGCTACCTGTGCTCAGGGGGCAGGGACACTGGTCCCATCCTAGGAAGGCTGCCACCTGATGATGAAATTTCAGCTAACTTCCAGCTCCTGGCATTCAGTCCACAGAGCATCTCATTCCTGCCATTTAACCCAGAGGTATTTTTCCTCATTTCTCAGTAGGAGATGAGATGCTCACATACATTGATGTTTTAGGCCAATAAACATTGCCTCCTGCATGCCTCCATTCCAGGTGTGATTTTCAAGGCAATATTTCTAAAGTGAGTCACACACCTGCATGTCTTAGGGTTGCAACTTCAGAAGAGAACTGAATGCTTTCCCTGCACAGTGCCGCCCCAAAACATGACTTGTCAGAACTGTGGAGAAGCATGGGATGAGGGACCCTGGGACCAGGGTGCTAGACCTTGCCCTGTGGAACCACACACAAGTCCTGTAGAACCACATGGAAGTCCTGTGATCCCTCCGGTGTCAGTCTGCTGCTCTGTAAAATAGGCTCCAGGGCCCAACGATCTACATCATTCTGTGCTTCACTCCCAGTGAGTGACACACTTAAGAGGGAGTGCAGGCCAGCAGGGACCACAGCACCAGGGAATGCCCCTCCTGTGCAGGGAGAGGGCTGCAGGAGGAGAAACAGGGCTGGTCTGGACTCCTCTGACTTTCCAAGAGAAGGTGGAGGAGCTCTAAAGGCTGGCAGGCCATATAGCCCTGTGGTCGCTGTGTCACTGCTGCTCTGCCATGGGACGTAGGTCAAGCTGGGCTCGGTAGCCCTGCTGAAGCTTCCTCCCTCTGGACCCAACCACCTCCTTCACTCTGCTGGGTGATTGCTGTCCTCATTTTGCTGAGGTCTAACTCTGCGTTAGCTGGCAGAGGCAGGGTCAGGCATGCTCTACCCCAGCAGGAACTCAGCTGTCCTGGGCTGTAGGGGGTGGTCAGCCAGCCTGAGAGTGAAGGCCACTAGCCATAACGGGCTGTGCCCAGGGGCGTGACTTGGGAGGGAAGCGGGGCTATCCAGGACAAGGAGTCAGGTTCCCGTGTGGCCCCTGTGGAGAGGACTCAGGGAGGAAGATGAACCTCGTGGCCTGGATCTCATCCTGAGCAGCATCAAGCCCACCCAGAGTCAGCACAGTCTCCATCCACACCTGCTGGACCCTGGGAAATGCCACAGTCATGGTACAGACACAGTGGCTGCTGCAGGTTAAAAGAGGCCGAGGGGACAGGACAGGGCTGAACTCATGCACTCACGGCCAAGGAGTGTCCTAGGGCATGAAGACCATCAGCAGACAGTCAGAGAAAGCTGAATGAGTCTGCGGTTTAGATAATGTTGATTTGCTGGGAGTGCTCTGGGGGGTGAGGCAAAAAACCCAGCTGGGACTCAGGACCCCCAGGGTGGTGGTAGCACGCACCTGCTGGTAGGCAGCCATCACCTGCAGAGGGCGGCTGTAGTACTCATCCTTATTAATGACCTTGTTGTACTCGCTGATGGCAAAGTCCAGGGCACACTGCACACTCTTGTCATTGAGGTCTGTGGCATGGATGCCACCTGCCAAGGTCCTAGATTGGGCCGAGGCACTCCCGGCCACGGCCACCATCAAGGCAGTCAGCAGCAGCAGTGGGGTGTGCATGGGCCACATCATGTTCTACTGGGACACAGAGCAAGGAGCTGGATCTCCCAGAGAGCAAAGCAGCAGAAGGCTGAGGCAGGAAGCCCAGGCCAGAAGCTAGCTGTGCATTTATCCTACTTGGGTGTCCCCCAACCCCACCTGCTCCCTGGCCCCGCCCCTGGCTCCTCCTCCTCTTTCTACCCCTCCTCTTCTGTCTCTATCTCCCTTTCCACCCCCAACCACCTCCCTCCCTCCCTAAGTTCCCTTCGCTCCTCCCATGCCTCCTCCTCATCCTCCTCCCCACTCCTGTCCTGACCGCAACCTCCCCACAGCCCTGCCCCTCTTCCTCAGTGCTCTAAAGCTTGGCTCACTCTGGATTCCAGAGAGGTGACACCGCTCCCTGGGCTGTGAAACCTGGTGACCACCTATGTCCACAGGAAAGGGAGAAATACAGGGCTTGGCCTTCTAAAGTCTTCAGATGTCAGGGGCATCCAGGAGCACGTGGTCATGGTCTGGGAATTCCTGGGGCAGGGAGCTGTTTCAGAAGCTCCGGGATGACCTTGTCCATGCCCTCTTCTGGGGAACTTCTTTGCCAAACATAAAGTAATTAACCTTTGGGTAAAGTTCACTGGGTTCTCGTTTCATAACTCCTCATTATTCAATAAACAAACCTGTCACCAGCTTCCCCCTGCACCAAGCAGTCTGGGCAATAGAGCCGTAGACATGAACTTGCAGAGCTGCCATCCAACAGAGATGTGACAGAAACCCAGGAGCAATTTAAAACACATTTGAAAAAGTTAAAAGATACAGCTGAAAGTAATTTTGGTATTTCTACTTTAACCTAATATATCCAAAATACTTCAACACTTCAGGACTATTCTTAAGGAGCTAGTTTACATTCTTTTGTGTGAGTGTAATGTCTTGAAGTTCCCTGTGTATTTTTTACAGTTAGACCAAGCGTCACTGTGGACTAGCCCCATTTCAAGTGCCCTGTGGCCACGAGTGGCTGCTGGTGGCTGTGGTACTGCATAGCCCAGCCATTAGGGTGTGTGGGAGGATGCAGAGTGGTGATCAACAATTTAGATCAGGGAATTATAGTCGCTCAGTTAGAGAGAGGGTGGGTGCTACTGGACCCTGGTCAGGGAAGTCTCTAAGAGACCGGAAAGGTTGAGAAGCCCCAGGCAGCAGGGAATAGTCAGTGCAAAGGCCCTGAGGCAAGGCTGGGCATGCCTGCTCCAGGAAGAGGAAGCTCCTGGAGGGGGTGTGAGCAGGGAAGGGAACGACCTGGAGTCTCACGGTAACTGTGGGTGTGTCCAGGTGGAAGGCGCAGGGAGACCCCTGGCAGGTGGTGGGGGTGTCAGGAGAAGGAGCAGCAGCCACAGGATGAATGTGGGAGCCCAAGAGCCTCTCTTGCTCCTCCCCTCTGGGAGACGTGCTGCCAGCACTGGTCCTCTGTACACTGCTTGGAAAACTCATGTAATATTTTAAAAATTACATTGAATGAGGTAGAATTTACACACAATAAAATGCCTAATTGTATGTGCCCAATCTGGGGGATTTCATAAATGCATACACTTGTGTTACCACTTTGTCCACACCTGTGATATCTGCCTCACCCCAGATGGTTTCCTCCTGCCTCTGAAGCCCACCCTCATGCCCACCCGACCCTGGCAGCCCACATCTGGTCCTGTGGACTCCTTTGTTGCCTGTCCTTGAGCTTCCCAGGAATGGAATCCTGCAGAGAGAGCCCAGGTGTGTCTTCGTCCTTTGCTCAGCGTGGCTTCATTGCCAGGATTGAGAGTTCTCCTTCTCCACAGACTGAGAGGATGTGGTCAGTTGGGTGCCCTGTGGGCTGACAAAGCCCCCAGCTCGGGATGCTGTGGGCCTGGACTGGAATGTGACTTCAGGAGTAGGGAGGGTGGAAGGAGGCTCTGAACAGACAGCTGCTCCCTTTGTTCTCTCAACCCCCCCTCCATGCCTGAAGGTGATCCTGCGGCAAATGCCCTTATGGCGAGGTGGCAGGCTTGGCCAGAAACACCAGGAAACCCTGGGCCTTAGCAGGACACCCAGAGGACTCTCCTGGGAGTGGTGGAGGTGAGGGTCGGCCAGGATCAGCCCAGACCTGCTATAATCCTGGGGCTCCGCCATGGCTGGGGCTGCATCAGCAGGAACCCGACAGCGGGAACAATATTACTCATGGGTGCTCATGTTCAGTATGAGGACAGGGGACCTTTTTACCCAAGGCCCAGTGACCATTGCACCCCACTGTGAATCCAGCACCCCTAGAAAAGCCATGCACTCCAGCAGATACAGCAGGTGGCCCAGGGATAGTGTTTACTGCTGGGTGAGGGAGGGAAGGTCTTCAAGCAGGGCTGCACGTGATGCCTCCTAGTTAGACAGGAAATTGGGGGAGATTCCCAGAGAAGGGAAAGAGAGGGCAGTCCCTGGCCAGGTGCTTGTGGGCAGAATGGTCATCTCCCAAGTGTGGGAGTTGGGTCTCCTCTGTGGCTCCCACCTTCCCTGGCCGCTAGGTCTCAACTCTCAGGAGGATGTGTTGTGCAGAGGGTAAGCTGAAATACATACAAATCTCTCCTATCTTTTATCATTAGGAAGGAGATGCAGGTCATCCACATAACAGGCATATGGTGGTGGGTGGAGTATGGGGTGGGAGCTGGAGTGCTGGCCTATTTCCCTGTATGTGATGCCACCGCCAGTGGTCATCCTCTGTCAGGACACTGGAATGAGCTATAGGGAGGGTCAACAGGCCTGATACAGTGGCCACTCTAATCTTTGTAGTCAGACCCCCATGTAGGGCACTCTCAGGAACTACAAGAGATGCATCCAGTATGGGTGATGGTAAGTGGAAGGTTAGGGTAGATGGACAGCTGCTCCAGCTGCTGGGTGACCTTGGGAAAATGTTTTGCCTTCTCTATGTGTCATGCATATGGAAAGGTGAGCTGCTTTGTAAATGGTGGTGTCTGGTGGTTCAAAACCAGCAAGATAAGTTTGATTCTGCAGTGACATTTAAGTGTGGTTAAAATTTACAATAGCCCAGTGTTATGGCATGCCTGTACACCTACTCTTGAGGCTGAGGCAGGAGGATCTCTTGAACCCAGGTGTTCCAGACCACACTGTGCAACACAGTGAGATCCCATCTCAAAAAAAGATGGAGACTTAGTTCCTATAGCTTACAGCTCCAATGACAGGCTGGCAGGGACCCAGAGATAAACAATGGACTCAGGACCAAGCCTGGGGCCTCCAGCACCTTCGTAATCTGGAGGAGTCCAGTTGCCCAGGAGGGGGCATGTTTCCTTTCTGCCAGTGGATGAAAGAGAAAGCCGTGTTCTCCCAGGTTGCGTGTGTAACTTGATCCCATGATTGAATTAGTAGAGTGAGAAATTAGGTGAGTGACAGAAGTTCTCTATAATAAATAAGCAGTAAAGGGAAACACTAAACAATATTATAACCAATAAATACCTAAGGGCATAAACATCACCTAAAGTGCAAGTGGTTAGATCAAGTTGGCCAAGAGTTGAGATTCTGCACATCCGGGTTTTGAGCAATTAACATTCAGTGTCTGTGATAGGAGATGGGACTGAGCAGCCACGGGATTTGTTGGCTTCTCAAAGGGGAAGCCCAGAATCCTCCTTTATGGAGTGCTGCGAGTTCTCTGGGGTCAAGCTTGTCCCTTATGCACACCCTTCCTCCTTCCCCCTCCCTGCTCCCAACTGTGGGGGACCTGAGATACTCCTGGACCATTGGCCACCATTGGTAAGCATCTGGGCTCTGATGGGGATGAGGCCACATTATTATGAACTCTGGTACTTGCTGTGAAGCATGCCCAAAGCCCCTACAGGAAAAGGGCGTACAGAGCCCAGGATCTGAGGTCTGAGAGTTTGGCCCTTTATGGAGGGAAAGAGAATCCTTGGGAAGTTTCCTGCTCAGGGATCAATGTGTAAACAGCACTTAGGATTTTAGATTGCAAGGTTACTATTTATTTTCTCAAGGAGTACATTCTTCCTAGCAGAGCCATGGCTAGAGAACCACAGCCGAGTGGAGAGGACAGGGAGAGTTCCTTGGGAACTCGGGTTGCTTGCTGATGCACCCAGGGACTTCCCCCAACTCCCTGGTCCCAGCCTGCAGGGGCCTGGCCCAGGAGAATACAGATGGCTCTGAGGGGAGAGCAATCCCCTTGGCATCTCTGTGTGGTGAGAGTTTCCTTTCTAATCCCCATTCAGGTCACTGCTGGGACTTCCCTGTCACTGTTTGTCTAACCTTAAATATCAATTCCTTTAGCAGACTGCAGTGGCTGTGGAGAGTGGTTCCTGTTCCTGCCTGGAATCCTGTTACACTCAATCAGTGGGTGCTGGAGCTGGAGCCAGAGGCCATCAGGACAGCCTGCCTGCTCTTGTGGCCCTGCCTGCCCTCTCCTCCTGTCACAGAGGAGCTGGATCCAGTGAAAAGACTCTCTAACGAAACTTTAAGGCTCCTCTGAGCCTTCTTCACTAGGCCTCAACCTTGGTCTCCAGCTCCTACCTGCCAGGTCTGCATTGCTCAGTTTTAGGAAAGAATCCTGCTTCCTTTTAGGGAGAATCCTGCTGTCCTTGGGGTCTGATCACCCTTGACATCTGATCAAGTTCCTCATCCCTCAGCTTTGATGTCTAAGGCTGTGTCCTGCCTTTAGCAAGAATCCTGTTTGGTCAGTTCAGCCAGAAACCCCTACCTTTGATGTCTCTGCTTAGTAATTTTTTCTTCACTAACCTCCACACCCTGCTCCTTGGCTATAAATCCCCACTTACTCTTTTTATATTTGGACTTGAGCTCACTCTGTCTTATTGTGAGAGTGTTGACCCCATTGCAATTGTCTTGAGTTATCTCAACTAAGGCCAGGCTTCCAGCAGTGAAGCTCCTCATCCCCCTGTCCATGACGTCATCACTGGACTTCCTGCAGGCACCACCAGTTCAGCATGTCTATTGCTACAATCATCATTTTGCCCACAGACCTGCCCCTCATGGAGAGCATGAAATGTAGGTTGGATTCGGAAGGAAAGGGCTGCGCTCCACGAGTTGCATGGCAGTTGTAGACACCAGCAGAAACCATGCAGTCTACGGAGGAGGAGATTTCTCCCTCTCTGGACCTCACATGGGATGGACTGTGGGTCTCTGCTGGGAGGGATGTTCAGAGCATCCTGTACACATCAGTTACCTACTGCTGCATCAGAAGCCACCCCGAATCTTCCTGGCTGAAAGCAACATGATGTGTGGATTCTTATGACTCTGGAGCTGTCCGCGGCTCTTCTGCTGGTCTTGTTAGGTTCAGTTGGGGGCTGCATTCAGGTGGGGTAGGCTGGAAATGTGCTCAGCGGGGATGGTGAGCATCTCTTTCCAGGCAGTCTTTCACTCTCAAGAAGGTGAGAGGATACTTTTACATGAAGTTGCTGTCCATGATCACATTTCAGGAGCCCACCTCCCAGGAGTGGCCTGGCCCCAGCCATTGCAGCGTATCTATACCAGTCCACTATAAAGTTGCTATTTTTCACTTTATCATTAACAAATATTGCATAAAGCAATGCTTTGAAATACGATTATATCCTACTTCTTATCAAATTTTCACTTTCTAGCTTTAGCATACAATGATAATTGTTGCTTGAATCAATTGTTATTATGACTGTTGTGAAAAGGTTGTTTCTAATTTCATTATTTGTTCTACATTTATTAATGGCATTCATTCTACTATAAGGAAAATCTCTATTTTCTTCTATCTGCTTATCTGTCTACCTACCTACCTATTTGCCATTTATCTTTCCATAGATCTATCTGACTCATGGTTTCTTATTTTATTCAATGAGTT
The DNA here is from genome assembly GCF_000001405.40 of Homo sapiens. Classification (NCBI taxonomy): domain Eukaryota; kingdom Metazoa; phylum Chordata; class Mammalia; order Primates; family Hominidae; genus Homo; species Homo sapiens. Next base: position 23,885,495 of record NC_000020.11, read on the forward strand.
ACACTCTGTTAGCACTATTTATTCCAATGTGAAAATTATCTCAGAGTTGGCTATTGGGGACCCCTTCAGCTGCTTCCTGCATTCTTATGAGATGTTTTCATCATTATTTGAGTCTATTTTTACTTTCTGATGTAACAAGAAGTTGCAGATTTATCTTTCACTTTTCTGAGCCAACCTTAGAATCAGTGGCTAGAATCTGCGGTGAATTTAGAAAGCAAGGCCCAAGTGCAACCTGTGCTCATTGCTCCTGGATGGCCATGAGTCCTCGGTCTGTGCTTCTCAACCTGTGGCAGGAGGCACCAAATATGCTTCCCAGAGCACACTTGGTAGTGTCTGGGGACATTTTTGGTTGTCACTACTCGGGAGGAGGTGCTGCTGTCATTTTGGGGATAGAGGTCTTGGATGCTGATAAACATCAGGCAATTTCACAGCACAGCTCCCAAAGATAGAGTGATTAGGCCCAAAATGTCCACAGTGGGGAGGGTGAGGAGCCTTGTTCCAGGCCTCCTCAGTGGGACAGAGCTACGAAATCCACACCTGAACATACTCACATGTTGATATTTATTTCTACATTATCTGTCTATACGTTATAAACCATAAGTTAATATTGACCTCATTTCCAACCCTGTGAGATTCATTCTGGTTCTTCCCTTTCCAAAGCTGTGGCTGCTTTCTTTGACAGTTAAAAACTTGGATCCCATCAATTGCCATCATCATGCAGTCAGCCTCTGTATCCTTGAGTTCCACCTTTTTGGATTCAACCAAGTTCAGATAAAAAATATTTTTTAACAAATGCATCTGCACTGAACATGGACAGACTTTTATCTTGCCATTGTTCCCTAAGCTATACAGCATAACAAGTATGCACATAGCATTTACATTGTCTGAGGAATTATGAGTAACCTAGAGATGATTTACAGTATACAGGAGGATGTGCATGGGTTATATGCATGTTACACCATTTTATATGAGGGACTTCAGTATCCATGGATTTTGGTATAAGAGGGAGGTCCTGGAACCAATCCCTCATGGATACCAATGGATGGCTATATTTACTTAACTTCCTCAATACTAGAATTTACAGAAAGTGAAACAATATTACAGATGAATGTTTCTTAATTTATTTCCACAGGACACTCTTTCTGAAGGTAGCTGATAGGTGTTAGCCATTCCCCTCAAAAATCAAAGTGTAGGAATTTCAGAATAATTGATTAAAGTTTGAAGATAAAAAATCAGGTGGCTTACTGCAGGCATTTTATGAGTTTTAATGAATATTATAATGTGCATTGATAGTTCCAAAAGGAGGCTTTGGTATACAAAATAATTTCAATGTTTGTTGAAGGAATTTTTAAAAATGTAGTTAGGAGCGCACATTAACTTTTACAGCTGCATTTGTGCTGCGTGCAGCAGTTTGCAAAATGCAGTTTTAGATCTGTTTCAGTCTGCATCTAGCTCTTCCAGATTTTGCCATGAACATAGTTTTGTGCTTTTAAGGAAATTCAATGCAGGAAAATACTTATTCAGCAGGTTTCCTTCATAGTAATCCACCTTTGTACAAGACCATGTGTGTGTGACTGCATGTATGTGTGTGATTGGGTGTGTGATTCTATGTGTGTGTGTGAGAGACTCTGTGTATGTGTGTTATTCTCTCTGTGTGTGAAACTGTGTGTATTTGTGTGTGACTGTGTGTATGCATGTACTTGGACAAATGGCCAGGCATCAATCCCTCCTCAGGAGTCTGAAAGCTGTCCAGCTGCCCACTACTGGTCCCATGATGAGCCTGGCTTATCCCCATTCAGCAGCTCCTGCATCCCCCTAGAGCACCCCATTGCCCTTCTCTAGGGTCTCTGAGTTTGCCCTGCAGTATTTGTTATCATTGTCAGGAGCTCAGCAACACTGTAGATTCTTCCTAGGGTAGCAATGCACTGGAGATGGTCCCACTTTACCTCCTCTGCTGTCTACCTTTGATCACACCCTACTCCAAGGCATCCTCTATTCATGAGACTCCCAGGCCAGGAAGGAAAGTAAAAGCTTTTTATCAACCATATCTGTGCCTCTCTATGTGCTTCCTGTGTTCTAGACACGGGCACACTGTCTACTTGCTCAATGCTGTGGTCCCAGCCCTAGCACAGGGTTCAGTAAGGAATTAGTTGAGTGAATTAATGGATCCTCCAACAATCTTTATGAAATGTGTTTCCATATTTTGCAGATGAGGAACCTGCAACAAAAAGTGTCAAGGCAGAGTCTGATGCAAGTGCACAGGACCCCACACTGTGATGTCATCATAGCTGAGCCCTGTCTGGGATCTTGGAGCTCTCCAGTGATGTCTTCTCCGTAAGGGAGGACCTTGGATACATGTGTGCGTTCAGTCAAAAGAGAGGTATGGTGTGCCTGCTGTATGTCAAGAATTATTTTCTCATCAGCAAGAGTACACTTCTCTATTTGCAGATATGTGAAGAACAAAATGACAATGCATACCAGGTCCTTACTGAACTGCTCGGCACAGAGAAGCCCTGGAGAAAGGGTGACAGTGTTGCTGGTGGAAGCTCTGCTGGCTGGGTTCCAGGACACTGTCTCTGGGACACCCTGTGCTTCCTGCCACCCTCCCTAGGGTGATTTCTTATCCTTCCCTAGTTGCATTTTGATATTTGATCCCAAGCTTTTGTCATTTTTCAAAAGATCCAAAGGTCATCTTAACTCTTGCCATTGAAATGATAGTTATAACAAATAGTTGTAGAGTTAACACAACCTCACAGATGCTGCCGGTAAGATGTTCACATGACATTATCTCATTGCCACTGAGAAAGTCTCTGATACGTCCATAAAGGCATTTCATCCAATATGTATATTCAGAGTCTTCTATGGTCCAGGGATTGTTCATAGGCACTTTACAGATAATGGGACGAATACAGTATTGCCTCTACCCAGCTTGTAGCCAAATGATATCCTAACCTAGAAAGAGTGACCTGGAAAGACCACTCTGGGGATGTGACATGGGAGCTGCACTCTGCAGGAGGAGAAGCAGCCAGCTGCAGAAACCCAAGGGTGGGGATTTTCTGGCCAAAAAGCAGCATGAACTTACCCTGAGGAGAAAATGATCTTAACCTGTGGAAGCTCCTGAATTGATCATCAAGGACCAGCAGGCAGGAGAGATACAGAGACTGGGTCTGGGGATGAGCAGATGTCAGTTCCTGCCAGGCCATATGCATCATGCTGAATATACTTTATTCCAACTCTAATGAGAAGCCTTTGAAAGGTTTTACCGGGACTATGACATGACACCTTATATGTTATTAGAAGGCTGGCATGGCCTCAAGGAAGGAACAGGCTTCTAGTCGGTGAGAATGGGAGGGTGGAGAACAGTCAGGAGGACATTGCAGTCACCCAGGAAAGGGAGGACAGTGACCTGGGCCCGTGCAGTGGTCGGGAGGTGGAGCACAGGAGACTCAGGATGTCTGTGAGAGGCAGCGAGACAGGACTTGCTGAGGGCTGGGGTGAGGGCATAGTGGGGAGGAAAGAACAGAACTCCAGCCCTGGTCTGAGCACGTGCCATGAAAATTACTGAACTAGAGGAGACATGAGGATGAGCAGATGGTCACCTCTCAGGAAGGAACCGAGAGCTGTCCTCAGGAGATTCTTGGGACATCATACATGCCAGACTGTGGATCTAAAATGTCAACCCCTGTGCCCAGCCTAGAGGGGCCAGATTTCATTAGAGTGCAGGGGAGGGTCTTCTTCCTTTTGCTGATGGACTTCATTATGAATATGGCACCACAATGGCTTTTTATTATAAAATGTTTTAAGTACCTATTTGCCAGTCATATTTGGAAAAAGAAAACATTAGCCTTTTTTTTTTTTAAATGGAGTCTCACTCTATCACCAGGCTTCAGTGCAGTGGCACGATCTTGGCTCACTGCAACCTCCGCCTTCTGGGTTCAAGTGATTCTTCCTCAGCGTCCTGGGTTCAAGTGATTCTTCCTCAGCCTCCTGAGTAGCTGGGACTACAGGTGCGTGCCACTATGCCCAGCTAAGTCTGCCATTCATGGCATTGAATGTATCTGAGAATGATGCCTGAGCTGTGTCAGAGTTGGCAGGAATGGTGAGCTTTTGGGCCCTGAGAGATGGAGTGTGTCTGAGGGGAACTAAGTGGGAAGAGGCTTGCAGAGTTGGCAACCTCCTCACCCCATGATAAAGGAGGGGACGATATGCTGAAACATCACTTGTGAAGATGAACACATCACAAAGAGAATGCCCAGATGTGGCAGATAAACCACAAAGCTACAGGGCAATTCCTGTGCCTGCAGCCACCTGCCCTGTAACTCCTGCTCAGTTCATGAGGTTGCAGAGAACCTCTGGGTTCTGCATGCTCCACTTCACCACAGTGACCACCAGAGGGAAGCATTCACCCACGGATGACCAGCCCTTCGGGTGCCTCTACTCGAGCCTCACCCTGGGGAGCAGTCTCTGAAGGTAACCCTGGGGTTGTCATAGCATCTGCCTTGGAGAAAGGGGTTTTGCAAACTAAGCACTCCCTGAGTGCCGTACGGGTTCTGCAGAGGCCCGTCGGCTTGGTTCTGTCCTCGCTGCCCTGGGCTACCTGGGCATGTGGGGTTTTATTGAACAGAGCAATGGCCAGTAGATGGCACAGCCTCCTGTTCCTGCAGCTCTCCCCAGGGCCCCTGCTGGATCTTTCCAGAAAGGAGAGACAGGCCCAGAAGTGACTCTCTCAGAAGACAGGGACATTCTGAAGGCAGGTGACAATGAACGTGTGGACACCCTGTGGACAAGTCTGGTTTCTATCTTCTCTTCCACTCTGCCTCCTCACCCCTTTCCTGGTGCTGTCTCTCTTGCTCCCTGCCCCTTTCTCAAACTACCCATCTCCTTCTTTTTCATGGTCATCTTAGTCAGTTGGAGGCGTGAATACCATGGAAAAACCACGTTTGCTGCTGTGGTTAAGAAGAACACATGATCCATTAATGAAAAACAGTTTCCCATCCAAGGCAAGGTGTCTGAGGACAAGTTTCACCTGAGTCCAGATCTGATGAGCCTGCAAACAGAGGAAAACCCTTAATGATACCTGCTCTGGCCTCGTGCTTATATTCTGCATCAAAGAGCTTTATCTTTTCACATCAAATATCATATCACCACCATCACCACTATATCATCAATATCACCATAATCTTCACAACTATTGCCACTTCCATAACCACCATCACTATCACCAGCATCACCTCCACCATCCCCACAATCATCACTACCACCATCACCATTATCTTTACCACTATCACCATTGATACCACCCCCATGATCACCATCATCATCACCAGCATCATCACCATCACCATCACCACCATGATCACCATCACCATAACCTCAACATCATGGTCATCACCATCATCACCACCCTCACCATAATCATCACTACCATCACCATCACTATTATCATCACCGTCACCATTACTGCCACCACCAAGACCATCACCATCAAAACCAGTACCACCATAATCCCCACCATCACTACCATCTTTACCACCATCACCATTATCACCATCATCATCACTATCATCACCACCATCATCATCATTATCAATACGACCGTCTCTGCCGTCATCACCATCACCACCACCACTATTACTACCATCACTATCACCAACTTCACCACTATTACCATCACCACTATTATCATTACAAGAGCTACCATCATCACCACCATTATAACCACCACCACCACCACCATCATCACTATTATCACAATCACATCACCATTATCAATACCAACATTACTGCTGTCATCAACATCACCATCACCACTACCACCATCACCATCAGTATACTCACCATCATTATACTCATCATGAGCACCGCTATCATCATCAACACCATCACCATCATTACCATTACCAGCATTACCACCATACCATCATCATCACCTTCAAAACCATCATCACCATCACCATTTTCATCTCCAGCATACCATTCTCATCTCCATCATCATCTTCAGCATCACTGCCAGGTGTCTGTCAGTAGCTGTTCTGCATTGGACATTGTGCCACACCCTTTATAAACCTCATGTGATTACATAGTCATGCTAATTCTATATTTTATAGAAAAAAGGTGGTAATTGGCTTTGAAACATGATAGAAGGGTGTGAGAATCTGCTTTCTCTTCTCAGAACTATCTACAATCAATGAAAGAGAAGACTCACTTTATTTCTCAGCTCCCACATTGCTGGATCTTCCCTACAGAGGTCTGATGTGGACATCCACTGTGAAGTCTTCACTGCTTTGCTGGTCTCCACCCTCAGATTTTGTTTCTCTGGTTCTAAAATGTTTAGAAACCCATATCCCCTGCCACATGAAGCATTGGCATCTTGCTGTCTGTGGCTGCACTCTTGCTTTTGCCCATGACATAGCCCGGCCTCTAGGGTAACTGGACTCTGATGTTCTCCAGACACAGAACTGTCCAGGCTCACATAATTCTTTCTCAAATGTTTGCACAGGTAAATTTGTGGGGATGCTGGGAATTGGAATGTGGGCTGGTAAGTTCTGAGGCAGTGAGAACCAATCAAGGGATGTGGGCAGCTTGTCCTTCTCCCCCAGCCCTCTCTGTGGGTTTGGTGTCCTTCTCTGTATTCTCCAATGCCATATTCTCTCATCTGATTTCCACTTGCCTGTCTACCACCCAAAATTCTACACCGAACATTCACTGAGGATGGAGGGCTTGGCTCTTTCGCTTTCATTTCTCCAGCACCAGATTTTGTTTCTAGCATAAAATGTATACTCAACAAAGACAGTGGGAGTGATGAAATTAAGACCATTTTATGAAAAGTCTGAAAAACTTTTATGTCTTTATTTAGAAACATTAATTTATGGAGAAATTCTCTTGAATAATTAAAAGAAAAATATTTCATAGAAGTTGCCAGGAACAAAAAGAAAATTGCTTTGTGTAATTTGAAAAATCATCCCCAAATATAAAATGCACAAAAAGGAAATGAGAGAGACGGAAAATGTAATCATCAGCCTAGAGCCCGGAAAGTAAAATAAGGTAGAAGTGAAAACGTATCACAGGTGCTACAAAGCTCATTCTCTTCCACTGAACAAGGAATTGGGTAAGAAATGCAACCAGAAGCCGTGTACTGGCACCCGAGCAGTTCCAAGCGGGTTCAGGGCAAAATGATCCTCTTGGTACTTTGGTGAACTTGATAAGTGAGTGGATGAGAAGTGTGAGTGATCACCCAGGTACACTGTCCAGGAATACTTGACTGCCCAAAGATGGATAAAATGTTTTCAAACTTTTAGGTTTCTCTTCTTCTTCAGGAACACCAATTATTCTTAAGTTTGGTCATCTATCATAATCCCAAATTTGCTGGGGGCTTTGTTTATTTTTACATTATTTTTTCTTCGTCATTGTTGGACTGAGTTAATTTGAAAACTTTGTCTTCAAGCTCAGAAGTTATTTCTTCTACTCGTTTGATTCTATTGCTGAGACTTTGCAGTGGATTTTGCATTTCTCTAAGTGTGTCCTTGATTTCCAAAAGTTGTGATTGTATTTTATTTATTTATTTATTTTCACTGGAGATTTTTCTATTCATATGCTGCATCTTTTTTTTTTTTATTTCTTTAAGTTGGACTTCACCTTTCTCTGGTGCCCCCTTGGTTGGTTTAATAATTGACCTTCTGAATTCCTTTTCTGGCAATTCAGAGATCTCTTGTTGGTTTGGATGCATGGCTGGTGAGCTGGTGTAATCTTTTAGGGGTGTTAAATAACCTTATTTTGTTATATTACCAGAATTGTTTTTCTGTTTCCTTCTCATTTGGCTAAGCTGTGTCAGACAGAAGATCTGGGACTCAATGGCTGCTCTTGAGATTCTTTTGTCCCACAGGGGTGCTCCCTTGATGTAGTGCTTTCTCTGTTCCCCTAGGGATGGGGCTTCCTGAGAGCTGAACTGCAGTGATTGTTATTTCTCTTCTGGATCTAGCCACCCAGCAAAGCTATCAGGCCCGTGGGTGGTACTCGGGAGTGTTCGCAAAGAGTCCTGTGATCTGACTTGTCTTCAGGTCTCTCAGCCATGGATACCAACACCTACTCTGGTAGAGGTAGCAGGGGAGTGAAGTGAACTCTGTGAGGGTCCTTGGTTGTAGAAACAAAAAACAAACCAAACCCAATCCCAGCAGAAGGAAAGAAATAACCAAAATCAGAGCAGAACTAAATGAAATTGAAACAAAAATTACAAAAGATAATTGAAACAAAAGAAGATGGTTCTTTGAAAAGATAAATCAAATTGATAGACCACTAGTAAAATAAACCAAGAAGAGAATAGAGAAGATCCAAATAAGCTCAATTAAAAACAAAACGGGAGATATTACAATCGATACCACAGAAATACAAAAGATCATTCAAAGCCACTATGAACATGTTTATGCACATAAACTAGAAAACCTAGAGGAGATAGCTAAATTTCTGGAAATATACAGCCCTCTTGTATTAAACCAGGAAGAAATAGAAACTCTGAACAGACCAAAAACAACAGTGAAATTGAAATGGTAATTAAAAAGTTAACAGCAACAAAAAGTGCAGGACAAGATGGATTCACAGCTGAATTCTATCCGACATTCAAAGAATTGGTAGCAATCCTATTGACACTATTTGCATGATAGAAAAAGAGGGACTCCTCCCTAATTAATTCTATGAAGGCAGTATCACCCTAATACCAACACAAGGAAAGGACATAACAAAAAAGCTACAGACCAATATCCCTGATGAACATGGATGCAAAAATCCTAAACAAAATACTAGGTAACAGAATCCAACAGCATATCAAAAAGATAATCCACCATGGTTTTCGAATGGGTTTCATATTAGGGATGCAGAGATGGCTTAACATCCACAAGTCAATAAATGTGATACACCATATAAACAAAATTAAAAACAAAAATCACATGACCATTCCAATAGATTCAGAAAATACATCTGACAAAACCCAGCATCCCTTTATGATTAAAACCCTCAGCAAAATTGGCATAGAAGGGACATACTTTAAGATAATAAAAAGCCATCTATGACAAACCCACAGCTAACATTATACTCAATGGAGGAAAGTTAAAAACAGTTCCTGAGAACTGGAGCAAGATAAGGATGCCTACTTTCACCATTTCTATTCCACAGCGTACTGGAAGCCCTAGCCAAAGCAACCAGACAAGAGAAAGAAATCAAGGGCATCCAAATTGGTAATAAGGAAGTCAAACTGTCACTATTTGCTGATGACATGATCGTATAGCTAGAAAACGCTGAGGACTCATCCAAAAATCTGCTAGAACTGGTAAGTAAATTTGGCAAAGTTTCAGGATTCAAAATTAATGTACACAAATCAGTAGCTCTGCTATATACCAATAGTGGCCAAGCTGAGAATCGAATCAAGAGCTCAACCCCTTTTACAATAGCTCCAAAATGAAAACAAAAACAACCAAACAAACAATAGCAACAACAAAAAACTTATGGATCTACTTAGCCAAGGAGGTGAAAGACCTCTACAAGGAAAACTACAAAATGCTGCCAAAAGAAATCATACATGACACAAACAAATGTAAACACATCCCATGCTCATGGGTGGGTAGAATCAATATTGTGAAAATGACCATACTGCCAAAAGCAATCTACAAATTCCATGCAATTCCCATCAAAATACCACTATTATTCTTCACAAAACTAGAACAAAAATCCTAAAATTCATGTGGAATCAAAAAATAGCCTGCATATCAAAGTAAGACTAAGCAAAAGGAACAAATCTGGAGGCATTACATTTCCTGACTTCAAACTATACTATAAGGTCACAGTCACAAAAACAGCATGGTACTGATATAAAAGTAGGCATATAGACCAATGGAACAGATTGAAGAATCCAGACATAAAGCCAAAGAATTATAGTCAACTGATCTTAGACAAAGCAAACACAAACATAAAGTGGGGAAAGGACACCCTATTAAACCTATGGTGCTAAGATAACTGGCAAGTCACATGTAGAAGAATGAAACTGGAGCCTCATCTCTCACCCTATACAAAAATCTACTCAAGATGGATTAAAGACTTAAATCTAAGACATGAAACCATAAAAATTCTAGAAGATAATATTGGAAAAACCCTTCTGGACATTGGCTTAGGCAAAGACTTCATGACCAAGACCTCAAAAGGAAATGCAACAAAAACAAAGATAAATAGATGGGATTAAACTAAAAAGCTTCTGCACAGCAAAAGAAATAATCATGAGAGTAAACACACAACTCACAGAGTGGGAGAAAATCTTCACAATCTATACACACAACAAAGGACTAATATCCAGAATCTGCAAAGAACTCAAAAAAATCAGCAAGAACAAAACAAACAATCCCATTAAAAGTGGGCTATGCACATGAATAGACAATTCTCAAAAGATATAAAAATGGTCAAGAAACATGAAGAAATGATCAACATCACTAATTATCCAGGAAATGCAAATCAAAACCACAATAAAATATCATCTCACTCCAGCAAGAATGGCCATAATAAAAAAAATAAAAAATAATAAATGTTGGCATGGATGTGGTGAAAAGGGAACACTTTTACACTGTTGGTGGGAATGTAAACTAGTACAATCACCATGGAAAACAATGTGGAGATTCCTTAAAGAATTAAAAGTAGATCTACCATTTTCCACTCCTGGGTATCTACCCAGAGAAAAAGAAGTCATTATATGAAAAAGATGCTTGCACATGCATGTTTACAGCAGCGCAATTCACAATTGCAAATATATGAAACCAGCTCAAATGCCCACCAATCAACAAGCAGATACAGAAAATGTGATATATACACAGATACATACCATGTAAAACTACTCAGCCATAAAATGGAACAAAATCATGACATTCACAGCAAGCTGGATGGAATTGGAGACCATTATTCTAAGTGAAGTAACTCAGGAATGAAAAACCAAACATATGTTCTCACTTGTAAGCGGGAGCTAAGCTATGAGGATGGAAAGGCATAAAAATGATACAATGAACTTTGGGAACTTGGGGAAAAGGGTGGGAGGGGGACGAGGGATAAAAGACTACACATTGGGAACAGTGTACACCGCTTGGGTGATGGGTGCACTCAAATCTCAGAAATCACCATTAAACAACTTGTTGATGTAACCAAACACCACCTGTTCGCCAAAAACCTATTGAAATTAAATAATTTTAAAATTAAAAAATTTCAAAATACTTTCCTCAGAAAAGCAGTTGGGCAGAAAATTTCTACTATAGACAAGTGACCAAGGGTTCTCTTGTATTTTGTTTCTTTCTTTTGTGTGTGTGTGTGTGTGTGTGTGTGTGTGTGTGTGTTTTATTATTATTATACTTTAAGTTTTAGGGTACATGTGCACAATGTGCAGGTTAGTTACATATGTATACATGTGCCATGCTGGTGTGCTGCACCCATTAACTCGTCATTTAGCATTAGGTATATCTCCTAATGCTATCCTTCCCCACTCCTCCCACCCCACAACAGTCCCCAGAGTGTGATGTTCCCCTTCCTGTGTCCATGTGTTCTCATTGTTCAATTCCCATCTATGAGTGAGAACATGCGGTGTTTGGTTTATTGTCCTTGCGATAGTTTACTGAGAATGATGATTTCCAATTTCATTCATGTCCCTACAAAGGACATGAACTCATCATTTTTTACGGCTGCATGGTATTAAATGGTGTATATGCACCACATTTTCTTAATCCAGTCTATCATTGTTGGACATTTGGGTTGGTTCCAAGTCTTTGCTATTGTGAATAGTGCTGCAATAAACATACGTGTGCATGTGTCTTTATAGCAGCATGATTTATATTCCTTTGGGTATATACCCGGTAATGGGATGGCTGAGTCAAATGGTATTTCTAGTTCTAGATCCCTGAGGAATCACCACACTGACTTCCACAATGGTTGAACTAGTTTACAGTCCCACCAACAGTGTAAAAGTGTTCCTATTTCTCCACATCCTCTCCAGCACCTGTTGTTTCCTGACTTTTTAATGATTGCCATTCTAACTGGTGTGAGATGGCATCTCATTGTGGTTTTGATTTGCATTTCTCTGATGGCCAGTGATGATGAGCATTTTTTCATGTGTCTTTTGGCTGCATAAATGTCTTCTGTTGAGAACTGTCTGTTCATATCCTTCGCCCACTTTCTGATGGGGTTGTTTGTTTTTTTCTTGTAAATTTGTTTGAGTTCTTTGTAGATTCTGGATATTAGCCCTTTGTCAGATGAGTAGGTTGCAAAAATTTTCTCCCATTTTGTAGGTTGCCTGTTCACTCTGAAGGTAGTTTCTTTTGCTGTGCAGAAGCTCTTTAGTTTCATTAGATCCCATTTGTCAATTATGGCTTTTGTTGCCATTGCTTTTGGTGTTTTGGACATGAAGTCCTTGCCCATGCCTATGTCCTGAATGGTAATGCCTAGGTTTTCTTCTAGGGTTTTTATGGTTTTAGGTCTAACGTTTAAGTCTTTAATCCATCCCAAATTGATTTTTGTATAAGGTGTAAGGAAGGGATCCAGTTTCAGCTTTCCACATATGGCTAGCCAGTTTTCCCAGCACCATTTATTAAATAGGGAATCCTTTCCCCATTGCTTGTTTTTCTCAGGTTTGTCAAAGATCAGATAGTTGTAGATAAGCAGCGTTATTTCTGAGGGCTCTGTTCTGTTCCATTGATCTATATCTCTGTTTTGGTACCAGTACCATGCTGTTTTGGTTACTGTAGCCTCGTAGTATACTTTGAAGTCAGCTAGCGTGATGCCTCCAGCTTTGTTCTTTTGGCTTAGGATTGACTTGGTGATGCGGGCTCTTTTTTGGTTCCATATGAACTTTAAAGTAGTTTTCTCCAATTCTGTGAAGAAAGTCATTGGTAGCTTGATGGGGATGGCATTGAATCTATAAATTACTTTGGGCAGTATGGCCACTTTCACGATATTGATTCTTCCTACCCATGAGCATGGAATGTTCTTCCATTTGTTTGTATCCTCTTTTATTTCATTAAGCAGTGGTTTGTAGTTCTCCTTGAAGAGGTCCTTCATGTCCCTTGTAAGTTGGATTCCTAAGTATATTGTTCTCTTTGAAGCAATTGTGAATGGGAGTTCACTCATGATTTGGCTCTCTGTTTGTCTGTTATTGGTGTATAAGAATGCTTGTGATTTTTTGTACATTGATTTTGTATCCCGAGACTTTGCTGAAGTTGCTTATCAGCTTAAGGAGATTTTGGGCTGAGACAATGGGGTTTTCTAGATATACAATCATGTCATCTGCAAACAGGGACAATTTGACTTCCTCTTTTCCTAATTGAATACCCTTTATTTCCTTCTCCTGCCTAATTGCCCTGGCCAGAACTTCCAACAATATGTTGAATAGGAGTGGTGAGAGAGGGCATCCCTGTCTTATGCCAGTTTTCAAAGGGAATGCTTCCAGTTTTTGCCCATTCAGTATGATATTGGCTGTGGGTTTGTCATAGATAGCTCTTATTATTTTGAGACACATCCCATCAATACCTAATTTATTGAGAGTTTTTAGCATGAAGTGTTGTTGAATTTTGTCAAAGGCCTTTTCTGCATCTATTGAGATAATCATGTGGTTTTTGTCCTTGGTTCTGTTTATATGCTGGATTACACTTATTGATTTGCATATATTGAACCAGCCTTGCATCCCAGGGATGAAGCCCACTTGATCATGGTGGATAAGCTTTTTGATGTGCTGCTGGATTTGGTTTGCCAGTATTTTATTGAGGATTTTTGCATCAATGTTCATCAAGGATATTGGTATAAAATTCTCTTTTTTGGTTGTGTCTCTGCCCAGCTTTGGTATCATGATGATGCTGGCCTCATAAAATGAGTTAGGGAGTATTCCTTCTTTTTCTATTGATTGGAATAGTTTCAGAAGGAATGGTACCAGTTCCTCCTTGTACCTCTGGTAGAATTCGGCTGTGAATCCATCTGGTCCTGGACTCTTTTTGGTTGGTAAGCTATTGATTATTGCCACAATTTCAGATCCTGTTATTGGTCTATTCAGAAATTCAACTTCTTCCTGGTTTAGTCTTGGGAGAGTGTATGTGTCGAGGAATTTATCCATTTCTTCTAGATTTTCTAGTTTATTTGCGTAGAGGTGTTTGTAGTATTCTCTGATGGTAGTTTGTATTTCTGTGGGATCGGTGGTGATATCCCCTTTATCATTTTTTATTGGTCTATTTCATTCTTCTCTCTTTTTTTCTTTGTTAGTCTTGCTAGCGGTCTATCAATTTTGTTGATCCTTTCAAAAAACCAGCTCCTGGACTCATAAATTTTTTGAAGGTTTTTTTGTGTCTCTATTTCCTTCAGTTCTGCTCTGATTTTAGTCACTTCTTGCCTTCTGCTAGCTTTTGAATGTGTTTGCTCTTGCTTCTCTAGTTCTTTTAATTGTGATGTTAGGGTGTCAATTTTGGATCTTTCCTGCTTTCTCTTGTGGGCATTTAGTGCTATAAATTTCCCTCTACACACTGCTTTGAATGTGTCCCAGAGATTCTGGTATGTTGTGTCTTTGTTCTCGTTGGTTTCAAAGAACATCTTTATTTCTGCCTTCATTTCGTTGTGTACCCAGTAGTCATTCAGGAGCAGGTTGTTCAGTTTCCATGTAGTTGAGCAGTTTTGAGTGAGTTTCTTAATCCTGAGTTCTAGTTTGATTGCACTGTGGTCTGAGAGACAGTTTGTTATAATTTCTGTTCTTTTACATTTGCTGAGGAGAGCTTTACTTCCAAGGATGTGGTCAATTTTGGAATAGGTGCTGTGTGGTGCTGAAAAAAATGTATATTCTGTTGATTTGGGGTGAAGAGTTCTGTAGATGTCTATTAGGTCCACTTGGTGTAGAACTGAGTTCAATTCCTGGGTATCCTTGTTAACTTTCTGTCTCATTGATCTGTCTAATGTTGACAGTGGGGTGTTAAAGTCTCCCATTATTATTGTGTGGGAGTCTAAGTCTCTTTGTAGGTCACTCAGGACTTGCTTTATGAATCTGGGTGCTCCTGTATTGGGTGCATATATATTTAGGATAGTTAGCTCTTCTTGTTGAATTGATCCCTTTACCATTATGTAATGGCCTTCTTTGTCTCTTTTGATCTTTGTTGGTTTAAAGTCTGTTTTATCAGAGACTAGCATTGCAACCCCTGCCGTTTTTTGTTTTCCATTTGCTTGGTAGATCTTCCTCCATCCTTTTATTTTGAGCCTATGCATGTCTCTGTATGTGGATGGGTTTCCTGAATATAGCACACTGATGGGTCTTGACTCTTTATTGAATTTGCCAGTCTGTGTCTTTTAATTGGAGCATTTAGTCCATTTACATTTAAAGTTAATATCGTTATGTGTGAATTTGATCCTGTCATTATGATGTTAGCTGGTTATTTTGCTCGTTAGTTGATGCAGTTTCTTCCTAGTCTCGATGGTCTTTACATTTCTGCATGATTTTGCAGTGGCTGGTACCAGTTTTTCCTTTCCATGTTTAGTGCTTCCTTCAGGAGCTCTTTTAGGGCAGGCCTGGTGGTGACAAAATCTCCCAGCATTTGCTTGTCTGTAAAGTATTTTATTTCTCCTTCACTTATGAAGCTTAGTTTGGCTGGATATGAAATTCTGGGTTGAAAATTCTTTTCTTTAAGAATGTTGAATATTGGTCCCCACTCTCTTCTGTCTTGTAGTTTCTGCCGAGAGATCAGCTGTTAGTCTGATGGGCTTCCCTTTGTGGGTAACCTGACCTTTCTCTCTGGCTGCCCTTAACATTTTTGCCTTCATTTCAACTTTGGTGAATCTGACAATTATGTGTCTTGGAGTTGCTCTTCTCGAGCAGTATCTTTGTGGCATTCTCTGTATTTCCTGAATCTGAATGTTGGCCTGCCTTGCTTGATTGGGGAAGTTCTGGATAGTATCCTGCAGAGTGTTTTCCAACTTGGTTCCATTCTCCCAGTCACTTTCAGGTACACCAATCAGACACAGATTTGGTCTTTTCACATAGTCCCATATTTCTTGGAGGCTTTGTTCGTTTCTTTTTATTCTTTTTCTCTAAACTTACCTTCTCACTTCATTTCATTCATTTGATCTTCCATCACTGATACCCTTTCTTCCAGTTGATCGCATTGGCTCCTGAGGCTTCTGCATTCTTCACGTAGTTCTCGAGCCTTGGCTTTCAGCTCCATCAGCTCCTTTGAGCACTTCTCTGTATTGGTTATTCTAGTTATACATTAGTCTAAATTTTTTTCAAAGTTTTCAACTTCTTTGCCTTTGGTTTGAATTTCCTCCTGTAGCTTGGAGTAGTTTGATCATCTGAAGCTTTCTTCTCTCAACTCATCAAAGTCATTCTCCATCCAGCTTTGTTCCATTGCTGGTGAGGAACTGTGTTCCTTCAGAGGAGGAGAGGTGCTCTGCTTTTTTGAGTTTCCAGTTTTTCTGCTCTGTTTTTTCCCCATCTTTGTGGTTTTATCTACTTTTGGTCTTTGATGCTGGTGATGTACAGATGGGTTTTTGGTGTGGATGTCCTTTCTGTTTGTTAGTTTTCCTTCTAACAGACAGGACCCTCAGCTGCAGGTCTGTTGGAGTTTGCTAGAAGTCCACTCCAGACCCTGTTTGCCTGGGTATCAGCAGTGGTGTCTGCAGAACCGCGGATTTTTGTGAACTGTGAATGCTGCTGTCTGATCGTTCCTCTGGAAGTTTTGTCTCAGAGGAGTACCCGGCCACGTGAGGTGTCAGTCTGCCCCTACTGGGGGGTGCCTCCCAGTTAGGCTGCTCGGGGGTCAGGGGTCAGGGACCCACTTGAGGAGGCAGTCTGCCCGTTCTCAGATCTCCAGCTGCGTGCTGGGAGAACCACTGCTCTCTTCAAAGCTGTCAGACACGGACATTTAAGTCTGCAGAGGTTACTGCTGTCTTTTTGTTTGTCTGTGCCCTGCCCCCAGAGGTGGAGCCTACAGAGGCAGGCAGGCCTCCTTGAGCTGTGGTGGGCTCCACCCAATTCGAGCTTCCTGGCTGCTTTGTTTACCTAAGGGAGCCTGGGCAATGGCGGGCACCCCTCCCCCAGCCTCACTGCCGCCTTGCAGTTTGATCTCAGACTGCTGTGCTAGCAATCAGCGAGACTCCGTGGGCGTAGGACCCTCTGAGCCAGGTGCAGGATGTAATCTCCTGGTGCTCCATTTCCTAAGCCAGTCGGAAAAGCACAGTATTCGGGTAGGAGTGACCCAATTTTCCAGGTGCTGTCTGTCACCCCTTTCCTTGAGTAGGAAAGGGAACTCCCTGACCCCTTGCACTTCCCAAGTGAGGCAATGCCTCGCCCTGCTTCGGCTCGCGAACAGAGCGCTGCACCCACTGTCCTGTGCCCACTGTCTGGCACTCCGTAGTGAGATGAACCCGGTACCTCAGATGGAAATGCAGAAATCACCCGTCTTCTGTGTCGCTCACTCTGGGAGCTGTAGATCAGAGCTCTTCCTATTCAGCCATCTTGTGGAAACTCCTTCTCTTGCATTTTGAATTTTTTAATCTATTTTCTCCTTCTTTGCCTTACACAAGACATCAGTAATATGTAAATGAATGAATACATTCACAAATAACTTAAAGAGTTAAATTTGTAAACTTTATACAACTTGAAAATAAGTTTAGAGGGAAAAGGAATTCACATCAGCTTACTTTATAACAAAGGAGCAAAAGCAGGCAAAGTATAAAAGCATTATTTCTGGAGGTACTTTCAAAAATATGAACAGAAATACAAGCCACACCAAGTAATTTCTGTATAATGCCTCATAAAATTTTGGTATTTACTTAGAAGGCAGATGTAATGATGTCTAAATAAAAGAAAGTTGAATAGAAGGCAGAAAAGGTTATTCAAGATTCCAAGTCATTAATAGAACTCTATCTTTTATTGCCTTTTTCATAGAGGTCTAATAATAGCAAATACATGGAATGAACCTAAATTCCCATCAATGACAGACTGAATAAAGGAAATGTGATGCTGATACACAATGGAATATTATACAGCCATAAAAAAGAATTAAATCCTCTCTTTTGTGGGAACATGAATGGAGCTGGAGGCTATCATCCTTAGCAAACTAACACAGGAACAGAAAACCAAATACCACATGTTCTCACTTATAGGTGGGAGCTAAATGATGAGAACTTATGAACACAAATAAGGAAACAACAGATACTAGGGTCTACTTGAAAGGGGAGGGTGGGAGGAGGAAGAGGAGCAGAAAAATAACCATTGGGTACCAAGATTATTATGTGGGTGATGTAAGAATATGCACAATAAACCCCCATGACACATGTTTATGTATGTAACAAACCTTCACATGTAACCCTAAACCTGAAATAAAAATTTTTAAGAAAGGAAAACTTTTTGCCCTCCATTTGTCTATATCTTGTTTGTCAAAAGCAGAGCATATATCCTTATTAGGCAAGCAAAATTGGAAAGGGCCCAGTGTACAATCCTCGGAATATTTCTTAATCTTTCTGAGCCCCAATTTTCTTTATGTAGAGACTGTTGCATTAACCAGGATGGGCTGAGTTGTGCAGTCATAACACAAAAACCTGAAATATCAGTGGCTTATGACAGCAACATAAAACTCCATTATTGTGACTGCTATTCTCACAGATTGATGCATGTGTGTTGGGGGCTCTGAACCATGTTGTGGTCACTCTGAGCCTCAGGCTGATGGCAGCAACACAGGGGCCAAGGCAGCAAGCACTGGCTCTGTCAAGAGCAATGGAAGGAAGACATATCACTTCTTTTTTTCTTTTGGTTATCTCCAAGCCTAACAGCTTTCCCTCTATTCATTTTGTCACTCATCTATTTAGCATTCTAAGATGTGCTCTTTGAGAAATTGCCATACTGCTTTCCACAATGGCTGAACTAATTTACACTCTCACCAACAGTGTATAAGTGTTCCCTTTTCTCTGCAACATCACCAGCATCTGTTATTTTTTGACTTTTTAATAATAGCCATTCTGATTGGTGTGAGATGGTATCTGATTGTGGTTTTGATTTGCATTTCTCCAGTGATCAGTGATATTGACCTTTTTCTCACATGCTTGTTGGCTGCATGTATGTCTTCTTTTGAGAAGTGTCCATTTATGTCCTTTGCCCACTTTTTAATGGAGTTGTTTTTCTCTTGTAAATTTGTTTAAGTTCCTTATAAATGCTAGATATAAGACCTTTGTCAGATGCATAGTTTGCAAATATTTTCTCCCATTCTGTGGGTTGTCTGTTTACTCTGTTGATAGTTTCTTTTGCTGTACAGAAGCTCTAGCTCTTAACTTTAATTAGATCCCATTTGTCAATTTTTGCTTTTGTTGCAGTTGCTTTTGGTGTTTTTGTTGTGAAATCTTTTCCCATTCCAAGTCCAGGATCATATTGCCTGGGCTGTCTTCCAGGTTTTTATAGTTTTAGGTTTTACATTTGAGTCTTTAGTCCATCTTAGTTAATTTTTGTATATGGTGTAAAGAAGGGGTCCAGCTTAAATCTTCAGATATGGCTAGCCAGTTTTTCAGCACCATTTGTTGAATAAGGAGTCTTTTCCCCATTGCTTGTTTTTGTCAGCTTTGTCAAAGATCAGATGGTCCTGGACGTGTCGCCTTTTTCTGGGCTGTCTATTCTACTCCATTGGTCTATGTACCTGTTTTTGCACCAGTACCATGCTGTTTTGTTCACTGTAGCCTTGTAGTATAGTTTGAAGTCAGGTAATGTGATTCTCTTAGCTTCGTTCTTTTGCTTAGATTTACCTTGGCTATTCAGGCTCTTTTTTGGTTCCATATAAATTTTAAAATAATTTTTTCGTGTTCTGTGAATAATTTCATTGATAGTTTGATAGAAATAGCATTGAATCTGTAAATTGCCTAGAGCACTATAGCCATTTGAATAATATTGATTCTTCCTATCCATGAGCATATGACATTTTTTCCATTTGTTTGTGTCTTCTCTGATTTCTTTGAGCAGTGTTTTGTAATTTGCATTGTAGAGAATTGTCCCTAACCTCCCCAGTTAGCTGTATTTTTAGGGGTGTGTGTGTGTGTGTGTGTGTATGAATTGTGAATGGAACTGCCTTTCTGATTTGGCTCTCAGTTTGATTGTTGTTGGTATATAGGAATGCTAGTGATTTTTGTACATTGATTTTGTATTCTGTAACTTTGCTGATATGGTTTATCAGCTAAAGGAGCTTTTGGGCTGAAACAATGGGGTTTTCCAGATATAGAATATGTCATCTGCAAACAGAGAGAGTTTGACTTCCCCTTTTCCTATTTGGATGCTCTTTATTTCTTTCTCTTGCCTGATTTCTCTGACTAGGACTTCCAATACTATATTGAATAGAAGTGGTGAGAGAGGGCATTCTTGTATTGTACAAGTTTTCAGGGTGAATGCTTCCAGCTTTTGCCCATTCAGTATAATGCTAGTTGTGGGTTTGTCATAGAGGGATCTTATTATTTTGAGATATGTCCAGTCAGTATCAAGTTTATTGAGAGTTTTTAACATGAAGAGATGTTGAAATTTATCAAAAGCCTTTTCTGCATCTGCCGAGATAATCATGTGGTTTTTGTCTTTAGTTCTGTGATACGAAGTGTCACATTTATTGGTCTTCATGTGTTGAACCAACTTTGCATCCCAGAGATGAAGCCTATGTGATCATGGTGGATTAGCTTTTTGATGTGTTATTTATTGGATTCAGCAGGCAAATATTTTGTTGAGGAGCTTTGCATCAATTTTCATCAAGGATATTGGCCTGAAGTTTTTGTTGTTGTTGTATCTCCCCCAGGTTTCAGTATCAAGATGATGCTGGCCTCATAGAATGAATTGGGGAGAAGTCCCTCCTCCTAAACTTTTTGGAATCAGTTCTGTAGGTATGGAACCAGCTCTTCTTTGTACATCTGGTAGAATTTGGCTGTGAATCTATCATGTCCTGGGATTTTTTTGTTGGTGGGCTATTTATTACTGATTCAGTTTTGGAGCACATTATTGGTCTGTTCAGGGAATCAATTTCTTCCTGGCTCAGTCTTGGGGGAGTGTACGTGTCCAGGAATTTATCTATCTCTTCTAAATGTTTAAATTTGTGTGTGAAGAGGTGTTTGTAATAGTTTCTGATGGTTGTTTTTACTACTATGGGGTCAGAAGTAACGTTCCCTTCATCATTTCTAATTGTGTTCATTTGGATCTTATCTCTTTTCTTCTCAATTAGTCTAGCAAATGACCTTTCTATTTTATTAATTTTTTCAAAAAACTAACTCCTGGATTTGTTGATCTTTTGAATGGTTTTTCATGTCTTGATTCCCTTCAGTTCAGCTCTGATTTTTGTTATTTCCTGTCTTCTGCTAGCTTCAGGGTTGATTTGTCCTTGCTTCTCTAATTCTTTCAGTTTGTGAAGTTAGGTTATTAATTTGAGATGTTTCTAACTTCTTGATAGGGGCATTTAGTGTTATGAATTTCTCTTAGATGCCTTAGCTATGTCCCAGAAATTCTGGTATGTTGTATTATTATTCTTATTATTTTCAAAGAACTTGATTTCTGCCTTGATTTCATTTTATTTACCCAAAAGTCATTCAGGAGCATGTTGTTTAATTTCTATGTAATTGTATGGTTTTTAGTGATTTTCCTTGTGCTGACTTCTATTTTTATTGTGCCATTTTCCAAGAGTGTGTTTGGTATTATTTCAGTTCTTTTACATTTTTTGAGGATAGTTTTATGTCCAATTATGTGGTGATTTTAGAATATGTGCCATGTGGCAATGAGAAGAATGTATATTCTGTTGTTTTGGGTGGATACTTCTGTAAAGGTCTATCAGATCCATTTTGTCGCATTCTGAGTTTAGGTCCTGAATATCTTCATTAATTTTCTGCCTCAATGATCTGTCTAACACTGTCAATGGAGTGTTGAAGTCTCCCACTGTTATTGTTTGGGAGTCTATGTCTTTTTGCAGGTCTGTAAGAACTTGTTTTATGAATCTGGGTGCTCCTGTGTTGGGTGCATATATATTTAGGATAGTTAGGTCTTCTTGTTGAATTGAACCCTTTACCATTATGTAATACCCTTCCTTTTTTTTTTAATCTTTGTTGGTTTAAAATCTGTTTTCTCTGAAATTAGGGTTGCAATCCTAATTTTTCTGTTTTTCTGTTTTCTGGTTTTCATTTGCTTGGTAGGTTTTTCTCCATCCTTTATTTTGTGCCTGTGAGTCCACGTTTGGATGGGTCTCTTGAAGACAGCATATCATTGGGTCTTGCCTTTTTTTGTGCCTTTTAAGTGGGACATTTAAACCATTTACATTAAAGGTTAGCATTGATGTGTGTGGATTTGACCCTGGCATTGTGCTGTTAGCTGGTTATGATGTTGGCTTGCTTGTGTAGTTGATTTACAGTGACACTAGTCTGTGTGTGTAAGTGTGTTTTTGTACTAGCTGGTAGTGGTATTTCTATATTTAGCTCTTTTCATGATCTCTTGTAAGGCAGGTCTGGTTGTAACAAAGTCCCTCAACATTTGTTTATCTGAAAAGGATCTTATTTCTTGTTCACTTAGGAAGTTTAGTTTAGCTGGATTTAAAAGTTTTTGGTTGAAGATTTTTTTCTTTAAGAATGCTGCATATAAGTCCCCAATCTCTTCTGGCTTGTAGGATTTCAGCTGAGAGATTCACTGTTGGCCTGATGCGGATCCCTTTGTAGGTGACCTGTCCTTCCTCTCCAGCTTCCTTTAACTTTCTGTCTTTCATTTCAACCTTGGAAAATATGATGATTATATGTCTTGGGGGCGATATTCTTACGTAGAATCTTGAAGGAGTTTTCTGTATTTCCTGAATTTGACTGTTGGCCTCTATAGCAAAGTTGGGGAATTTTTCATAGATGATATCCTGAAACATATTTTCCAAGTTGTTTGCTTTCTCCCCCTCCCTTTCAGGGATGCTAATGATTCATAGATTTGACCTCTTTACAGAATCCCATACTTCTAGGAGGATTTGTTTATTCCTTTTTATTCTTTTTTCTTTATTTTTGTCTGATTGTCTTATGTCAGAGAACCAGTCTTCAAATTCTGAGACTCTTTCCTCAGTTTGGTTTATTCTGCTGTTAGTACTTGTGATTGCATTGTGAAAATCGTTGTGTTATTGTGTTATTAAGCTCCATCTTTTATACTGGCCATTTTGTCCTTCAGCTCCTGTATCACTTTATTTTAATTCTTATTTTCCTTGGATTGGGTTTTGCAATGCTACTGAATCTCAATGATCTTTGTTTCTATCCATATTCTGAGTTCTATTTGTGTCATTTCAGCCAGTTTGGCCTGGTTAAGAACTCTTGTTGGCAAACTGGTGTAATTGTTTAGAGAATATATGACACTCTGGCCATTTGAGTTACTGGAGTTCTTGGATTGGTTCTTTCTCATCTTCATGTGTGGGTGTCCCTTTAACTGCAGTGTAGATTGAGTACAGTCAATAGACTTTGTTTAAATCAATGTTTTCACCAGATTGAGTCTTTGTGTAGGGTCTTTATTTAAAGTTGACTTCTTGTCTCTGGTTTCAGATGTGGGTATATTAGTGAGGTATTTTTGATGTTGAAGCTTTGGGGTGTGATCCAGTAGGTGACACTTAGGCTTATGGGTCAGTTGGTAGCCTCTTGCTCTGTTGTGTAGCTCCCTGTGTTTTCTCACAGTTGCAGCTGTGTTCCCTCTCAGTGCTCTGAAAGTGTGAGTTTCTCTCGCCCTTGAGTGCTGGCTATAGTTCATGACTTGGCACCCCAGGCTGCCCACTGCAGCTCTGTGGTGATCCCAGTGTTATGTTTTTTCCCCAGTTTAGAGGCAGCAGTGGAAGGGATCTTCGTAGTGGTTGTGGCCAAGAGTCATTTTGCTTGACTCCTGGGGGCTCCATCCCAGAGAGATGCAGGTCACCAATTGCTCCATGCAATCAGTCTAAGATGAAGGGTTGTGCTGTGGGCCCAAGCCAAGGTTCCCTGTCCAATGACGAACTATGAGGAGTGTGTGGGATCCCTGGAAGACAGACTGACCTCCTCTCCTTGGGTCTACTGAAGCTTGTTGGAGGTTAAGGCACTTAGGGTATTTGCTTATTCATTAGTGCAAAGGTGGCAAGGGCAGCGGCAGAGAGACTTTCAGTTGCCCCTGGAGGCTCTGTACATGGAATTGCTGAGTTGCTGCTGGCTTAATAGCTCTGGTGGGGCATGGCTGGAGGCCCAGGCCTGGAGGACCTGCCTGGTGAGGAGATATGGGAATGGACACCCACATAACAATCTGGCCACTTTTCTGTAGGGCTGCTGTGGTATGCTTGGGCCCACTCCAGTCCCTAGTCACCTGGATTTTCCAGAACCTGGAGATGTCACCAGCGAAGGCTACAAAACAGCAAAGATGGCAGCATTTCCCTCCCTCTGGGAGTTTTGTCTCAGGGAAGTATGGACCTATTGCCAGCCCAAAGGCACCTGTAGAAAGTGGCTGGAGACCCCAGTTGGGAGGTCCTACCCAGTAAGAAGAAATGGGATTGGGACCCACTTAAAAAAGCAGTCTGACCATGTTTTGGCAGAATAGCTGTGCTATTCTGGGGTCCACTTCAGCCCCTGGGCCACCTGAGACACTTCAAAGCCCAAAGGCTGGAATGGCTAAGTCACCCAAACAGCAAAGATGGCAGCACACTCCTCCCTCTGGGAGCACCATCCCAGGGGGAATTCGGATCTGTATTGGCTGGAGATCTCAGGTGGAACCGGGTGGAGGCTCTAGTTGGGAAGTCCTGCCCAGTGAAGAGAAACAGGATCAGGCACCTGCTTAAAGCAGCAGACTGGCCACATTTTAATAGAGCAGCTGGGCTGTGCTGAGGGATCCCTTCTTTCCAGGTCGGCTCAGACTTTCCAAAGTCTGAAGGCTGGAACAGCTAAGGTGGCCAAATAGCAAAGCTGGCAGCCTGCCCCTTCTCCCGGGAGCTCCTTCTTAGGGAGGTGCAATGCTGCTACTAGTAGCTGGTTGGACTTTCAAGACAGTGGGTCTTGTCTTGTGAGGTGCCATGGAAGTGGGGACCATGGGCTTTTGCTGCTCAGCCCCCTGGATTCAAACCATTTTTACGGTTACACAGAGTAGTCTATCCCACTTTGCTGGAGCTGCAGCTATTTTTGCTGGAAAGCCCAAGTATCTAAGACTCCAGGGTCTCCACACATGCCTGAGTGGCTGCTCTGCTGAAACTCCACACAGCTTTCTCTGGCAGACTGAAGACTGAAGGTCCTGGTGGAGTGGGTTTACAAGGAGATCACCTGACATGAGGGTTGCTAAGACATATGGAGGAAGCATGGTTTCCTGATGTCAATCATGCACTCACCCCTTCCCTGGGTGGGTGGGGATCCCCTGGTTCTGTATTGCTTCCAGGTGGGCTGTTCTCTTGTCTTGCTTTTTTTAGTTTTCTGTGGGTCAAGTTGTTTCCTTGATTAATCCCAGTGAGTACTTGGATGTTTCAGTTGAAGATGTTATATTTATTCACCCCTTCTGTTTCTGCCCATGAGAGCCATGCACACTAGCTGCTTCTAGTTGGCCATCTTGCCACTCCCAAAAAGTTTTTATTATTTAATGTGTTGCACCAACCTAATATGTTATAATATTAACTTAGAACAGGAGAAAAAATAGGGGCCAGGCACAGTGGCTCATGCCTGTAATCCCAGCACTTTAGGAGGCCGAGGTGGGCAGATCACAAGATCAGGAGATCGAGACCATCCTGGCTAACATGGTGAAACCCCATCTCTACTAAAAATACAAAAAAAATTAGCCAGGAATTTCCTATTTCAAATAAATGGCTTCTATGGGGATACAAAGGCCTGATTTTTTTGCCCCGATATGTTACCACTCTGAGGCCATCCCCATTACAGAGCTCTCCATGGGCCTGGCTGTGGCCTCTGCTGAGCTGCACCCCTGCCTGACTTCTCCCTCTGCCCCGACCCACATCCCTGCCTCCCAGCACATGCCTCAGTGAGCCTCTTGCCTATGAATCTCCATCTGAGTCTGTTTCCAGGAACCCTAACCAAGAGCTTGTGGAGTCAAGACCCACAGCACAGAATATCCTGCCTTTTTAACTACAGTGGGTGTTAGGTCTGTGAACGTTTTGAGGATGAGACAATTCCTGTCTGGAAGACTGGATATCTCCCCTTCTCAGGATTTGAGAGGTAGGATGTTCCAAATGTTCTCAGACCTGAGACCTGCTCAAAAAAAAAAAAAAAAAAAAAAATTGGATTTCCAATTTTCTTTCCAGCCTCACTGGAAATTCACCTTTTTTCAAAAATCTCTTATTCAACTGGAACATTTTTAATCCTTCCTCCAATCTTAGTGAAATGAAAACTAAAGCTTCTATCTGTATTGAACTTTGTGAAATATTTTTACTCACCTAATTTCTTGTGAAATAATTTCACTCTCCTAATTTTCTTTATACATCTGATGAGGAAGGCTGAGCAGGTAACATAACTCCTTGCATTTTTGAAGAAATAAGTAGGAGGGAGGTTGAGGACAAGGTGCCAAGTCATACAATTTTCAGTTAAATTTTGTTCCTGTCGCACAATAAGCCTTATTTGAAACGCGGGCTCTGGGATGGACACTTAGTGGTGTGTGAGCTCCGTTGTTCCTGGGAGCGTCCTGGCTGCAGATAGCAGGAGTCCTGAGAAACACTGGCTGCCTCTCCCATGATGACGGCAGTCATTTACCAAAGGTCGTGGGATGGTGTTCACAGAGTTGCTGCAGTGTCCTCAGCAGGGGCCCAGGTGGTTTCCTTCCATCTTCTCCATTGTTCCTTTGGCTCTTGTTCTTGAGCACATGGCTCATAAGTGAAAGGTGGACTCCATAGCCCAAGGCATCCTGTCCCAAACTACACCCTGAAAGGTGAGGAGTAGAAGCAGGAGGAGGTCACAGGGGGTGAGAGGAGGGTGGGGAGAGAGTGAGAGTGAGAGAGATACACACAGTGGGAGACAGGCTGTCCCCAGGGTCTCTCTGTTTATTCAGTATAGACTCTCTTAGCAGTGACCTGGTTGAAGTCTTAAATGTTTTTGTCTGGATCTGGGTCCTGTGCCTCCAGGGCTGAGGAAGGCTAAGAAATTCATGGGCTGATACTTTCAGTCTTTGCACTTGAGAGCAGGCAGGAGGAAGGGAATTGAGAATGGCTGGTCAGGTTTCCAGAACAAGGTTTCTTACCATAGATCCATAGAGATCCTGTAGAAACTCCATTGAATTCTGAAGGTTACAAATGTGCTTGTGCAGGAGAGTGCATACACAAACACACACACACACACACACCATTTCTAAATTTTTCATCAGATTCCTAATGGGATCAGTGGCTGCACACCATTTCAATGTTTAAGTATCGGTGCTGGGATGTGAATGCAAAGCCGTGAGCTTGCACTGAAATTAAATGCAGACCAATATCTTGAGATTCCCACGTTCGTTCCTTTCAACTGGACTGAGCAGCAGCCTACGTCCTCCTCACATTCAATGGGTGTAGAACATAGGACACTTTCTCTTCCTCCAGGAGCTCACACTATAGCTGAGCAAGGGTATATCCAGAGACATTCAGTGCCTAGAGAAACAAGGAAAAATATACTGAATACTGCATGGCTGTCATAGTTCAGGGAGCATGTGGAAACACCTTACACTGAAAATCAACTTACCGTTAACTCATAGTTAATGTGCCTATGCAGGCACATCAACCATGCCAATAGGACATTCAGCCATAGCATTTGTTAGTTTTAAAAATACAGACATAAGGAGGATGCAATGAAAAATAACCTATAATCTTATCAGCCAAACACCCATGGCTGACATCTAAAAATAATTGGAACACACACAGATTGTAATAATATTCAAATGGACCACAAAGCCACAAAGATGCAAAATTTAAAAAATAAAATCCAAACCACCTATTTTCCTATTCATGCTACAAGCTCTCTTCAAAGATATCCACAGTT
This sequence comes from Homo sapiens, assembly GCF_000001405.40. NCBI lineage: Eukaryota > Metazoa > Chordata > Mammalia > Primates > Hominidae > Homo > Homo sapiens. The sequence goes on from NC_000020.11 coordinate 23,913,446, forward strand.
AATAATTTCTTATGCTTGTATTTCTTCCTGGAAAAATGCAGATGATAGCTTGCCTCTTTTTCCTCTGTCTCTTTCTCTCTCTCTCTCTGACGTGTATGTGCATATACATATATGTATATGTGGGTATACATGTCTATATATACACTCATACACATGTATGATTAGTTTTGTTTTCACAAAGAACTTTGTATTAACATGCCATATATACCTTTTTTCAATAAAAATCTATTCAAGGTGTATTAAAAATTATTGCCATTTTAACACATATATCCTTATCTAATTCTTCTTAATGCCCATTCCAACACATGTGCACCCTAATTTACTCTACCAGTCTACAGTGGTGACATAGTTTTAATCATGTTGAAGTTTGTGCTATTACCAGGATGCTGCCTGATCCACAGGTTTCACTGCGTGTTGGTGACACCATGAATGATGTGAATTCCTAACAGGAATTGGTGTAGGGGGCGGGCATGTGAACCGGCCCTGACCAATGAGACAGCAGGGGTGGTGAGCTGGGGAGTGGGTAGGAAGAGCCTCCCCATAATCAGGAAGGAGGTGTGGAACAGAGGCTCCTCCCAAGGCTCTTTCTGCCTCTGGATGTTGGTGTTGATGATGTGATGTCTGGAGCTGTTGCAACCGCCTTGCTACCAGCTCAGGGCAGAAGCTTCAAGAACAGAAAGGCAAGGCTGAGAGAATCCCAGGGAAGCAGAGCTACATGCTGGGAGTTCTGTTCCTGAAGCCTGCCTCACCCAGGGGCTTCTTATCATGAAGGTAGAGCATTCCCTTTGCATTCAAGACATTTTTCATTGGGAACTTTGTTTACATGCAGCCAAAAGCCGTCTCAGCAGGTCCCAATGCCTCTACAGGTTTCTTCTACATGAGTTTCTCTTTCCCTCATCTCTTCTCCTGGTCTCCTTCTACTTTTGTGATTAGTGGATTTGCCTCCTTCCGCACATCCCCTTGGCCCATGCACTATGCAAGAATACCGGAGTCTGCCCATGTTATTGTCAGAGGGGGGTTTCCAGGAAGCTAATGGTATTTAAGTGCAGGGCTCCTCACAACCCCAGAAAAGGGTCTGAGCAGGGCCGAGCAACAGGTGTTCTTGGCTGGATGTTTTCTACAATTTTAGAAAGTCAAGTATTTAAACTGCAGTTATTCAAGAGCATTGCCTTTGTTTACTCTGACTTTCTCTTTCCCACTCTCCTCCTGCATGCTGTGTGGGTGGACACAGGCATTTTGGTATCTGGCTAAGAGGAAGCTGAGTTGGGACGCATTTAACCTGGGGTGAGGGGAACACACTCCTGTGGTTCTCAGCCACTCCTGGGCATAGTTACGTTGTCTCTAGAGACCCTGTTGTAAAAATGGCCCCAGGCCTGGCCCCACCATCCGCCTAGGATTTGACCCAAAGCAGCAGGGACAGAGACGGTTCCTAGTTCAGGACAATTCCCAGCACCACACATGGAAAGCCTGTGATCAGTGCAGAGGAAACAAGGTTTGCAATGTGTGGAGCCAGACGCCACTGTGTAGAAAATTATTCCCAGCAGAATTATGGGCAATTGTGAATGGATGATCTCTTTCTTTTTGACACCTAGTCAAAAATGGAAGTTTTCTCCTGTTGAAAATGTACTCACTAATCTGATATATATAATTAGTGCACCATGTAATTGTTTTTACTTTTGATGGGAACTTTGATAGAAATCTTGATTTTTGACATTTGTAGAGCACAGACCTTTGTTTTGAAACTGTCCACAGCAAGAACATATGCATGTGCGTGGCACAGACCCGACAGATGGGAAACTCCCTCCTTGCCCTTCTTATCCTGATGACCTCTGGCAGCTCCAGGCAACACAGATATAAAATAGCGACCAACAGGTGAGAGGGCTTGAAGAGATACTTGTTTCAGGACAAACTCCTCCTGCACATTCAATGAGCTAATCAACATAGCACATAATGATACATTTACACAATTTTGGAGTTCACTACAACAGTGACAGTTTTAAAATGCTGTGATAGTGACATTGTCAATAGTCTTTAAGATCCTAAGCCATAAGTCAAGAACATTTAGAAAATACTAAAATCTTACTGCTCACCTATGAAAGGAAACTAAAAGAGGCTTTTCCAAATTAGATAATAATCAAAAAAATTGCATGATATTACAATTACGAGTCTTAAATTAGAATGGAAACATTATATGCCATTAATTTTACAAGTGATCAAACCTGTTGGTGGAAAAAGTGGCTTATATTTCTGCTATATTTATAGAAAATTCTGTTACCAAATCAATGTCATATGATGAGGCAAGCAGGGATTCCTTAGCTAAGTAGGAAATATAGGAAGAAATTATTATGTGTTTGTGTCAAGTAGCTAATTAATTAAAAAAATTATATGAGGCAATACAAATCATGTGGATTAAGGCAAGGCAAATCTGCCCTTTCATCTGCAGGGTGGATGGATGGACTGATGGGGTCAAAGCCAGTGGCATCATGAACAGGAAACAACTTTTCTCTCAAGCTGCAGGTTTGAAAAGTCAAGCAGACTCTTCCTTGGCTGATGACTGCTTTCTGACTCAATGGAAGACCTTGTTCTCTAGCGTCAGGGCTGTCAGAAACTTTGCTTATGAGTAAGAAGAACATCCCACTGCTTGGAGGATCTAGGTCCACCTTAAACCAGAAGCACAGAGCTACAGAGAAGGGGTTTCTAGAAAGAATCTCCACATCTGGCTGGACTTTATGGGTTCTGAGGACACAGGACCTAGGTCCACTTTGCAGACCAGACCATACCTGACCCTGGCTCCTTTACACGGAGGCCTGCCATGCTCTGAGTGCATCAATCCAGCCTCAAAATCCCTCCTTCCAATCCTATGATAACTTCTTTTCCTTTGTTTGTCGAGTCATCTGAGGATCCTTGATGTGACTGTATTCCCTTATTGCAACAAGCCAATATTGAATGTGTTGACTACAGTACTGATTTTGGTGGCTGGTTGCACTAGGATATGTGTTATTTTCTGGATTTTGTAGATGTTTGTAGTATATCTCAGCATTTTAAAAAATGAGTATTTTGCTGTAATTTGTTTTCTCTTCGTAAATAAACATTAACTTTTGTGCTTTCTTTTGTATTGCTAGTATTGCTCTATTTTCCATGCAGGGAGCCCCTATATCACAGGAGCCTCAGGCCTCACAGCATCTTGATCCATCTGTGCTTGTTGTGCCGAGCGTCCACCTGCCCAGGGAAAGGCTGCACTGTCTCACACTTCCCAGGCCTCCGATGCACTCATTCCTCCTTGCAGAGTGATTTCTCTATGCTGGTTGAGATGTTTCTAACCTCTGCAGTTTCAGTGTTTTACCACTGATTTGGTGTGTAATTTATGTTAAAAGAACTCTTAGAAGAGGTTAATATTTTGAACATGACCTGATCAGGGGAGTTCTTTGCACTCCTCTAAAGATCCAGTGGCTTCGGGACACAGCTCACTGCCCATCTCTTGGCCCAGAAGAAGCACCTCCACACTCTCAGTTTCCCTGCCTCCTGCTCCCCTCCAAGGGAGCAGACACACAGGGAGATGGTGGGGAAAGCCCTGTGCAGAGCCATGACTTCAACCCAAACTTCCCCAAGGAAGAAAGAATTGTGTCAGAAAAGGGAATGATTTACACGAAGTCAGCTGTTCACTGTGTGCCTAGGTGGTGGTTGCTTGCGTGAAAAAAGATCTCTTATCCACGTGGAAAATTATGAGCACCTCGCTGCATGGAAGACTTTTCCACCAACCACCACCTGCTGCTCTGCCCTCTGCACCTGTCTCCCAGCAAAAGCATGAATCACTAAGCACACCCTCCACCGAAAGGTTGAGGCCCAGACTTACATCTCCCCAGCTCATGGCCTCCTGGGCTCTGCTTCATTCCTACATCCCAAAGATTCTGTTAAATCCCATCGCGGTGGAGAGCAAATGGAAGCAGATGCTTCCTACTGTCCCTGTCAGACCATTCTCCTCCTGGCTTTCTAGGGTAGCATATGGGGTGCTGGCCTCAGGGCTGTTTGGGCAGATTTCCCTTTGGCATTTTACCCTCACTGTTCATGGCAGCAGCCCTCCCTCACTGCAGCTGTAGGCATGGAAGATATTTGAGAGCCCTGCCCCAGAGGCACTGGCCGTGAGGGCTGCACTCCTCTGTCTTGAAATGGCAAAAGGAAGGGCTGTGCAGGACGGGCTACATCTTAGTGGATTTTTGTGACACAAATATCCACTATTCTACAGGATGATGCTGACAAGAAAAGGATGTGTTCTATTTATTAAATAGAACCTCCTTGGAAAAAGAAGAGAGTCCATTGCATGGCAGTCCTGCTTGTGTTCTAACTTTTCCATCCCTAACATTAAGCTTGACATGAGGACTGGTTTTCAATTCAAGTCCAGATAATGGACCTGTGGGCGCGAATTATTAAAACCTTCATAGGGCACCGCCTCCCAGCGTGGGCTGCACCCTCCCAGAACGGATGACAGCAGGCGCTGCTTTCTCTGTGATCTTGCCCATCCTTGGTCTGGTTGGCATTTCTTCCAATCAGTTACACGCACACAAACACACACTTTTGGACTTTGTTTCCATGTAGGGGCCTAAAATCTCCTATGGAAAGAAGCACACATCGATTGCTATATGTTTAGTGTCTAGGGGATTTGATGAGAGCAGCTCAGTCCCTGGAGTCTGCTCAACTCTGCAAGCACAGATGGAATCTACGGCCTGGCGAGCTCCACTGAGGCCTGGCCCCTGGCTGTGGATATAGCCAGCCCCCTCCTCCTGGTCTGACCAAGAGCTCAGACCAAAACAGCAGCCCAGCTTCGCGGGCAGCAGCCTGGGCCCACTCCTCTCCCTGACCCCCTCACCAGGGGCTGCTGCAGCTGAAGGCCTGGGTCCCGAGCCCCTGGCTGCTCGCTCCCTGCTCTGAGGCTCAGGTCTCCTATAGCAGCAGCTCCCCTGACAGCCTTGCTGTGGCCATGTCAGCTCCCAGATACTCCTCTGATCTCCACACCAGCAGGACAAGGAGGTTTCATAAAGGAACTGCGGAAACCTTTCTGTGTGCACATCCCTAGACAGCCAAGAACTCAGAGGGAGGCGATGCTACTGTTTAATTGCAGGAAGTGGGGGGCTGTGAGAAGCAAGAAAAAAGGAGCAAGGACAGAGCCCCCTGCTGAGCAACAAAGTCCTCCTGCTGCCTTCTCTTTTGGCTCCTGGTGCAGGCACATGGGGAGACCTCCCCCAGGGTTGGGGCCACCAGTCCACGGGTGGGAGCACTACAGGGGGTGGGAGTAGGAGGTGGTCAGTGCGGCTGGCCTTGCACAGACCCCTAGGCTTTCCCACACCTGGATTTCACCAGGGACATTCTGTCCTTCAAGGGAACTTCGTAGATCTGGAAAGAGCAGAACTGTTTCTGTGAAAGGAAAGAGAGGGGGACAATCAGTGTGGGTTGCAGTTAAATCAGAAGACACCCAGGTATATCATTTCAGAGTGGGGCAAGGACAGATCCAGGTGAGACACTGGGTTCTCACCCTCCCCCGCTGAGTCCCAGAGCACTGAGCCCGACTGCACAGTGACTGTTCCATCACCCCTCTCAAGGCTCCAAGTCACCAGGTGGCATTGGGCCCCCACCCCAGCCTGCAGGATTCCTGCCCCAGCACAACCCGAGCTTGTGCATGGCCTCGGGAGCCCCAAGGGTGCAGGGCAGGGGGAGGTGGCTCACTGCCCCCAGCTCCTTCCACCTCCAGCACTCAGGCCAGCACTAAGAGGGACCAGAGGGAAGAACCCAGGGAACTGGAAACTGTAACTCAAAAGGGTAGTGAGGAGATGACAAGGAGAGTGTGGCTCTCCCCTGAACAGAGACCTCACAAGAAATCCTGGGTTCTTAGAGAAGCTGGTGTTGGGTGAGCTGGGGCAGGTCCAGGGCTTCACTGCTAACAGGCATTTAATTCCCTCTAATCTGCTCAGAGAGGCTGTGGCTGTGGGCAGGTGCATGAGGCTGGGATTAGACAGAGCCTCTTCTCTCTGACCAGAACCCAGCCCTCCTCCAGTCCAGCAGGCAATACCCCAAAGCACACAGGGTGGAGCTCCCAGTACCCCCATTCCCAAGCTAAAGCCCTCTTAGCAAATCAAATTAATCACCCGTCTCCACACCACCTCATCTGCACACACATAGGCGTCTCCATAAGCTCACCCCAACCCTCACCCACACAGATCTATGCATGAACCCACATGCATACTCCCTCAAACATCCATCTACCCACATACACACACACTCTCATGTACCTCCCACATGTGGGCACACACATGCTCCATTCCACATACACCCATATATGCATACCACCCCCACATACATGTATGTACACATATAACTCCACATTCACACACACATGCATGCCCCTCACAACAGGCACCTGCACGTGTGTGCACAAACCCACATGCATCTCCACAGGCACATGCGCACACCCATGCATGCATGGCTTTCATGCATCTGCACTCATGCTCCATTCCCTTCAAAACATGTGCAGGAGCAGACACACACACACACACACACACACACACACACACACCACTCACACCCCTCTGCACTGCCTGACATCCCTGACCCACATCAGTCACATACCTCCTTCAACTGTGGCTGGTCACTGAAGAGACAGTTGTCCAAGTCTGGCTGAGACTTAGTGCATGTGGTTAGGTCTATCTTCATATCAAAGAAGTAGCTCACCCAGCCCACATCTACAAGCACGAAAGAGCAGGGTGCATGGGAAGCACACTGTCAGTTCCGTGCACACACAGGCATTTCACTGTGATTGAGTCACTGGGTTTGCCTGGGGCTTCATGCCTGCCTTTCTGAACCGCCCACACTGTCACCCACAAGGCATACACACTGGCTGGCAGTGGCCCCGGGCGCCAGGCCTCCCTGATAACTTGTTTTCTCTAAGTAACTGAAACAAGGTGTCTCATGCAGCCCAGTAGGAGGAGAAGCAAGGGCAGGGCAGATGGAAGCCAAGGCCTAAAACCCCCTTCATTGGATTCAGGAATAGAAGGCACAGCTCTGGGGAGCCAGCCAGGGTGGGGCAAAGAAACAGTCCTGGCACCAGGTTTGCAGGGCGGGTTTAAGCAGCAAGTGAATGCTCTTTCCCACAGCAAAGGATTAACTGATTTCTGCTACTTGTGGCTCAGAGGCCAGGGACACTTGACCTGTCCTAGGAAGGCTGTCACCTGATGATGAAATTTCTGCTAACTTCCAGCTCCTGGCATCCAGCCCATAGAGCATCTCATTCCCTCTATTAACCTAGATTTATTTATGCTTCATATACAGCAGGAAATGAGAGGCTTCACATGCACAGATGTTTTAGGCCAATAACATATTGTCTCTGTAGGATCTCCATTCTAAGTGTGTTGTTGGAAGCAATATTTCTAAAGTGAGCAGCACACCTGCATGTCTTATATTTGTGATTGCAGAGTGGAATTGAGCCCTTTTCCCTGCACAAGGCCTCCTCCAGACATGAATGGTGAGAACTGTGAAGCAGTGTGAGACAAGGAGCCCCGGGGACCACGTGCAAGTCCTGAGATCTCTCTGGTGTCAGTTTGCTCACTGTAAAACATGCTTCAGGGCCCAGTGATCCTTATCATCCCATGTGAGTGTCACACTTGAGAGAGGGGTACAGGCCAGCAGGGATCCTGGCAGCAGGGAGTGCCCCTCCTGTGCAGGGAGAGGGCCCCAGCTGACAGCTGCAGGAGGAGAAACGGGGCTGGTCTGGACTCCTCTGAATTTCCAAGGGAAGGTGGAGGAGAGCCAAAGGCTGTGTCACTGTTTGTTGCTGTGCCATGGGATGCAGGTCAAAATGGAACCAGTAGCCCTGCTGAAGCTCCCTCCCGACCTGACCCCCTCCTCCACTATGCTGGGTGACTGCTGTCCTCATCTGGTTGAGGTCTGATGCTATGTCAGCTGGCAAAAGCAGGGTCAGGCGTGCTCCACCCCAGAAGGAACTCAGCTGCCCTGGGCTGTCGGGGGTGGTCAGCCAGCCTGAGGGTGAAGGCCACTCGCCCTAGGGGGTTGTGCCCAGGGGTGTGACTTTGGGAGGGAAGCAGGGCTCTGCAGGACAAGGAGCTAGGCTCCGGTGTGGCCCCTGCAGAGAGGACTCAGGGAGGAGGATGAGCCTTATGGCCTGGATCTCATCCTGAGCAGCACCAAGCCCACCCAGAGCCAGCATAGTCTCCATCCACACCTGCTGGACCCTGGGAAATGCCACGGTCATGGCACAGACCCAGGAGCTGATGCAGGTTAAAGGAGGCCAAGTGGACAGGACAGGGCTGAGCTCATGCACTCATGGCCCGGGAGCGTCCTAGGGCATGAAGGCTGTCAACAGACAGTCAGAGAAAGCTGAATGAGTCTGAGCATTAGATCATGAATGTGTCAGTGCTGATTTGCTGGGAATGCTCTTGGGGTTAGGGGGCAAATCTGGCTGGGACTCAGGACCCCTTGGGTGGTGGCATCACCCACCTGCTGTTGGCCTGGCAGCACCTGCGGGGTGACTGTAGTGTTCATCATTCTCTCCTTGTTGTACTCACTGATGGCGAAGTCCAGGGCATGCTGCCATCTATCATCATTAAGGTCTGCATCACAGATGTCACTTTGAATGATCTTTCTAGCCAGAGCTGGGGGACTCTAGGCTAGGGCCACAAACAGGGCAGCCAGCAAGGGCAGTGGAGTGTGCAGGGGCCAGGTTGTGGTCTGCTGGGACAAGGACAAAGAGTGAGAAGGGGGAAGTGCAGGAGAGTGAAGGGGCATGATCCTGAGGCAGGGAGCCCAGACCAGCAGGCAGCTGTGCATTAGGATAAATGGATAAAAGCAAGACAGCCTGGGGGCCCCCAGCCCCACGTCCTTCCATGCCCTGCCCCTAGATTCTCCCTCTCTTTCTGCCCCTCCTCTTTTTCCTTTGTCTCCCATTCCATCTCCCCTCACCTCTCTCCCTGCCTAAGTCCCCCTGTTCTTCCAGGCCCTTCTCCTCCATCTCCCCCTTCTCCTAACTCCTCTCTCCAATCCCCAGCTCACTTCAGTCTTGCCCTTCCTTCCCAGTGCTCCCAAGATTGGGTCACCCTGGTCTCCAGAAAGGTGACACTGCTGTCTGTGTTGTGAAACAAGGTGACCTTCTACTTCCTTAGAAAAGGGAAAAATAAAAGGCTTGGCATCCTGGGGTCTTCAGATGTCAGGGAAATCTGAGAGCACTTGGTGAAAGTTGGGAATCCCTGGCGCAGGGAGACTATTTTAAACACTCCTGGAAGACCTTGTCCATTCCCTGTTCTGGGGAACTTCTTTGCCAAACATAAAGGAATTAACCTTTTGGGAAAAAGTCAGTGGGTTCTCTTTTCATAACTCATTATTTAATAAACAAACCTGTCACCAACTTCTCCCAGCACCATGTGGTCTAGAGCTTGGGATGGAGCCTGGGTGACTGAGCTATGGACGTGACATTGCAGAGCCGCTGCCCAACAGATTGTGACATGAACCCATGAGCAATTTTCTGTTTTCTAGGAAACACATTGAAAAAAGAAAAGAGAAACTGGTGAAAATAATTTAAAGAATATCTCTTTTTTAACCTTATATATCGAAAATATTATTTCAACACATAGGAACAACAATTATTAATAAGAGAGTTTACATTCTTTTGGGTATGTGTAAGTCTCTGAAATTTTTACACTTAGACCAAGTGTCATCTTGGACTGGCCCCATTTCCAACATCCCATGGTCACCTGTGGCTGGTGGCTGTGGAACTGCACAGCCGAAGTTAGGGTGTGTGTGGAGATGGGGAGCAGTGATCAGATGAGGGGAGTAGATCTGTTCTGCAGGAAGTGAAATAGAATGGAGGGTGGAGAGAGATGGGTGCCACCGGACCCTGGTCAGGGAGGTCTCTATGAGACTGGAAAGGTGAGAAGCCCTGTTTAGACAGGAAACAGCTCCAGGCAGCAGGAACAGCCAGTGCAAAGGCCCTGAGGTGGGGCTGAGTGTGCCTGTTCCAGGAAGAGGAAGCCCCTGGAGGGAACGTGAGCAGGGAAGAGAAGGACCTGGAGTCTCACAGTAACTGGGGGTGGGGCCAAGTGGAAGGTGCAGGGAGACCCCCTGGCAGGTGGTAAGAGTTGGCAGTACAGGGATCAGCAGCCGCGGGATGAATGTGGGAGCCACACTTCGGGCTCCTTTCCTCTCTTCACTGCTTGGAAAACTCATCTGACTTTATGACATTACAGTGAATGAGGTCGGATTTACATACAATAAAATGCCCAATTGCAAGTGCCCAACTTGGGGGATTTCATAAATGCATATACCTGTGTTACCACTTTGTCCAGACCTGTGACATCTGCCTTGCCCCAGATGGTATCCTCTTGCCTCTCAAGCCCACTCTCGTGCCCACCCCACCCTGGCAGCCCCTATCCAGCCCTGTAGACTCCTTTGTCACCTGTCCTTGAGCTTCCCAGGAATGGAGTCCTGCAGAGAGAGCCCATGTGTGTCTTTGTCCTTTGCTCAGCGTGGCTTTCCAGCGAGCCCTGAGTTGCTTCATTGCCAGGATTGTGAGTTCTCCTTCTCCCCAGATGAGGAGATGGGTCAGCTGGGTGCTCTGTGGGGTGACAAAGTCCCCAGCTCGGATGGCTGCGGGCCTGGGCTGGAATGTGACTCCAGGAGTGGGGAGGGTGGAAGGAGGCTCTGAACAGACAGCTGCTCCCTTTGTTCTCTCAACCCCACCCTCCATGCCTAAAGGTGACCCTGTGGCAAATCCCTTATGGTGAAGTGGCAGCCTTGGCCAGAAACGCCAGGAAATTCTGGGCCTTTGCCAGGGACCCAGAGGACTCTCCTGGGAGTGGTGGAGGTGAGGGTTGGCCAGTGTCAGCCCAGACCTGCTGTAATCCTGGGTCTCAGCCATGGCTGGGGCTGGATCAGCAGGAACCCGGCAGTGGGAACAATATTACTTACGGATGCTCATATTCATTGTTAAGATTGGGAAACTTGTTACCCAAGGCCAAGTGACCCTCTCACCCACTGTGAATCCAGCACCCCTAGAAAAGCTGTGCACCCCAGCAGATACAGTAGGAGGCCCAGGGATGGTGTTTACTGCTGGGTGAGGGAAGGAAGGCCCTCAAACAGGGCAGCGCATGATGCCTCCTAGTTAGACAAGAAAGACTGGGAGCTCCACAGATAAGAGAAAGAGGGGTCAGCCCCTGGCCAGGTACTTCCAAGCACAATGGTCATCTCCCAAGTGTGGGGGTTGGTTCTTCTCTGTGGCCCCCAGCTTCTTGAAGCCACTGGGGCTCCAATCTCAGGAAGATGTGTTGTACAGAGGGTAAGATTAAATAATCACAAATCTCCTAACTTCTATCACTAGGAAGAAGGTGCAGGTCACCCAGATAGGGGGAGGGTAGTGGTGAGTGGAATGTGGGGGAAGAGGGGCTGGAGTGCTGACCTGCACCCCTGAATGTGATGACATTACCTATGGTCATCCTCTGTCAGGACACTAGCATGTGCTGCAGGGAGGGCCAGCTGTCCTGATCAATGACTGCTGTAATCCTAACAGGACAGACAGCATTGGTGGGCACTCTCAGGAGCTACGGGAGCCAAGTCCAGTGCGGGTGATGGGAAGTGGAAGGTTAGGGTAGCTGGACAGCTGCTCCAGATATTTGGTGACCTTAGGCAAATGTTTTGCCTTCTCTGCATCATGCATCTGGAGAGGTGGGCGGCTTTGTAAACAGTAGTGTCTGACAGTTCAGAAGCAGCAAGATAAGCGGGCTTCAGGAGTGACATTTAAGCATGATTGAAAATGACTCAGTAGCATGATGTGGTGGTGCACCTGTAATCCCAGCTACTGGGGAGGCTATGACGGGGGATCCCCTCAAGCCCTGTAGTTCCAGACCAGCCTGGACAACATAGGGAAACTGTGCAGCATAGACCCCATCTTAAAAAAAATAAAACATGACACAGCTGTGTATGCCTTGATTCCTGTAACCTACAGCTTCAAGGACAAGGTAATAGGGACCCAGAGAGAAACAATGGACCCAGGACTGAGCCTGGGGCCTCCAGCACCCAGGTAACCTGGAGAAGTCCAGCTGCACAGGAGGGGGCATGTTTCCCTTCTGCCAGGTGATGAAAAAGAAAGCTGTGTTCTCCCAGGCTGTGTGGGGTACTATTGATCTCATGATCTGAATTAGTGAGAATTTAGGTGAGTGGCAGAAGTTCTCTATAATAAATAAGCAATAATAAGTGAACACTAAACAATGCTATAATAAATCATCAAGCACATAAACATCTACTAAAGGTGCAAGTGGTCAGGACAAGTTGGCCAAGAGTTGAGATTCTGCACATTTGGGTTTTGAGAAATTAACATTCAGCATCTATGGTAGGAGCTTGGACAGAGCAGCCACTTGATTTGCTGGTTTCTCAAAGGGGAAGCCCAGAAGCTTCCTTTATAGAGTGCCTGGAGTTCTCTGGGGTCAAGCCTTCCCTTACACACACCCTCCCTCCTTCTCCCTCCCCACCAGATGCTTCTAGACCATGGGCCAATGTTGGTATCTCATTTGGTTTTGAGATGATGCCACATCATTGGGAAACTGTGATACTCATGGGGAAGGCTGCTGACAGCCCCTGCCGAATGTGACGAGAGGGCAGAGCCCAGTGTCTGAGGTCTGACTGTTTTGAGCTTCATGGGGAAAAGAGAATCCTTGGGACATTTCTGCTCAGGGACCAGTATATGAACAGTGCTCGTGGTTTTGGATTATAAGTTACCACTGACTTTCTCAAGGAGTGCATTCACCAGAGCAGAGCCAGTGACTGAAGAACCACACAGCCTAGTGAAGAGGACAGGGAGAGGCCTCCAGGAACTCGGGTTGCTAGCTGGGGCAGGCTGGGCTGCGCCTGACTCCCTGGGCTGCAGACTGCAGGGGACTGGCCTCAAGGGAAACAGATGGCTCTGAGCGGGAGAGCAATCCCCTTGGCATCTCTGGGTGGTCAGACTTTCTTATCCTGTTTGGGTCACTGCTGGGATTTCCCTGTCACTGTTTGTGTAACCTTAAATATCAATTCCTTTAGCAAAGTGCAGTGACTGTGGAGAGTGGTTCCTGTTCCTGGTTGGAATCCTGTTCAACTCAATCACTGAGTGCTGGAGCTGGAGCCAGAGGCCATCAGGACAGCCCTGCCTGCTCCTGTGGCCCTGCCTGCCCTTTCCTCCTGTCACAGAGGGGCTGGATCCAGAGATAAGACTCACCTTGACCAAACCTTAGTTAAGCTCGTCTGAGCCACCTTCTTCCCTTGGCCTCAACCCTAGTCCCCAGCCCCTACCTCCTGCTCTTGCGAGGGCTGCAGTGCCCAGGTTTAGGAAAGAATCCTGCTAAGTCAGTTCAGAAAGAATCCCCTCACCCTTGGTATCTGATCACCCTCAACATCTGACCAAGTTCCTCATTTCTCAACTTTGATGTCTAAGGCTTTGTCCTGCCTTTAGCAAGAATATTGTTAGGTCAATTTAGCAAGAAACTCCCACATTTGATGTCTCTGCTTAGTAATTTTTTTTAATCTATTAACCCTGCTCCCTGCTCCTTGGCTATATATCCTCACTTGCCCTTTTTATATTCATAGTTGAGCTCTCTCTCTTTTATTGTGAGAGTGTTGACCCTATTGCAATTATCTTGAGTCATCTCAACCAAGCTCAGGCTTCCAGCAGTGAAGCTCCTCATTGCCCTGCCCATGATGTTATCACTGGATGTCCTGCAGGCATCACCAGTTCTGTATGTCCATTGACCTTCATTTTGCCCATAGACCTACCCTTCGACTAGTGTCCCCATCTGTGTTAGTAGCCCCATCCTTGCCCATGGCTGTGACAAGAGATATATTTGTGACAAGATATTCATTCTCTTGGTGCTTCTGTTTCCTGATTTGTAAAACAGGAATGACAATGATTACAATAGGCTGTGTAATAAGGAACTGCATGATCTCATTGGCCTATGGCAATGACCAGTTATTTTGCTCACATCTGCAGTCCAGCTGGGAGTCACTGACCTGGAATGGGATTGTCTGAGCTGGCTCTGCTCCACATCTGTGATCCTTCTCCAAGGAGATAGCTGACATTTTTCATATTCTCGCATGGCAAGAGCAGGGTGCAAGAGGGCAAGCTGAATTGCACAAACTTGTTTCAAACTTCTGGTTACTTCACACCTTTGGTTAAACTCCTTTGGTTAAAGCAAATCACACGGCCCAGCCCAAAGGAAGTGGTGCAGAAGTGCACTTTGCCATGGAGAGTGGGGTACAGGGAGTGAGTATTTTGAACAAATAGATTTAGTGTCAGGAAAACTAAATCAAATGCTTGTGAGTTGATAGTGCAGTGCCTGACATACCTATTGATTGATCAATTGATCTCATCTATCTAATCTATGTATATATCTATGTATCAAATCTATGTATCTGTCCATATATCATGTTTCCACTCTATTCCTCATCTTTCCCCAGACAATAATAATTAAAGTCCTGTAAAATTCTCTGAGTTGTATTTTCTTTCTTTTTTTTTTTTTTTGTTCTTCACATTGCCACAGCTATGAGAACGCTCATGGATGTCTTGTGACTGTCTGATCTTTGAGGAATCTTCACTCTACTCTGTGCCTCCACTCCTGTGCTGTCCTACCCACCGCAGCAAATCAGATTGTGATCCTTGGTTCACAGCCTCCCATGGCTTCCGAGTGTCCTTAAATTGAAACTCTGATGAGTACTTGGCATCTAAACCTGTCCCTACCCTCCCTTGTGCCTCCTGCAGGCAAGTGGGCTCTGGCCTGGCCTGAACTTTGGGCTGAGAGTCTGGACTGTTCTGCACCTAGAAATTTGCTCACAATCCTGAGTGCACCTGGTCCTGCACCTGTTTAAGATTTTTTGAAAGGCTCACCCTCCGGGGGCAGCTTGATGGGTTTGATAGTTCTAGTGCTATAGAAAGAGGATGCAAGCCGGTGAGAAGGCAGATGGAGAGCATGAAATGTAGGCTGGATTCAGAAGGAAAGGGCTGCCCTCCAGCCGCCCCATGGCAGTTGCAGACACCAGCAGAAACCACAGTCTATGGGGGAGGGGATTTTCCCCCTCTCTACCCCACATGGGGTGGACTGTGGGTCTTTGCTGGGAGAGCTGTTCAGAGCATCCTGTATGCATTACCTGCTGCTGCATCAGCAGCCACCCTGAATTTTCCTAGCTGAAAGTCACGTAATGTATGGATTCTCACGACTCTGGAGCTGTCCTCGGCTCTTGCGCTGGTCTTGCTGGGTTCACTCGCGGGCTGCATTCAGGTGAGGTAGGCTGGGAATGTGCTCAGCAGGCACAGTGGGCATCTCTTTCCAGGTGGTCTTTTAGCCTTAAGAAGGTTAGAGGATGCTTTCACATGAAGACGAGTTCCAAGATCTTATTTCAGGAGCTCAGCGCCTAGGTGTGGCCCGGCCCCAGCCATTGCAGACTCCTGCCAGCCGTTGTC
This sequence comes from Homo sapiens, assembly GCF_000001405.40. NCBI lineage: Eukaryota > Metazoa > Chordata > Mammalia > Primates > Hominidae > Homo > Homo sapiens. Next base: position 23,928,927 of record NC_000020.11, read on the forward strand.
TCATTCATCAAAGCAGGTCACGTGGCCAAGCCCAGCCTCAGAGTGGGCGGGGCCTCACAGAGTGAGAGGCGAGGCCCCGTGCATTGTGGTTGTTTCCTGTGTCTACCTCCGCTCCCTGCACAGAATCCAGGAGAGAGATGTGAGCCTGGACCAGTCTGATGTCGAAAATACAGATTTTTATAGATGGCTGTTTGAGGAAAATTTGGCTTCCTGTAATATCTGGATTGAGATGAGGTGTCCAGAGGAAGGCACTGAAGCTCAGGAGTCAGGAGCTGAGTTTACCCCGTCCCTCTCCAGGTTGGCTTAGAAAGTTCTAAATATCTGAGAAATAATCAAACAAAAATAGGGTAGCCAATATGGGAGTCCCCAGTCCTGCTTCTGTTGTTTCTCTCCTGCATCACTTCATCGAAACTAAAGGTGGATTCCAGCTTCTTTAAATATTGTTTTCTTACCTAAAGCAGTAGCCCTTCCTAGGTCCTTCTCATGCCCTTGGCTTCTCTATTTTTCAGCATGTCACTTTCTGGTTAGGGCGTGGTGTATGAAGGAGAGCTGGGCTCTTCTTCCCACATTGCTTTGCTGTTCTGATGTAATGTTTGGGTCCAGCACCTCAGCAGTGAGGAGAGCACACAGGCGATCAGGATCACTTATGTGTATCTGGGAAGAGTTAAATGCTGTCTTGTGTCTCCCAGATATGGGCACCAGTCAGGAATTGCTAAAAGGAAACAATTAAACCTCTTGTTTCTAGTCTTTCCAACAATTACTTTATGAGATAGTTTGAATATACACCCCCATCAAATCTCATGCTGAATTCCAGTCCTGTGTTGGAGGTAGAACCTGGTGGGAGGTGTTTGGGTCATAGTTTCTGATCCCTCATGGCTTGGTGTTGTCCTCACAATAGTCAGTGAGTTCTCTAGAGATCTGGTTGTTAAAAGTGTGTAACATCTTCCTCTAGGTCTCTCTCTTGATCCTTCCCTTCGTCCTGTCTATCTAGAAAGAGGGACCAGGAAAGGTCACTCTGAGGATGTGGCATGGGAGCTGGACTCTGCAGGAGGAGAAGCAGCCAGCTGCACCAACCCAAGGGTGGGGTGTTTCTGGTCAAGAACAGCCTGAACTGACCTTGAGGCAGAAATGATCTTAACCTGTGGAAGCTCCTGAATGGAGTGTCAGGGACCGGCAGGCAGGAGAGGTAAGAAGACCGGGTTTGGTGGATGAGCAGATGTCAGTTCCCACCACGAGGAAGAACTCCTATTTTATTCAAAATGCAATGAGAAGCCTTTGAAATGATTTACTGGGACATAGCATAACACCTTATATGTTATTAGAAGGCTGACATGGCCACACAGAGGGAAAAAAGCTTTTAGTCAGTGAGAATGGGAGGGTGGGGGACAGTCAGGAGGACATTGTAGTCATCCAGGAAAGGGAGGAGAGTGACCTGGGCCAGTGCAGTGGCCAAGAGGTGGAGCACAGGAGACTCAGGATGCCTGTGAGAGGTGGCATGGCAGGACTTGCTGAGGGCTGGGGTGAGGGTGCAGAAGGAAGGAAAAAAACAGAACTCTAGCCCAGGCCTCATGACGGGGCAGGAAAATTACTAAGCTTGAGGAGATATGAGGATGAGCAGATTGTCTGGGCTTGGGCCTCAGGGAAAATTTGAGAGCGTCCTTAGAGATTGTTGGGACATCATGTGTGTAGAACTGTGGATGTCAAATGCCAGCCCATAGATCTATTACTGAAGTGCCAGGGGCTTAGTCTAGGATTCATTGCTTGCAGCACAGGAAGCCAAACACTGAGACAACAAGTATTGTCAAGGAAGAAGGCTGTAATCAGGTGCTGCAGCTAAGAAGATGGAAGGTCAGTCTCAAATCCATCTCCTCATATGACTAAAATCAGGGATTTAAATAGCAGGGGAGAAATGTGCTCATATTCAGGAAAACAGGATTAGGGAAGTGTAAGGAATAGGAAATTGTAAGCAGGAATCATGATGGGTGAAGGTCCTGGCATCTCATTGTCCAGATGCTGTGATCTGGTGAGTGTCAGTTCCCTGATGCTATCTGGGAGCCCTGAAGTCTGATTTCCTGAGCAAGGAACTCAGAGAAGGCACATGTGAGTTTCTCAAGTTTTAAGACTGAAAGGGTCAATATCTGTGTTTATTCAAAAGAAACCATAAATATCAGTTCTATGGGCCAGTTGGGCCAGTTTCAACCCCCTTTCTATGTATCGATTTCCAAATCATGGGGAATCTGTTCATTGATCTTTCTGACTGCCTCATGCTGAAGACAAGGGTTGTGGGATAGGGGCTAAGAGCCAGCCCATTTCTGGGGGCTATTGTATGCTCAGCAGTGCAAAGAGCAAGACCTATTTCCAGGTAAGATTTGTCTCTTGGCAACTGGGGTCCCCTTGGCCACAAGTGAGTTTGCTAAGTTGGTGGGGGGTCTTAGAACTTTATTTTGTCCCATACTATTGCTGGAGTGGTATACTACACTTCCTGCCATGGTTCATCCTGTTCCTCAGTGGAAAGCCTATGGCCAAGGGACTTACAGTCAAGAGACTTCCAGCCAATTAAATGTTCTAGGCCAGACAGCAATGGAGCTGGGCAGCTTCTCATAACCCCTCAAACACCCTTTAAGTAACTTAAGAGCTAAAAACTAAAAGCCTAAAAGTAGGGTTGCAGAATTTCTTGTGACTCAAAAGGAATTGCCTTTGCCATTCAAGGGGCCTCACCCTGACCTGGGAGGCCCAGCCCCCCAGGCTCCCAAGCTGAGTTGTGTCTTCAGCATTGGCCAAGAGTAGTGAGTTCTTTTAAAGGTCTATGTAAGGACACACACAGCCACCAAAAAATAACATACGTAACTAAACGTATCCTTCAGAATCAGCCCTTACAATCTCACATGCTCAGCTCTTCCACGACAGTGCCTGGGCCTAGAAGGACTGAATTGTTCTAATTTCTGGCTCTGTGTCTCATGAAAGCAGTTCATTTTGATTGCCACCTTCTCCTGACTCTGAGGATGAGGCTTTGACTAGTGTCAGTGTTCAACATTTAGCAAGAGTTGATGCCTTTTTCAGACCTAGGAGTCAAAGCCCTATAACTTAACAGTACAAGGATTAGTTAATAGGACATTTATCAAAGATGCTAAAAGGCTCAAGACAGTTGATCAAAACAGAATCATAGGTCATTGTAAAATAATAGTTATTCATTTAACCAAAGTGATCACCAAAAGACTTTAAAAGCAATGTAGAAATAAAATTAGAGTAAAGGGGCACTCTACCCATAATATACAGATAGATGACTTTTGCTGTAAAAATAAGTTTCTGTCTACAACACAAAAGATCAAGTATACTATATACATTGTGATAAAAACAGAAGCCAAAGCTTAATGAAATGTTTATAGACAAAAAAAAGAATATTTAGAAATGTGTGCTTCCATTTACTAATACTGCAGAAAGTTCCATCATTCTCTCCAATATGTCATAAATTAAAACACTGTGATTTTGTGTCTAGTGGTTACTGTCTGCAGCACTTCAAACCACCGTGTTAAAGTGGTTAGGTTACTTCTTGCCTCTGTCTAATTGCTAACATTGTCATGGCTGAATTATGACCAAAAGCATAAAAAATGTGATAGGCCCTATGCCAAACGTATCCAAGTGAGACAATTCAGTTTCTTCTGCATCATTAAAAATGGTAATAAACACAAATATCAGTTTTGGAGATATAGGATGAGGATAAATAATCTCCTTTCACTTAAATATTGAACGACAAAACAGAAACAAAGCAACAACAAGCACATGATAATTTATTTTCAGCTATTTTAAAAGGGCATCATCACACACTTTCAAAATTGGTTTCTAGATAGAGTACTGACAGCTGATTAGGTAACTTTCACCATTAGAAGTCTTGTACATATTTTGTTTTCAAGCACACACAAGAAGGCCCAACAGTGATCAAAGGCATGGGATCCAAAATCACTAGAAAGTGTAACTTCTTAAAAATTACTGCTTAACCAGTGAATGTCACTTAGTTTTAATAACGGTAAACACAACGGAAGTAGTTTGAGGGAAATCCCAGTCAATGTAACTTCCTCCAGGACATGGCCAATCTTTCTGAACATAAAACTTTGTACCCATGTCACAGTTTCTCCTCATTACCTAAAGGGAAAGATCTGAAACCAACTCAAATTATCGATTGAATTATCTTGGAAATGAACACCATTTAAACATTTTTACTCTCACCTACTTTTCCAAATAACAAAATAAATAATTATTTCTGTTCAGAACTTATAAAAATGAGTTTATTTTTGGCCAGAAACCTCAAAGCTCTTATAGCTCTCTAGGTTATCAGAGGTAGGCAAAACCGATTCAGTTTTAAGTGGCTGGTGTGCTCTGTCATTGTTGGACTCTTCACAAAGGTAGTTTAGGAATTGTAGATAAGTAGAGCAAATTATGAATTTTTGGAAATGCATAGGGAATAAAACAACTATAAATAGAACCCAATACAAGCTTTCCATAAGAAACTCAAAAACATCAATGGCTTTATATCTGCAAATAAATGAAAATTAAATGTGAAAACATCCCAGGTGTGGTGGCTCACACCTGTAATCCCAGCACTTGGGAGGCTGAGGCAGGAGGATGGCTTGAGGCCAGGAATTTGAGACCAGCCTGGGCAACCTAGCAAGATCCTGTCTCTACAAAAATTAAAAAAAGTAAATAAAAGTAAAAAAAACAAAAAAGGTAAACCAACCCTAAATTTATCTCCTATTCAGTTTACCTTAGAAGCCACAGGTTATCCAGATCCTACAATAACAAATGATGGATATTTTTTTCCAGATGTACAAATTAATGTACTTTAGTCCAGCAACACCACTGAATTCAGACATTTACTTGACGCACATGGCCAGTATTGTAGTGCTAGTACTATCTATGCAGAATAGCAAAGGCAGTGTGAAATAAAGCAATGCAAGCATTTATGTAAAATTTGGCTCCATGCTAAATCTGGCTTCATGTTTAACTAAATTTAAGAGAGAATTGTCCAACTACCAATGTATCTCTTTACAATATTTCTTATTTTACCTTCATCAACAGTAAGAGCTTTAACTATGAACAATGCTAGTTAGCTAAATTTCTCCAATTTTTATCAGGTTTTAAGTAATATTTTACTATCTAAACTTTTCAACTTTCCATTTTCTCTTATGTCCATGAAGACAGACACACAGAGACACAGGAAGAAATTACACATGACTTAACTTTTGAATTAGACAAAATTACTCTTTTTTTCAGTAAGGCTTTGGCACATTTTATATGCAAAATTATATATTAACTACAATTCTTATTCTTACTAACCTTAAATCTTAGTGAAAACCTAGGAAGCAAGAAATCCTAAACTGCCTTTCAGATATTGGCATTTTATAGATAACAGCCATTTCACAATTTTTAAAAACATGTTTCCCCATATCATAAACCTTTCTTAATTGGAAATGACCAGACATCCAAGGAGCTTCTGTTACTTAACCCAAAATCACTTTAACATTTTAAACTACACAAAAAGTTCACCTACAAGCATTTATCTCATTTATATGTACTCAGTTTTTTCATTTTTAAAAAGGTTATCTAGACTCCTTCTGAAAACTGAGACATTAAACAAAGCTAGTCATCATTTCAACTTATTTCCTTGTCAACCACTTTTTTTTTTTTTTAGACGGAGTCTTGCTCTGTTGCCCAGGCTGGAGTGCAGTGGCACAATCTTGGCTCACTGCAAGCTCCACCTCCTGGATTCAAGCGATTCTCCTGCCTCAGCCTCCCGAGTAGATGGAACTAGACGTGCGTGCCACCACGCCTGGCTAATTTTTTGTATTTTTAGTAGATATGGAGTTTCACCGTGTTAGCCAGGATGATCTGGATTTCCTGAGCTTGTGAACTGCCCACATTGGCCTCCCAAAGTGCTGGGATTACAGGCGTGAGCCACCGTGTCCGGCCGTCAACCACTTTTTTTTTTGTTCTTGAGACAGAGTCTCACTCTGTTGCCCAGCCTGGAGTGCAGTGGCGCGATCTCGGCTCACTGCAACCTCTGCCTCCTGGGTTCAAGCTATTCTCCTGCCTCAGCCTCCCGAGTAGCTGGGACTACAGGTGCCCACCACCACACCTGGCTAATTTTTGTATTTTTAGTAGAGACGGGGTTTCACCATGCTGGCCAGGCTGGTCTCGAACTCTTTACCTTGTGATCCACCTACCTCAGCCTCCCAAAGTGCTGGGATTACAGGTGTGAGCCACAGTGCCCAACCCGACCACTTTTTATATAGTTTGTGAATATCTGGTATCCACCTAAGAACCTTAAAGTTTAACATATGGATATTTTCACCAATAACTCAGAAGATCCAGCTGTCTTTATTAAACCAACACTAAATTAGTCTTCTTCATCAAAAAAATCACATGAACAAGGATCATTTTGTTTTTGCTGGGTTCATAGTTTTATAACTTTGTGTGCCAAACCCTGACACCTCAAAATATCTAGTAGAGACAAATGCAAAACCCAGACAAAAATGTATGTTGACCATTCTGAAAACGTATCTGTTTTAATTTTACAAATAATTTTAAAGCCAGGTTGTTTATTAAAGATCTACCTAAGTTATATGAACTTAAAAATTATATAGTCTTATTTAATTAATTTATGAGTGCTCTTTTATTCATAAGCAAATTTAGCAGATATAATATATAACATTAAAAAGGTACATAGACACAAACACATCTAATCATGTACACACAAAAACACACACAAGATCCAATAGGTTTTACCTCAGTAATCTAGCCATGAAGTAGTAATACAAACTCACTGGTTTATAACACTGTTCTGTTCACATGTCTAAAGCTTTTTTACCCCATAGGTAATCCAACGAAGGCTCAGAATCAAAATTTAGGGTAAACTCATTTCCACGGCAGTTTGATTTTTTAAAGACCAAACTTCTCCGGACTGTAAAGAATACTGGGCCAAGCAACACCCCGGAAGAACATCATATACTAAGCAGGCCCAAAAAACAGCAACATAAAGCCTGATTACACACAACTCCATCCCACATTCCCATTCAACAGCAAACTCCAGATTCCCAACAGTATTACAAAAGATTATCAGTTTATCAAATTTGGTTTCCCATGATTATATGAACACACACATACGAACAATCACCGAAACACAATTCAATTGTTGCAGTAACAAACAAGCCTCAAGAATGTTTAAACAGAAACAGCCAGACGGTTTTCCTCTTTACGTTGGTTGCGCTTATCCAACCTGCAAATGGAAATTCCCTTAGAATTTCCCAAATTGAGGGATCAGATCCCACTCTCTGGGCCCAAAAAGACACTCACCCATCTGGACACAGATGTCAGATTTCAAAGGCTGTTCTTCCTAGGCAGTCAGAAACCCGATTGGGGCGAGGAGCGGTGGGGCCATATGGAGACTGAAACCCACCTCCAGCCAAAAGTAGATGGGCAGCAGCTTAGGGAATCTTCCAAAAGTCTCCTTCCCCACATAGCCGAGCCATGAGCAACACTTTCCTGGTGAGGAAACCAAAATCTGGTACCAAAATGCAGGGGGTTCCATCTAAGTTCCGTTACTCCTTGCACAGAAAGTCAAACATGGAGACAACCAGCATTGCCAGGGAGAGGGCTTTCATTGGGTGCCACAGCAGAGGAGATGGGAGGCCAGTCTCAAATCATTGTTCTTACCCACTAAAATAAGGGGTTTATATAGTAGAGAAGAAATGTAACTACTTGCAGGAAAACAGGAATTGGGGAGGGTCAAGGAAGAGGAATTGGTGAGCAGAAGTCATGATGGTTGAGGAATCTGGCATCTCATTGTCTGGAATGGTGATCTGGTGAGTTTCCGTTCCTTGATGCTGAAGGTGCGTTTCTTAAGGAACTCAGATAAGACAAATGTAAGTTTCTCAAGTTTTAAGAGGCAGAGGGCCAATTTCTATGTTCATTCAAAAGAAACCATAAATACAAGTTTTATGGGACAATTGGGCTAGTTTCATATCCAGCCTAGGGGTCAGGTTTCACTAGAGTGCAGGGCAGGGCATCCTTCATTTTCACAATGCCTCATTTTGGGTGGCACCAAAATGACTTTCTATTATGGAATAGTGATCGTAGAACTTTTCCTTTGCCAATCATATTTGGAAAATCAAAATATTTGCAATTATTAGTCTCAAATACCACGGACTACAGGAACCTACAGTCTGCAACTTGTGGCATGGAAGGTGTCTGAGAAGAACCCTTGGGCTGTGCCAGAGTTGGCAGGGAAGGGTGAGCCACTGGGCCCTGAGAGATGGAGGGTGTCAGGGGAACTAAGGAGGGAAGAGGCTTGCAGAGTGGGCAACCCCCTCCCACATAATAAAGGAGAGAATGATATGCTGAAATATCAAATGCAAAGATAAAGACAAGAAGAAAATCCTCCAAGGTGGCAGATAAACCACAAAGCTAAAGGGCAATTCCTGCTCCCACAGCCACCTGCCCTGTAAATTCTGCTCAGTTCATGAGTTTGCAGAGAACCTCTGCAAGGTGGAGCGTGCATCCTCCACTTCACCATAGTTACCACCAGAGGGAAGCATTCACCCACGGATGACCAGCCTCTCGGGCACCAGCTACTCCAACCTCATGCTAGAGAGCAGGCTCTGAAGGTAGTCCTGGGGTTGACATAGGGTCTGCCTTGGAGGAACAAGCTTTGCAAACTAAATACTTCCCTAGTGCTGTTCTGGGTTCTGCAGAGTTCCCTCTGCTTGGCTCTATCCTTGCTACTCTAGGCTGCCTGGGCATGCAGGGTTTTATTGATTAGAGCAATTGACAGTGGATGGTACAACCTCCTATTTCTGCAGCTCTCCCCACTGCCCCTGCTAGACCTTCACAAGGCAGGTGACAATGAAAGTGTGGATACCCCTATTGATGGTGACAGTGGCCCATCTAGAGCAGCTACTGTGAGGATGCCAGCTGCAGCAGGAGAGGTGTGGCTGGGGCTGCATGCTCCCCAGAGCTGGTGGGGGCCAGGAACAGGTGGGAGCCCCATGCTCCCAGGCATAGCTGTGGTCACCCAGCTGCAGCTCCAGACCTGGGCATCCCTGTGCTCTCAGGGCCCAGAAAGTCCCCAGCCCTGACAGGTTCAGAAGTGCCTGCTCCTGCTACCTGGCCTGTCCCTGCTCCTGGCACCTGCTCTGCAGCAGAGCAAAGTTGTAGCTGAGCCTGGGAGCGGTCATGACCCAGCTGGGTGTTTGTGCACTTGGGGCAGTGCTGTCAGTGCTGGAGTGGCCAGCCCTCTGCCACTTCAGCCCCCTCTGGACTGTGGGAGCTGACTAGCATGGGAGGGCTGCTGGTGGGGGCTGAGTGCAGCTCAGCATGGGCTTGCAGGCACTGTTCAATATGAACAGCCTGGGCACCATGGACGGCATGTTGATGGTGGGAGGCAGACAGGTTCCTGGACAGAAAGGGGTGGATACCTGGTGAATTCCCACCTTCAAGCCAGGGACAGCCTGAAGCCTTGGAACCAGGGTGTCAGTTCTGGGTGGAAGCCGTGGTCCAGAGTGAAAACTTATGGTACTTTTTTTGCACCTGCCCATGGACCAATCAGCACACACTTCCTTCATTCGGAGCCTATAAAAACCCCAGACTCAGCCAGACTCAGCCAGACATCAGGACTACCAGCTGTGGGAAGGAGCTACCCACTTCAGGTCTCCTCAACTCCTTGGGACAACCTGTTTGTGGAAAGGAGCTATACACCATGGTTCTCCTTTCCACTGAGAGCTGGACACTCCTGGGGCTGACCTGCTTGCAGAAAGGAACTACCCATCTTGGGTCTCCTGAGAGCTGTTCTGTCACTCAATGAAGCGCCTCTCCACCTTGCTCACCCTCCACTTGTACGCATACCCCATTCCTCCTGGACGTGGGACAGGAACTCAGGACCTGCCAAATGGCGAGACTGCAAGAGCTGTAAGGGCTGAAACACCCCCCAACTCACCACACTGTGGTGATGAGGAGAGAAAAGCTGTGGCCATTCTGGGAGCCAGGGCTGTGATATGCTTTAACACCCTGTTTGGGGCTCTGTGGTTCCTGGCATCTCCAAGCTTTCAGGTGCCACCACATTCCCCTTGTCCAGATGCTGGTGCCTGCAGTGGAAGCCACTTGCAGTACGTCTGGTCCAGCCAAAGCCCCACACAGAGCCAGTGCCTATGCCAGCAACTGGAGCTGCCTGCCCCACTGCAGTCAACATGTCTGGCTCTGCACAGTGGCCTGACCCAATGCTCATTTGCTTACACACCCCTGACCACTCTGCACCTGGCTCACCCTTGGCAGGTGTGGAATCTGGGCCACAGTGTGAGCTGAGCACAGCCTGACAGACCAAGTGGGTGGAATGAGCCCAGTGGGTGCAAGCAAAACCTGAGTAGAGGTGTCACGAGGCACAGAAGTTTCCAGTTGGCAAAGTGACACTGTAAATATCCTGTGACACTATAGCCAAGCCTGGTTTCTGTCCTCTCTTCCACTCTTTCTCCTCTCACCCCTTTTTTGGCATTCTTTCTCTTCCTTCCCTCCCTCTTTTCTGAAGCTACCCATCTCCTTCTTGTTCATGGTAATATCTAGGGGTCAGAGGCATGAATTCCAGGGGAAAAAATCTGCTTTTATTCCTCTGATTAACAAAATACATGATCCCATAAACAAAATTAACAACGAAATCATGATCATATCATAGAGGCAGAAAAAGCATTTGATAAAAGTTCAGCATCACTCATGACAAAAAAACTGTTAACAAACTAGACATAGAAAGAACATCCCTCAACATAATAAAGGCCATAAATGACAAACTCATAGTCAACATCATATTTAATGGGGGAAAGTTGAATTCATTCACTCTACCAACTGGAACAAGTCAAGAAAGGCATCCTAATGGGAAAAGAGGAAGTGAAATTACCCTTGTTCACTGATGATATGTTCTTATATCTAGAAAACCCTAAATACTTCACCAAAAATCTCTTAGATTTGTTAAATTTGGTAAAAAGTTTCAAGATACAAAATTAATGTACAGAAATCATTGGAGTTTCTACACACCAATAGCAATGTAGCTGAGAACCAAGTCAAGAAGCAATCCCATTTATAGTCGCTATCAAAAACTAATGAAATACCTAGGAATATATTTAAGCAGAACTACAAATGAGAACTACAAAATACTGAGGAAAGAAATCATAGATAGCACAAAGAAATTGAAAACCATTATATGCTAATTGATTGGAATAATCATTATAGTTAGAATGACCTCAGTGCCCAGAGCAATCTACAGATTCAATGCAATTCCTATCAAATCAGCAGTATTATTTTCCACAAAATTAGAAGAAAACAATTCTAAAATTTACATGGAACCAAAAAAGAACTCGAATAGCCAGAGCAAGTCTAAGCAAAAGAGCAAAGCTGGAGATACCACATCACCTCATTTCAAATTATACTACAATGCTACAGTAATCAAAACAGCATGGTACTGGTATAAAAATAGACATATGAATCAGTGAAACAGAGTAGAGAATGTAGAAATGAAGCCACATACCTACAACCAACTTATCTTAGACAAAGTCAGTAAAAATGTACACTGGGGAAATGACACCCTCTTCAATAAATGGCACTGGGAAAATTGGACAGCCATATGCAGAAGAATGAAACTAGACCCAAGCCTCTCACCATATACAAAAATTAGCTTAACATGGGTTAAAGACATCAACATAAGAGACAAAACTATTAAAAAATCCTACAAGAAAACTTAGGAACATCTTTTGGACATTGGACTAGGAAAAGAATTTATGAGCAAGTCCTCAAAAGGACATAACAAAAACAAAAATAGGCAAATGAAACTTAATAAAACTAAAGAGCTTCTGCACAGCAAAAGAAATAATCAATGGTCCTGACATAGTGGACTCCACCTATAATACCATCAGTTTGTGAGGCTGAGTTTGAAGTATTTCTTGAGGCCATAAGTTCGAAACCAGCCTGGATAATATAGTGAGACCTCATCTCTAAAAAAAAATGAGAAATTAGCCAGGCCTGGTGGCTAGCACCTGTAGTCCTAGCTACTCTGGAGGCTGAAGCAGGAGGCTCACTTGAGTCCAGAAGTTAGAGGCTGCAGTTAGCTATGATCACATCACTGCACTATAGCCTGGAAAACTAAGAAAGACCCTGTCTCAAAAAAAAAAAAGAAAGAAAGAAAAAAAAGAAACAAACAACAATAACAACTATTACTACAGCAAAATCAATAGAGTAAATGGACAACCTAAGATTGGGGAAAAAATATTTGCAAACTATGCATCTGACAATGGGCTAATATCCAGCATCTACAAGGACTCTGTCTCAAAATAAAAAAAAAAGCCATACAAACATACAAACAGCCAACAAAATATGAAAAAATACTCAACATCAGTAATCATCAGAGCAATGCAAATTAAAACCACAATGGGATACCATCTTACACTAGTCAGAATGGCTACTATTAAAAAGTCTAAAAACAACAGATATTGGCAAGGATGTAAAGATAACACTTATGCACTGCTGATGGAAATATAAATTAGTACGACTCCTATGAAGAACAGTATGGAGACTTCTTAAAGAATTGAAAATAGAACTACCCTTTTATTCAGGAATCTCACTTCTGGGTATCTACCCAAAGGAAAAGAAATTATTATATAAAAAAGGCACCTGCACTTGTATTTTTATCACAACACTATTAATAGTAGCAAAGATATGGAATCAACCTAAGTGTCCATTAATAAAGAATAGGATAAAGAAAGTGTGAGATATACATACATACATATGTATATTATCTCTCTCTCTATCCATCTATAATGAAACAACACTCAGCCATTAAAAAGATATACCTAATCCTAAATGACGAGTTAATGGGTGCAGCACACCAACATGGCACATGTATACCTAAGTAACAAAACCTGCACGTTGTGCACATGTACCCTAAAACTTAAAGTATAATAATAATAAAATAAAATAAAATAAAATCATGTATTTTATAGCAATATGGTGGAAATCAAAGGCCATAATCTAAAGTAACTCAGAAAAATAAAGTCAAATACTGCATGTTTTCATTTATAGATAGGGGCTAAACCATGAGTACATATGGACATACATAATGGAATAATGGACATTGGAGATTACAAAAGGTGGGAGGTTGGCAGGGGTTGAGGGTTGAAAAATAGCCCATTAGGTACAATGTTCATCATGTGGGTGCTTGGTTCATTAAAAGCCCGACTTTACCACCACACAATGTATGCATGTAAGAAACCTTCACTTGTACATGCTAAACATATAACAATAAAACATAACTTTTAAAAAAGAGTATGTGGTCCATTTGTAACAGACACACTTTCCCATCCAATGTAAGGTGTCTGAAGAGAAGATTCACCTGAGTCTTGATCTGATGAATCTGCAAACAGAGGAATCCCCCCTGACTTCCACCTGCTCAGACCTGGTGCTTACACTCTGCTCCAAAGAGCTTGATATTTTCTCATTAACATCATATTATTACCATCACTGCCATCACTTTCACCATTATCATTTTTGTCAGCACCACCACCACTACCATAACCATTCTGATCATTATCACCATCATTCTACCAATGCTAACATCATCACCATCACCATCATCATCATCACTACCACCACCAGCATCTCCATTATCAACACTGCCGCCATCAGCATCACCTCCACTACTATCATCACAATTACCACCATCGCAATCACAAACACCATCATCATCACCACAAATAACATAAACACCATCACCATCAGTACCATCAACACCATCAGCATCACAACCATCCTCACCACCATCACCACTATCATCACTACCATCACCCCCATGATTACCATTATTATTGCCAGTCACCACTACCATCACCAACACCACCAGCACCATCATTATTCTCACCGTCACCATTATCACAAGCGTTCTCACCATGACCATCATCACCATCACCACCATCACTGATATAGTTTGGATGTTTATCCCCTCCAAATACCATGTTGAAATATAATTCCCAATGTTGGTAGTGGGACCTAGTGGAAGGTGATTGGATCATGGAGGCAGATCCCTCACGAATGGCTTAGCACCACCCCATGGTAATGAGTGCATTCTCGTTTTGAGTTCCTGAGTGATCTGGGTGTTTAAAAGAGTGTGGCACTTCCTTCTCTCTCTGTCTTGCTCTCTCTGTTATTATATGACATGCCTGCTCCCATTTCACCTTCCATCACACATGACTGTAAATTTCCTTAGGCCCTCACCAGAAATAGATGCTGGAGACATACTGGTATAGCCTATACAATTTTGAGCCAATTAAACCCTTTTTCTGTATAAATGACACAGCCTCAGGTATTTATGGCAACACAAGAATGGCCTTATATAGTCATTACCATTACTATTGCCACCACCATCACCATTATCATTAGCACTATCATCACCGTTACCATCACCACCATTACCACCATCATCACCACCACATTATCATGATCACCTTCACCAGCATACTATCATTATTATCATCTTCACCACTATCACCATCACCATCACCATCTCCATCTCCACTGTATCCACTGTATCTCCATCATCATCACTGTATTTCCACTGTATCCACTGTATCGTCGTCACAATCATCACATCATCTTCACCACAATTACCAGGTGCCTCTCAGCAGTTAGTCTGCGTTAGACATTGTGCCACACTGTTTATAAACCTCATGTGGTTACATCGTTACCCTGAGTGTATACATTTATAGAAAAATATAAGGTGGTAATTGGGTTTGTAACATGATGTAAGAGTGTGTGAACCTGCTTTCTATTCTCAGAATTATCTGCAATCAATAAAAGAGAAGACTCACTTCATTTCTCAGCTCCCACATTGCTGGACATAGGTCTGATCTAGACATCCACAGTGACATCTTCACTGGTCCACTGGGCTCCACCCTCAGATTCTGTTTCCTTGGTTCTAAAATGTTCAGAAAGCTGCATCCCCTGCCACATGAAACACAGGCATCTTGCCCTCTGTGGCCGCCCTCTTGCTTTTGCACATAATGTGGCTTGGCTTCAAAAGAAACTGGACTTCTTGATATTCTGCACATGTATACCTGTCCAGGCTCACATAAATTTGTCTTTATGAAAGGACACCTATTCTTTATACAAAGTCACCTGTACCTGCCCACTCCTCCCTAGATCTTTGCCTGCCCAAATTCTACCTGTTCCTCAAGTTCATGTCCACATAAACGTTATCTATGGATTCTTCTCTGGTCAATGTAGCCAGGTGTGAACCTTTTGAGTTTGATCTCCTATAGAACTTTTATGTTCACTAGAGGCTTTTACCATCCTCCTCTTAGAGTCTTTCTTCTTGTGTATGTATTTCTGTCCCTCACCAGGCCATGAGGTCTTGGAGGATAGCAACTAAGTCTCCTTCTCCATGTGATTTGCCTCTCAGAGATCACTGAGATAATTACAAACAAAAACAAGCTAATGATAATGATATTATTCTCACAATAATATAAAATATATAATAATGTATATAATTATACAGTTATATATAACAATAATCATCATTTCACAATAACTACTTAGTAGTTACAATTAGTGTCTCCATTTTACTGATAAGTAAGCTGAGTCACAGAGAGGTTAAGGACATATTTGAAATTTACACAGTGTGTAAATGGATAACCAGGATTTTAACCCATATAATCTGGTTTCATGCTCTCGCCATGAGGTTAGATGTTCCAGCAGTCTGCTGCACTCAAAATCTTTGACATTTGAGAGACTTTATGGTAGGACACAGTTAAGATGTTTTTGAGATCAGTGGATGGGGCCCTTTTAACTCCTAGGTCATTGCCCCTTCATGTGGAACTCACACCAAATCACAGCCATGTGTCTTGGCCCAGACTCTCCTCCTTTTTGGAATTCCCTTCCCCTGTGTCATTTCATTGATTCCTCTTCATCTTTCGTGATTGCCCAGGTATTATATTTTCCATAAAGGTGACTGTCTAGATTGACCTACCCAGAAGCAGAAACAAATATGCAATTGCAAGTGTTTTATTTGGTGGGTAGTCCCAGGAAAGTCTACTGAAGCAGTGAGGAAATGAGACAAGGAAGAGAAGTGGTCAATACAGCAAGTGCGAGTTGCCAGGCTACCGCTACGGGCATGTGGGACTCATTTCCACTGGGAACCCCTGGGAGATTGCCTGGAACATATCTGCTGGTGTCATTCTGTGGGTGAAGAATGTGCAGGGCCATTAGTTCTCTTGCACTTACTTGTGCCACATGCACAGGAAAATCAGTGCAGATGCTGGCAATTGGAATGTGGGCTGGTAAGTGCTGAGATAGTGAGGACCAACCAAGGGATGTGAGCATCTTGTCCTCCTCCAGCCCTCTATGTGGGTTTGGTGCCCTTCTCTGTGCTCTCCAGTGCCATATTCTCTCCTTTGATTTCTACTTGTCTGTCTACCACCCAAAATTCTATATTGAACATCCATCAAGGCTGGAGGACTTGGCTCTTTTGCTTTCTTTTCTCCAGCACCCAATTTTATTTCTAGCATAAAATGTATACTCAACAAAGACAGTAGGAGTGATGAAATTAGGCTCATTTTATGAAAAGTCTGAAAAACTTTCACAAATCTTTATTCAGAAACATTAATTTACAGAGAAATTCTCTTGAATAATTAAAAGAAAAATATTTTATAAAAGTTGCAGAAACAAAAAGGAAATTGCTTTGTGTAATTTGGAAAATTACCCCCAAATTTAAAATGTGTAAAAAGGAAATGAGACAGAAGGAAAATATAATCATTAGCCTGGAGGCCCAGAAGTAAAATAAGGTAGAAATGAAAATGAATCACAGGTGCTACGAAGCTCATTCTCTTCCACTGAACAAGGAATCAGATAAGAGAGGCAACCAGTAGCCACGTGTTGGCACCCAGGCAGTTCCAAATGGGTTCAGGGCAACTTCATCCTTTTGGCATCTTAGTGAATTTGGTAGCTGAATGAATGAAACATGTGAATGATCACCCAGGTACTCTGTCCAGGTGATACCTGACTGCCCAAGATGGGTAAAATGTTTTTCTGTGTACTTTAAGGAATTCTTAAGATCCTGCATTTCATTATACTCCTGTTAGGTGGTTTCAGGATCCCTATGTCCAGGGTGTCCAGGGAAGGGGATAAGGTGAGCAGGGACAAAGTGGGGTCTGAGCTCTGCTTGTGCCTGCCTGGTAGCTGTTAGGTGGGCATTTGTGGTAGGTGGGCATTTGTGGTGGGCGTTAGGGATGTCCCGTGAATATTTCTGTTTCTTATGAGTGCAAGACAGGATTCCCACCCCCTTGAGTTTGTTGTAGTCATCACCTGCTTTAGTCAATATAATAGAAGAATAAGTGACAGGTGTTCTTTCTAGTTATGCTAGGGAGTGCTTGTGCTCATTGCCTTGGCCCCTCTGTTGTTATGAGGGTGACTTCATCATCCTGAGGCCCAGAGTGACCACAATGTGGTCCAGAGCCCCCAGCACAGATGCCACGCATCTGTGGAAATAGCAGTCACAATAATAGAGTGTTATGTTGCTGCCTTAAGTCACTGAGATTTGAGGGCTTTTAAAAAGTAATTTCAAATTTAGTTTAGATTCAAGGGTTGCATGTGCTGTTTTGTTACCTGGATGTTACTGTGTGACACTGTGGTTTGAGCGGTCCTGTCACCCAGGGAGTTAGCATAGTTCACA
The DNA here is from genome assembly GCF_000001405.40 of Homo sapiens. Lineage (NCBI taxonomy): Eukaryota > Metazoa > Chordata > Mammalia > Primates > Hominidae > Homo > Homo sapiens. Next base: position 23,946,673 of record NC_000020.11, read on the forward strand.
GCAGGTTGTTTTTCAGCTCCTTCCCCCTTCTTCTCTTTCCCCTCTAATAGTCCCCAGTGTCTATCTTCCCCATCTTTATGTACGCATGTACCCAAGGCTTAGCTCCTACTTATAAGTAAGAATAAGTATTCTTACTTATAAGTAAGAGTATTTGATTTCCTGTTCCTTTGTTAATTCACTTAGGATAATGGCCTCCAGCCTTATTCATTTTACTGCAAATGACATGATTTTATTCTTTTTTATGACTGTGCAGTATCCTGTGGTGTACATGTACAAAGTTTTCTTAGTTCAATCCACTATTGATGGGCACCTAGGTTGATTCCGTGTCTTTGCTACTATAAGTAGTGCTGCCATGAACACAGGAGTACATGTATCATTTTGGTAGAATAATTTATTTTCCTTTGGATATAAATCCAGTAAACGGATTGATAGGTCAAATGGCAGTTCTGTTTTAAGTTCTTTGATAAGTCTCCAAACTGCTGTCCACAGTGGCTGAACTAGTTTATACTCCCACCAACAGTGTATGAACATTCCCTTTTCTCTGTAGCCTCACAGGCATTTGCTTTTGACTTTTTAGTAGCCATTTTGATTGGTGTAAAATGGTATCTCATTGCTGTTTTGATTTACATTTCTCTGATGATTAGTGATGATGAGCATTTTTTATGTTTGTTAGCCTCCTCTGTGTCTTCTGAGAAGTGTCTCCCATCCTTTACCTTCTGTTGTCTTCTCAGTGTCTGTTGTTCCCCTACAGGTGTCCTTAAGCTCATCATTTACCTCCCACTTATACATGATAACATGTGGTATTTATTTTTCTGTTCCTATGTTAGTTTGCTAAGGATAGAGGCCTCCAGCTCCATCCATGTTCCTGCAAAGGACATGATCTCATACTTTGCTATGGCTACATAATATTCCATGGTGTGTATGTACCAAATTTTCTTTACCAAGTCTATCACAGGTGGACATTTAGGCTGATTCCATGTCTTTGCTATTGTGAATGGTGCTGCAATAAACATATGTGTGCATATGTCTTTATAATAGAATCATTTATATTTTGGGGGGTATATACCCAGTAGTGGGATTGCTGGGTCAAATGATATTTCTGTTTTTAGGTATTTGAGAAATCACCATACTGTCTTCCACAATGGTTGAACTAAGTTTACACTTCTACCAACAGTGTATAAGCATTCCTTTTTCTCCACAACCTCATCAACATCTGTTATTTTGCAACTTTTTAATAGCCATTCTGGCTGGTATGAGATATTATCCCATTGTGGTTTGATTTTCATTTCTCTAGTGATCAGTGGTGTTGAGCTTTTTTTCATGTGATTGTTGGCTACATGTATGTCTTCTTTAGAAAAGTGTCTGTTCATGTCCTTTGCCCACTTTTTAATGGGGTTGTTTGTATTTTATTGTAAATTTGTTTAAGTTTCTTATAGATGCTGGCTATTAGTCCTTTGTCAGGTGCATAATTTGCAAAAATCTTCTCCCATTCTGTAGGTTGTCTGTTTGCTTTGTTGATAGTTTCCTTTGTTGTGCAGAAGCTCCTTAGTTCAATTAGATCCCATTTCCCAATTTTTGCTTTTGTTGCAATTGCTTTTGGATTCTTCGTCATGAAATTTTTGCCTGTTCCTATGTTCTGAATGGTATTGCTTAGGTTGTCTTCCAGGATTTTTATAGTTTTGGGTTTTACATTTAAGTCTTTAATCCATCTTGAGTTAATTTTTGTATATGGTGTAAGGAAGGGGTCCAATTTCAATCTTCTGCATATGGCTAGCCAGTTATCCCAGCACCATGTATTGAACAGGGAATCCTGTCCCTATTGCTTTTATTTGTCAGATTTGTAAAAAATCAGATCATTGGAGGTATGCAGCCTTATTTCTGGGTTCTCTATTCTTTTCCATTGGTCTATGTGTCTGCTTTTGTACCAGTACCATGGTATTTTGATTACTGTAGACCTATAGTATAGTTTGAAGTAGGGTAGTGTGATGCCTTCAGCTTTGTTATTTTTGTTTAGGATTGCCTTGGCTATTCAGGCTCTTTTTTGGTTCTATGTGAATTTTAAAATAGTTGTTTCTAGTTCTGTGAAGAATGTCAGTGGTAGTTTAATAGGAATAGCATAATCTATAAATTGTTTTGGGCAATATGGCCATTTTTATGATATTGATTCTTCTTGTCTATGAGCACAGAATGTTTTCCCATTTCTTTGTGTCATCTCTGATTTCTTTCCTTTTTTTTTTTCTGAGATGGATTCTCGCTCTGCCACCCAGGCTGGAGTACAGTGGCCCAATCTAGGCTCACTGCAAACTCCGCCTCCCGGGTTCACGCCATTCTCCTGCCTCAGCCTCCAGAGTAGCTGGGACTACAGGTGTCTGCCACTACACCCAGCTAATTTTTTTATATTTTTAGTAGAGGCAGGGTTTCATTGTATTACCAGGATGGTCTCGATCTCCTGACCTCGTGATCTGCCTGCCTCGGCCTCCCAAAGTGCTGGGATTACAGGCGTGAGCCACCGCGCCCGGCCGTCATCTCTGATTTCTTTGAGCAGTTTTTTATAGTTCTCTTTGTACAGATCTTTCACCCCTCTGGTAAGCTGTATTTCTAGGTATTTTATTTATTTGTTTGTTTATTTATTTATGGCAATTGGAATGGGACTGCATTGCCGATTTGGCTCTCAGCTTGACTGTTGTTGCTGTATAGGAATGTTAGTAATTTTTGCACATCGATTTTGCATTCTGAGACTTTGTTGATGCTGTTTATCAGCTGAAGGAGCTTTTGGGCTGAGACTATGGGGTTTTCTAGATATAGGATCATGTCATCTGCAAACAGAGATAGCTTGACTTCCTCTCTTCCTATTTGGACATCTTTTATTTGTCTCTATTGCCTGATTGCCCTGGCCAGGGTTTCCTATATTGAATAGGAGTGGTGAGAGAGGGCATCCTTGTCTTGTGCCAGTTTTCAACAAAGACTTGACTTTGAGCCTATGGGTGCTGTTACATGTGTGATGGGTCTCTTAAAGTCAGCAGACAGATAGGTCTTATTTTTAAATCAAGCTTGCCAATTTATTCTTTTTAAATGGGTGTTTACACTATTTACATTCAAGTTTAATACTGATATGTGATGTTTTTATCCTATTGTGAAGTGGTTAGTTGGTTGCTTTGTAGTTTCTGTTACGTGGTTTCTTTATAGGATCTGAGAGCTTTGTTCTTAAGTTTTTGGGGTAGCAGGGATCATTTCTTTTATTTCCATGTAACTCCCTCAAGGATGTCTTGTCAAGCTGATCTAGGAGTAACAAATTCCCTTAGCACTTGTTTGTCAGAAAAAGATTTTATTTCTCCTTCACTTATGAAGCTAAGTTTGGTGGAATATAAAATTCTTAATTGGAATTTCCTTTCTTTAAGATTGCTGAAAATAGGCCCCCAATCTCTCCTGGCTTATAAGATTTCTGCTGAGAAGTCTGCTGTTAGCTGTTAGAGTTCCCTTTGTATGTAATCTTGAACTTTTTCTCTAGCCGCCTTTAAGATTTTTTCTTTAGCATTGATCTCTGGTGATTATATGCCTTTGTGATATCCATTTTTTATAGTACCTCACTGATGTTCTCTGAAGCTCTTGTACCTGGATGTCTACCTCTCTAGAAAATTAGGGAAATTTCCTTGAATTATTTTCTCAAATATGTTTTGACTACTGTAGATAATTCATATAAGTGGAATCATAGAATATTTGTCCTTTTCTTGTGTAACTTATTTTACTTAGCATAATGTCCTCAAGATTCACTCATGTTGTAGTATGTGTCAGAACTATTTTCCTTTTTAAAGCTGAATAGTATTTCATTATCTGAATTTATCATATTTTGGTTATCCATTTATCTATCGATGGACACTTGAGTTGCTTCTACCTTTTGCCTGTAGCGAATAATGTTATTGTACCAAGTGCATTATCATAAAAAATATTGCTGCCCATTTTGTTTTTTAGGAACAGCAGAGTGGGATTTTTTTCTTTATTAATTCTAACTAGATTTTAAAAGTATCTAGGAAAACTATTGATATTTAAATTTTGCCACGGATTCAGCCATGTTGCCAAACACCTATATTGATTTTCATAATGTTAAAGCTGATTCTTCTGAGTTTTCTAGACATTTGAGAAAATCTTCTACAAACAAGAAAAATCGTGTCTTTTTCTTTTCCACACTTACAGCTAAATCAATTATACACCTGTTTTATTTATTGAAGGTCATGGTGTGTGTCATTTTACTCTAGGATTTAGCACCAGGCAAAGCACCTAAGAGCTGGTTAACGAGCATTTGCTAAATGACTCTTTGTGTCTCACTTTGGGGCATGCAGAATGTTGCCAGGTGTCACCAATTTTATTCTCTCTCTTGTGAATATATTTTAACAACCAAAAAATATGTAACATCATTCAGAGCTCAAAGTCCCTTTTCAAAAACACTTTCATTTATTTATTAAATGACCATATGCAGTAGTAGTTATAATCATTCCCATTGTACAGATGAGTTAACTGAGTCTCAGAGAGATTACATCCCTTGCTCTCTCACTGGAGGCTGCATTGCTCAGGTTTCCCCTCACCAGCAAGACTCATTCTCTCAGCCAGGTCGGGGGGTGGGGTGTGTGTCCACTGATTGCTCACAGCTGAGTCCTTCAATGGGGCTTGATCTGAGACAAAGGAAGATGCTTTGCCTAAGAGCATGCCCTTCCCACCCCCGAAACTGCCTATTTTGAATAAAAGGCCTAAAAGTGGGTACCAGGCCTGACTTGTTTGCACCAATATGAAACAATTCTGAGGCCATCCCAGCTTTAGAGCTTTAGAGCTCTCCGTGGGGCTGGCCGTGGCTTCTGCTGAGCCGCACCCCAGCCTGACTTCTCCCTCTGCCCCACCCCTCGCCGCTGCCACCCTTGTACTCTTTACAATGAGACCCTTGCCCATGAATCTCCATTTCAGCATCTGTTTCCAGGAAACTCTAACTAAGAGTAGTGGAGTCATGACTCACAACACAAGATACTCTGCATTTTTAGCTACAGTGGGCATTAGGTCTGTGGACCTTTGGGAAACTCTCATCCAGGATACTCAATATAACCCATCTTGGGATGATCCCCATTTTCTCAGAGCTGAGACTTGCTTAAGGAAAAAATATGTCATCTGGAAAGTTACCTGTGTTCCAAAAGTGAGGGCTATTTTGTCCTCTTTTATCCTCAGTGAATTGAATACTAAAGTGTCCATTTGTATCGGACTTGGTGAAATATTTTCACTTACCTAATGCTCGTTGATTCATCTGATGAGGAAGGCTTGGTAAATTACCCCTTGTAACTTTGAGGAAATAAGTAGGAAGCAAGTTAGGGACAAGATGCCACGTCATGTAATTTTCAGTTAAATTTTGATTCCATTGCACAATAAGCTTCATTTGCTGCTCTGGCTCTGAGACTGATATTTAGGGTGTGTTGGCTCCATTACTCCTAGAAACATCCTAGCTACAGGTAGCAAGAGTCCTGGGAAACAATGGCTACACCTCCCATGAAGACGACATCCATTTACCAACAGCTGTAGGGGTGGTCAATTCATAGAGTTGGTGCAGTGTCCTCAGCAGGGGCCCAGGTGGTTTCCTTCCATCTTCTACACCATTCCTTGGGCTCTTGTTCTTGGGCACATTGCTCATGAGTGAAAGGTGAACACCATAGCCCAAGGCATCCTGTCCCGCAGTACAGTGTCCAAGGGTAAGGGCTAGGAGCAAAAGGCAGTCCTAGTGGTGGCAGGAGGAAGGGAGAGAGAAAGAAAGAGAGAGAGAGGCAGGATCTCACCCTTTTTATTCAATATAGACCTTTTTTAGTAGTGACCTGGCTGACATCTCAGATGTCATTGGTTGCCAGTTCCAATCAATGACATCTGAAATATCCCCAGGGGTGAAGAAGGCTAGGAAGTTTATTGCCTGATACTTTCAGTCTTTGCACTTGGGTTCAGGCAGGAGGAAGGGAGTTGGAAATGGCTGGTCAGGTTTCCAGAACAAAGTTTTTCAATATAAGAGTCTATCAAGAGCTTGCAGAAACCCCATTGTACTCTGAAGCTTATGAATGTGTTTGTGTAGGAGTGTGCATACATACACACACACACATTTATTTCTACAACTGTCATCAGATTTGTAATGGATTCAGTGACTGCACATCACTCTAATATTGAGGTATAGGTACTGAGATGTAAATGAAATGCCATGAGTTTTCACTGAATGAAATACAGACCAACATCTTGATATTTACATGTCCATTACTTTCAAGTGAACTGGGCAGCAGGCTACCTCCCCCTTACGTTCAACAGATGCAGAATATAGGAGACTGAAAGAAGATGAAATCCAGTACTCTAAAGCCAAGCCAGAGCCCACCTGCTAATTACAGTCATTGAGTCCACAGCAGTGATGAGCTCTCTGATGGTAATGGCACAATAGGGAATGTGAACTAAGACACCCTTACTTCCCCCAGGAGCTCACAGTGTGGCTGAGAGAAGATCTAATCCAGAAATGTTCAGTGCCACACAGAGAAAAACAAGGAGAAATGCATTGAATACTAAATGGCAGTTATAATTCACAGAGCGAGTAGAAACACATACTAAAAGTCAACTCATGATTAATTCACAGCTAGTGTGCTATTAAACATATGCAGGCATATCAACCACACCAATAGGACAATCAGGCATAGCATTTGTTATTTAAAATAAAGACATAGAGAGAATCCAGTGAAAAATAACCTATAATCTCATCACCCAAACACCATGGCTGACATTTAAGATGTTTAGAAAAAACACAAGCACATTGTTATAATATTCAATGGAAAAGAGAGATTCAAAATTAAAAAAAAAGGAAAAGCCAAAAGCACCCATCTTCTTACCCAGGCTACTATCTCTAAAGATATCCATTGCTAATAATCCCTTATGCTTTGCTTTCTTCCAGGAAAAATGCAAATGATAGTTTGGCTTTCTTGTCTTCCCCTTGCTCTCTCTTTCTCTCTCTCTCTCTGTTAGATGTGTATGCATATATACATGTATATATGTGTGTATACATATCTATATATGATATGAGCTCTTCCCAAAGCTCTTTCTGCCTCTGGATGTCAGTGTTGATGATGTAATATCTGGAGCTTTCTCAAACGTCTTGCTACCAGATCAAGGCTGAAGCATCATGAACGGAGAGGTAAGGATGAGAGAATCCCAGGGATTCTGGGTGATGGGAGATGGATGCTGGGAGTTCTGCTTCTGGAGCCTGTCTCAACCAAGGGCTTCTTAACATGAGGGGTGGAGCATTCCCTTTGCATTTAAGACATTTTAATTGGGAACTTGTTTACACGCGGCTGAAGGCCTCTCACCAGGCACTGATGCCCGTGCAGATTTCTTCTGCATGAGTTTCTCCTTCCCTCACCTCTTCTCCAGGTCTCCTACTTTTGTGGCTGGTGGATTTGCCTCTTCCTTAACGTCCCATTTGCCCATGCACTGTGCAAGAATACCGGAGTCTGCCTATGTTATTGTCAGAGGGGAGTTTCCAGGAAGCTAATGGTATTTAAGCGCAGGGCTCCTCACAACCGCAGAAAAGGGTCTGAGTGGGGCCGAGCAACAGGTGTTCTTGGCTGGATGTTTTCTACAATTTTAAGAAGTATTTAAACTGCAGTTATTCAAGAGCATTGCCTTTGTTTACTCTGACTTTCTCTTTCCCACTCTCCTCCTGCATGCTCTGTGGGTGGACACAGGCATTTTGGTATCTGGCTAAGAGGAAGCTGAGCTGGGACACATTTAACCTGGGGTGAGGGGAACACACTCCTGTGGTTCTCAGCCACTCCTGGGCATAGTTACGTTGTCTCTAGAGACCCTGTTGTAAAAGTGGCCCCAGCCCTGGCCCCACCATCCGCCTAGGATTTGACCCAAAGTAGCAGGGGCAGAGGTGGTTCCTGGATCACGACATTTCCCAGCACCGCATATGGGAAGCCTGTGATCAGTGCAGAGGAAACAAGGTTTGCAATGCGTGGAGCCAGAAGCCACTGTGTGGAAAATTATTCCCAGCAGAAATATGGAAATTATGAGTGGATAATTTGGTTCTTTTTGACACCTAGTCAAAAATGGAAGTTTTCTCCTGTTGGAAATATACTCACCAATATGGTATATACAATAGTTAGTGCACCATGCAGTTGATTTATTTTTGATGGGAATTGGATGAGAAATAAATCTTGATTTTTAACATTTGTATAGCACAGACCTGTGTGGTGAAACTGCCCACAGCAAGGACACACGCATGTGAATGGCACAGACACGAGGCGCGGGGCTGACCTCCCTCCCCTCTTACCCTGACGACCTCTCCCAGCTGCAGGCAACACAGATGTAAACTTGACCAGCAGCAAGACAGCTTGAAGAAATACTTGTTTCAAGGGAAACTCCTCCTGCATGTTCAATGACCTAATAAATATAGCACAAAATGATACATTTGCACAATTGTGAATCTCAGAACAACAGTGACACATTAAAAATGCTGTGATAGTGAGCACTGTCAATAGAAAAAGTCCCTACGATCATCAATCAACAAAATTTAGAAAGAGCTAAAATCTTAGAGATCACTATGAAAGTAAACTGGAAGAGACTTTTCCAAATTTGACGACAATCAGAAAAGGTTTGAGTTATAAATTAGAAGGAAGATGTTATGCACCATCAGTTTTACAAAATGATAAAACATCTTAGTAGAAAGACTGGCTTATCCTTCTGCCCTATTTATACACAATTCTGCTATAAATTCAATGTCTTATGATGAGGCAGATAACGATTCATTAATTGAAGATGAAAACATAGGAAGAAATTATTAGAGTTGTGTCACATATTAATTAATAAAATATTATATAAATAAGGCTGGGTGTGGTGGCTCATGCCTGTAATCCCAGTACTTTGGGAGGCTGAGGCGGGCGGATCACGAGGTCAGGAGATTGAGACCATCCTGGCCAACAACATGAAACCCCCTCTCTACTAAAAATACAATTAGCCACTTATGGTGGCACATGCCTGTAATCCCAGGTACTTGGGAGGCTGAGGCAGGGGAATTGCTTGAACCCAGGAGGCGGAGGTTGCAGTGAGCCGAGATCATGCCACTGCACTCCAGCCTGGGCAACAGTGAGACTCCATCTCAAAAAAAAAAAAAGAAAAAAGAAAATATTACATGAGTAAGTCAAAATAACATGGATCAAGAAAGTGCAAATCTGCCCTTTCACCTGCAGGATGGACAGATGGACTGATGGTAACAAAGCCAGTGGCATCATGAGCAGGAAATGATGTTTCTTTCAAACTGCAGCTTTGAAATGTTAAACAGCCTCTTTCTTGGCTGACTACCGCATTTCATCTCAATGGAAGATCTTGTTCTGTAGAATCGGGGGGAAGTCAGAATTTTTGCTTATCAGTAAGAACATCCCACTGCCTGAAGGATGTAGATTCACCTTCACAGAGAGGTGCAGAATGTTAGAGAAGGGGTTTCCGGACAGAACCTTCCTCATCTGGCTGAACTTTATGGGTTCTGATGACATAGGAGCTGGGTGCATTTTGCAGTCCAGAGCAGACACTGGCTCCTTTCCACAGAGGCCTTCTGAGTGTATCAATACAGCCTCAAAATTCCTTTCCCCAGTCCTATATATTTTCCTTTATTTGGCGAGTTTTCCTGGGTTCCCTTGGTGTGACTGTCATTTTTCTGGATTTTGTATTTTTTTTAGTAGCATTTTAAAATGTGTAATTTTCTATGATTTCTTTTCTCTTCCTAAATACATGTTAATTTTTGTGCTTAGTTCATATTGGTAATATCATGCTATTTTTCATACAGAATGCCCCTATATTGTTGGAGCCTCAGGCCCCACAGCACCTGGTCCACCTGTGGTCGTGCGAGCGTCCACTTGCCCAAAGAAAGACTGCACTGCCTTGTGCTTCCCAGGCCTCCAACACACTCACCCCTCCTTCAAGTGATTTGTGTGTGCTGGATGATGGGTTAATAAACACTGCAGTTTCTGTCTTTTACCACTGATTTGTGATATTATTTTTGCTAAAGGAATTCTTAGAAGAGACAACATATTTCCAAATATGACTTAATCAGGAGCCTCCTTAACACAACTCCAAAGACCTCGTGGCTTCAGAACACAGCTCAGTGCCCACCACCTGGCCCAGAAGATGCACTTGCTAGCTCTTGGCCTCCCTGCCCCCTCCTCTGCTCCAGGGGCACATCCTGGAGCCTGTGCTATAAGGACTTGCAAGCAGCCCCTCACATCTGCCACTGGGGACTTCTGCAACTTTCTTATTTGCCCCATCTTTCTCTGTAGAAGTGTTCATCTCTGTGTGACAGAGGGACTGCTGTGAAACCCCAGCATGTGGGGTTAAAGTGAGATTATTATATATATTTAAAGGGAGATTCATTTTGTGTCCCATGTCTGGTGGCAATATTATTTGGGATAATAATATTAATCAGTATTCAAAACTTTCCGTTATTTAAGTGTCAGATGATCACTGTGTGAGTTTAATTTTGTTCAGGGAGGCAAGAGTGAATGGTAGGTGAGGCCTTCGACTCTGACATCTGATGTTTGCCCCATGTGACTTCAGCAGCTGGTCACCCCTCAAGCACCAGGTTCCACCTTTCTCCAAACAGGGAAAGCCATGCTGCCTGCTTCACCAGTAAGAGTAGACGAGATGATGGATACAGAACCCCAACTGTCCTATGCACACATCATCCATGCTCACTTGGAGGCTGGTGTTATTTCTCATGCTCAGGTGTTGCTTGTGGAAGTCAGGCATATTATTTAAACATTTTATTTGCTTTAATATACAGTGTAACCAGGGTCATAATTTCACATGTCTTGGAAAATACTTTTCAGTGCAAGGAAGCCGTCTGCATTCCCAGCATGGAAACTAATTTTCCCAGTACCATGCGGCAAGTCAGGATGAGCATCTGGATCACTGGTCAGCCTCATGCCTTCTTCCACTTCTGTGCAAAGAATTCAGGCAGCCATTGTGGCAATCCTGATAACTGAGATTAAATCATTCTAGTTAATAGAGAGACTTGCCAGGACAACATCACCAAGTGCTGGAATTGGGGGAGGGTCTGAAGAGAAAAAAGATGAAGGAATTAAGTGGGGGTCAAGCCCATATAATGGCAGCACTTTCAGGTGCAGGTGGGTTTGAGCTGGAGGCCTAGAGGAGATGCTGCCTTTGATGCCATTGTCTGTCTAGACAAAGAGTCATTGTGTTCAGATGTTTTGTGTTTTCAATTTCTAACCCAGTAGGATCTGATTAATAACTGGCCCTGTCACCAGCATCAGGGCTGAACAATATGGTATTTTATTTTTATTCAACTCTAATCCAAGGCTACCTTCATTTGGACATCAATATCTAATTTGTTCAACGGTGGTGTCTTTTACTTTGGCAGTTCTTCTTTTCCTCTCATAGAGAAATAAGCAGTCTTCAAAGAAGCTTTTAAATACTTACAAGATTCCTTATTTCAGTTCACATTGGGCCACTAAATTAATGAATCATGATTAGGAATATGCATTTCTCCTTGCTTGAGTTCATCTGTAACTTTGTGAATGGGGTTTTACCCCTTTGTTGCAGGGTAAAGAAAGGGTCAGCATGTGACATTAACCTGGACATTAATTCGAAGTCTTGCTTAGGAAGATATCAACAATGGTGTTTCTTTAGATAAAACATAAAGGTACTTTAAATTGTTTCAGTTAATGAATGATTCCAGTTAGTTAATAAGAATTATCATATAAATTGAATGCCAATAAATTCTAGAAATTGTTCCACTATTTTACATATGAGTAACACATGAGAACCAGAAATTGCCTTTAAAAACTTAGCTATGAAGCCCACTGGCTTCACCAGAGGCATGTTTCAGAAGCTGCATAAATGAGTATCTTTGATTGGGACATTTAGGGTTCAGAGAAACAATTTACTAACTAGTTGTTGTGATGGCTGCAATTACTCTTTGGGTTTTAATTTTCTGAGTCAGTCCTAAACAGGTCAATCATTTCTTCCTAAATCGTTGGCCTATAATTAGGTGGTCTATGGCACACAAATTGTAATATGTGTTTCCTGGATGTATGGACCTGCCAGAGTAACTGCTGTGCATATGGAGAAACTATATATAACTGCACAAACTGGGACAGTTTTGGTTTTTGTAAATGAAAGTAAAACTATTATCATAATACAAATGTGAGCACACTTCTCTCCTCACAAGCTTTGTAATATATACCTTTAGAAAGAATGTTAAGAACTGCAGACAGCCAGATTTTCTATAGCAACCTTATCTTTTCAAACTTTAATTGCAATCACTCCCCACCTAATCTGACTCCCCTTTCACAATTCATACATGATTTTCTCACCATGCTTTAAGGGTATAAATATAACCATATGAAGTTTACTTCAAAATGTGTTCCACCAATATACTCTGCATGAAAATCACCTGCATGGTACTTAGAAACAGATTCCTCGACCCTATCCCAGACCTGCTGAACCTGGTGTGGTGTGGTGTGGTGTGGTGTGTGTGTGTGTGACACGTGCATGTGCACTTTGACAAGCCCTCATGGTAACTCTGGTATTCTCTACGTTTTGAGAACCAGCGTCTCTTGAAATTTAACGACCTAGTCTCCTTGCAGATATACAGCATGTGCTCCTGAGGAATTAACCTTTGTGCATGCTTTTTGTATTGCTCTACCCTTTTTAATCTCCTGCCCAGAGACGCTAATGCCATTGGACTTGATTGGGAAAGAAATAAGCGATAGAAAAGAAAGGCCAACACCACAACTGAAGAGGCTTTCTGTATGTGACTGTGTGGCTTGCTTCTGATCAGGAAAACATAAGTTTCTGAATAACTGACAACCCTTTCTTCCTTTCTTGGTGATGAATGCCCTACATTCAAAGATGTTGCCTATCTTTGCTGGGCTTCAGAAGACTTCCAGCAGGGTTTACAATGCTCCTCTTAATAGCAGATTTCTATTTTTTCCCCAAATTAACTCATAATAAAGCAACACTTATTAAGCACATGTAAGATGCCAAGTTCTGCACTCAGCTTCCACATCAGTTCGTTTTCCACTTGAACAACTGAAAATACGTATTTGCATAGGGCAGAAGGCAGCACAGTTTATGTTCAAAAAAATACAGAATTTTTCCCTCCAGTAAATTGCATATTACTCATAAAACAAGCCCAAAACTACAGCCTCACTAAAATTCTTGGTTTTCCTACACTGTGGGAATTGAAATAGAATTTCATCAGCAGCTATGTGCTAAGCACCTCCTACATGCAAGAGACATCTATGGGGTGACATGCAAAGATGTGCAAGTTAAATTGGTTCTATCTTCAATGAATTTTAAGGATAGTTCTGTTGTCAGTGGGCTGGTTCAGATTCTTGACTTTGCCACACAAAAGAATTTGAAAGGGAGTTCAACGTGAATGTACGTAAAGAAGCATATCCTTTTCTTTGGATATATATCCAGGAGTGAGATTGCTGGATCATATGGTAGTTCAATTCTTTGCTTATTTAGAAAACTCCTATGCTAATTACCCTGATTTGATCATTACATATTATATATATGTATTGAAATATCACACTATGCTCCATAAATATGATAAATATGTGCAATTATTGTGTCAATTTAAATATATATAAATGAAATCCATTTAAATTTTGTGACCCTTGATGAAAATATTTCAGCAAATTATTATTTACCACAAAAAAATGAAGGCAGGTGGTATAAAGTAAAAGATATTTTGGTACAGCATAACATTATTCTGTAGGCCACACAATTTAACTTCTTGGTTACTGTATTTAGATCTGTATTTTGTAGTTTCATCACTTCTAATTAGTTAAATGTAATATTTATGGTTATTTCTATAAAATATTTGTGGACCTACTTTTCTAATGTTGTTTATGACATCTTGAAATAAGATAACTCCCTTCAGGAAAAAAAATTTATTAGTTGCTAGTTTTTTGTTCTGAAAAGACCTCAGAATTTTTTGGCTCCTCTAAATATCGTGTACATCATGGTGTTTTTGTCACTGAAATACCAGGGACTTGAAGTCCTGTTGCTTGCTGCATAGAAAGCAAATCACTGAGTATTGCCAGAGAAGAAGGCTTTAATCAGGTGCTGCAGTTGAGGAGATGGGATATCAGTCTCAAATCCATCTCCTCATCTGACTGCAATTGAGAGACTATGTAGCAGGGAAGGAATGTAGCTATATGCTATATATACAGGAAAACAGGAATGAGGGAGGAGTAGGGAAGAGGTGTTTCCATTTCTTGATATTAGCCTTAGGTTGGTTTTCTGAGAAAGAAACTCAGATAAGACAATGGTTTCAAGCTTTAAGACTAGTAGGGTCAATTTCTATGTTTATTAAAAGGAAAAAACATAAACATCAGTTCTACCAGGAAATTGGGCCATTTCAGTGCCCTCTTTCTATATACCAATTCCTCAATCATGGGGAATCTTGTCATTGATCTTTCTGGCTGCTTCAAGCAGAGGAGGGGCATGGTGGGATAATGAGTAATGAGAATCTCATATCTATAATTGGAAGTGCTCATGAGTACCTGGTTAGCATCTGGCTTGTTGGAGCCCCACGATCTGGGTGAATTTATTATGATTTTAGAGCAACATTTCAAGCCATATTGACTAAGAGCTAATAGCATAGATAACCCAAATTTAAGCATTTTGTTACACCCATCTGAGTTCAGGAATTTAGAGAAGCAAAGTTCCCCAGTTTTTCAGCTTTTAGGCATCTGTGTGCCCATCCTTGATTTAGAAGGTCTGAACTAATTTTATCTCTCAAAATCAGCCCTTAAAATCTTACTCACTCACCTTTTATGCAGTAGTCCCTTGACCTAAAGGGATTGAATAGATCTAATTTTTTGCTCTGTGTCTCAGAAAAGCAGTTCATTTTGATTGTCACCTTCTCCAGGGTCTGAAGAGGAGGCTTTGACTGATGTCAATATTCAAGATTTATCAGGAATGGATGCCTTTTTCAGACCAAGGAGTCAAAACCCTGCAACTTAACAGCAGGAGGATTAGTTAATAGGACATTTATCAAGGATGTTAAAAGACTAAAAAATTGGATCAAAACAGAATCACAGGTCATTGTAAAGTAGTAGCTACTTATTTAACCAAAGTGATCATCAAAAAACTTTTAAAGCATAGAATAAAATTATAAGCATTTTATCCATAATATGCAGATAGACTACTTTGCTATAAAATAAATTTCTGCAATATAAATGATCAAATATAGTATATATATTTATGCTAAGAACAGAAGCCAGTGTTTATTAAACTGTTTAAAAACATAAAGAACATTTTAAAATTGTGGTTACATTTACATATAATGGAGAAAGTTCTTTCATTCTCTCTAACTTGTCACAAATTAAAACACTGTGATGGGGTGTTGAGTAGTTACTGCCTGCAGGACCTCAAACCACTGTAATTAAGTGGCTAGGTTACATATGACCCAGCAATCTCACTGCTGGGTATATACCCAAAAGAAGAGAATCAGTATATTGAAGAGACATCTCCACTCCCTTGTTTGTTGCAGCATTATTCACAGAAGCCAAGGTTTGGAAGCAATCTAAGTATCCATCAACAGATGAATAGATAAAGAAAATGTGGTACATATGCATCATGCAGAACTATTCAGCCACAAAAAAAGGATGAGATCCTGTCATTTGCAAAAATATGGATGTTACTGGAGGTCATTATGTTAATTGAAATAAGCCAGACACAGAAAGACAAACATCACATGTTCTTAACTATGTGTGGGATGTAAAAATCAAAACAATTGAGCACATGGAGACAGAGAGTAGATGCATAGTTACCAGAGGCTAGGAAGGGTAATGGACAGTATAGGAAAGGTGAGGATGGTTAATGGGCACAAAAACTAGTTTGAGAGAATGAATAATATCTAGTATTTGATAGCACAACAGGGTGACTATAGTCAAAGTAACTTAACTATGCATTTAAAAATAACTAAAAGAGGATAATTAAGTGGTTTGTAACACAAAGGATAAATGCTTGACAGGGTAGATATCTTATTTTCCATGATGTGATTATGATGCATTGCATGCCTGTAACAAATATCTCATGTAGCCCCTAAATATATACACCTAATATGTACTCACAAAAATTTTTTAAAAATTATAAAGTGGCTAGGTTACTCCCTGCATGTATCTAAATGCTAGCATTTTGGAGACAGGCTATGACCAAAAGCATAAAAAATGTGGTAGGTCCTATGGCAAACTTATCTAAATCAGACAATTAACTTTTCTTTCTATCATTTAAAAAAATGATATATGCAAATACCAGTTTTGGAAATTCAGTATGAAGATAAATAATCTCCTTCACTTAAATAGTATACACAAAACAAGGACACAGTAGAAACAAGCACAAAATAATTTATTTTCAGCTATTTTAAAAGAGCATCATCACACAATTACAAAATTGGTTTCTAGATACAGTACTGACAGCCAATTAGGTAACTTTTACCACTAGAAATCTTCAAATCAGTGCAACACTTATACATATTTTGTTTTTAAGCACAGACATGAATCCCCAACAGTGATAAAAGGCTTGGGATCAAAAATCATTAGAACGTCTCACATTTTTAAACTGCTACCTAATCCAGGTGAATGCCACTTAATTTTAATAACAATTAAAACAACTAAAGTAGCTTGAGAGAAATCCCAGTCAATATAATTTCCTTAAGGACAAGGCCAAACTTTCCAGAACTTTGAAACTTATACCATATCACAGTTTTTCCTCATTACAATATCTGAAACCAGTTCAAACACTGATCAAATTGAATTATCTTGAAAATAAAAACCATTTAAAGGTTTCTACTCTCACCTACTTTTACAAATAGTAAGATAAAGTAGGTACTATCTCTGTTCAGAACTTATAAAAGTAAGTCTTTTATTTTTGGCCAGAAATATTAAAGCTCTTAAAGCTCTCCAGATCATCAGAGGTAACCATACCAATCAAATTTTAAGTGTCTTGTGTGCTCTATCAACTTTTAGAGGCTTGATGAAGGTAGTTTAGGATTTTTAGATAAGTAGAGCAAATGATGAATTGTTGGAAATGCATAGAAACAAAATGACTATCCATAGAACCAAATAAAAGTCTTCCATTACAAAGTTTGAAAAATCAGTTTACTTAGTAAAACCCAAAGAAGAGCAAACAGCAAGAAAAAAAACAAATAAATAGGAACATGACTCACAATTTTTTTCCACTCAGTTTACATTGGAGGCTAGTGTTACTCAGAGCCTAAAATGAGCACATGTGGGACAATGTCACATGTGGGACAATTTCACATATGGACAATGTCAATTGGCCAAATTTATCCAATTTTCTATCTGGTTTTAAAGAATATTTTATCTAAAGTTTTTGAAATCTTGATTTTCTCTGTGTGTACATCAAGATACACATACAGAGAAATAGAAAATAACTACACATGACTTACACAGACAATGTATGACATGCTTGGGCTTTCTGTTTTGTCCTAAATTTTCTTTTTAAAATAACCAGTCATTTTAGTTCAAAACAAAAATTTCCCATATGAGATCTTTCCTCATACGAAATTATTCTTTCTTTTTTCTCTTCCCTACCAAAGAAATGCATCTTTATATCCATAACTTTCCTTACATCTCTCTCCTCTACTTACTCTTTTCTTTCTACCTGGTTTGTAAATAATCTTTCTAAGTCTTTAATTTCAATTAACCTTTAGATAACTGTTGAATTAGACAAAAGTATTATTTTCTTCAATAAGAATACATCTTCTTTGGCATATTTTATGTACAGAATTATGTATTAACCATAATATCTATTCTTAGTAACCTTGAATTTTGGCGAAAACATTGGAAGCAAGAAATCTGAACTATCTATCAGATATTAGCATTTTATAGATGAAAACATTCCACATTTTTAAAAATAGTGTTTCCCCATATCATAACCCTTTCTTAATTGGAAATTACCAAGGTATCTAATGAGTATCAAAAATAATTTTAAGATTTAAAATTATACAAAAAGTTTACCTACAAGCATTTATCCTATTTGCATGTACTCAATTCTTTCAATTTTAACAGTTTATCTAGATTACCTCTGAAAACTGAGATGTTAGATAAAGCTAGCCATCATTTCAAGTAATCTCCTTGTTAACTATCTTAATAGCATGTGAATATCTGGCATTCACCTAAGTAATGACCTTAAAGTTAAATATATGGGCATTTTCACCAAGAACTCAGGATATTCAGCTGTTTTCATTAAACCAACAACATTAAATTAGTCTTATTTATCAAAAAAAAGTCATACAAACAAAGATCATTTTGCTGTGAATGGGTTTGTAGTTTCATAACCTTGTGTGCCAAACCTTGACACCTCAAAATATGTAGCAGAGACAAATATAAAACACACACACACACAAATGTATATTGACAATTCTGAAGACATTTCTATTTTTATTTTACCAATAATTTTAAAGCCCACTTGTTTATTAAAGATTTACTTAAGTTATGTGAACTTCAATAATGTTTGTATTTGTTTACTTAATCTATGAGCACTGTTTCATTTATAAGCCAGTTTGGTGTCCTGTGAAAACAACACATAACATCAGGATATATATACACACAGACAAACAAAGACCTAATAGTTTTACCACAGAACACTAGCCACAAGATAGCAGTACAAACTCAGTGGTTTACCTACATGTTCACATGGGTAAACTTTGCTTGCTCCAGTAGGTAATCCAGTGAAGACTGTGAAACAAAATTTTGGATAAAGCAGTTTCCGTGACAGTTTGATTTTTGATGGCCAAACCTTCCCAGACTCTAAAGAACACTGCGGCCAAACTGCACCCCAGGAGGACATCATGTAGTAACCAGGCCCAACCCTGCTTAGAACAGCGGCATAAAACCTGGATGCAAGGAACTCCATCCTGCTTTCCCATTCACTAGCAAAATGAATCCAACTGTGAGATAGCACTACAACTCACAGACCTTTCGAAATCAGAAGAGAGCTGGCACGTTCAGGGTGGTGTGGCTGCAGACCTTCCCTTGCTCCATCAGACCAGAACTCTGCTCAGACCAACCTTGAAGAAGAAACCCACACAGGCTGCACTCTGGAATGGAACCCAACCACCCAAAACTCCATCAACACACACACACGCAATCGCCAAAATACAGTCCAACTGCTGCAACAACAAACAAGCCCCAAGGGTGTCCAAATGGGAACAATGGGGGTGCTTTCTTTCTCCACAGGTTGGGTTTGTTCAATCTGAAAATGGAAATTCCTCTAGAATTTCCTAAATTGAGAGGAGCAGATCCCACTGTCTGGACCCACAAAGGACACTCACTTGCACGCACATGTGCACACGCACACACGCAATTAGTGACAACCCCCAAGAGCGTCCACAGTAAAACAATTGGGGTGCTTCCTCTCTCTGTTCGTTGGGCTTGTTCAACCTGCAAACGGAAATTCCTTCAGATTTTCCCAAATTTAGGGAGCCATTCCTGCTCTCTAGTACCCACTAAAGACACTTGCCCAGTTAAACTTCAAAGGTAGTTCTTCCTAGGCAACCAGTAACACAATTGGGGCTGGCAGGATGGCAGGATGGGGCCAGAGAGAGAGAGAGAGAGAAACCCACTTCCAGCCAAAAATGGGCAGGCAGCTGTTTAAGGGGGGCTCCCAAGATTCTCCTATCTCCCAGCAGCCGAGCTATGAGCACTGTCCTACCTGTCAGGGAACAAAAATCTGCTGCCAAAATGCCAGGGGTTTGTCTCGGTCGTATTGCTCACCGCACAGGAAGCCAGTCACTGAGACGAGTACTGCCAGGGAAGAAGGCTTTAACTGAGTGCTGTAGCTGAGGAGACGGGAGACCAGTCTCAAATCCATCTCCCCATCTGGCTAAAATTGGAGGTTTATATCATGGGGAAGGAACATAGCTATAGGCAGGAAAACAGAAATTTGGGAGGGGTAAGGAAGAGGAGCTTTAGTTTCCTGATACAATCTGCAAGGCCTGAGGGTCAATTTCCTGAGACAGGAACTCAGATAAGACAAATGTGTTTCAAGCTTTAAGGCCGGGAGGATCAATTTCTATATAAAAAAGAAAAACATAAACATCAACTTGGTGGGGAAAATCAGGCCAGTTTTGTTTTCCTCACATTTCCCCTGGGCCAGGACCCAGGAAGGTCCCCAGGGCAGTCATGTGTTCCACCCTCATTTCAGACTGGAATAGCAACAGCTGCCTGCTGATCTAGAATCTTAGGAGTGGATGGAGAGATAATCACTTCCTGGGAAACTGTCCTTAATGAGTTGCAATCATTTTCAGCCTGTTTCAACCTATCTTGTCCTCCAAAGACCCGTAGCTAGGTCTGTGGCTGCCTTTCTCCCTCATGCCTGCCCCACTGTGCAGCCCCGAGCAATGAAATCAGAGCTACACAGGGCAGAGCCTGGGCCTGAACAGGGGCCACCTGACTCAAAAGGCTGCACTGTAAAACCTCGTTTAATTTACACTTCTCTCAATTCGTGTTTTTTTGTTTGTTTGTATTTATATTTTTCATAGAGACAGGGTTTCACCGTGTTGGCCAAGCTGTTCTCAAACTCCTGACCTCAGATGACCCACCCACCTTGACCTCCCAAAGTATTGAGATTACAAGCATGAGCCACAGTGCCAGGCCAATTTGTGTTTTTAAGATTTGATTTTTGTGTCACAACTTCTTGGTCTCAGTGTTGGCACCGCGGTCTGGACCTCTCTTGGGTGTGAACTGAAGCTGGCCAGGCCTTGTTGACATTATCTGTGTTGTTTGTGACACGGATAATTCACTTCAGTTTTGGAACATTTGTTGCATGCCAGATGTTTATTTGTTCTTCAACCATAATGAAGGGTAGAATTGAGGTAAACTTAGAAGAATTAATTCATTCATGTCTTAAAAATTATGTGTTGCTTTTCTGTTCTGTGTCAGGTGCTGCCCTAAGTCCTGGTTAAAAGTGGCCAGAACCTCATGGAGCTGCCATTGTAGGGGCAGAGACAGGCGGGAAGGCAGGGAATGAGAGGAGAGAGGAAGGGAGGGAAGGTGGCTGTAGACCAATGCCAAGTGCAACTACCAAGCAAATGCATAGCAGGGGAGGAAGGGAAAGAGGACGGTGTGGGGATTTCAGACAGCATTAGGGACATGCACAGGTGCTGCCCTGCACTCAGTGAGGCAGCTGTGGGACACTCTTCGCAGAGAGCTGACACGAAGGCGTCACCTTCCTCGGGAGGAAAATTAAAACCTCCTCGTGTAGTAGCAGAAAGCTTAGCAACACAGTAGCCTGCAGTGATGTGGAAAGTCAGAAAGGTACCTAATGAACTGGGTGACCTAGTTATGGAAATTTCCAGCCAGTGATGACGGTGCCATTTGTTTTGTTTCCTTGCTGTTTATGATAATATTCAAGGGGAGAAATATAAGCTGTAGGAAAAACAACAAAAAATCCAGGCTTTGCTGGTAAAGATTCCCAACCTTCCCCAATGGCAAATAATGCTAAACTTAAGACATATCTTCTAAGCAAAGATCAAATCCAAGACACTCTCAGGAAAGCATAGCCTAAAGATGAGGCTAAGAGTATGACTCTTAAACGCTTTATTTGAGTGGTGCCTCAAAATACTATTCAATCAGCCAAAAGACTCTCAGATATCTAACAAGATGACTTACTCACAGACCCTCTCAATCAAACAAAAGGACTTTTAAGAAGGTTAAGGCATTGTCTCTGAGCAGAAGCCTAAGGTAGAGAAGGGCTTATTTCAGACTGATTTGTGGGTGTGACTTTTGTCTAATGGAATAACACTCAATGAGATTCACACATTTTTTAAAAAATTATATCTGACAAATCACCATCAGTGTATGAAAGGATCGAAACAGTGCATAATAAGATGGGCCATTCCTCCTAGCAGGAAGCCAGTTGAGAAAATTACTCAGCTGCAAATGTGTGCTACCTTTCATGGAAAAAGAAGGATTCAGATAGTGGAAACAAGAATCCCAAGGACCAGTTGAGGAGGCACAGAGAAGAACAGATGGGCATGAGTAGGACTGAGTCCTAAACATCCAACATTTTTTAAGCTGGATTCCAGAACTGCTGCAGCCAGGGGTGCTGGTGCACCTCTTGTTTCCCTCTTTTTGAATAGGAGGGCTGAAGGTGGTTCTTACTGTTTTATTCTGCTGAGCCCAGAGCTGGCATCACCCCAAAAGTGGCAGCAGAGGAGGTCCCACAACAGAGAGCCCCAAACCCTCCCATGATGGGGCCAGTTGGGATTACAAAGAAAGAAGCACTAAACTTCAGTCCAGAGCATTATTTGGGGAACTTAATTAACAGAGGGCTGCAGCAATCCTCGCGATACACAGTGTGAGAAAAGGCTGCTCTGCCTACACAAGTCCACAGTGAGGGGTCAGGGCATGAGGCCAGTTTCTTTCAGTGTTTGGGGCAACAACCTAGATACCCTTATCAGTGCCTGAAAATGTTCAAGATATAACTTTGTTTGATTTGAGCCTGCTTCGAAGAACCTGTAGCTGTCTGAGTCACAGAGATCAAGACATTCTGTGGTTTTCTGTCCAGACACAGAAGGAAAGAGGGGGTATCTGGGGACTCTACACCTATTCCTGTACCCATTTTATGTTGAGGGGGAAAGATCTGATCTTTTCAATTCAAGAGTTGTGAGGAACTATAACAGACCACGGATTTCAGCTGATGGGATGGGATCACTTTTATAGGAGTCTTGGGAAGGGTTGAGTTATTTTGCATGTCTGATGGACAGAACTCATTGAGGCCAGAGGGAAGATGGTGGCATACAGCCCCTGGGATGGGTCCCAGGCTTCTAATAGTCACATCCCTCAGTGGTTTCCTCCCACAGTGCACCAGCATTGGGATGGCAGAACTGGTGATGTGGTACCTCTGGGATAAGGCAACAAAAGACACTGTGGCTTGCATTTTGGTAGCTCTCTCCCAGCCCACTGTCCACAGGGAAAGCCAACTGCTATGTTGTGAGCAGCCCTATGAGAGGCCCACATGGTGAGGAGCTGGGGCCTCCTGCCCACAGCCATGCAAGAGCATTTAGAAGCAGATCTTGCAGCCCTGATCAAAACCTCAGATGACTGCAACCTTGGATGAAACTTGGCAATAGACCCTGAGCCAGAGCCAACCAGCTAAGATGCTCCTGGACTTCTGACCCATAGCACTGTGAGGTCATGAATTTCACCATGCCTCAGGGTATTTTGTTACATAGCAGTGGATAACTAGTACACAAGGTAGCATTGTGCTGCCCTAAAGCTGACTCTAGATAATGTAATAACGGTCTTGGTCTACAATCTGGTGTGCTGAGGAAGAGCAACTGTGGAGGAGGCTGGGAGCCACTTTAGTAGGTGGTAACTCCCTCAGTGCCATCTGCTAATAGTAGGAGTCAGACTTTGACTACTGTCTCTTGACTCTGCCCTCAGGGGAGGGCCCTTCCGAGGGAGCAGTGGTCAAGAGCAAGGTGCTGTGCCAGGCTGCTGCTGCTGAGAAGCAGGTGCTGGGAGCTGCTGCTGCTAAGAGCATCTGCTCAGAAAGAAGGGTGCCAAGGGCACCTGCAGTAGCTGGGGGAACACCTGGAGGCCCAACTTTACCATTTTCCATGAGGCAGAAACCTTGTTGGTTTACCACTGTAGCCTCAATGGCTCACAAAGAGATAGCTTGCTTTTCAGATTCACCTACCTATAGGATTTACTTTTGACATCTATAGGACAATAGAGATTGGCTCCCAATTTATTGCTTAGGTTTTTTTGTTGTAATTTAAAATGTATAGAAAAGTTGCAAGAGTTGTAGAAGGAGCTCATATATATATATGCAGATTTACTGACAATTTACAATTTGCCAAATTTGGTACCTATTGATCTATTTACTTGAGAGTAAATTGGGGACATTGTGCCCCTTTTATCTTTAAACAGTTCAG
This sequence comes from Homo sapiens, assembly GCF_000001405.40. Lineage (NCBI taxonomy): Eukaryota > Metazoa > Chordata > Mammalia > Primates > Hominidae > Homo > Homo sapiens. The sequence continues at coordinate 23,970,662 of NC_000020.11, forward strand.
CATGTGTTTCTCAAGAAGAAGGATATCCTATTATATAACCACAGTACAGTTTTCAGAGTCAAACAATTTAATATTGATATAATGCCATTATGTAATCCACAGCCCATATTCAGATTTCATCAATTGTCCCCAAAGTTTTCTCTTCCCCTCTCTAAAATCCAATACAGGATTACATGGTCCATTGACTGATGCATCTTCTTGGTCTGTCTTAAACCTAATCACTTTCACAGTCTTTATGTGGGCCTCTTGATCATGGATTTTGTCTTAAAAAAAAAAACAGAGTAAAGCCAGTTACTTTGTAGGATGCCCTTGACATGATTTTTCAACTTCACGATTAAATTCACATGATGTATTTTTTGGCAGGAATGCCACAGAGGTGGCACTTTGTCCTTCCCAGTGCACACATGAGAAGACGCATGACCATGGCTGCCCCTACGTTAGCGATGTTAACCTTCATCCCCGGGTTAAGATGGTGACTCCTGGGGTTCTCCAAAAAGAGGCTATCAATTTCATCTTTATAATTAGTAGGGATCTAGCAGGGAGATGTTTGGAGACTATGTAACTATCTTGCTCCTCATCAACCTTTAATCCAGTAGTTTTATTATTCATTGATGTTCTAACTTTACTTTTTCCACATTTATTTGTTCATATTCCTATCAGAAAAAATACTTTCTTCTCATTTGTTTATTACTTTGTGCATTCATAACAATAAGAACTTTTGATGCTTATTTTATTCTATATGTTATGGTACCTAACTAGTATAATTCATATTGTTGCTGTATTGTCAGATGTGCTCAGCAGGAGGCCTGTCAGCAACCTCCTGTATCCTTTGGCATGACCTCATGCTTCTTGAAGAACTTCCTTATTTTATGGCTTAACATGATGTTTTGGTTTCAATTTATTTTTTCTTAAGAGCAAAGCAATAATTTCTTACTGGGCCCCTGGTGGGGTTATTAGCCTATAAAGAACTCTACAGTATGGACTCCTTGAAATACATCCTCAGGCCCTTGTATTCTTTATACAGTTAAAAAATAAGGCATACATTCCCTCCCATGGGACTTTGTGTGAAATGGAAGCTTTGAAATGTGAAAACCTTCACCTCAGAGGAACAGCTGGTGAAGAGATACCATTAAGACAGAAATGGCTTGGAGTAGAAACACATTTGCATCCAAACAGTTGCATCCAAACATTTGCATCCAAACATTTGCATCCAAACAGTTGCCTCAAGAACTCTCCTTCTTGGCTGCCCCTTGGGTTAGCTTTGCAGGTCATGCTTTTCTGATATCCAGTGAGTCTGTCAATATTTTGGCAAAGAAGGCATCCCCTCTGTCCTGGTACCATAGGATTCCTGGCACAACGCCTGCTCCTCTGTTTTGTGGAGGTGAGGTTGCCACAGGTCAGTGTCTCTGCCAGGTGACAAGGCTTAATCTGCTGGATTTAATCTACTGGATTAAATTTCCTTATGAGGTAGAAGATGGAATGGAAATAAACTCACCTCGAGTCTGCATCCTAGCACAACAGAGGTGGAAAGGACTTCTGACAAATTCACAAATGATTCTTGCCCTATTATTTGTGTTGATTACATGCACTCCATTTCTTGATGATGAAAATGCCTTGATGATGAAAAATGCATAAAATGAAGCCCTCGATTTAAAATAAATCAGGCGAAATGTAAGATGAATGTAATCAATTCTAAAATTAAAAAGATTAAAGTACCAACAGTGGCTGCATCATGAAGACCATCCTGGTCTACGGTGTTTCTGGTCCATTCTAGAACCTGTGCCCACAGTTGGGTGAAAATGATCCCGATAGGATGAAAAAGCATACTTTGCTTAATGGAGGGAGGGAGGTGGAGAGGGGTTGAAAACAGAAATTGATCAATGTGTTCTGGCAGCCAGGGGCTTGGCTTTGCCTTAGAAACTTGCTTTGGCTTCTTCAGAGTCCCGGGGCAAAGGAGAATGAAAGGCCATCGGCTTTCATTCATTAAGGGGTTGGCTCAGGCTGGAGGGCATTTCCCCTTAATTAGAGGTTTCTCAAAATGGATTAATGAACTATCCTAGAAAGAGGGCTCTGCCTTCAAATTGCTGTGTGAAGAGCTATGTACTCCATTCTTGCTCTCCCAATCCCTGTGTGTACTTAGCATTTTAAAGATCCCAGAAGTCCTTCAGTCAAGACCCCTGGCTCCCTTTGTTTAACTCAGTGTTCTCCGAGCTTATTGGACTGAGGACCATCAGGTGCCCACAGACCAGGGCCAGGGCAATCCTGCTCAGTTTCACTGAGCGCTGCTTGCTCGGATCCCGACTCCCGTGAGAAGTCAGGATGTGGTTCCTGCTCAGAGGGTTTCCCAGTTCTGTGCAAAAGTTGGCATGCCTGCAGAGACACAGTGAGGTCCCAGAGCAAAGTAGAGGGCATCAGAGCATGGGCTCTGCAAGCCACTGTCGGGGGCTGAGTCCTGGCTCTGCTCAGTAGTGCTACTAAGAAAATTGCTTATCCTTTCTGTGTCTCAGTTTCCTCATCTGTAAAAGGGGTGCAATGATAATACCTGTCTCACAAGTGTCTGTGTAGATTGGGCACATGAGGCAATATGTGTAAAGCACTTAGAACAGCACCCGACACACAGGACATGCCCCAAATTGGTAGCTGTTGTTCTTAGGAACTCAGGTGCTTTCGGCAGCTCTGGCTAGAGTGGAGCCTTAGACCTCTTGTGCATTACAGCAAGGGGAGGGCATCTCCACATGTGCTTATTACTTCTCCAAGTAGAAACTGTGAGTCCATGGAACAATGCAGTTACACCTTCTCCTTTCTTTATTTGGAATACAAGTTTTCTGTTCTCTATCTGTGCAGGTGTCCATATAGAAAGCCATGAGCAGAAGGACTTTAAACAGAGTGCATTTGCCAAGATGGGAAAGACTGTGGGAGATGTAGCTTTAGGGGACCTCTGACAGACTGGCTTCGGATGTGTAAATTTGAGACACCTATTAAATATCAAAACAGAGATGTTCTTGGGAAGTATAAGCTAGAATTTACAGGCAAGATGAGGACAGGAGTTACAAATTTAGATGTCATCACCAAATAGATGGTATTTGAAGCCAAGAGACTGGAAGAGATTCCCAAGGCAGCAAGTGGACAAAGGAGAGAAGACCAAGGGCTGAGCCCCTGGAAGCCAAAATTTAGAAGTCTGAGCAAAATTATAGATTGTGAGACAACATTGTTGGCTATAAGAATGAAGAATGGATGACAAAGGTTTGAAGTTGCTTCTGAAGCTTGGTCTTGCAGGAACTGAAAGCTGTTGGGTGACACAATGACCAATTTCAAGGATTCTGTGCCAATGATCCATGTCCAGAAGGGATAACTTGTATTTCCTTAATGCCTGGCAGCATGGAGATTCTAAGAAGCTTCACCCTGAGGTCACTGTCCAAGCTGGGCAGGGATGCTGCCCTCCCAGCTCTGGTCCCCTCAAAGCAGCTCTGAGGATCTGACTGCCAGTCAACAGTGGGTTCACTCCTGTGAGGAAGACCTTAGTGGCAGGTGTCAAGAAGGGCAGCAGTGGGAGTTGATTAGTTCTCTGGGTAAAGGTTACAGGCTGTACATTATGCACAGAATTCAAGGGAAGCTGGTAGCAATTTCAAATACAAGTATCATTTTGCTAAAGCGAAGTATGGCTTAATTGATTGGCATTATTTTAAAGTATGAATCTTCTCAACTGTAGTAGCTGCAGAAGTGCCTGGCTTTCTTCCCTGGTTCGAGAAAGATCACCATCCTGAGTTCTGTGACTCCCTGGCTTGAGGATGAAATGGTCCAACTCTGTACTGCAGGGGAGTGTTGCTTGAGGCCTTCCTCTCCATCCCTCATTTCATCTTCTCTGCCTGACTGACCAACGGTTTCTACTTTGTGCCTGGGGAGATGCCTCTTAAACTTGAAGCCTGGAATTGTCACCCATAAATGGGGATGCTTCATAGAAATCAGCTCTCTATCCATTCACCCATTCATTCACTCATATGTCCATTCATCCATCCACTCACTAACCTATTTATCCACCCATCCATTGTCCATCTGTCCACCCATCCACCCATCTACCCATCTATGTAACCATCCACCCATCCAACAACACAAATTATTAATCTATCACATGCCATGAGCTCTGCTGGGGCTGCTCCTGGGAGGAGGCGGATGAGTAGACACAGTGCAGTGCAGCACCATAGGTAGAGGGCACACAAGGAGGTGCACAGGTGGGGAGCTAGGAAATCTCTTTACAGGAGCTGTCATCTAAGTCTATCTCAGTGATTCTGAACTGCAGATGATTTTGCTTCCTACGTGACATTTGGCAATGCTTGGGGACATTTTTGCTTGTCGCAACTAAAGAGATGGGATCGACAGCTGTGCATGGAGGCCACATGACAAAGCCCACAATGAAAAGAATAATTTGACCCAGCATATCCATAACGCTAAGGCTGAGAAACCCTGCCCTGGAGTGACAGGCGAGTGGTGAGGAAGGTAGAAAGGGGCTGAGCGGGTCTCAGGGAGCACTGGGCATGTAGGGGGCGTGGTCCTGCACTGTCGGAGCCCTTGGGAGCTAGGAGTGACAGAGGTGCCAGATTCTCAACTGTCTTGAAGGCAATTGAGAGAGGCGACTGGTTTTAAGCAGGGGAGGGACCTAATCAGGTTCAGGTTTTCAAAATGTGAACTACTCCAGCAGCAGTGTGAAGGGTGGTCCCAGGCAGGGGTGGGGGCCAGCACCAGGAATTGGGGGGGCCACAGGCACATAGGGGATGCCTCCTACCTGTAGGACCTCATGACCAGGATCCCTGGTATTCTATGTTTAATACTTTCACTTTTGAATATATGGTATACTGCACATTCCTTTTGCCACATTTCAATAGTTCTTTATCTTTTTATCTTTTTAAAATGTATTTTTTTTGTTGTTTTTTTGAGATAGAGTCTTGCTCTGTCTCCCAGGCTGGAGTGCAGTGGCACAATCTTGGCTCACTGAAACCTCTGCTTCCTGAATTCAAAAGATTCTCCTGCCTCAGCCTCTCCAGTAGCTGGGATTACAGGCGCCTGCCACCACACCCTGCTAATTTTTTTGTATTTTTGGTAGAGATGGGGTTTCTCCATGTTGGCCAGGTTGGCCTCGAACTCCTGACCTCAGGTGATCTGCCTGCCTCAGGCTCCCAGTGTGCTAGGATTACAGGCATGTGCCATTGCGTGGCCTTTTTTTTTTTTTTTTTTTTTTTAGAAATTGTTTTTAATAATATTTCTTCCAAAACACAGACCAGATGATATGAAAGGGACTGTCACTGCATTTGGGTCTTAGAAAGTGGGTCTGGGGCAGCCATGGAACGAAGGCTGGACCCTTGCTGACATCAGAAGCACCCCTAGAATCACACTGTAGCTGGAGATGAAATTCATGGTAGTGCCCAGAAAATGGGAGCAGCCGCAGCCCGCTCCAGTCATTCCGAACGTGGACAATTCCCTAGCAGAATTCTAGGCTAGCCCATTTTTCTGGCCTTAGTTCTGACTAACCAAATGAAAGATTTAATTTAACCCAAAGAAAAATCAATTTCCCCTTTTAATTTTAATTGGACCTTTCAGCTGTTGAGAGCACTGCAAAATGAACTTCATTCCCTGGATCCAGGTATCTGGATCTGTTGGGGAAAAAAAATTAGAAACTATGTATAAAACTTAAAAATATTCAAGCATCGAAAGGTTATTTAGGATGAAAGTTTTAAAACAAGTCATCAGCAAGCTGCTACCACCAAGTGGAGACTTATGCAAAAGTTGAGCAAGTCCACTGAGCTGAGAGGACAGAAATGAAGTCACCTGTGCTGGGGCAGGGGCAGGGACACTGGGGGCAGGGAGTGTGTGGGCAGAGAAGCCAGAGACGTCCAGGCCTGTGGAAGCCAAACAGGAGAGCATGGGCCGGAAGGGCGGTCAGGATCGGGGGACGATCCTAATAATACTACTAATCTAATAATACTTTTCTTCTTAAAGTCTACTTCATTAAAAATAGTTATGCTGGGCATGGTGGCTCATGACTGTAATCTCGGCACTTTGTTGGAGGTCGAGGTGGGTGGATCACTGAAGCCCAGGAGTTCAAGACCAGCCTGACGAACATGGAGAAGCCCTGTCTCTACTAAAAATACAAAAATTAGCCAAGCATGGTGGCACATGCCTGTAATCCCAGCTACTCAGGAGGCTGAGGGAGGAGAATTGCTTGGACCCAGGAAGTGGAGGTTGCGGTGAGCTGAGATTGTGCCATTGCATTCCAGCCTGGGCAACAAGACCAAAACTCTGTCTCAAAAAAACAAAAAAAAAAAGAAGTTACTAGCTAGTTTCAGTAATTCTTAACATCCAGGAAACTGGATGTGAAAGCTTTTCAGAGAAACTAAACCAATAGGTTATACATAGAGAGAGATTTATTTAGGAATTGGCTCACATGATTGTGGGGACTAGCAAGTTTAAAATCTGTAGGGCAAGCCAGCAGGCTATAAATTCAGGTAAGAGTTGATCTCGAAGTCTGGAACCTAAAATCTGTAGAGCAGTCAGCAGGCCAGAAACTCAGGCAGGGTTTGTGTGTTATAGTCTTGAAGCAGAATTCCTGCTTCTCTTGGAAACCTCAGTTTTTGTTCTTAAGGCCTTCAACTGATTGGAGGTGGCCCACCCATATTATGGTGGGTAATCTGTTTTACTTAAAGTCAATTGACTGTCAGTGTTAATCACATCTATGAAATATTACCTCCCAGCAAGATATTGACAAGTATTTGACCAAACAACGGGGCACCATAGCTTAGCCAAGTTGACACATAAATTAACCATCAGGAGCGAGTAGAATATCCAAAAAACAACATACTAGGGGTATTATATCTTATATAGCTATTATAATTATATAAAACATATAATTATAGAATGAAGATATTAAGATAACCATTAGAACAAAAATATAAACTTTTCTTTCTTTCTTTTTTTTTTTTTTTTGAGACCAAGTCTTGCTCTGTCACCCAGGCTGGAGTGCAGTGGTGCAATCTTGGCTTACTGCAACCTTTGCCTCCTGGGTTCAAGTGATTCTCCTGTCTCAGCCTCCCAAGTAGCTGGGATTACAGGCACCCGCTACCATGCCCAGCTAATTTTTGTATTTTTAGGAGAGACGTGGTTTCACCATGTTGCCCAGGCTGGTCTCCAACTCCTGACCTCAAGTGAGCCACCCCCCTCAGCCTCCCAAAGTGCTGGGATTACAGGTGTGAGCCACCACACCCAGCCAAAAATCACCTTTTTTACAAGGATCAAAACAGTCATTATGCTGGAGATGACAGACCTCACTGTCACCATGCTCCTTTTGTATGTCTACTAGGCACGGTGCTGGGTCCACACTCACAGAAAGCTTAGGAACTCGCACCCAGGGGCTCCAGCTGTAGCAGAATCCCAAGAGTAAAACCTGGTGCTGAAAGAGTAGGAGATGGGGCCGGGCACCACGACTCACTCCTTTAATTCCAGCACTTTGGGAGGCCAAGGCGGGCGAATCAAGAGATAGAGACCATCCCGGCCAGCATGGTGAAACCCCGTCTCTACTAAAAATACAAAAATTAGCTGGGCGTGGTGGCTGGCACCTGCAGTCCCAGCTACTCAGGAGGCTGAGGCAGGAGAATCATTTGAACCAAGGAAGCAGAGGTTGCAGTGAGCTGAGATCGCGCCACTGCACTCCAGCCTGGTGACAGAGCGAGACACCATCTCAAAAAAAAAAAAAAAAAAAAGCAGGAGACTGAACTCTGGGAGGGCCTCCTGGTGAGAGGTGAGCACAAAGGGGAGAGATGGAGGCAGGAACATGGGCTTCTGGTGGCCCCAGCAGACCCTGTGGCAGCGTGGCCAGGGTCCTCTGCAGGGAGGAATCTTGGCCAGGATGATGCTGTAGCAGGCCTCTTCCTGAGGCCTCCAGCCAGCCCGGCCAGGGACCCAGCATCCAGTGACCCCTGTTTCGCAGCAGCAGCTGGGGCCAGCCCCAGGCTCTCTTCCACTCCCAGCTTCTTAAAACAGGAAGTGGAGAGAGTTGTTTGATAAAACTCTCTCTTCACCAAGGGAGAGTTCGAGGGGATGCCAGCAGAGGGAGCTTTAGAGTAGAGACCCCTACCCAACCAGTGACAGTCACGCACACAGCAGGGCATGCTATGGAGACCCCCAGACAGTCACTCGGGGAGACCCAGCAGGTCCAGACTCTTCAGAGATCTGTGGCAGCAGGTCCCCACTCCCAAAAGCCACGTGCCCACGGGTGGTCTCTGGTGCCTGAGACCCCAGTCTCATTTGCATCTTTGCAACTTTGAGTTTAAGTGGGTGTCGCATCCTTTATGTCCTCCTGAGCAGAGGAGGGGCACAGCCTGGGGTGGCAGCTGGCGTCAAACCCTCAAATCCCCTGAGAGCCACTGGGGAGACTAAGCAGTCCCCAGCCCCCACTTGTCCCTGAGCTGCCATTCTCAGCCCTGTGGGAGGAGACAGAAAGCCCTGAAGAGAAACCAAAGGACCAGGTCAGGAGGGGCTGGGGGGGTGGCATGAGCAATCAGGGCAGGGAAGGATGGACAGATGGGGGAATGGAGGGAAGAAGGAATGAATGAAAAGGTGAATGAATGAACAAAGAGAGAGAACGGCCACTCCTCCCTTGCTTTAGTTTACGAAGTACTGGGATCCTCCCAACAGCCTGCAAGACAATTTCTGGGAAGCAGACCAGGTGGCTGGCAGGGAGGGGAGGCTTGCCCTGGCTTTTGTGGGCCCAATGGGAGGCAGGGGGCAGGAAGGGGCATCCTGTATGTGTCCTCCCTGCAGCGGCAGCAGCACCTTCCTGGAAGAGGGTCAGGAAACACCCACTGTGGCCCCTCTCCATCACGCCCTCATCCAGGACACCAAGTATCAGTCACTCAGCTCACGAGACCCAGGCCCTGATTCAGGGAGAGAGGATGTGAGGGGTGGGGCACCGGGCTCCTCAGGACTGAGAGACCTGAGATGTGGCCCCGGGCTGGGTGTTAGGGCAGACTGGCTATGGCAGCATTGTGTGTACCCCAGCAGGCCAGTACCCACGCAGGGAGCCTCCAAACCCCTTCACCCATGACCCTGGGAGAAGACCCCAGCCTTGGAGAATTGGCCTCACTGAAGGGGCCTGCACCGGCCAGCAGGGTCAGGCGGGGCCAGACAGGTTCCCACCTGGGATATGCAAATGGGCCTCCTGAATCCTGGAGCCAGGTATGGACTCACACACCACCATTGTTCCCAAGTCCCCATCTGCCCCACGGGCACACCCTGCCACCTGTTCTGTGCAAAGTCCCTGAGGCTGTCTCCTTGCGCTCAAGCCCTGCAGGTGTTGAAGCTCACACACACAGCTCCTGCTTCTTGGGCCAGTGCACGTTCACACACACGCGCACACACACACTCACACACCCACACATACACATACCCACACACAATCACACACATTCATACACACCCACACCCCCATACTCACACTCACACACTCACACACACCCACAAACACCCACACATACACTCACACACACATTTACACACACCCACACACTCACACACACACTCATAGTCACACACACCCTCACACAGCAAAACACAATCACACACATTCACACCCACCCACGCCCCCCACACTCACACTCACATACCCACACACACCCACACACTCATACACACACAAACAAACACAATCACACACATTTACACACACCCACACTCACACATACACACACAAACACGATCACACACATTCACACACACCCACACCCCACACTCACACTCACACATATACCCACACACACTCACATATAATCTCTCACACACACATATGCTCACACACACACTCTCACATACACGCCTTCTCCAGGAGGGGCTGGCTGCCAAGGGCCACCCAGCTTCCTCCCACGTCTCACTCACCCTACAATATTTGAGCAGACCTTGGAGTCAGCAGCAACAGCGGCGTGGGCAAAGGCCTGGGGGTCAAATGGGGCCTGGTGTCGAGAGAGGACCACAGCCAGCACAATGACAGCCAGCGCCAGCCCCAGCCCCAGAAGGACCAGGCCAACCATGGCTCTGCAGTCCTGGACCGTGGCTCTGCGGCCCAGAAGGAGAGGGGAGGCCGGTGGGCAGACGGAGGGACAGATGGGTGGGCAGATGAATGGACAAGAAAATGCATAGATAGACTCACAGGTAATTGGACAGATGGACAAACAGGTGGGGGCTGAAGACAGACACGAAGATGGATCGACAGATAGGCCAGATAGCTAGACAAAGAGGACAGTAAGAGAAAGATGGTCAGATAGACAATGGGACAGAGATGGGCTTACAGATGGGCGGACAGACAGACAGGTCTGAACAGCGGGCTGCCAGATGGACAGATGGGTGAATGGACAGACGCCTGGCAGCTGTGGCGAGTTGCTGCCCTCACCAAGTGCACACTACGGAGTGGCCAAACTCACGCCTCAACTTCTAGTTTTCAGCTCCTGCTTGTTGCTGGCAGGAGGCCAGGCAGCAAAGTGTCTGAGGGGAGTTTTCCTTGCCTACAGAAGTCAGCTGCTGTGTTAACTCCCTCACTGCTGGTAGGTCCAAAGGCCCCACCTACCGCCCGCCAGAGCCCAGGGTCACACTGTCGCAATGTGCAGGAGAACTTGGTGCCTGCTGCATTGCGGTTGCCAGGTAGGGGCAGGGCTCCCCGGAACCTCCACACCATTTCCCGGGTTCTCAGCAGCTCTAGGAAAGCAGAGCTGGGGCCGCTTAACTCTGCCCTGGATCCGGCAAGGCTGCCCCCGTCTCAGAGTGGAGCCCTGCTCCCCAGCTCCCATCTCTATCCCCTAACCCTCTCCTCATGGCCCAGCCTAGTCAGCATCAAGGTGGAGCTGAACAGAGGCAGAGGGAGGAGGACCCAAGGTGGTGTCACTCAGGACCCGGGTTCAAGTCCTTATGCTTCTGCAGCCTGGCCTGGGTCCCCCAACCCCCCAGGGTGATCAAGGGCTTCCCAGTCTGCACAGACGACAGGGGGACTTGACAGCATCAAATGCTGGTGACTACAAGACGCCCCTGTGGGGAATGCAGACAGACCATGCCTCTAGCCCTTGGCACCCGGCACCATCCATCCCTGGGACTTGCTGTCCTGGAAATGCAGCATGGACCTCCAGGGAGGGGGGCTGTGCCATGTGGGGGCTCCACCCCTCCTGCAGCTCTTTCCCACCCTGGCTGCAGGTCTGCTTCCCTGAATCCAAATCCGCTACTACTGTGCTGGCAGCGCAGCCTCTCTGGGGACACTGGCCTGGCTCTGTTCTCCCCAGGCCTCAGGGTGCCTAAATGGGAGGCAGCCAGGAGAGTGAGGACCCACTGAGGGGCTCTGTTGACCAGGCTCAGCAGGGGTGCAGGTGATGTGGGCTGGACTTCTTCCCACGTGGCCCCCATAGTCCTCCGCACTTCCTCCCCAGCTGAACACTGCCTGCTCCAGATGTCTACACCTGGAGTCTGGGCCCCTCCATCTGGGCAGCAGAGAAACTGAGGCACAGAGACAGACTGTGTCCTTACAGGCCACACAGCCTGCCAGGCCCCTATGTCTGGCCAGAGCCCCTGGTGAGCCTGGGCTGCAGTGATTGTTTAGAGGCAGGCTGTTCCCACGGCTGCTTCTCATGGTAGGGGGGCCTGCGGACGCCTCCTCCCGTCCCCACCCGACTCCCAAGCCTCAGTGACATTGCTCAACCAGGAGCTGAAGTGCATTCCTGGGCTCAGGCCAGCCCACCCACCCACCCGCTGCAGTCCTGGAAGCTCAGAGGCCTGGGCAGCAGGAACAGTGGGGGCAGCAGGAACAGTGGAGACAGCAGCGTGGGGGACGTCCCCCCTCCTCTCTCCACCATCCTGGTCAGGCAAGAGGACAGGGTGCAGGGACCGCCTGAGCAAAGGCCCAGGGAAATGAATGGGTGTCATTCTGGTCCTGACCTGAGGCACAGCCAGGAAGGTCCCTGTGGGGAAAAGAAAGAGATATCAGACTGTTACTGTGTCTATGTAGAAAGAAGTAGACGTAAGAGGCTCCATTTTGTTCTGTACTAAGAAAAATTCTTTTGCCTTGAGATGCTGTTAATCTGTAACCCTAGCCCCAACCCTGTGCTCACAGAAACATGTCCTGTGTCAACTCAAGGTTTAATGGATTAAGGGCTGTGCCAGGATGTGCTTTGTTAAACAAATGCTTGAAGGCAGCATGCTTGTTAAAAGTCATCACCACTCCCTAATCTCAAGTAAGCAGGGACACAAAACACTGCAGAAGGCCGCAGGGACCTCTGCCTAGGAAAGCCAGGTATTGTCCAAGGTTTCTCCCCATGTGACAGTCTGAAATATGGCCTCGTGGCAAGGGAAAGACCTGACCATCCCCCAGCCTGACACCCGTAAAGGGTCTGTGCTGAGGAGGATTAGTAAAAGAGGAAGGCCTCTTTGCAGCTGAGATAAGAGGAAGGCATCTCTCTCCTGATCGTCCCTGGGCAAAGGAATGTCTCAGTGTAAAACCCAATTGTATATTCCATCTACTGAGATAGGAGAAAACTGCCTTAGGGCTGGAGGTGGGACATGCTGGTGGCAATACTGCTCTTTAATGCATTGAGATGTTTATGTATATGCACATCAAAGCACAGCACCTTTTTCTTAACCTTGTTTATGACACAGAGACATTTGTTCACATGTTTTCCTGCTGACCCTCTCCTCACTATTACCATATTGTCCTGCCACATCCCCTTCTCTGAGATGGTAGAGATAATGATCAATAAATACTAGGGAACTCAGAGACTGGTGCCAGCGTGGGGACTCCGTATGCTGAGCGCAGGTCCCCTGGGCCCACTTTTCTTTCTCCATACTTTGTCTCTGTGTCTCTTTCTTTTCTCAGTCTCTTGTCCAACCTGATGAGAAACACCCACAGATGTGGAGGGGCAGGCCACTCCTTCAGGTCCCTGAATGTCCTTCCTCAGGAAATGATGGGGGAAGGGGCGATGAGAATGAAGGAGAGGATTTAAGTCCCTCACCACCCGAGGTAGTCCTGGGCTGAGCCCCATGGGACCTGGAGAACCAGGGTGTACCCCACCAGTGTGTCGAGTCGAGGAAGCCTTGTGGCCAGCTCCCACTTCTCTTGCTGCTGTGCAACCCAGAGCAAGGCCTGCCCCTCCAGCTTCAGTCTTCTCCCCTGTAAATGGGGCCACGGCCTTTCCTCTCAGGCCAAAATAAGGATTGAGGCCGGGTGCAGTGGCTCACCCCTGTAATCTTAGCACTTTGGGAGACTGAGATGGGGGCACTGCTTGAAGTCAGGAGTTAAGACCAGCCTGGTCAACATAGTGAGACCCCATCTCTATTGGTTTAATTTTTTTTTAAAAAAATTAAATAAATAAAATAAGGATTGAGGAATGACTTGTACACCATTTGAGCCCACCTCCGTCTCACCCCTGCAGAGCCCCAGAGACACAGCCCTCCAGAGCTCAGACCCAGTGGGACTTGACTCCACAGGCATAAAACCCTGTTTGTCTATGGGCCCTTTGGAATCACCAGGTTTTCGGGGCTCCTGAAGGATAGCCCCGACCTGGCCTCACCTGGCCCCTGGCCCCAGTGCCCCTGGTGATATCCAGGTGCTGGGCTGTGATCACCGCCTCCCACCAGCCCACCTCCACCAGCCCTTCCCAGAACCCTGCCCCAGGTGTTGGAACTGTGCACAGAGGAGGGAGCAGGCCCTGAGGGAGGCCTGGAGGGGCTGCGGATGGTGAAGGCTGCTGTGTCTAGCTGTTTCCTTCTGGACCCACTCCCTCTGGGCTGCGTCCCCGGCTGGTCCAAGCCCTGATCCCTGGGATCTGGGGACATCTTCCCGTTTGCTGTTCCCTGAGAACCAGGCCTCCCTCTGGAGAGGATCACAAGCTTGGGTTTCACTCTGGGCTTGCTCTTGGAAACCCCCCAGGGGCGTGGCTCTGACCGAGATGTTTTCCTGCAGCCTGTTGCCCAGTCCCCATTCCTCGGACCTCAGCTTCACATCCAGTGTCCTCGGCAGGGTGAGCTAGACGCCTACGGGTCTGAGAAGGCGCCCGGGTTCCCAGCATCAGCTGGCCACCCTCTGCCTAAGAAAGTGCCAGGGTCGTGGCACCCCCTGGTGGCTGATCCTAGGTAGTGTCACTGCCCAGCCCCAGTAAGGGAGGGCCTGGCCCCAAAGTTCAAGGGATCAGGGTGGAAAGGGGCAGGGCTTGGTGTGAACCTTCCCCTGGCCCCCAGCCATGTGCCTGGCTCTCCCCATGCTGAAGATGCTGAGGCTAGTTCCAGTGCCCGCATTGTGAAGATCTCCGAATCCCACCTCTCTGTTCCTCCCCAGCCAGATGGCTCCATTTCACACACAATACACTGAGGCCCAGAGAGTGGGGAGACAGGCCAGGGAGGCCACCTGGAGCCTGGCACAGTGGCCTCATTTATTGTGCTGCTCTGCTGCTCACAGGAGAAGCCTGTCCCCCAAAGTCCTCTTCCTCGTCCTGGTGAGTATTTTGTTCCTGGATTGCTTGTCAGCCTTGTCCGCCTGGAGCAATCAGTAGCCAGCAGGTTCCCCACCTTTCCTGGAGTCCGAGGCAGCTGCCCAGCCACCAGCCATGCGGACGATGGCTTGCACCACAGCAATGAAGGTGGACGTGATCTGGGTGTGATGGTGCCGGGTCTCCAGGGCTGCAGTCACTTCCTGGGGGTGGGAGGAGAGGGGAAGCCTGAGCAGGGCTCCAGATGCCACCTGAACCACACCTGTGTGGTCACAGGCCTCAGCCCAGGTGGTGCCATTTCAGGCCAGGTCATCAGGAAGAGCAGGTTGGGGCCTGCTGGGTCTCATTGGAGCAAGGGGTTTGGCCCTCATGGCACAGGGGCTCCAGATGGCCCAGGCACTAGAGAGAGGACACCAACCATTGTCCACTCTGTGATGATCCAGGCCTCCAGCCCACGATGCCCTGGGGCCCCACACCGTGACTCAGTTTCTCCAACCCCCAGCCCACCTGGTCAATGTTTCTCTCCACTGTCGTGACGTTGGGCAGAAGCTGGTTGTGCAGCCGGGGCTCCTCCACGGCCCACTTCACGTCATAGCCGAACCAGAGGTTGTAGATGATGGCCTGGGGCATGGGAGTGTGATCAGCATGGCTTGGGGGCTGTGCAGGGTGGGCACGGCCAGGGAGAAAAGGTGTGACACATACCAGTGCAGTGGCCATGGTGATCTGCGTGCCCCCGGCAGCTCCCACCACCATCCGGACCTGGCCGTCCTGGCCCACCATGATCGTCGGGCACATGGACGAGAGCGGCTGCTTCCCTGCGGCCAATGGGAGAAGACAGGGATGCCCGTCAGCTGCCTGCCCAGGACACCCGCCCCTCTCCACCCCAGTCCCCCACCCTCGGACCTCCACCCCATACCTGGCTGGATGAAATTGGCAGGTGAGGGGGGTACCCCAAACTCGTTGGTGATGCTGGTAGAGCTGAAGTCATCCATTTCATTATTGAGCAGGATCCCGCTGACTGGGGAGCGCACCTTGGAGCCAAAGCTATCGCCCAGCCAGGTCAGACAGTGCCCGACCTTGCCTGGCCCAGCCTGGTCCCTATCCACCCACTGAGGCTCAAACATACTCACTGAGAGGCTCAGGATAAGCTACCAAGGTTGGGCCTCAGTTTCCCACCAGGAAAAGAGGTGATGGAGCCACCTTACTGGATAAGTGGGCAGTCCCTGAGCCACCCTCCCCTGGCCCTTTCCCACCCAGGCGGCCCAGCAGCCCCTACTAGAGGTTGATGGTGCTGGTGGCGGACACAGCACTGCCGTCCTCTGCGACCACAGACAGGTGAGCAGTGCCCCCGTCATCCGGCATGTAGAACTCGGGCTTGTAGTAGGAGATCGGGTGAGTGGTGTCGTCAGAGATCTGGGCCCGGAGCTGGGCAGAGAAGAACTCGGAGGTCATGTCGCGGACCACCTGCCGAGACCCCAGAGCTGGCCTAGGGAGGTGGGGAGGGAGGGTGGGGAGGGGGCACAGGTCTCAGAAGGCCCCTGACTGTGGCTCTGACCACAACCCTCTGGCACCCACAACCTTCCGTGGCTCCCCAGGACCCAAGGGCAGGCCCAGGACCTTGCATGACCAGTCTGACTCCCTGTCTCTGTCGCATTCCAGCAACTCTGAATGTTTGTCTGCCTGGTCCTCAGCCTCCAGACCCTTGCTGCATTCAATCACTCATTCCTTCATGCAAAAAATATTTCTAGAGTTTGCACTGCATGCCTGGCACTGGGGAATCAATAGGAAACAGACACTTAGGTCCTGCCCTCATGCCAAGAAAAACAAACACACACAGCGAAAGTGCTGAAACCACAAGCCAGGTAAGGGGAATCAAGAGGCATGAGGTATGGGCAGAGTGGTTAGGGAGAGCTTCTCAGAGGAGGCAATGTGTGAAAAGAGCCTGGAATGTGGCCTAAATGGTCAGTGCAAAGGCCCTGAGGCAGGTGGTATAGGCTGGTGAGCGATAGGCAGAGAGTGAATGGAGTGGGGTGGGGAGAAAAGGCTGAAGATGCAGGCTGGGGCCCATCCCACAGGACATCCTAGGTCCCATAACAACTGGCTTTTGCTCTGTGCCATGCAGGCTTAGGGCAGAGGAATGAGCAGGCTGGGGAGTGTTTTCACAGGGTCCCTCTGGCAGCTATGACGGGGATAAGGATAAAGTCCAAAGGGGAGGCTGTGGGTATCAACCAGGCAAGAGATGATGGCCTGGGTGGGAGAAAGAGAAGAATCAAGGATGGCGCCGACTAGCGAGGTAAACTCTGCAGAAGGGGCAGGTTTGGGGATGGTCAGGAGCTTGATTTTGGATACTTCATCAGACCTGAAGAGCATGGGTGCACGTATAAAAAAAATAAATAAATAAGCATGGGTTCACGGGCAAGGGCGGGCTGAGAGATGAACATGGAGGTATTGACATTGAGTGGCTGCTGGATGCCATGAGCCTGGCCAAGGTCCCCAAGGCAGTGGCGAGGAGGAGATGAGGAGGTCAAGGAGGAGACAGAGAGGATGGACCCGAAGGCCGAAGAAAATGCCTCAAGGGAGTTTCAACACCGGGCGCGGTGGCTCACGGCTGTAATCCCAGCACTTTGGGAGGCCGAGGCCTGTAATCCCAGCACTTTGGGAGGGCGGATCACGACGTCAGGAGATCGAGACCATCCTGGCTAACACAGTGAAACCCCGTCTCTACTAAAAATACAAAAAATTAGCCGGGTGTGGTGGCGGGCGCCTGTAGTCCCAACTCCAGAGGCTGAGGCAGGAGAATGGCGTGAACCCGGTAGGCGGAGCTTGCGGTGAGCCGAGATCAGGCCACTGGAATCCAGGCTGGGCGACAGAGGGAGACTCCATCTCAAAAAAAAAAAAAAAAAAAAAAAGAGTCTGGCTCTGTTGCCCAGGCTGGAGTGCAGTGGCGTGATCTCGGCACATCACAATCCCTTCCCCACCCCCGGGTTCAAGTGATTCTTGTGTCTCAACCGCCGGAGTAGCTGGGACTACAGGCGCATGCCACCATGTCTGACTAAATTTGTATTTTTACTAGAGACGGGGTTTCGCTATGTTGGCCAGGCTGGTCTCCAACTCCTGAGCTCGTGATCCGTCCGCTCCGACCTCCCAAAGTGCTAGGATTATAGGCATAAGCCACCACGCCCGGCCTCTTTTTTTTCTTTTTCTTTATTTGGAGACTGAGTTTTGCACTTGTTGCCCAGGCTGGAGTGCAATGGCGCGATCTCAGCTCACTGCAATCTCCACCTCAGCAGGAGAGCAGGAATCTTCAGTGATCCACGGGCAGATCTGCCGCCATTGTGGGCACCTGTTCCTCCCGCGACCTTTGTGCCCGTGTCTCTCCTTCCAGTACCTATTGCATGACCCCCCACGTCCGCCTCCCGCCATTGCCAGCAAGTGCCTTGCGCGGGTACCTGGCTGCGCTTATTAATCCGTTAAGCTCACTCTGTCACCGGCGCCATTAAGTGCTCACGCGCCCACTCCCTCAGGTTTAAAAGGCGCGTTGCCCGGCAGCAGAAGAAACTGCTGGCTTCGCCTTTGGCCGAGTTGGCGGCTGGACGAGGACGCAGAGCCCAGCTCTCGAGAGTTCAAGCAACCGACGGTTCCCCAGGGCTCCCAGGAGCGGTTACCTGGGCACTCTGTGCCCCTCCTTCCTGTTCGGGCCCAGGCCTAGGACCTGCCAGTAGGGCTCAGTTGCCTGGAGCCGGTTCAGCCCATCCCCCAGTTCACTTTGCTTGTGGGATCTCCCCGTTGCTCCTGCCTGTGGACTGAGTGGCAGGCCATCCTACAAGCACCCGGACACTTGACATCAGTGGTGTCAAGACAACTCTAAGAAGGTTTTCCGTGATCCTGCAAGCCCTGCGTTCCTTCCTGGGATCCTGCTTTCAATTTGATTGCACAGGTACCACAGCAAGCCAGTGCTGTGTGCTCTGAGTTCCAGGGCGTCCTCCAGCTCAGCCACTCCACTGAGCACAAGGACTCTCTGTGGGGCCCAGGAGCCGGGAGTCACCCCTTTGGTGTCCAAAACACCCGGCTGTCCCCAGACTTGTGTCCAGGGAAGACAGTGTTGAGGGCCCTCAAGGAGAGCGGGGCAGGGATGCCTGAGCAGGACAAGGACCCTAGAGTCCAAGAGAATCCTGATGATCAGAGAAGGGTCCCCGAGGTCACCGGGGATGCACGGTCTGCATTTCGGCCCCTGCGGGACAATGGAGGCCTCTCTCTCCCTTTGTGCCCGGGCCCGGGCCTCTGCAGACAGACCTCCATACCCAGAGGTGAGAAATCAGATATAACCAGACATCCCAGACCTCCTGGACGAGCTCCTGCACCAAACGAAATGCCATCTCCAGCTCCTGCAGCTCCACGGGAGGCTTGCCGGGGCTAAAGCGGAGGAGGGGACCAGCCTCATCCCACAGCCAGCTGACCCTCAGTTCCTCAAAGACAGTGGGTGAGGACAGGCTTCAGGCTGTCTCTTCGGGTCACACCCAGTGTGAAAAGGCAGCAGATATAGCACCAGGGCAGACACTCACCCTCAGGAATGACTCCTCCATATCCGAGGCCTCTAGGCCCAGTATACACAAGTTTCCCCTGCTGCCATGCAGGCGAGGGGAGCCTTTGATGCTGCCACCTCCCTTAGAGCTGGGGTACCGGGTCACTGTTGAAGACCTGGACCGGGAGAAGGAGGCAGCATTCCAGCGCATCAATAGTGCACTGCAGGTTGAGGACAAGGCCATCTCGGACTGCAGACTCTCACGGCCTTCCCACACTTTGTCCTCACTTGCAACAGGGACTTCTGGTCTGCCTGCCGTTTCTAAAGCACCCAGTATGGATGCACAGCAGGAGAGACACAAGTCCCAAGACTGCCTGGGCCTACTGGCCCCCCTAGCACCTGCTGCAGAGGTCCCCTCTACAGCTCCCATGTCTGGGAAGAAGCACAGACCACCAGGCCCCCTGTTCTCCTCCTCAGATCCCCTTCCTGCCACCTCTTCCCACTCCCAGGACTCAGCCCAGGTCACCTCGCTGATTCCTGCCCCCTTCCCAGCTGCAAGCATGGATGCGGGCATGAGAAGAACAAGCCCTGGCACTTCTGCTCCTGCAGCCGCAGCAGCCCCTCCCCCCTCCACATTGAACCCCACGTTGGGGTCACTACTAGAGTGGATAGAGGCCCTTCACATTTCTGGGCCTCAGCCACAGCTGCAGCAGGTGCCCAGAGGTCAGAACCAGAGATCCCAGACCTCCCGGACCAGCTCGTGCCCCAAACGAAAGGCCATCTCCAGCTCCTACAGCTCTACGGGAGGCCTCCCGGAACGAAAGCGGAGGAGGGGGCCAGCCTCATCCCACTGCCAGCTGACCCTCAGTTCCTCAAACACAGTGAGTGAGGACGGACCTCAGGCTGTCTCTTCGGGTCACACCCATTGTGAAAAGACGGCAGATACAGCACCAGGGCAGACACTCGCCCCCAGGGGTGGCTTCCCCAGATCCCAGGCCTCTAGGCCCTGTAGACACAAGTTTCCCCTGCTGCCACGCAGGCGAGGGGAGCCTTTGATGCTGCCTCCTCCCTTAGAGCTGGGGTACCGGGTCACTGCTGAAGACCTGGACCGGGAGAAGGAGGTGGCATTCCAGCGCATCAAGAGTGCACTGCAGGTTGAGGACAAGGCCATCTAGGACTGCAGACCCTCATGGCCTTCCCACACTTTGTCCTCACTTGCAACAGGGGCTTCTGGTCTGCCTGCCATTTCTAAAGCACCCAGTATGGATGCACAGCAGGAGAGACACAAGTCCCAAGACTGCCTGGGCCTAGTGGCCCCCCAGCATCTGCTGCACAGGCCTGTAGTCCCAGCTACTCGGGAGGCTGAGGCAGGAGAACGGCATAAACCCGGGAGGCAGAGCTTGCAGTGAGCTGAGATTGTGCCACTGCACTCCAGCCTGGGTGGCAGAGCGAGACTCCGTCTCAAAAAAAAAGAAAAAGAAAAAAAAGTTCTTGTGACATTTGTGTATGAAATCAGCCTTCACTACATGGATAGGACCAGCACGCTTCCGCGGCACGACTCTGCAATCTTACTACATTTTTTTTTTATTTTGTATTTTATTTATTCCTTTTGAGACAGAGTCTCACTCTGTCACCCAGGCTGAAGTGCAGCCGAGATCTCGGCTCACTGCAACCTCCACCTCCTGGGTTCAAGCAATTCTCCTGTCTCAGCCTCCCAAGTAGCTGGGACTACAGGCACATGTCAAAACGCCCGGCTAATTTTTGTAATTTTAGTAGAGATGGAGTTTTGCCATATTGGTCAGGCTGGTCTCGAACTCCTGACCTCAGGTGATCGACCTGTCTTAGCCTCCCGAAGTGCTAGGATTACAGGTGTATGTTTATTTATTTATTTAAGATGGAATCTTGCTCTGTATTTATTAATTTATTTATTTGAGATGGAGTCTTGCTCCATCGCCCAGGCTAGACTGCAGTGGTGCAATCTCGGCTCCCTGCAACCTCTGACTTCCAGTTTCAAGCGATTCTCCTGCCTCAGTGTCCCAAGTAGCTGGGATTACAGGTGCCTGCCACCACAGCTGGCTAATTTTTGTATTTTTAGTAGAGACAGTGTTTCACCATCTTGGCCAGGCTGGTCTCGGGCTCCTGACCTCATGAGCCACCTGCCTCAGCCTCGCAAAGTGTTGGGACTACAGGTCTAAGGCACCATGCTCGGCCATATTTATTTATTTAATTATTTAGAGACAAAGTCTTGCTCTGTCACCCAGGCTGGAGTGCAGTGGCGCCATCTCAGCTCACTGCAGCCTCCGCCTCCGAGGTTTAAGCGATTCTCATGCCTCAGCCTCCTGAGTAACTGGGACTACAGGTACTCACCACCATGCAGGGATATTTTTTTCTATCTTTTTGTAGAGACACAGTTTCACCATGTTGGCCAGGCTGGTCTCGAACTCCTGACCTTAGGTGATCGGACAGCCTCGTCCTCTCAAAGTACTGGGATTACAGGCATGAGTCACCATACCTGGCCTCTCACTACATTTAAGTGATGCCATGGCTCATGCCTGTAATCCTAGCATTTTGGGAGGCCAAGGCAGGTGGATTACCTGAGGTCAGGAGTTCGACACGAGCCTGGCCAACATGGGGAAACCCCGTCTCTAGTAAAAATACAAAAATTAGTCAGGCATGGTGGTACAAGCCTGTAGGCCCAGCTACTTGGAAGGCTGAGGCAGGAGAATCACTTTAACTGGGAGGCAAAGGTTGCAGTGAGCCAATATCATGCCACTGCACTCCAGCTTGGGTGACAGAGTGAGACATCATCTCAAAAAAAAAAAAAAAGAAAAGAAAAACATATGATGCCGGGGCATCTTGGCCTCAATACCTGCATGAGCACAGTCATGTCCAGGCCAGGGCTGCTGGTCGAGGTCCGGCCCCATCTCTTCCAGCAGAAAGGGAGTAAGCTTGCAGGGAGGCTGGGGGACAAGATCCCAGGATCTCAGCCTCTGCTCATGGATGAGCTCTGAGACCCCAAGTGAGCTGGGGGTGCTCCGTGCGCATTGGTTTCCCCAGCTGTCAAGTAAAGGGATTGGATGAGGAAGTCTTGTCAAGGTGGAATGATCTCAGATTTGGGGCAGCAGTGAATGATCCCGCTCCCTGGGCCGTGCCAGTGTCCCGGCCTCAGCTGAACACAGCCCCAACACTCTGGAATGGGGATGAGGGGGCAGTCAGCTCTTGCTCCTAGTAAGAGAGATGCAATAGGGCTCTGTGGCTGAGCTGGGTGCCTTGCCTCACACCTGTAATCCCAACCTTTGAGAGGCTGAGGCGGGAGGATTGCTTGAGGCCGGGAATTTTGAGAATAGCCTGGACAACATAGCCAGACCCCATGTCTACAAAATAATAATAAAACACACAGCTATAGTCCAAGCTACTTGGCAGGCTGAGGCAGGAAGGTCCCTTGAGTCCGGGAATTGGAGGCTGCATTGAGCTATAATCGCACCACTGCACTCCAGCTTGGGTGACAAACTGAGACCCTGTCTCTAAAAGAAAAAAAATCGGCCTGTGAGCATGGGTTTGATTTTCAAACAGGACCCGGAGGGTAGGGACAGACAGTGCTGTCACCCTTAGGTGCTGAACACTCAGAAACAGGCCAGCGGCAGCCCTTTCCTCACCTGCAGACACCAGATTGGGCAGGACACCACGTGGCACTTGCAGCTCTTGCAGTGAGGGCAGAACCCAGTGTCAACCCTTCTGCCTGTGGGAGGGGCTGCTGAGGCCTGCGGAGAGGCCAGGGTGGAGGCTCGTCCCCTTGTCCAGCCCTTGGCATGGTCTCCATCAGGTTCCCAGCCCACCAGTGCAGGGCGCCCCTGAGCCTGCTGCTGCCACGGGCCCGGTCTCTACCCAGGACGTCCCCCCACCCTCGCAGTGTCAGGGAAATTATCATGGTGGCGGTGACACTCTGCAGGCAGGGCTGCTGAGAGAAGCTGAGAAGGGTCACACTGCAGGCAGGGGCCCATGTGACAAGCCCCTCTCACCCCGAGAGAGCTGACCAGGCAGCTCACAAGCAGAGCCACATCCTGGGAGTCCGAGAAAGGTCCGAGAAAGCTCAGCCACCTCATTGGCTATGGGCAGCCTTTGTCGTGTGAGCCTTGCTCTCCTGGGGAGGCTCAGGCTGACGGCTGATGTGGGCATTGCCGAGGGTAACCTGTGGCCCAGTGGATATGGCCGGGTCTCCTCAAGCTGCATTCATTCAAGTAGGACCCAGGGTGCGTGCCCATCTCCAGCCCAGGGCAGCTCCCCTGTAAGCTGGGTGAGCTACTGAAGCCAAGGCGGGAGGCAGCTGACAACACCCACGGCCCATGTGGAGGTGGTGGAAAGGCTGGACTCAGCAGCAACACCAAATCCCGGACCAGGCAGAAACCACCCAAGACTGAGGGGCTCATGCCAGAGCGGTGGCCACAGGTAAGAACCCGGGCCCAGGCTGTGTGTGGCGGGAATCCTCCATGTCCCAGGGCTTAGCATAGCAAAGGAAGATCAGCTGGGTCACCCTGGTGGCCATCTGTCCCTGTCCCACCTGTAGAGTCAGAACAGCCTCTCCCCAGTGGGGATCATCTCTCTCTGCCAAAGCAACAGCGGTCCCTGCCCCAACCAGACTACCCCACTCAGTGGAGTTACGGATGCTGCTCCAGCATCCTAACACTGCCCAGCTGGCGCCTGCCTGTGCTCACCCACACCCCCAGGCCGGCCTTCCCTGCAGCCTGGGCTTGGCCACCTTGGCCTGATTGAGCACTGAGGCCTCCTGGGCACCCAGCCCCATCACTGCACCTGCTGCTTCCAGCCCCACCCCACTGGCTCAGGGGTCCTTCCCAGCGGCGCTGATCATGAAATCAACATGCAAGCAAGTCGTCTCAGGAAACTTTTTAATGAAAGTGTCGGCCACGGTGGTGTGTAGGTGGCTGAGCTCAGATTGCAGCTGCTAAGACACCAGCCACTTACCAAGAGAAAGCCAGGCTGCTTCAAACCCAGGGCCCGAGGCAAAAAAGCATCACTTCCAGCCGGGGAGTCTGGAAGCCACGCCTTGTGGGAGGTCACACTGGCATCTAGGCCTTCGCCTGCATTGCAGAAGGAGAGCCGGGTCCCCCTCCTGGAGAACGCTGCGTTCCCCAGCCCCACACCGGCTTTGCCACCACACAGGCTTTTGAGGCAGGAGGTGGGTAAGACGTAGCTGTAGACCCAAAGCAACCACCAGCCCTGGGACCCTGCGGGAGAGGAGCACTTTTAGAACATGGAAAAGTGTGGTCATCCCATCATTAGACAGCACACATCCTACATAAATAAAAAGTCGTATGGGGAAGGAGGTTGGGGAGGGAATAAAAAATTGGCACAGACATTGATAGACTGGTTTCCAGTTTCAAGGTAACAGATGCACATCATGAGACCAGAGGAGGCAGAGACAAGGGCTGGATTTGGCTTTTCTAAGCAACATGCGTTCCTGCCCACGGCTGAATGGTCGCTGAGACAGATGGAAGCCAGGACAGGGGAGCCCACCGGGCCCAGATAGGTACAGAGAGCAGAGGCTCCTGTTCTGTCCTCGCCACCCACGAGGGTGACACTGCTTGTAAATGGTGGCCGTGCTCTCCCAGCAAGAAAAAAGCACAACTAAATCCACACTGCACACAGACGCAGACAGAAAGCCTTCAAGTGGCTCTGTTTTCTGCTCCCTGCCTTGCCAGGTCCACAAGCAGAGAGGAGTGTCAGGTGCATGGCCCCACTGTCAGGCTCCCTAGTGAGCTGCGGGTTCAGCAGGAGTTGCCCACTGACACACAGGGGACACCCACTCCTCCCACCTTGGGAGCGGTTGCCCGACAGAGCCGCACTGGGTGCTGGTGTCATCCAGGGACCCCACACACTTCCTTAAATGTGATCCTGCTTCCCTCTGGGCAGCTGCATCCTCTCCTCCTGCAAGATTGTCTGGAAACTTGGCTCTCAGTTTGCTCTCCCTTCTCTCCTCTGCCTGCCCCAAACCCCTCTTTCTAAAAAAGTGATGCCGTGTTCATGGGGTTATTTCTTGAAAACACTTGGCGGCCTCCATGCTTCTGTTTTCTTTGAGCCAGGTGGTCAGGAGGGCTTACAAAGAATGCCTGGGCTTCCCCGCAGGTGCCGGCAGATGGGGTAGCGAATGGTCCTGTGCCTCCACCTGCTCCAGGAGGGAGTCTCCCATCTCTAGGCCTGGCCCCTTCCTAACCCTCCACGTATCCTGTTCTCCAGAGACTTCAGAACCCACTCCTGAGAACAGCGGAGCCAGGCGCTTAGAGGAAGACAAAATGTTATTAATTATTAATAACAAAATGTTATTAATTATTAATATTAATATTTAACATTAAACAGTAATATTTAATGTTAAATATTAATATTGATATTTAATATTAACTATTAATGTTGATATTTAATATTAATATTAAATATCGATATTTAATATTAATATTAATATTTAACATTAATATTTAATATTAATATTTAATATTAATATTTAATATTTAACATTAATATTTAATATTAATATTTAATATTAATTATTAATATTAAAGGAGAAATTAATGTAATTAAAAATAATCACTATGCATTGTTCTGAAATGGCACTCGTGAATTATTTACACGGGAAATGCTGCCCCCTGCTGGCCACCTTAGGACACTAACACCGTGCTTTACCTTTTTCCATTTTCTCTCTTTGGTTGGCATTTTTCTTCTTTAAAAAATTTACGTTGATAGACATTTGCTCATCTCTAGCAGGTACCGTTGGGAATGAATTCTGTGCTGTTGTTGCCAATCCTGGAATGAAGTGAGACTCCCCTCCTCAGCCTCCTGACAGAGTCATCTCATTTCTTCTTTGAAAAATTAAAGAACGAAGGTAATGTGTTTTATCACAGAATTCGGCTTATACTCCAGTGTGGAAGACAAATTTCTGTTTAAGCTAATACTCTCTGCCCAGATGATTTTTCATGCTGCTGTATAATTGAGCCAGCTGCGTAAGGGAACATGGATCTGGCTTGTAAATAAGGTTGCTAGGGGAGCTGAATTATAAATGATAGAAAAAGTTAATCTTTCTCAGGTTAAAAATGTCATAAATCTCTGTTATTAAGGTGTTTCATTTTTTTCCTTCCCAAGTTCAAATTGGATTTTGCATATGGAAAGATGAAATCACTTGCATCCATAGAACTTTATCAGGGCTGTGTGAGAATTATCTGAAGAGATACCAAGAAGCACAGCAGGCTTACACATAGGCAGGCATGCACTGTGAAGTGCTCTTTGTAAATTCTAGAGTGTGGCTTGTAATTTATAACACATATTTTACTTTATTTAGGTTGTAACAACTTGAATCTTCCTTTCCCAATAGCAAGCAATTCCAGGCGGGGGATCTTAGCCATCATTTCATTTCTCCGGCAGCAAACAATATAATGCTAAGCAGGGGAATTCTGCTTCATGACTTGAGTTGATGTTACTGAGCCCTGGAGCACATTTATAGCTGATAAGAAGCATGTAAAAATCCTTATTAAACAATGAGGAAGAGGTGACATGAATGCTGACCTCCTTGGTCTAGAAAGACCAGGAATATTGTTGCTGTCCTGTAAGAGTAGTCAATGGTCAAGCATACCTGTGTGCTACCTGAGCAAGAATCAGAAGACAGCCCCCTACCTTGGCATCCAGGGGTAATCAGCAAGTTACCAACAGAAGTACCACATTTAGATTTCTCCACTATGAGCTGGGATGGGAGACAGAAGAAAACAGCAGGCTTGAGGTCCTTATGACATTCTGCTTCAGTGCTGGGGAGTGTCCTCAGACTGTAGCAAAGTAGGGAGGTTTTCATGGTTATTGGATTTCTCAGGATGCTAAACTGTGGTCTGCTTTTAAAATAAAAAATTAAAGACTTTATTTATTTATTTATTTTTCTTTCTCTCTTTTTTTTTTTGTTTTTGTTTTGTTTTGTTTTGTTTTGTTTTGGAGACAGAGTCTCGCTCTGTCACCCAGGCTGGAGTGCAGTGGTGCGATCTTGGTTCACTGCAGCCTCGGCCTCCCGGGTTCAAACGATTCTCCTGCCTCAGCCTCCCGAGTAGCTGGGATCATAGGCAAGCGCCACGACACTCAGCTAATTTTTGTATTTTTAATAGAGATGCGGTTTCACCGTGTTGGCCAGGCTGGTCTCGAACTCCTGGCCTCAAGTGATCCACCCACCTCAGCCTCCCAAAGTGCTGGGATTAAAGGCATGAGCCATCGCTCTGGGCTTGTTTAATTCTATTTTAGCTTCAAAGGGTACACATACGGATTTTTGATGTAAGGCTGAGGTTTGGGCTTTGATTTAACCCATCACCCAAGTAGAGAACATGGTACTCAATAGGTAGCTTTCCAGCCCTTCTCCCTTCCCTCTCCACTTTTGGAGCCTCCAGTGTCTATTGTTGCTAACATATGCCATGAATACCCATTGTTTATCTCCCACTTATAAGTGAGAACATGCGGTATTTGGTTTTCTGTTTCGCACTAAACCATGATCCTTGAAGTCATTTTCCTTTGAATTCCTGCTAGGAATCAGATTTAAACAAGAACAAAAGTAAAGACCAACATTGATGAACCGTTTATTTCCAAAAATTTGGAAAAGTCTGACAGAATTAGATTAAAAGAACTTTTGGTGACCTATTTATGTTCTGCCTCACTGAACACAGTCTGTGAACTTGCAGAATAAGGCAGGTGGGCCCAGGGTCCCGGTCCCACGGCCTGGCCTGACCTCAGAGGCCATGAAGCTAAGATAGCAGAAGCAAGACAGAATCTTCTCCTTGTATGAGTGCTTCTCTCAATATATCCATCCAGAGGCCACCGGAAACAAAGCATGATGGCATGGGCAGAGGAGCCCCCTGTGGGGCATGCGAGGTGCTGAAGGTGTGTCCATATGCAAGTCCTCTGTGAGGCAGAGTGTGCGGGCAGTCGAGTGCCCTTCCATCCTCTGAACTGAGAATGTCAAGGCATGAGATGGGCATGGATGAAGATCTCCCAACCGCACAGTCCAGCCCCTGAGCAGATAGATGCTCATCACACAGTGGGAACTGCATGTCGCTATGCTCCCAGCTGACCTACTGTGGGGAAGAGGGGGAGAATCAAAGAGAAGCCACGTAGTCACAGCTTGGAGAAATACCAAGTTAACTCTGCATCCCTTAGAAAATGAGTAAATCAAGAAAACCAAAATGTTGCCTCCCTCCTCCACCCCTGAGAAAACACACTTCAGATCTGGGGAAAGAGAATATCATGCAGATATGCAGAATAAGAGCATGCACTGGCATTTCCTTGCCTAGAAAACCGGCATCCTCAATAGCATGTAAATAGGCATGGCTGTGTAAGCCTGGAGCAGAAAGCTGCGGAAAGATGAACGGAGATGAAAAGACAGCAGGTGGTACAAAGAGACTAGAGGATAGGATGCAAAGGCAATGCAATGAGATGGAAAATGATCTGCTTGAAATACGGATTTCAACAAAGGTCCTTTTGAAAGAAGGACTTTTGCTTGGTAAATAACATGGATAGAACTGCAGGAAGTGAAATCCCTGATGGAAAATTTTTGAGAAACCCTCATGGAATGCATAAAATACGGACAAATAGGTATGATCTGTAAGAGGGTGAATGACAGGTGAAGAAAATGAACTGTGAGCTAAAGACATAGGTGCCCCTGACAAGGTAACATGGGCAACTAGCACAGTTGCCATAATCAAGAGAAGGATTTCTTGAATTAGCACAATTCAAGAATTTTTTTCTTTTTGACAGTGATCCCCAAGGAATAATACCTGGAGTCCTAGAACAAAGTTTTATTTAGAAGGATGAAGGGAAATCCCTTCACCCCACAAGCATCCAGAGAGAAAAAGAAGTTACTAACAAAAGAATCAAATTCATTCTTCTGCACTAAGGTTTAAATAATACTTACAGTTTTTGGAGAGGGAAGATTATCACAAACAAGCTTCATTCACATCTGAAAATGAAATGGTCAGACACTCAAAGACATGTATCAAATTTTATTTTTGATACAAAGAAGTTAAGCTGATATCATAGAAATGAAGAGCTCTGGGATGAGAGAATGGGGAGGGTGGGATAGTAAAAAAGTGGGCTGGGCACGGTGACTCACGCCTGTAATCCCAGCACTTTGGGAGGCCAAGGTGGGTGGATCATGAGGTCAAGAGTTCGAGACTAGCCTGGTCGATGCGGTGAAACCCAATCTCTACTAAAAGTACAAAAATTAGCTGGGCGTGGTGGTGTGCACCTGTTAAAAAGAGAGATTATGAATAGTGAAAGGGAGAATTAACCTAAAGCACTGTCATACATTTGTTAATCTAGAGGCATGTATTACAACTAATATTTGTTACCAGGAAAAGTATAAAAATTAATTACATGGAGAATTCCAAGGTCTAGTTTATATATTTAAAAAATCAAAAGTCGGGGGGTAGAACATGAAGAAGGAAAATCATTCTAAATTCTAAATATTGTATATCTGAGGCAGCAGAGTCAAAAGACACATTTCCTCTGTCTCTGTGTTGTGTTGTGTTGTGTTGTGTTGTGTTGTTTGTTGGTTTATTTGAGACAGGGTATTGCTTTGTCACTCAGGCTGGACTGCAGCCGTGCAAACATGGCTCATTGCAGCCTCCACCTCCTAGGTTCAAGGGGACCTCCCACCTCAGCCTCTTGAGTAGCTGGGACTACAGGCATGCATCACCATGGCCAGCACATTTTTAAATTATTTTTAGATATGGGGTCTCACTATGTTGCCCAGGCTAGTCTTGGACTCCTGGCCTCAAGCAATCCTCCTGCCTTGGCCACCCAAAATGCTGAGATTACAGGTGTGAGCCATTGCACCTGGCACATCTTTCTTGATTTGAATAAGGAATTATAGGTTGAACAATTAAACCAGAATGTAAATGTAATAAACCATTTGAGAAAATAAAGTGAAACATAATACTCTTAATATTTATTCCAATATAATAAAATAACAAATATGGCAGGGATTACAATAAAGGTAAGTAGGCTGGGCTCTGTGAAAAAAGATGTATACTTTCTAGCTGCATTAAAACTCAGTATCCACGTATGTGCTTACATTCTAGAACAGTTTAATGAATAAAACATTTAAAATTTAGCTTGTATATCAAGAAACAAAACGACAACATAGATGGCAACATGGTTTTCAAAGAAGTAAAATTCAAGGAGGAAAACAAATAGGTTGACTGAGAAAATATTATAAGGGACATAAACATTCATAAACATTAATATACTGATTAATATTGCATGAAAATATATAAAGCAAAAATTATCCAAATAAAATGAGAAATTGAGAGATGATCTTTACAGGATTTAGGAATGTAGCTCTCTGAGCCCTTGATAAGCCCAGCAAACATGTGACAAAAAACGTCGTAGAGAATTAAAGTCGGATTGAAGTAATTATTACCTTTTTGTGTTGGAAACACACTTTTAAAAATGTTTATAAAACATTTACAAAAATCATCAGAATTTCTACAAATTTTTAAATGGGAAACACTTGTCATACTCCCATAAAGCTACAGTAAAACAAGAAATGAATATGAAAAATTCTGCAAAAATTAACCAGATATCTAAAAATACTTGTATAAAATTATTGGATCAAAGGAGAAATGAAATTTCAATTTTAAGTTATTAGAATACTATATATCTTAAAATTGAATTAAACATGCAAAAAGTACAAATTTACAGACAAAATAAATAATGAACAAGTTATATAACAAAATAAGTTTAAAATAAAAAAGTAATTCTTGGGAAGCAAAAAAAGAAAATAATAATGAATAATAAATTAATTCATTAGATTTTCATAATCTAGTTCTGTGGTGAAGCTGTTGGCAAATCTCAAGGAAAGATAAAAATAACAACCAAAAAATAACCCAATGTGAGAAATGATGATATTAACAGAGAATAAATTCCATAATCTGTATCCTAGTAAATGATGAAAACTTCTGGAAAGACTGATTTGAAGCTGATTCTTGACTTCCATGTCCTATGGGATTTCTTGGAGAGAGAGAGTAAGTGTGAGGCTTTGTCCTTGACAGACAGGAGAGCCTGTGGGGCTGCGGGAGAACTTAAGGCTTATATATTGCTGTGTAGCAAAGCACACCCACTTAGTGACTTCAAGCAATGGCCATTTGATTTGCTTATGATTCTGCAGTCTGGGCTGGGTCAGCTGGGCAGTTCTCCTGATCTCACACTGGTCAAGCTGACAGGTCATCTGGGCTGGGCTCAGCTGGGATGCTGCAACAGCCTCTGTCTTTCTCTCCACTAGTTGCACAGTCTTGCTCTCTCCAAGGGGTCTGTCCATCATGGTACCTGAGCCTTGGGGTTTCCCAAAGCAGAAAAGCGGAAGCTGCTGGCTCTTTTTTAAGCTTAAGCCTAGAACGGGTACAGCATCACTTCCTCCGTATTTAATTGGGTAAAGCTTTTACAAGATCATCCCAGACTTGAGCAGGGCGAACCACCTGAGGGTATGAACACCTGAGGGCATGGTTCTTGGGGAGTCATGCATGTAATTGAAAGACACAGCTATTCTGGGGGCTGTGAAGGTTATTTATACCCCAGTGTGGCTTGACCAGCCGAAGTCTATGAGTCTCTCCAGGAAAGAGCTGCAGTGTGCAGGTGCAGTTCGAGCTTTCTGGTCTTGATGACCCTGGAGAAAGAGAAAATTGATGTTGGGTTGGATTGTGTGCAGCTTCTCTGGTTGGGTGAAGACTGTGTTTGGCATTTTGAAGCAGAAAAACGTCCTTTCCATGTTCCAAAATGAAGGTGATGATTTGCCAGCCCACTCCCTGCACATCCTCAGGGAGCAGGAGTCATACATCTTCCCTTGCTGTTGAAGTCATCCTGCCCCAGACGCCCTAAAAGCCTGATGGGTCTGGATGAGGAGAGGACACACCAGGAGGAGCAGGCAAAGAAAAGTTTCAGCTCCTCCGGAGCCCTTGAGTACGTGCAGAGCAAGGAAGTCCAAAGCAAGTAATGTAACACTCAGCTCCCCCTGAACTGGTGAGAGAGCTACATGAGAACTTAACAAAAACCACAAATGACAAGCCCTAGGAGACGTAGCTAGAACACAAAATACTCTCAGGATCTATAGACAGAAGAATGGATTTTTCAATTAAATGAAAATGTTTAACAGATGAAGTGAGAGATGGTCACAGCGGATAACTGATATACAGATGTGGGGGACCAGGTAGACATTCTGCAATCCTGTGAACACACGCACACACATGCACACTCACACACATGCACACACGCACACTCACACACACATGCACACACACATGCACACTGACACACATCCACGCACACACACATTCACACACATGCACACACGCACACACACATGTACACACATGCACACACACATGCATACACATGCACACAAGCACACTCACACATACATACACATGCACACGTACACACACCCACACACGCATGTGCAAACACATATGCACACACGCACACACACATACACGCACACGTATGCACACAGACGCACACCCACGCACACTCACACGTGCACACACACGCACACACATGCACACACACAGAGACACAAAAGCCACAAGGCAATATAAAGAGACCTGAAGAACAAATCCAGGATACCCAATATGTGAATAACAGACCTTCAAAATGGTAAACAAAAAAGAACCAGTAGAAGAAAAGTCACACTCGAAAATTAAGTGTATGTGATGAGAGGCCAGAATGATTATCCCGGTGGGTCTCACAGTGGAAGCAAGTGTGAGAAAAACAGTCTGTAACTTCGCTTTGGACATACTCATATTACAAAAGTGTGGCCCCTAAGAGGATATGCTACTGTCCCGTGGGATGCCAAGCCTTTTGCTCTGTCAGGGTGCAGATTTCAGGTGACATATATTAGCTTAATGCACTGAAAGAAACCAAAATATTCTCCCCTACCTACTGAGGATTATGGAGCTTAAGAAGATTCAGATGCAGGGAGACTCCGCCCTGCCTCTGCTTGCCAGGTAGCAGGACAGCAATTTACAAAACCAAGGTATTCTTCCTTCCTCTCTGTCATTCCCACCTAAAGACAGGCCCCTTTCCAACACTTGCTTATAAGCTCAGAGACAGCCACGCCAGAGAATCTAGGAGCTGGCTTTACTCTTCCCACAATTACTTTCCCATGTATCTCACTTTTTTTAAGCCTGAAGATGCTCTTTTCTTTGTCTTGTCACTAAATAGGATTTATGGCTCTTTGTTAAAATAATTTTTTTTTAAGTGGAGTCTCTGTTGCCAAGGCTGGAGTGTAGTGGCACAATCCCGGCTCACTGCAACCTCTGCCTCCCAGGTTCAAGCGGTTCTCCTGCCTCAGCCTCCTGAGTAGCTGGGATTACAGATGCCTGCCACCACGCCTGGCTAATTTTTCTGTTTTTAGTAGAGACAGGGTTTCACTATGTTGGCTAGGCTGGTCTTGAACTCCTGACCTCAAGTGATCTGTCCGCCTCGGCCTCCCAAAATGCTGGGATTACAGGCGTGAGCCACTGCACCCGGCCAATACTTTTTAAGTATTGGCCCCTAAGCCACTGCCTTGAGAGAGAAATAATTTTGAACTGAAGCCTTTCCCAGGTGATGGGTACAGCAAGTGTTAATAAACTCCTGCTGGGTTTTCTCTTGTTAATCTGACTTTTGTTTTCAAGCAAGTCTAAACTAAGAATCTATAAGGGAAAGAAAAGAAATTACATTTCCTCACCTATAGCACTGAAGGAACCCAGGGAACTTCACCCAAAAATATGGCTCCCTAGTATAGTGAGTATTTTGAATTGAAAATCCTTAGAGATCAACAGAGGCCAAGAGAGTTTTCCCTTATCTGCATAAAGACCGACCCCCAAGGAGAACAGTTGCTTTCCTTCTCCTCCCTGTTATCTCCTTATCCACTGCAGAAAAGAATCCCGAGGAATACCGCCTCGCCTGAGCAGGCCCTTTGGCCCTCTAAGTATGCCATCCGTCCCCTTGACAACCAGGCCCCCTCCTGAGGCGGTCCGGGGTCAATCACCACATTCGCATAGAAACAGACACTTGTCACTTTGGAGACTCCAAGCTTTTTAGGAGCTGTGTGCCAGGGAGCAGGACAAAAACCAAATATATATTTCTTATCATAAATCACAATGTCATACTACCGTCTATTCATCCCTCCCCTCGGGACAGATAAGCTTGTCAGTTATCCTTTGGGTGGCTTACAGAAACATCTAACCCCACAGGGATGTTCTAAGAGGCTGACACATAAGAAAGGTAGAGGACATCCATCAGCTGTGCCTACTTAGGGCTCAAGCAGACCTGGTTATATTGCAGTCATTTCTGTCAACAAGAGCCTCCTGTGGCCCTGATGCTACGTAGCCTTAAAAATACTCTCCCCTGGAAGTAGACCCCTTTACCAGCCCCAGCAGACCAAAGCAAAATGAAGTCACTCATGCTAAAGTTCCATGTCACCAAACCAAAACTAAGCTACTTGACCTTCTGAGAAATCAGGAGAGAGAAATATAACCAAAGAGGCCAGCTTTAGCTGGCACAATAAGGAAGTCTGTCCTGCGTTAACTCTCACAAAGAAGTAACCTAATGCTATTAATTGATCAGTTATTTTTCTATGGTTTTGTTTCCTTGTTTTCCCCTTAGAAAACTCACTGTTCTGCTACTGGTTGGTGGAAGCTTTCAAGCTTTCATTTTATTTTGTAGGATGGAGGCTGCCCTGATTCACGAATCACACATAAAAGCCAATTAAGATCTTTAAATTTGTTGTGATTTTGTCTTTTGACACAACTGTGGTTATTTATTCTGCTCATGAATTTGAAGATTGCAGGGCTTGGTGGAGAGAGCTTGCCTTGCTCTCTGGGGCACCCTCTGGGGCAGACCCCTGGAGGGTAGAGGACCTGCTTCGGAGATGTCTTACTCTGGGGCTGAAGTGTGGTTCCAGTCGTTGTCGGGGAGGGCAGCAAGGGCGGTGGGCCCCAGGTTTTGGTTTCTCTCCACACGGGGCCTTCTCCAAGGTCTGCCTGGGCTTTCTTACAGCACGGTGTCTGGTTCTAGGAGTAACGTCCCAGGAGAACAAAGAGGAAGAACCTAGAATTTCCATGATCTGGTCTCAGGAGTCACAGGGCTTCACTTTGCTCTACTCTGTGTTGAGGCAGTCAAAGAGGTCTACTCTGATTCAGAGGGGGGGACACAGCCCTGATATCTTGGTGTCACAGATGACCTGTCACTGTGTAAGGAGATTGTGGGGGATGAGAGATATTGATGGCGCCATCTTTGGAAAATCCAATCTGCCAAAACTCTCCTGGGAAGTGATGACTTCCAAAACTCTCCTGGGAAGTGATGACTTCCTTCCCAGCCTGGGGGCTGGAGGTCGGGCAGCCTAGAAGGATCTGGGCTGTTCACCTTGAAGAGCGCAATCACTGAGGAGGTGGGTGAATTCCTTCCTGATCCTGGTCGGAAGTCAGGACTGCACTGAATGCACCTCGTGAGGGGGGCCAGCAAGCATGGCAATTGGGGCACTGGAAGGGTTGGGTTTTCCTCAGCGAGAGGGACCAGCAAGAGCAGAGATGTGATCTGCGTCTCTGCCACTTCTTCAAGCCTTAAACTACAGCCCTCAGGTTCCTTCCACCCTCAGCAGGAAGAATGTATATCTTGCTCTGTTGTGATTAAACATTTCTCCTTGATGAAGGCAGGGAGGTACCAGGGAGCTGCTGATCCCTCAGGCTCAGCTGTGTCTGTACCAGTGCCTCCAGCATCTGCTTATAGATCCACACACAGCCCAGCATTTTGTTACCTATATTGATCACTGATGAGGAATTGAATGGAGTCTGGAATTTGGTTTCTGGTGAAGAAACTAGGGCACAGGAGCCGAAAGCCACATTTTCAGGTGTTTTCCTGGCTTTTTCCCCTCAGCGGAGACAGATTCTTTGATTAACGCAGAGCTAGTGTCTTTGCAGCTCCTAAGTGATCGATATGCTACTGGTCTCATCCGGACCTCTCAGCTACTCCAGTGAGTTAAGGCGATATTTAAAATGCTCACTGCAACTGCTTTGCATTTCTCCGGTGTCATCTACCTTGCTAATTGCTTGTGTTAAGCAATTAGCAGCTTCGCCAATCAGCCTGGGGTGTGCTGGCTGTGGGGATGAGATTTCTTCATGACTTGCTTTTCCCAGTGGATTGAGTGCATATTTCCAATTGGCATTAGTAAGGTTGAGTTTGCAATAGCAGCTGCCAGTGCCAGCTCCAGCCTGGAGAACAGGGACAGCCCCTGCCCTGATTTTTCCTCCCACTGGTCTCCCTTCATGTTTGTTATATCACCCAACCCCAGGCTCACAGGAGTAACTGAGGAACGGAAGCATGAAGCACAGACTATGCCTCCAGTTGTTAATGAGCCAGACCAGGTTTGCTGCAAAACAACCAGGTCACAGTAGTTTGGAGCACAGCTTCCATGCCTCCTAAAGCACAGTGACAAATTGCTATTGGGAGTTTTTTGTTTTTAATTAAATTGGGAACAAGTGCTCCTGGAGCACTGGCAATGTCTCTGCTGACATGCACGGGGGCGCACGTTGCTCTGACACCCACTTCTATGCATGTGCTGAGGACACAAGAAGCTAAGCATTGCTCTGCCTGAGACTTAGCGCCTTCCATGAAGATATCTGAAGCTGAAAAATATCCCGTGTCCGGACATACTGTGAATTACAGCACACTCAGCCAAAAATAGATCAGAGAGACTTTCTGAGAGTCACTCACTTCTCTGTCCACTTCGGAGAACTCAGCTTTGATTGGCATTATGGACAAAACAGATCTGATTTCTGTCCTCAACAGGCATTAAACAATCCTAGGAAAATACATCGCATATTATGATATGTGCTATGAATAATAATAATCTTAACAATCACAAACCATGATTAACATTAAGGAGCAGTTACTGTGAGTCAGACATTGTTCTAAGCAACTGACATTTATCAACTCATTTGATGCTTACAACAATTTTTTCATTATTATCTCCACTTTACAAATGAAGAAATTTAGCATAGATGATGTGAAAACACCTTGCCAAAGTCAAGAGCTAATATGCTGTGGAGTCAGGACCTGGATGTGCAGCCAGACCCCAGGGCTCAGCTCATAACAGGGGAATGTGAATTCAAAGTCATGAGCTAATATGCTGTGCAGTCAGGACCTGGATGTGCAGACAGACTCCAGGGCTCAGCTCATAACAGGGGAATGTGAATTCATCCTTTGCTGGTTTTCTCTGGACTCTTATCTGGTCAGACTTGAGTCCCCACAGCCCTGCAGACACTGCTCTTGTCAAGGTCACCTTCATGATCTAAGCCCGGGGGTCTGTTCTCAGTCTTGGCCTCCCTGAATTCATCTGCGGCTTGCACAGCTGATTCCTTGAAGCACCATGGACGTGTGGCTGCAGCCAGATCCTGCTGCTTATCCTTCTACCTTTCTGTTCCTTGCACACTGTTCTCCTAGTTCCTTCTTGTCTCCCAACGTCCAAACCTCACTGCCCTGGGCTCACTCCTTGGACCTCTTTGCCGTTTTATATGTGCTTACTTCCTTGATGACCTCGCCCCATCTAATGTCTTCGAATAAATCTATATGGTGATGATTCCAGTTTACCTTGTGTTTTGACTTTTCCCTCAACCCTGGAGGACCAGCAAATCTAACTACGTACTCAGCATTTTCATTTGGATGTCTAGTAGGACATTTCCAGGGTGATCTGCCCAAGATAGAGCTCCTGTCCACCCTCCCATCCTACTACCAAACTGACCTCATTCCCTGGCCTTCTGCATCCTGCCAGTGGTAATGCTCTCCTTCCAGTTGTTCAGGCTAAGACATTTGGTGTTATCCTTGATTGCCTTCTTGGCTTTGTTTATAAAAGATGCCCAGAATCTCCCTGTGCCCAGCACGGCCTCTCAGCACCCTGGTCCCAGCCCTGCTGCCTCCAGGCAGGCTTGATGCAGCAGCCAGTTTTCCTGTTCCTGGCATCCCTGCTGCAGCCACACAGGGCCCTGGTAGTGTGCAGGGATGTGGACCCCCGCATGGTCTAGAGCTTGACTTAGAAATTCAACTTTTGCTTCCGCTTCTGATAACTGTGCTTCTATGAGAATGTCATTTAGACTCTTGTGGACGGAAAATGGGCCTGATATTAGTTTTTGCCCCTCAGAGTTGTTGATGTAGGTAAAGAGTTTGAACTTAGGTCTGGCTCATATTGAGGGCTCTACAACACTGCTATTATTATGAACGCAAAAGGCAAAGCACAGGACCCAGGGCTCAAATCCTCCACTGGCCTCCAGGTCGAAGTGAAACATAAACCACAACAGTGGCCTCCAGGGCTTCACCTTTCACCTCTGCCCCCTCTTCTTTTCTCCAGTCACCTCCTGCACTCACTCTGATGTGCCAGGCTCTGGCCTGTGGCCTCTGCACGTACTGTTTCCTCTGTCTGAAAGTCTCTTCCCCTATGAGGCCATCTCTGGTTTCCTATTCCACGTGGCAGTGCTGCTCCCAGGCCATCCACTCTTCACCCAGCTTTCCCTTCCTGCATAGCAGCTGTCACCACTGACATCACACTGGTTATTGATCTTGTTCGTTGCCAGTCTCTCTGCTAGAATGTAAGCTTGGTGAAGGCAGTGGGTAGGAGGGAGTACTTTATTCTCTTCCACATCCCAGCCTCTAGAGCCATGTTTTAACTGCCTACACAGTAGGCAGTTAATAATGGATGTTAATTGAATGATTAAATTAAATATAAAAACAGCTGGCACTTATTGGGTGCCAACAATCTTGCATACTGATTCCCATTCAATCCCACCATAGCTCTGTGCCATAGGGCCTTATTTTTAGATCTTTCACTTTGCTGATGAACAGAGTGAAGCACGGCGTGGCTGATGTGCCCAAAGCCAATGGTGGGTGGGTGTGAAGCCAAGAGGCACCTCCGAAAGCCTAATTCTAGAGCTGCAACCATTCTGAATTTCAGTGAATTCTCAACCTGTCTGCTGTGTACATTTGCTTCCTCTCAGTGATCTCTATATTCTGAGTGGGGTTAGACCCTTGAAGTGTGGCTTGTGCCACTGAGGAGCTGAATTTTTAATTGGCTTCATTTGTATTAATTTAAATTTACATAGTTACACATGGCTGGTGGCTATCTTATTGTACAGTCCAGGTCAGCATGGCCTCTTACCAACAAAGCCCTCTCTTTCTCATTGTCTTGTGCCAACATTTCTTTTAAAAATAGATGTCTGCTATAGACTGAATATTTGTGTTCCCTCAAAATTCATGTTTTGAAATCCTCACTCCCCAAGTTGATGATATTAGGAGGCAGGGCCTTTGGAAGTTGACTCCAACATGAGAGTGGAGCCCTCGAGAATGGGATTAGTGCCCTAATAAAAGAGGCCCCAGAGAGCTCCCTCACCCCTTTGCCATGTGAGGAAGCAGTAAGAAGGCACCATCTCTGAAGCAGAGAGCAGCCCTCAGCAGACACTGAATATGCCGGCGCCTGGATCTTGGACTTCCCAGCCTTCAGAACTGTGGGCAAGACGTCTCTATTTTTTCTAAATTATCAAGTCAAAGATATTTTGTTTCAGCAAGTTGAATAGGCTAAGACAATGTCCTTACAGCCAGGTGAAGTGGGCCCTTCCTTTGACTAAGAGAAATGCATTATCCACTGTGGCAATGTCATTGAAGGTCATCTGCTCATTGTGGCACAGAATTTTTGCCTGTCATTTTGCCGAAGATCTCATTTGCTTTCAAATTGCAAGTCTAGCAGAATCCCAGGGATCAAGTGGCCCTGATTCTCTGATTGTGTGTAATAGTAAATATTCTGTAGCAGTTGGAGAAGTGTGTTAATAGATGTCAACAGAGATGCAAGGTGATGCTTGTCAAATCACTGATTTTTAGAGCAGGGGGTTTTCAGAGTAGGTCTGGCAGGAATGGGTATGTTCCTTCCCCCAAGGCCATGACACCTTTTATTCAAACATAAATCATTCTATTCTTTCACAGACAGACAAATGAGACAACTCTGGGATTGACCAAAGGGTATTCTTTCCATTTCAATTCCAACTTGTTGGTTCTGATATTCCTTTGGGGGCCACTTTTATTTGCCATGCTATGTTGATTGTCTGAGGAAGTAACTCAACAGGAAATACAATTATTGCAGAACTGTGGTGCTGTACTGCAAATTTCACAACAGAGTTGCTGGGATTCCTGGTTCTTAGGGCCCATGTTTGTTGAGGTTCACAGCAGCATAGGATTGACAGAGCAATGCACACCTGCATGGATCCCTTGGCTTAGGAATGGGAGCGTTGCAGTTGGCTGGGACTGCTGACACTTAACTGCAACCCAGGGATCTCTCGAAGCAGTTGCTGGTTTGGCTCCAATTACTGTCATGTATCTAATACTTTAAAGGGTATGCAAGAAACACAGAAGCAAAACCAATTTCAGACTCAGCTTTGTTCTCTCAAGGATCCCCATGTAGCCCAATGCTTGGGGAAGACGGCTGGATGAGTGGTGGCATGCAAGGTGGTTAGAAAGCTGCTATTTCCAAGTCATTCAGACCAAGCCTTTGAAGGACACTCATGGCCTCAGTCACTCAGTATGCACCTACCAGCCACTTTCTCCTGCGTGCATCTCTGTCATCACTGTGTTTTGTCAGTGGAGGCGAGACGCAGTGCTGCCCAGGGCTGGGATGGTGGTGAGCACGCCTCATAAACATGCTCTGTGAGTGGGAGAATTCGAATGCTGCATGCCAGCTGACTTTCTGTCACCCACACTGACCCTCTCAATACTGCATGCTGAGCTCCACTAACTCCCATACTATGTAATTGATGGAGTGGAACAAACTTCACAGCAAGTTAAATGCAGACTTTATTCAAGCTCCAAGGGACTTGGAAAGACCTTCAGCCCAGTCAGCCCAGATGAGCCCACCTCTGTGAGCCCCTTGATTTGGAATGGCGGCTTGTATGTCTGTGTCAACAGGAAGCTCACTGCATTGTGACTCAGGTGAGGAGGCCTGCCCTGGGAGCAAACTCCTCTGCAGCCATCATCACGACAGGCACAGCACAAGGGTGAGTCTCTCATCTGGCCAGAGCCTCCCCAACCCACTGGGGCAGCAGTCACATCAAAGGCCTGCCCTGCGATGCACCAGCCTGGAGGGGGGCATCATGCCCATTAGGGCTTTGGTGCCTCCAGTGGGTACAGAAGTCTGGAAGAGCTGGGAATGTTTCTCTCGGGGGAAAGGTTGACTTTACGTGCAAACCAATTTATATGTGTCTGCCTTTTCTGGAGGATGACCTGGAAAAATGATGTGCACATACTATCCATGCACTGAGAGACAAGGTAGGACACCCCATGAGAGTGGTACAGGCAGTTATTTTGGGTGCTAAGCAGTTAGGGTGATTTTTGGCTGGAGGTATTCAGGGAGGCTAATCTCTGGCATTTTGATTGGTGGGATCAAGAAGGCAGGGAAAAAGCTACAGAGATAGGGATAAGGGGAACCCACGCAGGCTGGAGTTTTTGGAGAGTGGAGTGAGGTGGAGAATATGGCAGCACATGGACCCTAACAGTATCACAGCAGCCTGTGGACACCAGTCACAGAGCTCAGGTCCAACTCGGAAAGCATCAGGAGCATTTGAGAATTTGGGGAAAGAAAGATCTCATCAAGGTGGGCTTCTAAGAAGACTCCCCCTGCCAGTTGAGCAGGAAGCGGGAGGGAGGATGGAAGCCAGTGTCTCCCCCTGCCTCCTTGCAGAGGAACGATGTTTGTAACAGCAGGTTCTTGGGGGTGGATGTGGTCTCAACTAAGATGGCAGGTCCAGGGTGACACCAGCGGGATTCAGGCTCTGCCAGGTCACAAGTTTTGGAGATGGTGACTACACCTGCTTTGAACTCCTAAAAACCAGTAATGAATGCCCCAGGATACAGGAATGGTGTGGCGGGTACAGGGCAGCCTGTCAGCCTCCAGGTCCAGCCCATGGCCTTCCCCTATGGACCTGTCTCTGGTAGGCCTTGCAGACCCTTCCCCTGGCAGGGCAACCTTGCCACACACTCCTCATCCCCTCATCCCCCCTTGCCCAGGCTTCCCTACTTAGCCAGTGATTTGATTTCCTTTGCGTATGAGTGCATCCGCCTTCCCTCCTCTTCATAACACGCCTGTACCCGTGGCCCACTCAGTCCTGCACCTTGACTCAAATCTTTTTGTGATTGTCCTTCAGTGTGACCCCCTCTGAATGGACTCCCTCTTCTCTCTGTAAAGACACTCGAAAACATAAATAGTCCTCCGAGCAAACCTATCACTCAACCCCACTGCCTTCCTGCTTCACATCCTGTGACATCGAGGGGAGACCAAAGGCTCCAGGGAGGGGAGGACCTCAGGAAAGGAGCCTCCTAGCTCCTGCCTCTGCCCCAGGAAAGGAGTGGACAACACACACCATCGGCTCCAGAACAAGATCGCTTTGTTCTGTTCATTGTTACTGTCCTGTGTTTGTTCATTATTCCCCATGTTTCCTAATATATGTTTTCTAAGCCAACACATTAGTTCAAATTACTGCATTTTTCTTGAATCTTGACAAGAAAATTATGTAGGAAGTAGATTTGAGTTTTTGCATAGCTGTGTCTACTGTGACCCAATGGACTTTCACCCTGAACCTTTCATTTCTTGTGCAAATCACACTTCTCTGCATCCTTTCCTACCATGTTACTCGAGAGCTGCGGCTGAGTAACGTTTTAGCACAGCATCAATTTCCCTGGCATTAGGTCTTGATTTGTCCAGAAAATGAAAACTTAAGCTCTCTCAAGGACACACCTGAAATTTTATCCCTTTAGAACTAGTAGCTTGATTTTGTCAATGATGATTTGATCCTGTTGAATTTCTGACCCTTTCAGGTAAGCCCTGGACCAAGCCACAAAGGTAGCAAGATTGGTTTTCGGAGTTTCTCGTAGGCTGTTCTTCTTGCCTTCTGTCACACTCACTCCATCAGGGCCTGTTTGCTGCCCAGATGAGCCACACACATCGGCTGGATGAAATGAAACTTGCCCTTCTTGTCCTACATGTCTGTATCTAAAAGTATACATTTTGGAAAGAGGCCTTATTAATCTAAATACTTTTTATTTTAAGGTAAGAATTTTAATTTCTATTTCATTTGGTGATATTTTGTTCATATTAGTTGTCCTGTGGGTTTGCAAGGAAATCCGTCAAGGTTACAAAAGAACATTTTATAACTCTTATTTTTAACCTAGAAATAGCAAAGAAACAAAACATTAGTACTGTTTTAAACATGGGTGGACACTTACAGCTCATTTGGCTTAAATGATGGCAGGTTATCTGTTAGCTGAGGATTCAAGACATCTGAGGGAAGAGTGGGGTACAGGGAGCAGCGTGGGGGCTGAAATGCACAGTGTCATGTGTGTGGGAGTGTGATGTGCATGCAGTGTGCATGTGTGTGTGGGATGTGTGTGATAGATGATGTATGTGTGCCTGTGATCTGGTGTGTGTGTATGTGTGTGTGCAGGTGTCTGCGTTGGAGTAGTTTAGTGGGAATCCCTGACTCCTGACAGCTGATCAAGCTTCCCACCTCCACCATCCCCCAGGAGATGTCTGAACCCTGTCTGCTTTCAGCAAGAATCCTACTAGGTCGGGTTAGCCAGATTCCCCCACCTACAGGCCGGATGCTTCCTCTTATTGATTTAGCATCCGCTGACCCCACCCTGCTCTTTGGTGAAAGTCCCCACTGTCCATGCTGTAGGAGTGACCCATGTTCTACTTTGAGGCTTCTTTTATCCTACTGCAATCATTCCTGAACCAAATCTATTTTTACAGCTTTAACTATTGTCCAGTTCTGGTTTTCTTTAGCGGAGGGAAGCAGCCAGGGGGGTCTCCATAGTCAA
Organism: Homo sapiens; assembly: GCF_000001405.40. Classification (NCBI taxonomy): domain Eukaryota; kingdom Metazoa; phylum Chordata; class Mammalia; order Primates; family Hominidae; genus Homo; species Homo sapiens. The sequence continues at coordinate 24,014,597 of NC_000020.11, forward strand.
CTTGACCTTGATCTTCATAAAGGTACGAAGGCACTTTCAGGCCAAACTTCTAGTGAACCTGGGACATTTTGGGAGCTAAGTGAGCTGCCAGCGGCCCTAGGATCAGAGTGGGGAAGGGACTAGGGTTTTCCTCAATCTCAGGCTTAATGACTGGGGGCATTTCAGCTCCACTTACTGCTCTGTCTTTCATAACTTTGTCCAAACCCTTTTTTGGGATTCTTCCAGAAGCAAAGGGAAGCACAGTGTTGATTACTCGCTGTGTGAGCAGTGCGTTCCCTTCTGTGCTATATGAGTACTTTGCTCACATCTTACATTTCACTTTACACATGTGTGTCAGGGTTTGGGAAACCAGTCTCGTTTTATCCTTGACTTTATTTTTTGGCATCTTGACTGGAGCATCTCTATGTGCATGCACCCTCACTGCCATCTCCTGGGTTCTCTGTTCCAGTGTCTTGTGGATTTTCTCCTCCCCTATTTCTGACCATGAAAGGCAGCATCCCCGCTGCCCTGCCCATCGGTGGCACTGCTCCCTGCAGTTCTCTGGCCAGATTCAGAACCCACAAAACGAGACCTTGTCTCCCTTTCCCTTTTCCAGCCCAGACTCAGACCCAGACCCACCCTATGCAGCCTGGGACACCCTTGCAATGGCTCCCAGCCTCCTCAGCTCTCTTGCAGCGCTTGTTATTGTAAACCAAACCCATTGCTTCCTTTCATATACCTGGTGCTAACCTAACCTGTCCTGATTCCCTTTCTCTACTTCTCGTGTCCTTCCAATACTTCAAAACTACATTTAATACTCCATGTTCACATGAATCATGTATGAAAAGAAAAGCTATTGATTTATATTTTCTTTTTTGTTGTTTTAATGATATGCCTTCCTTCGCATTCTCATTTTTGTATATGGTTGCCTATTACAGCAAGTTCCTCAAAGAAAAATGTGAAGTGATGTCTGTGGCTTTGTATTATAAGGTAGATATCTTAAATTCCTTCTTTTAAAAAATAACTATATCAGGTCATTATTTATCTCTAAAAGAACTAACTTTTATTAATAAACCTTAAGGCTCATTTGCCACTCTACCTACTCATAGGAACTTCTAATAAACTCATCTGTATAAGAGGAAACATCCTTGGCATGTCATGGGTCTTTGCAGAGATTAATGTAGTAAATAAGTTACATCGAACAGTTCCTAACTCTGCTCTAGTGACAACAGCAGCAGCTGGCCCCCTTGTCCTCATGCCCACTCCCTATACAAGAGTGGATTCTGTGCCCTTACTTAAGCATCATTGTCTCCTTGTGCAGTGTTCACCAGGACCCGCAGCGGGGTGAGTTTACTAAGATGGTGTTGAGTCCTGGTTCCCAAGGACAGGCCTCACAGCCTGTGTCAGAAAACAGCACAGGGGAGGTGTAGGTCCGAGAGGTGGGTTGTCCATTGCAGTCCACCTATCACCTTCTCCAGACAACACAGCGGGGCTGCTCTGTGCTAGGAGTATTATTGCTTTCTGAAATTGTGCAGGGATCTATGCACTGCTCCTTTTAGTTTGAAATACTTTCAGACTGTAAGCAGTTTAAACTAGATAAACTGTATTTCCTTCCAGCTAAAATATTCTCTCATCCTGTCTTCATAAAACCCATGCATGCAGAGAATCCAAAAATAAATCACGCAATGCATGTCACCTTCGTTTCCCATTGCCTTGCAGCCCAATCAAACAAAAATTCCTTAAACACAGCCTTATTAAAGTCACTGCTTTGTAACTGCTGGGAATATGAAACAAGCAATTTAGTCTCACTTGAGGGACAGACCCCACCTTCTGGTGTTTGATTCTGTGCCCTTCCTATCTGAACCACCTTCCTTGACGATCTCTGCTGTTAGCTTAGAAGGAAAACACTATCCATGATTGTTCTATGTTCCCAGCTGATTGGAGCTATGGAGGTGAGGTGTACTTGAAGCTGGAGAACCTCCTATGCTTGATATGTTTTATGTTTTGCAAATTCCTCTAAATACACAAGAATGCTAGTTGCTGAGACAGGCAGGACTGCAAGAACTTGGTATTTACCTAAGACCCTGTAGCACTTTTCTGTAACACTCCAAAATCCTGGCACCTCCTGGCCATCATCCTCACTGCTTCTCCCACAGAGTCCCGGTCAATCATTAACACCAGCCTCACTCATCGCTCAGCCACTCAGTACGACAATGATGGTGGGAACGCAGATCTGCTGTCCCTCTAATAACTGTCGAGTAGGAGATCGCAGAATGTCAGCTCCAGAAATGGCTCGCATATTTCCTGTGTGTTATTGCTTTTTAACCCAGATCATCTTGGAAGAGAAATAGCTTTCATTTATATTCTAAACTCATGCAAAGGGTGGTAAAGCTTGCTGATTCAAGAATCTGATTTATTTTACAGAAATTAACATAACCACTAAAATCAAACCCATTCCCTTCCCCAGTGTGGTTGCTAAAGTGGCCCAATTATGATAAAGAGAGTGCAAGAGTATGAGTCTCATTTTCTGCTCATCTATTTTATTTTGATGCCTTTATTAAATGCAGGAGGCACGGCTGCTCTGATGGGTCTCCTCCCTTCACTCCTCTGGAACAGCCCTACCTTGCCATCAGCATCTGGTTTTTTTTTAAACAATATGTCTTCTGATTTAAACAATGCCTTTATTATTGTATTAAAATATACATAACATAAAATTTACCATCTTAACCCTTTTAAAGTACACAGTTCAGTGATATTAAGTACATTTACATTGTTGCACAATCATCACCAGCCCCATCTCCAGAACACTTTTCATCTTCAAAACTGAAACTCTGTACCCATTAAACACTCCCCACTCTCCCCCTCCCAGCCCCTGGCAGCCACCATTCTACTTTGTCGTGACGAATTTGATGACTCTAGCCACTTACATAAGTGGAATCATTGTAAGTAATGAATCACTGGCTTATTTCATTTAGCATAATGTCCTCAGAGTTCATCCGTGTTGTGATATGTGTCAGAATTTCCTTCCTTTTTAAGGCTGAACACTGTTCCATTGTATGGAAATGCCACATTTTGGATACTGTCTTATTTCTCTACCTGTATTTCCTGGAAACAACTTCCCACTTAGCATCTATACCCAAGCTCTTAGCTCAGTGTGTGCTTTAGAGGGAACACAAATCAAGGAGGATTTACATGTTTTTTACCCCTTTGAGGTGTTTTAGACCCTGGCTTATAAGTGAAATCAAAAAACAAGGGAAAGAAATGCTGAACATGAAAAAAAAAATTCTTCTGAAGGAACAGAAAAGAATACCAGGGCTACTTAGAGAAAACTCAGGGCAACAGAGTTGATATAAGGGCGTGTAACTCATGGTAAATGCAAGGGGAGAGTCCACAGACTCAGCCAGAAGACACAGCAATCGTGAGTCGAGGCAAATGGATCAGGGTCTGTGGCCAGTGACTTCTTGGTGTGAGGGACCCAGAGGAGGCTCATTCCCAGCACAAGTCCCCAGAGAGCTGGACAACAGCTTAGGGCTCTACAGGGAGCAAGAACCTAGGCAAAGGTGATGGTTCTCAAGGACTCAGGTAGATGAGACAGGTGAGCAGCCTGCTCCAAAAGATAGGCATGAGAGTGAAATTTCTAATATTCTCCCCTGGCTGGTTCTCTCTTGGTCCTGGCTGGTGACAGCTGTGGCCAGTTGGGGAAGGATTAAAGTGGCAAACCAATCTGAACTTCTTAAAGTTTCCCCCAAATGTTATATTTGCTTCAGTGGATTCCACGGTTGAGTCTACAAATATCAGAACTTTGGGTGTGTGAGCTTGTGTTCTCTTTTCCCTTCTCTGAGACTGTCTGTGCAGTCCACAGTCCTAATGACCATCTTCCCATCCTTTGGCAGAGCGGCTGAGCTGCCATCAGGAAGAAAGGTCTTGTGAGTAGCTGCACAGTTCATCCCCACTGTAGATCACAGCTCAGGGCTTTTCCGTTGAGCACTACTGATTCATTCTGGGTTGCCCCTTAGTTCGATTATGAGGTGCTCTGTGTAACACGGCTGTCTCTTGTAAGCCTGCTCTTTCCAAGACAGAAGAATGAAGATGTCTTCAATAAAGGAAGTGGATAATACTGAGCCCTTCGTGACATCCTTTACAAGCTGAGCATGCGCAAGCACAGGGGCAAGTGCTCCATAAACTACCAAGTTTAGTAGGGGTGAGGAGGTCCTACTAAAGGACTGGAGAGACCAGGTGAGTGCAGAATGAGAGGAGCTCCTGGGGGTTTATGTGGCAACAGGGGCCATCCCCTGGAGGTGGTGCAGATCCAACAACCCTGCATCCTTTAGCCTGGCTGTTCTTTCACTGTGACTCGGAATGGGGAATCAGTAGCCAGAGAACAAAGCCTTGTGGCAGCTGCTCTCACAGCCACACCCACATTCCCTGGACACTGACTGCTCTCAAACCCTCATGTGGAGTACTAGGGTGTGTGCCGGTGACTCCCCAGGGCTTGCTCTCCCCACTCACAGGAAGTGCCAGAGCCCAATTCCCCAGGAGCAGCCTTCAGCCAAGGAGGATGGGGTGCTGGGTGGAAAACAAAATTGCCCTCTTCCTCACTTTTTCAGGCAAGTCTGAGACAAGTTCCACACCAACAAGCCCCCAGGTTGCATATGAGGTGCTCACAGCAGAGACCTGCTCATTAACTGCTTCCCCTCCTTCCCTGTCTCACTTTTTCACAAGTCATCTGTGTCTTCCTGGAAGCAGATGCTGGGAAGGAGTTAGAAGTGCAAGTAATTCCTTGAGGTGCATAATACCTGTAAAAGAAAACTGGGTGTGATTGTTAATACTGTCTGTTAATGTAATTGGATTGAAGGATGCAAAATATTGATCCTGGGTGTGTCTGTGAGGGTGTTGCCCAAGGAGATGAACATTTGAGTCAGTGGGCTGGGAAAGACAGACCCACCCTTAATCTGGGTGAGCACCATCCAATCAGCTGCCAGCGAGGCTAGAACATAAAGCAGGCCGGAAAACGTGAAAAAACTAGACTGGCCTAGCCTCCCAGCTTACATCTTTCTTCCATGCTGGATGCTTCCTGCCCTCAAACATCAGACTCCAAATTCTTCAGTTTTGGGACTCAGACTGGCTCTCCTTGCTCCTCAGCTTATAGATGGCCTATTGTGGGACCTTGTGATTGTGTGAGTTAATACTTAATAAACTCCCCTTTATATATATAGTTCTGTCCCTCTAGAGAACCATAACTATTACAGACTTTGGTACCAGGAGTGGTTCTAGAGAAACAGAATATTAAGAATGGAGTTTTTTCATTGGTTTTGGGTTTCTGGAGTTGGCTGCTTAATATAATTAGATCCAAAAATGATAAGGACTCTACTTCTAATAGTATGGAGAACACTGATAGTCCTTGGTGTGAACTGTTTAGAGAGTTACGCAAAATAAATGCATCTGACACTCCTAATTCACCACTCACAAGAGGCAAGGAGTTTGGTGACTCTATACATAATACCTTTGACTATATGTGGAGAACCAAGGAACATAATGAAGCTGGTTGGTTGCTCCTAAGTTTGGTGGAAAAAGTGACAAAAGAAAATGATGAACTCCGGGATTCTAACTCCCAGCTTCAGAAGCAGATACTGAGGCTCAAATCTGGTAAGACTGCCCTGAGTGAGGGTCTTATCTCCTGTAGAGAAATAACTAAAATTGTGGAAAAACAGACATAAGCTCTTACAATGCGAGTGGCTGACCTGCAACGAAAGGTGCATGCAGAGCTTCCCCAGGTGTCTGCTGTTAAAGTGAGGGCATTGATAGGAAGAGAATGGGACCGTGCAACTTGGAATGGGGATGTGTGGGAGGACCCTGATGACACTGGGGACACTGAGTTTGTAAACTCTGATGAAGCTTTTTTTGCCAGAAGAAACAGCTTCCCTATCCCCAGTAGTGGCAACATCCCCTCCCCGACCCATGCTGCCATCAGCCTTTCCACCTTTGTCTGAGGAGTTAAACCCTGTGCTGCCTGAGGCAACAGTGATGATGGCCTCAAGGCAGTTGCCAGGCAAGATAATGTTGATTCTCCTGAGGAGCCACCCCCAACACCCCTGTTTTCTTCGAGACCTATAACTAGACTAAAGTCCCAGCGGGCCCCTAGACATAAGGTTGAGAGTGTGACCCATGAGGAGTTGCAGTACACTCGAAAAGAACTGCTTGAGCTTTCTAATTTATATAAGCAGAAATCTGGAGAACAGGCATGGAAATAGATATTAAGGGTGTAGGATAATGGTGGAAGGAACATAGAGTTGGATCAAGCTGAATTTATTGCTTTGGGCCCACGAAGTAGGGACTCTGCATTTAATATTGCAGCTTGGGGAGTTAAAAAGGGTTCTAATAGTTTATTTGTTTGGTTAGCTGAAATATGGATGAAAAGATGGCCTACTATGAGCGAGCTGGAAATGCCTGATCTCCCTTGGTTTAATGTAAAGGAAGGGATTCAAAGGCATTGGGAGATTGGGATGGTGGAGTGGATTAGTCACTTTAGATCTACTTATTCCAACTGGGAGCATCCAGAAGATATACCTTTGACCAATGCCTTGCAAAATAGATTTGTGAGGGCAGCACCTGCATCTCTGAAGAGCCCTGTAATTGCTCTTCTCAGATCTCACAGTGGGAAACTACAACAGCCCAATCCAGGTAGGACTACAAATTGCCCAGACTCTTTAGGAATGAAGGTTTGGCTTACTCCACAAGGAAAAAAAAAACACACACACACAACCTGCTGAGGCACTTGCTAAAGGCAAAGGGAATACAGAATGGGTAGAAGAATGTAGTCATCAATACCAGCTATGACCACAAGACCAGAAGCGTGACCAGACCTTTTTATATATATAAAGGGGAGTTTATATGTGTGTGTGTGTGTATATGTGTGTGTGTATATGTGTGTATGTATATGTGTATATATATATGTGTGTGTGTGTGTGTGTATATATACATAAAAATATATATAGATATATATCCTATTAGTTCTGTCCCTCTAGAAAACGCTAATACAGTTGGGGAAGAAAACCTGACACCAAGTGCAGGGCCAGTGTTGGGCAGGGGGAGCCTTGGACTGTGGTGCTGACTGAGGAAGGCTCCGCCAACCCAGAGATTGCCCATTAGAGGCGTCCAATGCTGGGTGCACTGAGTTGGGCTGCAGCACCAGCCAAGTGCAGGCCGTGGCAGGGATGGCCTGCAAAGAGTTTGTCTGAGTAGGAAAGCAGGGGCAGATCCTGGTGGCAGCCAGTGAAGGCTGCAGAAACCCGCCTTCCTTGCAGCTGGGCAAGTTCTCCCTTGAGGGGAAGAGAGGTATTCCACAGTGCTCCCCACCACTGCTCCCTCCAAATCGCCACTCAAACCAATTCCTGCTCTGGATCCTTTCCTCAAGGTCTGCTTCTGGGGGAATGAGCCTAAACCAAACTTTCAGTTAATATTTATTATGCTTCATGTGCCCCACTGTGCAAGGTGCATATCCCTAAAAACCGTGGGTTCTTAATGAATGTGTTTCCTGCTCCCAATAAGTTCATTCCAGTTTTTCTCCTGTGCAGTTTTATGCTGCACATAAAAATACATGAAGGGAGATTGCAGGATCCCTACTAGAGAAGCAGGGCCACTTGCAAATTGCAAGCAACTGAACTAACATGATGTAGAGGAAAGCTGATATCTGTCACTTGCATGAATGTGTACTCTGAACAAGGAAGGCAAAGGACATGGGGCAGGCATGGAGGAGAACAACCTTGAGGTGGGTCATCACAGCCACAGTGCCCCAAGTGCTCTGAGTTCCAGCTTGCAAGGCTGTCCTGGGAGGTGCCTGTTTCTACTTCATTTTCCCTTTATGACACCCCAAATAAATGGCACAGCCAGATGCACAAGAAACAAAAGACTTTTGAAGATTTACAGGATTTAAGATAAGGATCCTTGTATCAGGAAGCAATTGTATGAAAAAAATAGTTAAGAGCAAGGTTTCCAATTTATATGAACACTCAGATTTGTCCCACAGGTTATTAAAGCTGAACAACAAGCTTTTCATTCTGCTTGGAGGCCAAAAGCCGAAAAGCTATTAACTTGCATACATCTTGTGTGCTTCAAAATTGAAATTAGCTTCTTTAATTGCATCAGCATAAAACAAATATCTGTTCCTCAGAGGACCTGGTTTTAAAGGCAGCTTGAAATTAAGTGACCCCAAGGCCCACACAGATGTCATGACAGCAGCTATGAAAAGAGGTGATTTACTGTGTAATTGGGAGTGGTGCAGAAAAGTTGAAATAATGAGAGAATTGTTTTTCTTTGTGTTTTCTTCCTTATTCTCTGGATTTTATTTTCAGCAATTAAGTGCTGATTAGTTCCTCTACTGCCTGATGCTTTGAGACATGCATAACAATCAGCGAGCCTGCAAATTGAGTGGAAACCCCTAATTGCTTAGATAATGATCCCAACAGAAGCTGCTCCTCAGGAGAGGAACCGCTCATGATATTACCAGGCGGGGGCCTAGGTGTCCTCTTCTTCCTTTCTTCTCACCTGTCTCAGCACAGGCCAATTCCACCAGCAAAGGTGCCCAGCTCACCTGCTTGGTCCCCTGGAGAAATATTGAGGCCACAGGAAAATGGGGCCTGAAGACTGATACTCCCAGGAAGAAGCAAGACTGAGAGCAAGAAGGAGACAAGGGGACCAAGAGCAACAGGAGCAGAAAAAGAAAGAGGAAGAGGACGAGGGAGGGAGGAAGGAGAGAAGGGCAAGAAAGATGACTTATTTGTCCACAGTGCCAATGACAGGTGCACCTTCCATCTTTCCCCACTAGGCCGATTGTTAACTTGGCATCAAACCAAGAGTATTCTTAAATTTGCTATTTGAAAAATTCAATAATTATAATACAGATAACTTGCTTTTTTTGTAGTGTTTTTCTCTGAAATATTTGTGATGATATCTTATAATTTTGGTGCACAAGTTTCTTTCATTTGGGTTACCTCTTTGAGTCACCCCATAGACCTCAAGGAAGTCAAGGTTATGTAAGAAATGATACTAATGAGGGGTCCAGGCAATTCTTGTAGGGGCTGAGAGGTATTTGCTGACTATCTTTACATACCAAAACTTAGTGCCTTAAAACACCATTAATTCAGCTCATAATTTTTGCAGGTCAGGTGTTTAGGAAGGTCTAAGCAATTCTTGGTTGGATTTCTCATGCTTGTTGCAATCAGCCTTGGCTGGAGCTGCCCTCAGCTGAGACACTTGCGCTGGAGGTCCAAGAACTTGCTCAGCTGATGTCCCCCTCAGCCTCTCCAGCATGGGGACCTTAGAGGAGTTACATTTTTGATTGGGCATCCAGGTTCCCTTGGCATGACCATCCCAGGAGAACCAGGTAGAAAGTTTATGCCCTTTACCTGCTGATGGAAGTCACACAATGCCCTTCCATTCTGCCTGTCCTTGCAGTGACTCTTTATGGTCTGCCCAGATTCAAGCGGGAGGCTCATAGACCTCTCAATAAAGCACCAATAAACTGCTGCCGTATTTTATTATCGCAAGAGACATTTGCAATGCAGTGATTGAAGAAATATGGCCCCAGATGAGTCTTGTCCCAGGACTAGAATCTTAGGTGTCCTAGCAGTATTCCAGGACTGCTTCTGTGCCCAACAAGTGCTTCTTGGCTCTCTAGGCATAAAACACACAGGACACTCCATCATGGGACCTAGTGTACTGCATTATTAAATAGAATAAAAAATTAGCCATGAAAAGAGAGGGGAAGGGATTAATCACACTCCTATGCTTACATGCAGAACTGCCCCCACTCTGGCTGAGTTGCAGCAGAGATAACCACTGTGTCACAGCACTTGTGATACTGCTGTAATTTATTATTTATGGTACACAAGTAGCATGCATGCATCTTTTCAGATATCATGTGAGGTACTTTTAAAACATCACATAGCTGCAGGCACTAGGCCTGCATAAAAGTAAAGCAAAATTACCCTCACTGTCAACCCAGCTGTGGGGATGGCTCTTGACTTTTAGAAGTACAAAGGTGGAGCAGCTTCTCCTTCTCATTAATCATTCTGGGAAGCCGTCATACAAGCAGAAACTGTTGTTCTCATTTTTATTAGTTTTCCCTATAGGGATTCAGACCAGTGATGCTTATCACCTTCTTTCCAGGATGTGAAGGGTCAATGTGCCTATTTTCAGCTAGAGAGGGATTAGAGACGGAGGGAATTTGGTATTACTGCTACAGAATTAGATCTGATGGAGCCGGATAGTTACATGACTGTATCATGTTTGGGATCATAGAGCCTACCTATTAAGACATGTGAGAAGTAGAGTGGAAATAGGAATACTTTTATACAATAAGTAATAGTAAAATTCATAATGATTATCAATATAATATGCACATACGATAAATAAAAATAAAAAGGTACCCAGGTGCACCATGAAAACACAGCCTCTTGTGCACCCTTGTGCCTTCCCCCAGACTTGCAACTTGTTCTGCCTTCTGGTGGCTACCACCACAGCACTAACTAATGTGCCCATTACGCTTTTTCGTTCGTTCTAAAATAATTTTCAGACATCATCTGGTAAATTTCTGATTTAAAATTTAAAAAAATTAGCTCACCTAAATCATTTTATTCTCTCTTTTCCACCTCTTCCCAATTGTAGGCAGGCCTTCCATTAGTTACTGTGTAAATACAAGTAATATCATTAAATATAGATTTATGTTTCTATCAATTTATAAAGTATCTTTGGATTCATCTCTATTTCTGCACCCACTCCCAAACCTCTATCAATTGGATCTTTGTTAGGGAAGATAACATCTATTTTATATTCTGTACCATAGGTGATTTAAAAGTTCAAAACTAATAAACATACTCAATAAAATATGGCAAAGTAAGTGTGGTTTACCCCATAGCCAAGTACTGTGGTTGACTTACATTTCCTTCTCCAAGCCCAGAATCGTGGCCTGGGACAACACAGGCAGATATTTCTAGGAGAAAAATCAAGTTATACCCCCACTGCCCAGCAGACAACATCTTAGTTTGCTTCATATTTGAACCATAATGTTCTTGAAAATATTTTGCTTTGCCTGAAATTTCTAATTGCCTTTTGTTTCTTGAATCTTGTGCAGGTTCCACATTTTCCCAAATGTATGAGCCTCTAACCTAAGACATGTCCAAAAGTTCTTTACTTACAGGGACATGATCTAGGGGCTTAGAGGGCCCTGGAAAAGTAAGATAATATATTTTAAAGACCCAATTTTACACAAAAGAACAAAAAGAGGAAGAACTATAGCAGAATGCCACTGCTGTGGATTCAGACTTCACCTCCCTGCCCACGGAGATGATTGAAGGGGAAAAAGGACAGAACATGAAACTAACAAGCTTGAGGCCTTATCAGTGTCTATATTGGCAAATTGAGGAGCGATGCACTCCCCAAGGTGGGTAAGCTGGTGGAAATGGCACTGCTGACTCCCAGGCAGGTGTTTGTATACTGATGTTTGTCTTCCCACACACGAATGAAAAAGACCAGGTAGAGTGAGCTCCTAGCCCACCCCTCTCGCCCTCTCTCCATACCACCGTGCTTCCTCTGTCCCTGTTCAGCAACGAGAAACAAGCTGAAATGATCTGTGCATACATATTGCAAACAACAACAACAAAAAAAACAATGAACGCAAAATCAAATAAAAACATACATCAGAAGTGAAATTAACCAAAGGAGAATGAATGTAAACACACAGTTCTCTAAGATGCTCAATAAATCACAAATATCATTACTCCATAAAATCAGTTAACAGATAAATACGTACAGCTAATATGTATCAACTGAAAAAAAAAGTTAAAAGATAAATAGAAATTCAGGTAGATATTATAAAATATCAGAGACAGACCCATAAATGCACTGATCAGGTTTCACGAAGATGAGAACAGAAGAAATAGAACAGAAATAATGTATCCAAGTGGTAGTAAAACAAAATATTGTTGAAATGAGCAGCTGAGTCTGTAGACTTAGAGGCCACACCATTCCAGGCAACACACATACTCTGGAAAATGTGTGATGAGTGCCCTCCTTTAATTCTTGGGACATTTATCGGTCCCTGTATTTATACTTCAGTGTTTATGGTTTTTGAATATTTTGAATTGGGATTTCCAAATATTTTCTCCCATTTTCCATCATCTTTACTTTTTTATTTATAGTCCTAGAGGGCTTTGTCTTTCAGCCTTACCAATAATTTTATTTGAACTTCAGAAATACTAATTTTAACTACCAAGAATATTTTCTTGTCCTTGATTCTTTCCCCGCAGCCTGTCCTTGTCTTAAGGATATAGTTTCTCAAATACTTGTGATGATGTTTTGGAGCTTTGAAAATGATCTCTTTTGAATTATCTCAATTTCCTGCAAAATATGTTACTTTTGTCGGCTTTGGCTGTTCCCCTTGGAATTGTCGCCTTTCCTCCGCCTCATTGAGCAGAGCTTCCTTGAGGACTGGAACAATTCCAATAGCTCATCTCCACCTGTGTGCATCTCCCCTCACTCCAGCCACAGAGGTCAGCATCTCTCTGAATTTTGGTTTCGCCGTTCTCTTTTTTGAATACATAAGTCTAACCTTCATATATGTATGTTTAAGTAATATTTATTTTAAATTTTAAAAATATATTGAAATACTATTAAAGTATGTTTCTCCAGGGACCTATTTCTTATTTTTCCTCCCTTAACAAAGTGTTTCTATGATCAGTCCTTGTTGCTGTGTGTAGCAGTAGTTGATTTTCAGACAGGAAGCTCTTGTAAATTACTCTGGCCAGTGAAACAAGTAAAAGGGTACATGTGTCAGTTCCAGGAAGTGTTTACGAGTCAGCGCGTGATTTCCTGTGCTCACGCCCATGGCTGCCACATCTGGGGAAGCATGTGTTGACGTGGAGCTGCCACAAGATCAGCACCTCCTGGAGTGATGGGCTGCAGCCCCGAGAAGGTGGCCCTGGAGAGTTCTGGGAGCCAAAGCAAAAGTGGCATGAACAAGAAATACATTTTGCTGTGCCACATCAGTAAGATTTTCCAGCTATTTCTTAGCACAGGATAATCTACCATACCTTTTCCTTCCTTTCATTTTTGCGTCTGCAGTGATGGTATTCTATTTCACTTTTCTATACAGATCACTGATTGTCTACCTCCACCTACGAAGCAGTCCTTTCCTCCCCCAGGGGCCTGCAGTGCATCTATTTGTGTGAGCCTGTTTTGGGCTTCCTTCTGCTCCATCATCAGCTCATCAGTCCTGAACAAATACCTCTGTAGTCTTCATTACTGCAGCTTAATAGTATCTGGTGTAGTAACTCTCTCTACTTTCTATTTCTTTTTCAGGACTGTCTTTTCCAACCTTACTTTACTCATCCATTAAGTTTTAGAAACCTACAACCACATACACAATGGAAAGCTTGTTGGGGTTTTGGTTGTGATTGCATTTGAGGAGCTTATCGTTACAATATTGAGTGTTCCTACTCATCGTAGCTGGGCTATGGGCTATTTTTCTTTTTTGATATATCTAAAGCATTATAACTTTTTGGAACAAAAGAATAGGATTTCTTGAGTTTAGGCAACCATCTGGAATTAGAAGTCTATTTGCAACAGTGTTTCACAGAGATAAACTCAGGACTCAATACCATAAAGCAAAGTACAGGGAGGAGAGGGGTTGGGGAGAGGACTAAGCTTCAGGTATTTTCTCTGTGTCGGATGCCCCTTGGGTGTCATGCATGCAGTATTTCAATTTATTCCCATGAAACCTCTATCTAACATGTAGCATTTTCTCCATGAAATCAAGACCCAGTTATGTTAAGCAAACTATCAAAGCTCAAACCCTGGTAAAAAGTGACAGGGCTAAGAATTGGAGAAGGCCACTTGGATTTCAAGCCAGGCTTCCCCAATATCATCATGACAAGTGTATTAAAGAAATTCGAAAGATTTTGCCTGGCTTTCTTGAGGTTGATGGATTGGCTTATTGTCTTGGCTAATGCTTTCTATCAAATTTTTAATTATTACAATAAATTTTATTTTTATTATTTATTTATTTATATTTTATTTTTTGAGATGGAGTTCCATTCTTGTTGCCCAGGCTGGGGTGCAATGGCATGACCTCAGCTCACTGCAATTTCTGCCTCCCTGGTTCAAGTGATTCTCCTGCCTCAGCCTCCCGAGTAGCTGGGATTATAGGCGCCCGCCACCATGACTGGCTAATTTTTTGTATCTTTAGTAGAGACGGGTTTTCACCATGTTGACCATACTCGTCTTGAACTCCTGACCTCAGGTGATCCACCTGCCTCAGCCTCTCAAAGTACTAAGATCACAGGCGTGAGCCACCACGCCCGGCCTACAATAAATTTTAGAATAATATCCTGCATAGGCTGATAAAAAGTTTATGACTTTAAAAAGTGTCTATCCACAGGCCAATTTGGCAGAGATCAAGAGATATTTTGTCATCTTTCCATCAGCAGATGTTGGTGAACTTAACACTTGAAGGAATAAAACAGCAACAATGCTGTCAGTTCTGGAGAGGCGCACAAGATGGGCACAGCTGTTGCAATGTTTTGAGAAAGGACATTAGTTTCTTCTTAGTCTCCATCGTCATATTCTTCTTCCATAACCTAGGGGGCAATTTATTACCAGTAGAAATAAATTGCATTGTGTACCAGCTCTGGCTTTGAAGTTTTCATTTTCTGTCTGTGTAATAACATGCTATGATTATGTATGAACTTCTAAATGGGAACAGAGGAGACTTAATTCCATTACATTTCCCTGGAGAAAGGAAGTCTAATTCAGTTCATACACAAGGATTCTTCTTGTTATATAACCGTAGTGTTTGGAGCATTATTTTCAGAGTTGTTGACTGTGGCTTGATGAGATTTTATTTTATGTAGCCAGTCCAGGCTACCAATATTTGACTTAACTTGAGAGGCAATAATACAAAGAATTTTCTTCCTTCTGAACTTGTAAAATGTACCTGACTTTCCTGCCCCAACCGTAGGGGAATATGAATTTAGCTCTGATAAAATTTAGCATCTAAGTTAATTTTGCTCTCTCCTTTCCACAGGCTGAATGTTTTTCTACCAATGCATAAGATCTACCAGCCACAGACAGGCACTGTTTTTAGATGGTCTTGAGGCATCTCATTTTACAAAGGATATAGAAACAGACGGATGCTATATAGAAACTGGTGGAGTGGGGTGGAAGAGAAGACAGAAGACAAGGGTTATAATTTAATCATATAAACTCTGGATGCAATAACCAAGGTCTCCCCAGAAAGCTGTCAGTGTATACTTGTGTGGTGAGTAGATTTCTAATCAGCTCTAGAAGGGTGGCCAAACACAGCTAAACTGTGTCTTTTAGTAGCAGGAAAAGCATCTGCTATAGTTTAGATGTTTGTCCCCCAAACTCCATATTGAAATTTGACCCCCAATATTGGATGGGGGCCTAAGGGGAGGTGTTTGGATCCTGAGGACAGATCCCTCATGAATGTCTTGGTACTGTCCTCACAGTGAAGAGTGAGTTCTCACACTATCAGCTCCCTTGAGAAACTGGTTGTCAAAACAAGCCTGGCACTCCCCATCCCCTCACCACGTGGTCTCTGCACACACGAGCTTCCATTCACTTTTCATCATGTATGGAACCAACCCGAGGACCTCATTGGAAAGAGAGTGGATGCTGGCACCATGCTTCTTGTTCAGCCTGCAGAACTGGGAGACAACATAAACCTCTTTCCTTTATAACTTACCCAGACTTGAGTATTTCTTTGTAGCAATACAAACAGACAAAGCATCTGACAAGCAAGTTGTTCAATGAAGAGATTGTTAGAGCCTGGGGAAGAGTCATCATGTTCAATTGGTACAAGATGCAATTAACTAATATGATTTGGGACAGCTGTCTCCATTGAGGTCACCAGGGTGTCATGGAGTGAAGCTTCAGGAGGAAGAGCTGACTACTTCCTACCCTGGGCTCCATTTTTGTCAGGGCTCTACAGAGAGACAGAACTGACAAGATATAAAGAGAGGAATAAAACAAAAATCCAGATATTTCTATAAATCCGATTATTTGCCAAATTAAATGTGAAAGCTTGCCTCTATCTCTTTCCATTGTGTGCAGATATTTTGCACAGTGTGGATTTGGTCTCTAGGTGTGAGTGTGCCCTGGACACAATGCATAGTAGACAGACATTGTGCTTCGTTGTAGACACTGTGCTAGGCACGTATTACACATTGCCCCAAATCCTTATCACAAACACATCAGGAGTATGATGGCCAAGGAGGAAGCTGTGGCTCAGCCCATTGAGGCTGTATATCCAGGGATCAACAGCCAGTAAGTGGGTGTGCTGACTCCCAAGGCCAAAGCCCACCTACTTGCCAGGTAACTTTCTAGGGATATGAAGGCATTCTATGTTATGATGGTGTGTGTTACATGAGTGTATCTGTCTACCAAAAGTGTGCTTCCATGATTTATGCAATCAGATATGGGATATAATGGTAACTCATGTTTTTACCCAAGGATTTTTTCATCACCATAAAACATCACTTCTACTCAGCTTTATTCTAATGATTTGAGGCAGAGTTTAAAAATCTGTCAAAATTAAATATATTTTTAACAAAGTGAAGACATCTAGACAAACAGACAATGGGGTAGGAAAGATGGAGCTAAAACCAGGGCTGAGTTTCATTCACAGATGGCTCGAGGTCCTACTCAATTACTAGAAATGGGCTAAATATTCACCTCTAAGCTTTCCAATAAGCAACACAGTAGGAACAATATCAACGCAATAGGCCTCAGAGTCCATGAGAAATAAACTAAACAGTTGCTTAGGGAAAGCAGAGCTATTTCTGGTAAGAAATTCAGAGAGAGTTTTCCTTTGAGTCTTCATAAAGAAGACACTCTTCGATGTAGGGCGCAGCATTAACTACATTCTTATGCAAGTTGTAAAGGCTAAATCTCATAAAATATTTTAATATAGGCCATAACACCAAGCAGCAAAAATAGAGAACTAGAGGATGGGGAGATGGAATTTGCTGTGTTTGGAAATTAATACGATTATTGGTTTTCTGTGTTCTCACTTAATCCAGGGTTTTAAGGAATCTAGAGAAAAATCAGGATTGATGTTTTTCATTAGTGCGTTTTCTTACAACTAAAGCTCTTGAACGCTCTGGGTGGTGGGGAGTTTGGGTTGCACTTGGCTTGTGATGAGTTTCCCAGGGAGATGCACTTCTCAGCTGGACCACCTGAGCACACCACCAGGAAAAGCTTTTGGGTAACCCCGGAGGCAGGAAAATTTCCTATGGGTGCTTTATTCAGCTGTAGTCCTATAATCAGCCTTTCACATAATTTGATAGAACTGACCAATGTGAAATGAAACTGTTAATAAGATCCCAAACTCTCCAGAGAAGAGGACTCTCTATGGCTAGTAGAAACACCCAAATTAAAATAATGGAAACCCAATGGCCATAGTTAGAGAAGGGTGGTCACGTGCCTTTTGTTTCTGAAGAGGGCAGTTCCAAACAAACATGCTGTCTGTGCCTCTGAGCTAAGACAGTTCTTGTAAAGGGAGCTGAGGCACCATGGCTGGAAATCTCCTCCAACCAGCCTGAAAGGGCATCCAATAGACACTTATGGTTTGGGGTTTAGAAAGTACCCAGTCAAGACTGTTATTTTCAACCAATCAGAATTGAATGTGTTCAAATCATTCATTTACATATACAGACCTGATTGAAGACTGTGACAGGAATTTTCTTTATTTAAGCCAGACCCTTTCTTTGTTCTCCAGAATGTGCTTTTGTTTTCCACCAAAGCCTGTGTCTTCCCGATACCTAGATTGTTTTCTATTTAATAAAAAATAAAGTTCTCAACTTTTCCTCCACAGATCTCATGGTTTTTTGTTAGCACCTCAAATAGATGTGTATAAAGGTGGAAAAAGCAAATTTCCAGTGCGTTAGCTGGGGTTAAAGTCTCTGTTTTCACGCGTCGGATTTGGGCTTCATTCCCCAGAACCCACTTCCTTTTAACCAAGTGCATGCTTTCCCTCATGCATATACTTGAGTGATTTCATCAGGTGAAAGGAAGATTATAATGAACATCTCAAACTTTATACAATTTGAGGAAGTCCTTTTCAATATTTGTTTCTGTTTCCATCTTGCCAACCCAGCTCAGGCTGGCCTGACTTCCTTCCACCTTTCCTTTCTTCCTTGTTTACTTCCCATTTTTTGTTGTTGTTGTTGTTGTTGGGTAATTTAGGTATAAGTGTAATAGTCCTTATCACACTTCATACTAGGGAAATGGAGTTCATGATTTCTGGGTTTGGGGCAAGGATTTTATATTAAAAATCATCCAATGATTGGAGGCAAGAAGGAAAATCTCTTCTTTGGGGCCTCCTGAGAAAAGCTTCTAAAGATTTTCAGGGAGCCGTGTGTCCCCAGTGGAAACTGAAAGTATTTCATTTGTTTTATTTTCTTCAGTTGTGGTAGATGGAAAAATGGTCACAGTTCTATGCACCTCCACTCATCAAAAGGCAGGATCAGTTTCCCTCTTCATTGACCCTGAGTTTGACCAGGTTTGGCCAATAGAAGTCAGAGGAAGTGACAGGTGCCAGTTACAAGAAGTTCCACAACCCCTTTTAGAAATCAACTAAACCACTGTGTGAATAAAGCCAGGTTAGCCTGCTGGAGAATGAGGCCCAATTGCTCCCATCATCTCACATGACAGCCAACCAACCACCAGTCATGTGACTGAGGTCATCTTGGACCAGCCAAATTCCAACCAACCTTTTCAGTAGACCTCAGACACATGAACAAACCCAACTAAGATCAACCAACCCTAGACAGTTCTGCAGAGTTGCCCAGTAACACACAGAATCATGACCAATAATAAATGTGTACTGTTTGAAGTTGCCACATTGTTAAGTGGTTTGTTATGCCACAAAAACTAACTGACACATCAACTCTGAAACCTCCTTGGTTTAATCAGGGTGCTGGCAGGTACGGAGCAACTGTGCCCAGGGTAACATTACTTAGTCTCAGAATCATAATTAATTAAATTGCAAGTGACAGAAATATAATAAAATCTGACTTACTTAAAAAGGGGAATTTTTTGGTTCACAGAACCACGCTGCAGCAAGTACAAGAGTGCAACTGCGGACTCTTGGTTGACTAGAACTAGGAATGTGAGCCACATTGAAGTTTGCTCTTTCAGATTCAGTGCAATTGAGTGTGATGGAAACCTTTCTTTAGAAAAGAAAAAAGAAACATCATTCCAGGGTATGTTTACCATACATTCTCATGCAGGGAGGGTGAGGTTGATAAAAGATTGATTTTGTATGCTCCTTGCTAAGTAGCTCTGCCCTCTGGAAGATTCCCTTTGTCTCATGGCCTTTAGAGCTGAGAGCAGAATTAGGCAGACCTCACATGTTGAGGACTCATGGTGGAATTTGTTTTTTCTTTTTCTCTTTCTTTCTTTCTTTTTTTTTTTTTTTTTTGAGACAGGGTTTTGCTCTCGTTGCCCAGGCTGGAATGCAGTGGCATGATCTTGGCTCACTGCAACCTCCGCCTCCCGGGTTCAAGTGATTCTCCTGCCTCAGCCTCCTGAGTAGCTGGGATTACAGGCACCCGCCACCAGGCCAGGCTAATTTTTGTATTTTTAGTAGAGACGGGGTTTCACCATGTTGGCCAGGCTGGTCTTGAACTCCTGACCTCATGATCCGCCCACCTCGGCCTCCCAAAGTGCTGGGATTACAGGAGTGAGCCACCGTGCCTGGCCGGAATTTGTTTTTCTTTCCGGGTGCCTGGAATCTGAACCACCTTCCTATATTTTGGGGATCCTCTACCCACTGTGGCAGAATCTGGCCCCCATTATGTAAATGGAAAAGCCCGGATAGTGCGTTCCCAGCCTCCCTTGCAGCTGGGGCCTAGTCAACATGACCTGCCTCTGCCAATCAGGCACCTGCCCTCAGCTTACAAGACACCTGTGATATGAGGTGGCCATGGCTGCTGGGAACCCATTCTGTGATGATGGTGGTCCTGGGCAGCTGGCCCTGGGTTCTGTGGGGATCCGCAGCAGAGTTTCTAAGGAAAGCACCCAGTGTTCAGTGTCAGAGGTGCATCTTCAGCCAGCAGCTGAAACAGAGGTACTTCTACCAGGCCAGTTTTTGGGCTGCTGATGGCTGCACTGCTTCCTAGCCTGGCTCCCCTGTCTCCTTCAAGATTCAGTGAGCTTTCCAGAACACATTTTTGTTTGTTTGTTTACATTCCCCAGTCATTAGCTATTGCATACAACTATGAAGCCAGGATAAAACCACAGAGCATCTCAGTGAGAGCCCAGGTCCCATCTGTGCTGGTGCCAGCCCTGAAGCTGGACTCAGATTGGGCCATCACAGGCATGGGGATTTTCCTGTAATGCGATCCCTTTGAACTTTGCATATTTATTTTGCCTTGAGTGACTGTTGGCTTGCAACCAATGCCAAAAATCGAGTCATGTCATGATTGCTGAACCTTTGCTTACACTCTGAGGCACAGAATCCAGCCCCATGACTCAGCAAGGTGGACAGGTGTCAGGTCCAAGTATCTTTGCATCCATGGTCATGACCTGAGGAACACTGTCTGCACCATAATCTTACTCTTTTCTATCTGCACTCCGATGGCCCCATTTGAACCAGTTTGTTTCTTATGGCATCTTATTAAAACTCAAAAGCAGCAGTACAAAAAAAATGAGAAAACTTTGAAATGTCTTTTTCAAAAATCCAAGATTGTCCAGTGTTCTTATTATTCATTTTTTATGTAACAAATTACTCTCCAGTTTAGTGGCTTCAAATAATAATTTATTATCTCTCATGATTGGGTTCAACTGATGAATTCTCATGTGGGGTCTCTCAGGTTATTGCA
The DNA here is from genome assembly GCF_000001405.40 of Homo sapiens. NCBI lineage: Eukaryota > Metazoa > Chordata > Mammalia > Primates > Hominidae > Homo > Homo sapiens. The sequence continues at coordinate 24,035,476 of NC_000020.11, forward strand.
TTTACATATTGGCTAAGAGAAGAAGCATCTTAAGGCTCAGTGGGCTGGAAGTTCAAGGTGGCTTCTTCTGTCCCATGTCAGATGTCCAGCTGAGATGGCTGACTGGCAGGAGCTGGCCAACAGATCTCTCTTTCCATGCAGCCTCTTGAAGTGACCACCTCGGGCTTTCTCACGGCCTGGCTGTTGGATTTAGGGGAGAGTTTTCAGATCCAGCACAGTGCCACTTCCACCATATTTTATTGTTCAAAGCAATCCCAGAGTCTCCCCAGATTCAAGGGCAGAATAACATAGACCCCACCTTTCAGTGGAAGGAATATCAACGAATTTGTAGCTATCTTTATTCCTCTACTTGTTGGCGAGAGTTGAAGTCCCAAGAGAAAAACCTGTTATCTGTTGTCTTAACTTGGATTTCCCCAGAAAGAGATACTGAGGCAAAGATTGTGAGTTCAATGTTACCTGTGGAAACACTAGCAGGGTAGTGAGACAGAGGAGGGAAGAGATCCAATGAAAGGTACATTATCAAGCAGGTGACTGAGTATAGGAGATAGGGCTAATCCCAGTAGGGAACTCGGACAATATGTGGATATGTGCAGTCATGCTGACAGAGGTGTGTGGGAGCTGGGATTGTCCACTGCTGCTTCCAGATGTTAACTCCCTGGCACTTCCAGCCACTCTGGCATGTGTGTGCAGAGAAGATCTGGGAGCTTTTCAGGTGGAGAGAAGGCAGGCTTAGGGCTGGAAGCTTTCGGTTGGCAGCACTGGGTTGGGGCATGTTGATAGGCCACCGGCCATATCTGCACCCTAGTGAACCAGTGGCTTCTCTACCAAAATAGGAGCTGGAGGGACCTACGATACTCCTTAACATTTTTCTTCCTTCCCTTTGTGACTTCGTTCTCCCCTTTTGGAAACTATCACTTGGGATTATCTAGTTTCACCATTTATTGTTTCTGCCACAGAACTTTTTGGTTACAAGTTGCAGACTAGCTTGGGATAAAAATAGGGAAATATTGGTTTATGTCTCCAAACCGTAGTAAGGAAAGAGACAGAAGAAGGCATCAGGGATAGCTGGGTCCAGAAATCCATTACTGTCAGGCCTCTTACTCTTTCTGTCTCTTACTTCTTGCTTTCTCTGCACTTCAGCAGTACTCTCAGACCTGCTTCTCCACAGTATGGAAATGTGATTGAGGGCCTCTCAGGGCTCATATCATCCAAGCATTGCTACCAAAAATGAATTTGAACTTCCAAGTTTTAAAATTCTGTGGAATCACTCAGACTGACACAGCATGGCTCACTTGCCCAGCTCTGAAATGAATGGAAGGCAGGAGTGGGAGATGAGTGAATTATGAACGATAGTTTTCCTTGGAACTATGCTATTGTAGGGGTTTGGGGACACTATTTCCAAAAATAAGGGAGGTACCTTACCTGGAGTGGAAGCAGAAGCAGTGCTAATCAGAGGAGCTTTCGTCTTTAAATGAGTGGCTTATAAGACAACATTTCTCAAACTCTAGTGGTTCCCCTCAGACCTCCTGGCCATCCTCTGGAGGGGGCCCTGCAGAGCACAGAGAAGCAGAGTGAATAAAAGCTCAAGAGTATCCAAGAGAAAATACATATTTGAGAAGACGGCCTGTTCATTGATCAGGGAAAAGTTTCTTCACAACTTCATCCTCCACCTTTCCCACCTTCAAAGCCAACTTGTTGTAGCAACAAAGGACTATTTATGTAATAAAAATGTGGAGTCCCCTGCTTGAGGAGTGGGTAGTTTGTAAGGGGGAAATCTGCATAGGGCCCTGATTGTGCCCTCACCCTCTAGGGAGGCTCTTGGGGACCTCCTGGCTCACAGCAGTCCCTCCCTCTTTCAGCAATGCCTCCACTGGGCTCCCAAGGTGGGCAGTCATGGCGACATCATGCAGGACCCCAACTGGTAGTTAACTGACCCAGGGAGGGCCACATGGCCCAAGCTGAGTCTATCAGATTCTCTTTCTTGGAAAATTTGAATTTTGGAATCTGAACAAAGCTTATCTGAACTATGAGTTTTTGTGGTCAACATGCATCCCAGCTAAGTTTTTCTATTATGTATTGGCTATGTATAGTGAACAAATCCTGACTCCAAGCATGCTGGAGAGAAATGATTTTTTCACCCAACTTTGAGGTCTTGAGTTTCTGATGTGAAAGGGATGCTGGGAATGTATGAGAAAGGATCCTAAAGAGGCAGAGAAAGACAATCAAGTGGGGTGGAGGATGTAAAGAATTAAAGAAATTCTGGAACCTTAGATAGGGATGCTCCATCATGTTTTCTGTTACAAAGGATTCAAATAAATTGAGAACTGAGTGACCACTGGCACTTGGCGACCTGGTCAGAACAAGTTCTGCTCCACAGGTACCTGAATTCTCCTTTCCTCACAGGACTGCACTTGCTCAGTGGACTTTTGAGCAAAGCGTGGTGGCAGGCACAGAGCACAGCCCTGGGCTCCAGAGCCTGCCTTTTCCTTCAACTGGGTATCAACCCTAAAGTTCCATTTTGCCAGACAGAGCAACCTGGCTTGAGCTCCATCCTCAGCACAATAATATGGACTCACCATCTCACGCGCCTCTCCCTGGAATCCTCAACTATTTGCAGGGATAGCCCCAGCAGCCTGGCTGGCACAGTGTGACTCTTGCCCTGCAGTCATCTGTGCTTGATTCTAGGCTAGTCATGTGACCTGAACTTGGCCTATCATATCCTGTTCAGCAGAAATTTTAATATGAAGAACTAACTGAGGCAGGCACTGGGGTGGCTGGAGCATAGCTAAGCTGATGGCAGCATTTGGAGGGAAGGGTTTCCTTTCTCTGCTGAGCTTTCTGGTTGTTTCACACCTCACTGCTGGGGTGCTCAGTCCTTCCTGGAACTCATGAGGTGTCCACTCACCTTTTCATAGACCCTATTTGTTGCTTAGATATTGCAGTTAAAGTTAAGCAGTTGGTTTCCACTGGTTGCAGAAAATAGAACTTTAGTGATAATATTCACTTGCTTTTTTACCCAAAATTATGAGGACACTTAAGCCCTTTAAATTTAGTCACAAGCAGAAGGAAAGAGGAGGCTGGGAATGAGTGACAGGTTTTCTTTGGAGGGGTAGAAGGATACTAGTGACTCCTTAATTCAAACGTATGGAAATTCCAAGTTTGTAGCAGCAAAGCTCAAACTAAATAACTTTTTGTACATTTCAAGAAACTCTAAATAATGCAGAACAATAAAATGCTTTATTTCTAACCAACACTCAATCTTGCAAAGCCTGATGTTCGAAAGAGGTCAGTGAGATTTAAGAGTTTTAGCTGAACTCTGGATCTATACAATTTTGAATGCCAGAAATTTCAATCCTTTCAGACCTTCTAAAAAGAATATCCATCTGGGACCATTCAGCAAAGAAAATGAAATTCTGGCCTCCAGGCAGTTCTGCATCTGCAGGCATGAGAAGCATTTTTCATAACCATTGTGCTTTCTTGGGTGGCTTTGAGCCCCCATGCCACCAAGGACTGTCCAGCTACACGAGTCAGCCTGGAGTGTGCTCCCTGTTCCACCTGAAGCCATGCAGGCAAAGGCTGCAGCATGAGGCTTCTGAGGCTCCCAAGGTGTGTTCAGATGCTGTGTCTTTCCCCCCACCTCATCTACAGGTCAAGCCCAGGTAAGATGAACGCCCTGCCCTTTGCAAAGGCCTTGTGAAATGCAAGAGCAGCTTCCACAGAGAGATGCAGACACTGAGGGCCCATGTAGCTGAAGCCTCAGAAGCTGGTCCACCATGTTCTGCCAGAACAGGGGAATCATCATCCTTATAACCACCCGGAAGCATGGAGACAGGGCCTCATAAATCATGCAGCACAAAACCCTGGTTGGACAGCAGGCAGGGTGGCAGCCCTGACACCCACAAGGATTGCCTGGGGCTGCAGCTCATTAGTGGTACCTTGAAAAAGCTGGAATCTGGGTGTCCCCAGGAGATCTTTCCCCGCCTGCTGGCTTCTTTCCATGGTGCTGTTTGCCTGCTGGCCCCTGGTGAGGGCCCTGCAGGGCGGGAAAATGGGGACTTCTTATTCCTTTCCACTCTGTGTGAATTGATTTTCCCAACTAAGCCCCAAGTTCCAGTAACTTACTGGGTTGTTGGAGTCACTGGCTATTTTAAACTATCATTTTCATCTGAAGCATTTCACTCTTTAGACTGACATTTAAATGCATGTTCAAATGTGGGCAGCCTTCCCTCAGAGCCCAGGCACTGGGCTGGACCCATGCATAGATGCTCCTCCTTTGCCCCCACGTGGAAACCACGAGACACACACTCCATGCCTGCTGAGGAGGTGAGGAAAACAACTCCAGAGAGTGTAAGAAGTGCATGTGCAGACACACACAGGACCGGGTCCCCTTGGTCCTAGGGGCTGTCCTAGAGGTGAAGTCTGCGCCCCTCTCCTCCCACCTCCTCCTGAGCACGTTGCTCCTCTGCAGCTTCTTGTGCTGAATGTGTCTCCCCTGCAGGCCTCTTAGCATGTGGCCTGAACTTGGGGTGCAATGGCTCTTCTCTCTCCTCATTGCCACTTCCACACCACTCTCCCTCCTTAAAATCCCAGCCCCGAGGCTCATGACGTGAGCCATACCACCTGCTGCCCCTCTTTAGACAGTTGGGTATAGACCCCTGTGGCCGTTTTCCTTTATTCCTTGGAGGTTTCAGCTTCCCTGACCATCCAGTCCTCCACATGGAAGACCACGCAGAGGCTCTGTCCAGTGCCCTAGCCTCGCAGCTCCTTCGCGCCTCCATAACAAAGCCTTGCCCTCCACTCACTGCAGCCACTCATGCTGCCCACCCCCGAGACCTTGTCATTAGCAAACAAAACAGGGAAACTTCTATCATCTGGATTCAAAGCAGCCCACATCCTTACCACCTCTTATCTTAACATAATTTAATAGTTGCAGAAAAAGTCCCCCACACCAAAATTTAAAAAAAATTAGTTGTACACATGCAGGGCAGGATAGATTTGGCTAAACAGAAATCTAAATGATATAAGCTGAAATAAGCAAAGGTTGTGTTAATGGAAATTTTCAGTATTGGAGCAAAGACAGAAATCCTGCTGTAGATGAACTGGGGAGGCCAGGTCATAGCACCATGCCCATTTTCTGGTAAGACTATTGAGGCGAATCCTCTTCAGGAATGTTGGAAGTGAAGACGTCCATGATACCTAGTGGGTGAGGTGAGTTGATCCTGGAGAAGTGAAGTCTCAGTGGCAATGTTGGTCCTGAGGCCACTGGCCATACTGTTAAAAAAATTTTGATTTATGACCAACTCATTTATCATAAAAACCTATTTTTTATGAGAAGTTTGTAACTTCAGAAAAAAGTCTAAAGATTTGGCAGTGTTAACTTCTTTTGCCCATGACTACCACAGGGGCCCCTTGGGTTCACTACAGGCCTCACCCTGTACCCTCCTCCACCTCTACCCAACCTACTCCTGTTTTCTCCTCATTCTACTCCAATTGAGTGTCCATGCCCTCCACTCAACCAAAACTGCCCATTTCAAGGTTACTATTGATGGCCACACTGCAAAATACAGAGCTGAATGCTCAGTTCTCACCTTACTTGAAGTTCCTGCAATGTTTTTGTTGTACTTGAGCCAACTAGCAATTATTACATGCAATTGCTCCCAGTGTGAGGAAGTCAATGGGAAGAGGTAACCAAGAAGTACAAAACACTTTTTGCAAACTAACCACACATTTATTCCCATTTAACAAGTTAATTAAGCAATTAATAGATAAAACAATTAGGGTGAATTCAGCAGTCAAGCCATTATGTGAGCTAGCTTCTTGCCTTGGAGCTAATTTCCTAGGTTAGAAGGGCAGCACTACCACCCCTGGGGATCTGTCCAGTTGGTCAGGCTCTCCTAAGGCCTCCAGCCTCCTGGCTACCCCCAGCCAACACGGAATTGACTTCTGGTGGATGATATCTTCATTCCATCTCCTCAAGGAAATCACACAGTGACAACTCCGTGCCCTCCAGAGAGGTTTCTGGAGACCAAAGCCTATCTTGGTATTTTGGTTGCAGACTGAGTTTTTGTATTAAATATTTGCTTCTTTGGGTTTTTTTTTGTTATTTGTTTTTTTTGTTTTTTTTTTTTTTTTTTTTTTTTACGTTTTTTATCCTTGCAGTGTCTCAGGGTGAAATGTTGGAATGATAGGCTATGCGTCTCCTCTTCCACACTCACAGCCAGCCTAAGAGCAAATTTAGAGCCTCGCCTTTCAGCACAGATCCGGATTCTGGCCACTCCTTAGAGCCTCCACCACCTCCACATGGATCCAGCAAGACCATCTTTTTTGGGGCGATGGCAAAGGCCTCCCTGCTGCTTTCTCCGCACCTCCCTTGCCACCCTCTTCTCCCAGCCATGCCAGTGTGGCCTTTTGTAATGTGAATTTTAGAGTTCACTCCCCTGTTCAAAACCCCATTCCAGGGTAAAAGCTAAAGTCCCCCCATCTGCTCCCACCCAGGGTGACTCTCCAACCCTCCTTCGCACCCCTTGCTCACTCTGTTTCAGCCATGCTGACCTCTCTGCTTCACAGCCTTTGCCCTTTGCCCTTTGCCCTCTTGGCTTCCTCTGCTGAGAACGTCCCCACCAGCCATCAGCCTGGCTCCTGTCCTTTCCACCTTCTTTCCACACACCCATCTCTTCCTTCCCATTTACCCCACTGGATTCTCCCATAGCACCCACTTTCTAGGCCCCATGCACTTTACTGAGTGATTTGTTATCTGTTGCCCCCACTGTAAAATCGGCTTCACAGGTGAGGGGATTTTTGTTTTTTTTCCCCCACTTCTGCATTCCCCAAGAAAGTAAGTGTCAGATACTGAGTAGGTGTTCCAAGGTGCCCGTTGAATGAATGAGGAATAAGCCTAGCTGTTTGGTGTGTTCCTTGTGAGCCTTCTCTTTGTGTTTGAACATGTTACCAAATCATGGCAAGGATAAAATCTGTGTCTTTTCAACACTGGTGTTCCCTTTCATATGTGATCATTCATCCCATAGAATTTGGTGTGGTCGATCACTGGTTTCCATGAAGTCTGTCCCAATACTAACAGCAAACACTGAATTCGCAAATGGTTTTCTACCAGCTGACTAGGAGAGGTATACTAAATATCTTACTAAATTTTAGCTTATTTGCTTTCAGTCATATGTAAAAGCCAAAGTAGTTTAAACCTAGTCAAACAAAATCCAACCTCTGGTCATGTTTTCTTCTACTAATTTCAATGTAGTGCTTGGTAATAATTAGACATATTAATTGAAGACTTTCAGGAGACATGATGGTTAAATTCCTGGTGTCCCGCAGAGCTGACCTAGCATAGCAATAGCTATTGTGGGTTTGACACAGAGTGTGGGTTTGGGGATAGAAACAATGTGTGGCTGCTGGCTTCATTTCCTTACTATTAATGGGCTGTGGCTGAACCTGGCATTTGTGGAGACAGTGGGCACAGGCTTTCTCCATGGCAGTCGCTATCACCAGGGCATTGTGGAGAGGCATGTCAGTTTCAGAGTCCTCTAAAGCCAGCTCAGGAGGGTGCACGAGGGGCAGGAGAAGGAGGGGCCCATGCTGCCATCACCATCACCCACCAAGTGACACAGATTCAGTGTCACTGCAGACAAGTGCCATGTATATGCAATTACATAAACAATGGGGGCACAGGGAGCTCCGGAGCCAGTGGTGGCTGCAGCTGAATGCACCACCCAACCTGCTGTGCTCTGGTGGGGCTTCTCTAAGGGGACCTCATTTGACGGCACCATCTCCCTCACTGGCACCCTATCAAGAGAGCACACCAGCTTCCATCACAGGTCTCTTGATCTGGACAAAGTCATCCCACACAAAGTACTTGATTCCAGAGATGCAGAATATCTCATGATACATGGAGGCCAAACTATGTGATGCCCTGATGAACGCAGAGAGCCCTGGAGGGGAAGAGGCAGAGGTCAGAAGCAGAAGCTATTTGCTTTCTGCCTGGGTGTGTTTGTTCCATTACCCTGACTGATGGGAGTGATTGTTCCTTTATTTTAAATATGACTCAAAAGCATCAACACAAGCCAATGCCAGAAATCTGTTCCTAGGCAAATGATAGAAGAATCACTCTAGTGAAAATGTTTAGTTTGTCATGAATTTAAATCTGTGGTCCTTGAGGTATTTTGGGAATTTGTGAGGTCATCTTTGCTTGACACTGTGATTGTCAGAGCCCTGATGGTGTTTATAGGCAAAGATCAATGACACTAAATGTCTTGCAATGCACAGGACAGGAAAATAACCAATAGCTATCATAACAGAAAATGCCGAATTCTCAGGGGCTTAGTACAACACTGATTTATTTCTTGCTTGAAAGGAGTCGAAGCAGGTCTGGCAGCCAGTCACACCTTGTACAGCTCCATCTGGAACACACGGCCTTGTAGATCCCTGTGAATCCCTGTGGGGCTCTGTGGGTCCCTGTGTGTCCTTGTGGCAAGAGCCAGGGAGCAATGGAGGAAGGGCACACACTCTCACTTGCTTCAGCCCTGAAGTCCCATAGACCACTGGCCACTGCCACAGACCATCCACAGGCCAGACTGAGTCACGTTGCCACAACCTGCCAGCAAGGGAAGCTGGGTGGCCAGATGAGCCCCGTCTCTGATGACGTCTCCTATGGTGAAGGGTTATACCATATCCCCGGGGTCCTGATTCTTGCCAAGGAGGAATTCCCTCAGTTCTGGGAACATAGCAGGCATAAGAAAACAGGAAAAATTAACTGCTGATTGTAGGGGCAAATGCTTTGTCTCTTACAGGTCTGTTTTATCAGCCTAACCAAAGAGCTGATTTTTAAAGTTAAGCAGATTCTTTCTTACATTTTAAGATAGTTTTTGTCTTGGGTGGTGAAATTTTAGCATAGCCGCTGGAAATATATTGCTATCTGAAGCCCTGAAAACCTGAATAAATGTCATTTTTAATTTTAACATTTGACAGATGAGCTCCCTTTCTAACACTTTGAACTCTGAACTGATGGCCTTTGGTGTTTTGTGTGTGTGTGTGTGTTTGCAGCCATCAAATTACAGAATAAATATGCTTGCCTTCTCTCTACTGTCCTGATCAAAACAATGGTAGGATTTAGTTATCTAGAGAAAGATCAAGCTTTTAGTTTTAGCTGCAGCACTTGGTATAAACGGTTCTTCATTCTGTGCCTAAAAATTTGAAGTTCAAGCCAGAACAAAGAAATAGAATCTGTGTAGAGGCAAGAAGATGGCGTGAGTTCCACACCTTGAGGCTGATGCACTTTATCCATAGAATTACTCCTTCCTTAGGTTGGGGCAAGTTTTAGTTCAAAGACAGATCTAACATGCTCATTTATCATGGTCCTTAGAACACAAGCTGGAGGCTGCAAGCTAAGAGAAACACCAACAGCAGCAAGCATCAGCAGAACATAGGGTGTGGAGATGGCAGAAAATGCCAGAAACTGCTTCAACGGCCTCTGAATGCAAGATCGAGTACCTACTCGTGCCTTAATAGGTTCTGTATAATGTATGGCTGTATGATAATACTAAATACCTGATGCTTGTAATTATGGTCTTGAGTTATTAGGAAAACAATGATTATATTTAGAAACATTTAGTTAAGTAGGCAAATAAAGGTATTACATATTTTAGAAAAAAATTTTATTTAATATGCTACATGTAGGTTGGCATTAAAATAAGTTTACATCATCTAGAATATTTAGTTCTCTGCTGATGCTGAATATGATATTTCATGATTCAGTTTTGCTATTAATAAAATAAAAACTGGGCTGATGGCATCTGGTCTCCATCCTTCTCTATATGACAATGTGGCTTCGGTGAGCCCCTAAAGGCCCAGGAAAGCAGACTTGCTCTGCACACTGATGACACTGAATCTGGTACTGCTGGTGATGCTTTAGAGTGGTGGTTCTCTAGTGGAGCAGGGGGGTGAAATGGGATGGTGGCCCTAGATCTCCTGAGATCTCTCTGGCCGGCTCTGCATGCCCCTTTTCCAGCTTTGCCTCTAACAGCTGTACCTGTAGCGTCCTTCAAGGACTGCCATTGGACTACTGCATCTGCAGGAGCTCAGAGGGCTGGAGGTGCCTTGGAGTTCCTGTCCTCTGGGGTGGCCTGCAATCCATGCCTGATGGTGCAGAAGTGGGAAAGCCCAGACTCTTTGCTTGGGAAGGGGAGACTCAGAGTTGTGATTTATGCTCCAGAGCTCCCCGCCCCTTCAGGCTGAGCTAGAGACCACCTGCCTTTGCCCAACGCCGTGCTGTTGCTTCTCTAGCAGGCCTGCTCCCCACCCCTTTCTGGATTGTCATCGTATTCTTCCCAAATCAGTCACTTGCAGACAAATACTCATCTTAGTATCTGCTCGTGGGGAACCTGACCTCAGACAGGAAGGAAGCAGATAACTAACTGCAGGAGCTCAGTTCACAATTGTACTCACAAAGCCAGGGCCATGTTCTCTGCTTCATTTTAATGAATTCAAACTCCCTAAAAGATTAGTCTTAAGCCCAGAGTCCCGTCTCTCTTCTAGAAAACAAAGAACAGCTTGGAGGAGGCATCTGGTAGAGGTTGCAGGGACTGTAGCCTTGTGACTCTGCTGTGTCCTGAGCCTGTCTGATTCCCACGGCAGGCGGAGGACAGCCGCAGGCCCAGATTCCAGGGTCAAGATCAGTCCAACAGATGTGCGAGTCCATACACACCTCAAGACTTTCAACTTAAGAATGTTAGCATTTCCAAACTTTCTGATCATGTAACCCAACCAATATAAGTTGTAAATATGTGTATGTACTTACACATGTATTAACATGTCTCATGTACATGTGTATATGCATATTACTCATATCTACATTTTAAACTATGCAAGAATATTAATTCATATAACATAAGGACATTTTAAATATTCAATTTATCAATGATAAAATATTCTAGCAAAAATAGTTTAGTGGAGGCAACTGAATCAAATATGCTTCAAAATGCTTGAGGATTGTTTTATATATTTTGTAATACAGAAATTTGATTAATTTTGATATTCGGCTTTAAGGGCTGCCATAGCAGATGTCCTGGCAGATGCAAAGTGTCACTTATGCACTCTAAATCCTTTTTCCATTTTTCAATCTCCTTTACCAATTATGTAAATATGTATATAATGCTGTAAATTTTCATTTTCTTTGTTGTTTTTAATGATTCACTTCATAACCTATGGAAACTTTTCATTTGGAAAATGGTTTCTTTTCCCTTCAAATTTGAATAGTGCACAGATGAGAGCGATGTTGAGGTGACATATTTCTGTTCTTCTTAATAAAATTATGTGACAATGAAAATATTTTCAAATATTTATTTTCATGATGCTTTCTTTTTACTGTGAGTTCTTTTGAAAAACAGCTTTTTTCACACTCATTGTCAAAGCACTATGTTCACCTTGAAAGGATGGATTAGGCATGTTAAATCTACTGGGGCATACACTGCAGAGAGCTGATTGTAGCCTAAGTTGGCAGCATTTTTCTTTTTGATAACAAGAGTCCATCAGTGGTGGGAGCTTGTAGAAAGGGCAGACCTCCACTGTCCTGATGAATATGTGCAAGTTGCAAGAGCTTGTGTCCTTGTGCCAAGTTCTGTGGGATGGGCCACAGTTCTCAGGAGGATCTGCCATGTGACTCACCTCCCGCATGCTGTTTCCTTCCCTCCTTCATCTATCTCAAGATGGAAAGAGAAGAAATCTTTGAATGACATGAGAGATTGCAGTTTTGAGTTAGATTGGACTGCACTTTTTTATATCTAAAAATGAGTCTGAGGCAATAATTGAAAGTAACAGGAAATTAAATCTTCTTGAATTTTAGTCAAGGAATAGAAAAAGACGATCTGAAAAAGAATATGTACAAGCAGAAACTAAAGAAAAGTAAAGCAATTGCCCATTGGGGCCCACCAGCATTCACCCTGTTAAATATATCTTTTATAATCATAAGCTTTATTATTGAGTTTTTCATGTCAAGAGATTCAGAGTTTGATCCTCCTCCAAAATTATCCTTTATAACAACACCCCAGTGATTTAATTACTTGTTTTTTCTTTTTCTTTTTCTCTTTCTTTTTTTCTTTCTTTTTTTTTTTTTAATAGGGCCTTGCTCTCTCATCCAGGCTGGAGTGCAGTGGTGTGATCACAGCTCACTGCGGCTTTGACCTCCTCGGCTCAAGTGATCCTCTTGCCTTGGTCTCCCACATAGCTAGATACCTAGAACCACAAGCATGTGCCAGCACACCCAGGTAATTTTTTTTTTTTTTTTGTAGACACAGGGCCTCTTTATGTTGCCCAGGCTGATCTCAAACTCCTAGGCTCAAGTGATCCTCCCACCTCAGCCTCCCAAAATGTTGGGATTATAGGCATGAGCCACTGCACCTGGCCAGACTCTTGTGGTTGGAGCAGCTGATCACTGAAAAATTCTGTCCTGCATGCCCAGGAATGTCTAGAAGACCCGTGAAAGATTCCACCTGGGTCCCAGCAGCAGGGATGGTCCCGCTGCCATGAGGCCTTTCATAATCGGCTCTGTCATGAGGAGGAACAACGCTCTGCGTGCATTTCATAAATTATTCTTCAGGGTTGTAGCTGCCGAGGTGATTTCACAAGGCACCCTGAATCCTGACTCCTCAAATGTATTTGCCAGCAGGGAAGACTGCAGAGACAGCCACACCGGCTCGCTCTGGGAGAGCGGTGGGTTGCAGGTCACCCTCACACCTGAACAAACATGGAATTCAGTGGAATGCTCACGTCGCTGTTTCCACTTCTTGGTTTTCCACTTGAATCGGTGCTTTATTTACCCTCTGCTTCTAACTTAGCCTGAGGATTTCAAGTGTTATTTTGAGAGAGATTTCCAAGCAATTAAAACATTTACACACCGTAGCTTCTCCCTCCGAAGCACTGTAAACACTGAGCAGATTGAGGAACAAAACAACCCAATACCTCATGGCAATGATTCCAACAAGGAGGGAGAGGCCAGATGTGCATTGCATCGGGGAACTGCTGCGCCGCAGCTGAGACGTGCGCCTGGCTGGTGTCATGCAGTAGGATTTATTTTCAGGGCTAATGCTGCATTCACTAATTCCTCTCTTACCCCATTCTCAAGGAGCCTCTGAAAATAGCTAAATTTTGCCTGTTGAAGCCCAAATTAAAAGCAGGCTCCTCAGTTGCCTTGCCTCTTCCCTCCAAACCAGCCTCTGCCTACCACGTTACCATCCCTGCAGTCACCCAGATTAGAAAGTGGAAGGTTGATTGACCCTATTCCTTGAGAGGAATTCCCTCCTACATCTAACCACTTCCTAAGTATATCAACTATTTTCTCCATGTTTAGCAGTGTTGTCATGAGTGGACACCACATACACGCACTTGTGCACACACACACGTGCCACACACACATGCATGCACATGCACATTCACACACTTTATGCTTTGGGGTGACAGGAGAAGTTTTGAGCAAAGAGACATTCTGAGCTTTCAATCCAAACCCCTCTTTTGTGAATTCTTCCTGCAAAACACTCATATGTCTTTATGTCTCTATCCTTGATGGCAGAGAATGTGTCACTATCCACAGCTCATTGAGCACTATTGACCGAGATTACTTGTGCAAACCATTGTATCAATTGCATTGTAAACATCTTGAGGCCAGGGACCATCTTCTTGACATTTTGTACTTCCTTTCACTCTAGGTCAGTGCTACAGGTATTGCAGGGGCTGAGTAATATTTTCTGGATGATATATTTGACCTACCCTTTTAGAATAAAGAGAACTTTTCACTTGCTGACAAACAAGTGAAACCAAGCCTGGTCTCTGACGTCTTCTCTGTTCTCAGGAAGCCTTGAAGAAGCTGATGCCTCTGCAAGAGAAAGGGCTGATACCTGGTGAGACTTAACCTGTGCTAGGTGCTGAGCTAAGCAGGTACATGAATGAACTTACTTCATCTTCAGACTAATCCCATAGTGTGTGTTCAACTTTTATTTAAGAAATGAAGGCTTAGACTTGCCCCAAGTTTCAGAGCACATAAGAAGCAGAGATGGCTCCTTGACTTCTACTTCACTCGCAGGCCTTGACCTTTGAGCTTCGACACGGCGTCTAGCAGCTTGAATTTCTCTTTCCATCCTGTTTCCTTACCCTGTGCCTGGTTAGTGGTGAGTGGCATCCTATTTAACAACAAATGTTAACTAAATGAAAATGTGTGCAACGGAACAAGACTTTGACAGCGTCTGTCGTGACCGCTTATGGTTGCTCTGTGCATCAAGCTGGGTTTCTGAAGCACTGTCCTCCATGCTAGGAAGATTACTCTGTGTGCACAAGCTGGATACTATTCCCTGTTACAGGCTCTCTTGGTGTCCCCTCCATAAGCCTCTGGCACTTGCTGTTTCCATCCACCCAGGCCAGATGGTTTCCAGGATCCCTCATCTGCTGCTGCTTACCTAAGAGCAGGTGCAGGACACCTGGGGTGTCCATGGGCCAGGTGCCAAGGGGGTGATGTCCCTGGGAGCAGCCATCAACTGGTGACCAATAGAGCTTCAGGAATAAAGATGCCAGTTCTCCCACCCTTCAGCTGCTGTGACAAGAAGCCTGTGCTGTCTCCCAGGGATCCTCAGCAAGACTACCATTCCCTGCTCAGGAAGGCCCCCGGTCACCTTCTCAGGTCCCTGACTCTCTGCCCCTGCCCCAGCAGTGTTCCTGGGGTCACTACCTGCATGCACATCCTGTCTCAGAATATGCTCCTGGAGGCCCAGGAAATGCCCCAGGTCCCAACAGGGCTGCATGTTCCTGTTTGGACCATTTGTGGGAACAAAGAGAGCACTGTGGCTTTCCAGTATCTGTGTGGGTGTTCCCATGGGCCAGCTTCAGGGCTCCCGTACAAGAGGCTGGGACACAGGCAATGAGGAGAAGCAGTCTGGTGGGGGGGCGGTGTGGATTAATTTGATGAGAACCAGAATGAAAAAGATTCAGGGGGAGGACAATGCTTCAGTTCCTAAATGGTCAGGTTATTTCTCCTCATTCATTCCTCTCTTCCACTGGCTCCCTCTCTCTCTCTCTCCTTCCCTCCTCACCTCTGTCTTTTTTACTCTGTTTCTTGGTCTCAGTCTCTCTCTCTCTCTCTCTCCTCTGTCCTGGGACAGGATTTCATTCATCTTCCTGTAAGTGCTCACATTACTCACTTTTTTATGCACGGACCACCACACATTTAGATTCTTTATCTTCCTCTCCTTTAAAACAAATTCAGGTCGTTTCAGGGACTAATCAAGGAGGATGGATGGGCCGATTCTCTGGGTAAGCAGAGGCTGCTGCAGCGCCCACCCTCCCCGACCCCAACCTGCCCCCTCCTCCTCCACTCATCTCCATTGGCGAGGTCTTTATGTTGCTTATGCACACATTTTGGTGCTCCTTGTACAACTCAGAGAAGGGCATCCCTAATTTGCCGAACACTACAAATCTATAAACATGATTTGGGTGTGATGTGGCATGTGGCATGTTGAATACCAGCCTCATTTGAGCCGATTGTGCTGGAACCATGTTCTAGTAACTTCTGCCTGGGGAAAAAATTTGACACAGACCTGGGTGTCCCCATCATTCTGTGGACTCCTGGTAGCTTGGCTTTGCCCTTCATAGATGTGGGTCTGCATCAAACTAATTTTGAGGTGGAAATATTTTAATTATTTAAAAGGCCAGTGCAATTCATAAGTTATCTAAACAGTGATTATCTGTGCATTATTCAAACAGGAAGATGTAAAGTCAGTTATTTAAAATCTTTTGGTAAGGAAATACATTGCAGCCAGAGAAAACATCTAGTGACAGATCTGAAGTGCTTTGTACAACTTCCGGAATTCAAGAATTGAACCACCACCTGTCTCATCCTCAGGGTGTGACCCTCAGCAACTCATGCCACACTCATGTTTATTCAATGCTCTTTAAACTCGATTAGGCCTCTTTTTGAACAACCTAATGTGTTAGTCTTTTCTCACATTGCTATAAAGAAATACCTGAGACAGTGCAATTTATAAAGCAAAGAGGTTTATGGCTCATGGTTCTTCAGGCTTTACAAAAAAACATGACTGGCATCTGCTCAGCTTCTGGGAAGGTCTTAGGGAGCTTTTTGGTAAAAAGCTCAGCTTCTGGGGAGGTCTCAGGGAGCAATTATGGCAAAAGGCGAAGGGGAAGCAGGCATGTCTTACGTGGCCAGAGCAGAAGGAAGCGAGAGAGGGTAGGGGCGCTGCCCACCCACTTTTCAACAACTCACTTCCTATCGCGAGAACAGCACCGAGGACATGGTACCAACTCATTCATGAGAACTTCGCTCCCATGATCCAATCACCTCTCATCAGGCCCTACCCTCAACACCAGGGATTACAATTTGACTTGAGATTTGGTGGGGACACAGATCCAAACCATATCACCTAATCTTTCTTTCTTCCTTAATGGCATTTACAATTCCAAAATAAATAAAACACTGCTGAGTACGGATGCAGCTTCCCGTAAAGTGTCTATCTCTGTGTATTTTGAGATGCCCAGTGTGTAAAACTTGGGGGAGGCTGCCACTCACCCTGGGTTTCCCACGTCCCGCATTTGGACAGGAGGATGGGCAGGGGCACAGTTGCAGGTTGGGGACTTGCTCTGTTTTGGGAGAACATCAGCCTGCCCGCTCTATCCCACTGTCATGACAAACACAGGCGGTCTTCCCCAGTGCTGGCCCGATTGCCGTGAAGACAACTAGACATGAGATGGGGCTTTAGTACAAATGTGTTTCCAATGACTTTCTTTACCTTTTTTACTCTGAGCCTCCTTTGGGGGGCTGGTTTTGAAGAAGAATTAATGCTTTAGAATCTTTGGTTCTAGCAAATGCCAAGAGTGACAGTTCCTTTTCGGAGCATGTTTAGAAAAGGAAAGGGCTGGGAACAAGAAGGTGCTTCCCGCCTCATCTCCCTGCTCTGCCCTGGAAGTTCCTTGCTTCAGTCTTAGCCCCCAGAACCTCTGACCTGTGGACAGCCACGCATCTCAGGTCAAAGTCTTTACCCGTTGGACCTTTGACAGCAGAGAGAGAAGGATTCTCCGAGGAAGTGTGCCTTAGGCAGGGCTACACTGCATCCTGTAACTAGTTATGAATCACTCGGAACAAGGCGACCACCCTGAGGTGTTAAAGCAACAGCCCCTTTGAGTGGGAAAGAGGGCATCACTCCACTCTGGATTCTCTCCTCTCCCCAGCACGTGGCAGGGTTGCCGGACGCGTAATAAAACCCAGCGCTCAGCCACTCCGGCGCTGCACGCTTCCGCACCGAGGCTGGAGGCTGAGCAATAAACTGGAGGCTCAGGAAGTCTGCGTGGCGAGTCTAGCCCTGCGGTGGATGCACAGCTCTCACTGGGGAGAACCAGCCTGACCGCCGGTGGCTGAGAGATGAGGCAGTTGTTTCTCATCTTTAGAATAAGCCATTTATTATGCTCTGCACCTCAACTTTCCCATAAATCCAATGGGAATGACACCTCCCCGTCCTGTGGACTGTGCTGCCACAGTGGGCATTCTCCATCCACCTCACAGTGGCGTGACAGCCATGGATGGGGAGGCACCGGCCACCGGCCACCACCTTCACATAAACGCCCTCCCCAGTCTGCCTGTCCTGTGAGCTCTCTGCCAGTGTCTGACCTGCAGGGGATCCCCGGTGCTGTCCCAGAAGCCTGCTGCCTGTACCCACAGAAGCCAACAGGACAACCTCTAATGTAAGGGGGACCTGAACTTTCTCCAAAATAGTCACACTTCTTTCATTTCACCAGCCCCTGCATGGCACCCCTGCAAGACGTCACTCCCAGGGCCCTGACCTCTTGACCTGCTGGGGCAGGGGTGGGGCTCTGCTGCAGGGTGAGTGCTGTTACTACTAAGTTGGGTCTGTCCTCATCTGGTAGAAAGTGAGGAGCCCAACCAAGCTTCTGGGCAGCGGCTCTCACCTCTGCACACAGGCGGACTCGGAGGACCCCTTCACGCAAGATGAAGGGTGTTATTAATCTGGCATCTTCTTCGTTATATGGACAAATGAAAATTTGACTCATACACATAGAGCATGTTTGAAATGGTCATGACCTAGGGATATTTCAAGGCAGGAATTCTAGCTCCTTATGAAGGCCAACAAAACTTAGCAATATTTTTAAAAGCTCTAGGAAGCCTTTCTTGTTTTGAATTGTGTGGTTTCTGGTGAAATGCTAGAATGAGTTGGTTGTAAAATGTATTCAAATGTAACTAAAGAAATTGCTTTTCTTTGGTATTATTGATTATAAAGTAAATTTTGAAGGTCATATTTCAAAATCATTGATTTTAGTTTTAGTACAATTGATCTGAGATCATTCTGACAACATTAGATAGAAAAATGAATGGCTGAATAA
This sequence comes from Homo sapiens, assembly GCF_000001405.40. Lineage (NCBI taxonomy): Eukaryota > Metazoa > Chordata > Mammalia > Primates > Hominidae > Homo > Homo sapiens. Next base: position 24,053,872 of record NC_000020.11, read on the forward strand.
TAGCATTCTTCATGACAATAAAACATTTCTTTTTGTTTTTGTTTTGTTTTGTTTTGTTTTTGAGGTAGAGTCTTACTGTGTTGCCCAGGCTGGAGTGCAGTGGCACAATCTCGGCTCACTGCAACCTCCACCTCCCAGGTTCACGCTGTTCTCCTGCCTCAGCCTCCTGAGTAGCTGGGACTACAGGCACCTGCCACCATGCCCGGCTAATTTTTTATGACAATAAAACTTTTAAGAATGTAAGAAATAATATTTATTTGTCCATTTTTCATTCTAGGAAAGCGGGCAACCACATCATTTAATTGGAACATCAATTATTTAAGAAACCAACACATACATCTTCCTCTGTGTGTGCGTATCTCATGTATGCATATATTCATGCATATAGAAAGAGACGAAAGATCTCTGTTTTATGTTACTTTAATTTTTTTAACTGACAAGCTTGAAGACAATTCCCACTAACTATGACTGTAAAGGCTATGTTTGGCTGAATATTTTTTTGGAAGTATCAGGCTTGGGTGCCTAGACAATTGAGTCCTCATTCATGCTTAATCTCTTTCCCACGATGGCCAGGAAAGACTCAAGCCCTGCCATCCTCCCAAGTTAATCTTGGTGATTTTCTCCATGTGATGATTAACAAGTATATCAGTGGCCCGTAGCTGAGTCACTCCGCCTGAAACTCACTTTCCCCCTGTGTAAAACATCTGCTTTAAAAGCCAAGACAGTGTTTGTATGTGGGAACCTCGTAAGTTTTAGAAAGAACAGCATAGTAAGTAACAGGCCTCCAGGTTTGGGGTTGTGAATTATATTCTGAGTTAATCCAAGCAAAAGAACAAGTAGGAGGTAAATAAATATAGATAAGATGTTAAATATCAGAGCCCACCTATCAGAATATCTAAAATAATTGTGGAGCAGAAATAACATGTCGATTGTTCCCTGGCATTTTGCATAATTCACTTTTTTTAAAAAAGTAAACTGTGCGGTAAGAGAAGGCTTGTTTGAGTCCCAGTGACAAGGGAGCATGGCCTAATAAAGCATTTTCCAGCTGTTCTGGGTATATAGAGACAGGCAAAGAAGGCCTCTGGGCAACAGTTGGAGTATGAATACTTCATTCGTGCTGGTCTCCTCAGCAGAGCCATGCACAGCAGACAACGTCTCCACGTCTCCAAATCTACCCACACTATGGGTCTGCAGGATAAGCTTGCTTCAAATGCACAGTCACCTGCAACAGTCCTTGCTTCTTTAACTCTTCCCAAGAGCATCCGACCCCAGCCTAGGCCTGATCACCATCACCTCCACATCCTGCTACTGGGAGCACCACGGCTCTCCATGGCCTGTGATCTCCTAACCTGCAGCAGGTAACACATCCGACTTTGACTCCAGGTGTGGCCCTGGTGGTCTCTGGCTTGGGGCATGGATGGCTGTAAGCCTGAGCTGCCATTCTGGGGGCTCTGCTGGGAGGGCTAGCTCTCAGGAGATGAGTCTTGAGTATGGTGGGGACAGTGGGAGCGGGAGCTTAAAAAGTCAGACAGAAAAGCACTCGGGCTGCCTGAGGTGAGTGGGGAGGTGTGCTGTCGTGGATTATTCATATCTGCCCTGAGAGAGGGAAGGGCCCTCACTGAGCCCAACCTCCAAATGCACCCCCTACAGTGAGAGTTCAAAAATTATTGATGAAATGAAAGAGCTCCCACTGGATATATGAATTCATGCTGTACCAAGGATAGTATTTACTGGGTATAACAGAGCTGACTTGTGGCCTCTGGCCCAGCTCCTCCTCCCTCCAAAGAGTATCCTTTCATTGGCCTGCATTCATGGGCTCACTGATATTTTTAAAACTTCAAACAACCTCTTTTTGGGGCCATCACCAAACCATGATATGTAATTTCCCCAGATATCTCACTGGACAATAAAACCAAATCACCCATCTATGAACTTTGTCCATTTGTTCCTGGAGAACTAAAGTGAGATGCATCACATTTTGCAGGGTATTATGAGCTAACACAAAAAGTATTAAAAAGTTGTTCCTGTCTTTTAGTGAGGAAAAATCATACCAGTGCCAAAATTCCACAGGATTTCTTACTTTTCTAAAGCTTTATAACAACACTTCTATTAATTTATTTGCTGTTCAGGGTGTGAGAAAATCTATTGCTGGGAGGTGAGAATCCTCATCTACACCTGGTAGAAACATGATTAAGATGCTTTTTGTGTGTTTTAATATATAAAAAATCCATGACCCAGAAATTGCACTCATGGGAATCCGCACGTTAGAAATGACACTATCAGGTTACAGCAATATTTTATTTTTAAGAATGTTACTACAGGTTTTGTGTTGACCAACAAAAACTGGAAACAAAGAAATATTAATATTCCCATTATTGGGGCAATGATGGAATAACTCATGGTTTATCCACATCACAAAATTATGGAGGCATTAAAATAAAAGAAAAAACATAGAGCAGTTCCAAACACGCAGGAATCTCCATGAAGTATATTGGAGAGGGTTGAGGAGGGTGCAGCAGCAGGTATTGGGCACTACACTGTGGTCATAGAAAGGAAGACCAAGGCCCTGTGCACAGACAGCCATACAGGTATGGTGATGTGATTTCATACGTGTGCCAATGTGCCTGAGAGATTTACAGCAGCCATGTGTGGTTGGGAGTGGTTACAAGCAAAAGGAGGAAAGCAGACTATAAAGGGAAATAAAAATAAGCCAAGAAATTGTGCTTTAGAAAAACTAGCATTTATACGTGATCCATTTCAGTTAAATTATGTGTGTGTAGAAAAGGGATCTCTGTAGCCACTCATTAATGGGAGTGTCCATGACACACTGCCAAGTGAGAGAAAGCAGTTAGTGTGTAAAGTATGCTCTGTTTGGTTAAAAAATGAATGAACAGCCAAGCAGTCAAAACAATCTTGAAAAAGAAGAACAAAGTTGGAGGTCTCACACCCCTGATTTCAAAACTTACTATAAAACTACAGTAACCAAAACAGCATAAAGACAGACTTACAGACTATGAAATAGATATGGAGCCCAGAATTAGCCCTCACATGGAGGGTCAAATGATTTTGCACAAGGGCGTCAGGTTCATTCAATGAGAAGAGGAGCACATCATTAACAAACGGTGCTGGGAAAACTGAATATCCACCCAAAAAATAGCGAAATTGGACCATTGCTTTATATCATCTACAAAAATTAACTAAAAATGGATTGAAGGTCTAAACAGAAGAGATAAAACTCTATAACTCTTAGAACAAAACATACGAAGAAACTGTCATGATATTAGATTTGGCAGTTATTTCTTGGATATGACACCTAAACCAAGGCAACAAAGAAAAATAGATAAATTGGACTTATTCAAAATTAAAGACTTTTGTGCATCTAAGTACACTACCAAGAAAGCAATATAATGGCCTACAGAAGGGGAAAAAACATTTGCAAATTACACATGTGATAAGGAGTTAATACCCAGAACACATAAAAGACTCCTAAAATCCAACAAATGCAAAACAACTCAATTAAAATTGACAAAGGCCTTGAATAGACATTTCTTCAAGGAAGATGTACAGACAGCCAATAAGCACATGACAAGATGCTCAGTCAATATCTTTACTCATAGAGAAATGTGAATCATAACCACAGTGAGATACCAATAGTACAGTTACTACTGAAAAATTAGAAAGTAGCAAGCATTGGTGAAGATGCGGAGAAACTGGAATCCTTGCAGGAATGCTTATGGGAATGTGAAATGGTGCTCGCTGCAGAAAACAGTATGGCAGTTCCTTAAAAAATTAAACATAGGGGCCGGGTGCAGTAGCTCAGGCCTGTAATCCCAGCACTTTGGGAGGCCGAGGCGGGCGGATCACGAAGTCAGGAGATCGAGACCATCCTGGCTAACATGGTGAAACCCCGTCTCTACTAAAAATACAAAAAATTAGCCGGGCGTGGTGGCGGGCGCCTGTAGTCCCAGCTACTCAGGAGTCTAAGGCAGGAGAATAGCGTGAACCCGGGAGGCGGAGCTTGCAGTGAGCCGAGATGGCACAACTGCACTCCAGCCTGGGCAATAGAGCGAGACTCTGTCTCAAAACAAAACAAAACAAAACAAACAAACAAACAAACAAATTAAACATAGAATTACCACATGATGCAGCAATTCCACTCCTGGGTACATACTTAAAAGAATTGAAAGCAGGTGCCCGGCACGGTGGTTCATGCCTGTAATCCCAGCACTTTGGGAGGCCGAGACGGGGGGGATCACTTGAGGCCAGGAGTTTGAGACCAGCCTGGCCAACATAGTGAAACTCTGTCTCTATTTAAAATGAAAAAAAAAAAAAAAAAGTCGAGCGTCGTGGTGCCCGCCTGTAATCCCAACTACTTAGGAGCCTGAGACAGGAGAATCACTTGAATCTGGGAGCCGGAGGTTGCAGTGAGCTGAGACTGTGCCATTGTACCCCGGCCTGGGCAACAAGAATGAAATTCCGTCTCAAAAAAAAAAAAAAAAATTGAAAGCAGAGATAGATATTGCACACTCATGTTCATAGCAACATTATTGACAATAGCCAAGATAAGGAATCAACCTAAGAGTCCCTTGATGGATGAATGAATGGAAGAGTGGATAAACAAAATGTGGCATATACATACGATGGAATACTACTCAGCCTTAAAAAGGATGGGATGATGACACATGCTACAACATGGAGGAAACCTCAGGACATTATGCTAAGTGAAATAAGCCAAACACAAAAACACAAATACTGTGAAATTCCACTAATATGAGTTCCCCGCAGTAGTCAAGTTCATACAGACAGAAAGTAGAATGGTGGTTGCCAGGACTGGGGTGAGGGAAAATGGAGAGTCGGTGTTTATTGTGTACAGAGTTTCAGTCTGGGATGATGACGAAGTTATGGAGGTGATGGTGGTGATGGTTGCACAACAATGTGAATGTACTTAATGCCACTGACCTGTACATTTAAAATGGCTAAAATGGTAAATTTGATATCATGTATATTTTACCATGATAAATAATAAACCGACAGTCTAGGCCTCATAAATGTGCACACAGCCTCATAAATGTGTGCCTGAATTATGAGAGGAACTGGGAGTGTGGGAGGGTGAGATGTCTGGAGGGTGCTATCTTTATTAACACAACTTTGGCTTTGTTTTATTTGCCATAACCAATATGAATTAATTGCATAAGTTAAAATAATCACATAAAGAATATTTTTCTGTTAATGCAGAGTCAAGGAGGCATGTGTGCCTGTCAATCAAAGGTCAGTTTCCCTCCTTCTACTGTGGGTACCAGATAATGATTGTCTCCTTGCTAAGAGTTTTCTTAACCCATTGTCTAACTTGGAAAGAAGGCTAGTTGCTGAGTGGACTTGAGGGTTATTTTGGCCCCATAGACTCACCCTAGCATGGGCTAGTGGAGGGTAAATGAGTGGAAGTCCGCTCTTGGTCCCTATGGATAGAGAGAGGCTCAGTGTGGCCTGAGCACAGCCCAAGCACCTGTGAGCAGAGCCGAGCCCCTATCTGCCTGACATGCAGGATATCATTGCACCAGGGGGCACTGCCGGGGTCTTTCCCAAAGGATCAGATCCTGCGAGAAAGGCAAACCCGACCACAACTACCTATGACATAAAATGAGAGAAAAATTCAAAATTCATGAATTTTGACTCCATTTGGTAGAACCAGCCTTCTGTGCTCAGAGCTGAGGAAACCCGGCCAGACCTAGCCACAGCTTGGGGAGTGGTGGGAAGGGAAAGGGCTTGAAATGGAAGTGTCAGGTAGACTTACGTGGCTTGAGATGAGGAGGAATGTCATTTAAATAATAACAGAAGCACTGTGATGACCCAGAGTCCACACCAGGGAGCCAGGTAGAGTCAGACCTGAATCACATAAGGTCCACCTGGGCCCTGAGAAGGCAGGGGCCAAGGATTCCCCCTCAGACAGGGGCATGCAGCTTCAGCTGCCTTGAACCCAGCATCTCTGAGTGTGCTGAGCAATTTAGAAGCAGGTTGTCTGGAAATGCATAGACAAAACAGAAAACTTCTAGAGTTTGAGAGCAAACACTTTTTTTTTTATATTTACTTAATTTTTTTCTTTCTTTTTTTTTTTTTTTTTTTTTTTTTGAGACCGAGTCTCACTCTATTGCCCAGGTGCCCAGACTGGAGTGCAGTGGTGCAATCTTGGCTCACTGCAGCCTCCGCCTCCCAAGCTTAAGCAATTCTCCTGCCTCCCAGATTCAAGCAATTCTCCATCCTCAGCCTCCCAAGTAGCTAGGATTAGGTGCCCACCACCATGACCAGCTAATCTTTGTATTTTTAGCAGCGATGGGGTTTCACCATGTCGGCCAATGGCCAGGCTGGTCTTGAACTCCTGACGTCAAGTGATCTGCTTGCCTTGACCTCCCAAAGTGCTGGGATTACAGGCATGAGTCACCATGCTCGGCCTATTTATTTAATTTCTAACAAGCCTCTATTTCCTTCTGCTGTTGCTTTATTCTTGTATTGGGTAACAACCATTTACAATAATTGTCCATAATTAGAAAATATGCTATTCAGTAATGGAGACAAGGAGCTACTATATGAATAAAATATGCTACACATAAAAAAGGCTAAGATTTGAAAATGTAGAGGTAGCGATTATGCCTGAAAACTAAGATACCATTTCTCCATCTTGATTAGAATTCATGAATTCTGAAATTAAAAACAAAAATTATAACCAGGAAAAACTCCCTGTTATGACAGTGTTCTCAGAGGCATAGTTTGATTTCTTGTTATTCCAAGCACTAAATAAGATATAATGTTACATTCCCACCACACTGTATGTTTTTCTTTATATGGATGTTAAGAAACTGCATATTTGTGTACATCATGATCCCTTATAGGTTTATAATTTCATGCACAAATGTTTGCTCTTTTACATCATGGAAGGTGCTGTGAGATGTGCAAAGAAAGTGCAGGATGGTGTTTTTCCCTCAAGAAGTTCAATATTTAGAGGAGAAAACATTACAAGTGAAACCCAGCAATTATATAAGCTCCAAACAATAGGGTTCCAGAGGCTCCCCAGCCCAGCTCTCGCACACCTGCTCTCCTCTGGTGCCCACTCCATGCATAACCCTCTTTCCAGGGGTCTGTAGGCCACGCTGAGCTCCATCCTGGGACCCTCACTCTCCCTTCCATCTCCACCACACAGCCAGCTCCACCGTGACAGCAGCCCAGGGCTCCGTCGTCCCCATCTCCACACCCTTAGGCCAATCACAATGAGCGTCTCCACAGTGCGGTGCCCTGGGACGCACAGCACTTAGCCAGGGGAGCCTGAGCCAGGGGATCGCTGCCTCCTTCAGAGGGGAGGGTGGAGCCTGGAGAAGGGGAGAAGAGCCTGCGTGCCTCTCAACCCAAGCAGGCTCCACCCGCCCTCTGAAAAATGGATCTGGAAAGTTTACTTGGGCTGCAGTTTGGAAGGAGAAACAGATTCCTGTGCACTGAGGCTTGGTACACCCTGGGGATAAAAACCGAAGAATAGCCATGTAACCATCCCATCCAGTAAGGTCATCTGCTCCCTTCAATGTGTGGACAAATGCTGTTATTTCAAAGCATTCTTATCTTACTCTTCACTTTGTATGCCACATGAAGGCCACGTGTTTGTGAGCTGAGGTTTTGGGTTGGCCTTTAGGCTACTTATAAATCCTGGAATCTTTTTTCTAATTTCCCAAGGTTTGAAAATTGTTTTGTGTGTTACGTTTTATATTGATGTAATTCAAACTTTCAGAAAAATTGCAAGAATAAGAAAAACAACTTCCATTATACACTTTATCCATATTTGCCAATTATTTACATTTTCTTCCATCGGCTTTATCATTCTCTCTTGATAAATATATAAATATAATATATAAACATTGTTTTCCATTTATATATTTTGTATAATATACAAATATGTATTTTATGTAGAGATGTAAAAAATGTATTTATAAATTTGCGTACTTCATGTATATGATGTGAATATATATTTATATTTCATAAAGTTTTAGATGTTTATTATGTAACTATATATGTATTTGATCTCTTATATGTACAGCCATTATATAGATGCGTGTGTGTATATGCGTGTGCGTGTGTGCGTGTGCATACATATGTATGCATCTTTTCCCTAAATCATTGGAAAGTGATTTGGAGGCTTTGTATGTATTTACCATTAGTGACTTCAGAATGTACCTTCTAAAAATAAGGGAATTTTCTAACATAAATGCAGTATAATGAACAAAATCAGAAAATTTAATACTGTACAGTTATCTCACCCACAGCCCATATGCACATTTGCCAATTGCCAGGAATAGCTGTACTAGTTTCCTGTGGCTGCTATAATAAATTACCACAAACTTAGTGGCTTAAAACAACACTTGCTTATTCAGTTACAGTTCTGAAGATCAGAAGTCTAAAATCAAGGTGTTGGCCAGACTGGATTCCTTCTGCAGCTTTCAGGGGAGAGTCCATTCCTCCCGGCCTTCCCTGGCTCCTGGAGGCTGCCCGCATTCCCTGGCTCCTGTCTTCACGCTCAGCTCACTCCAGCCTCAGGCTTCTGTTGTCACACTACCTTCTCCACCTGTGACTCTGCCACCTCTCTCTCATAAGGAAACCTGTGATAACATTTAGACCCCTCCAGCCCCAGATAATCCAGGATAATATCCCATTTTAAGATTGACTTCATCACATCTGCAAAATCCCTTTTGCCATGTAAAGGAATGTATTCACGTATTCTGGGATTAGGACGCTGGCATGTTTGCACGGCCATTATTCAGCCTCCACATCATGTTTTATAGCTATTTTTCCTTCCAGGTCCAGATCACATTCTAGGGTCCTGTACCACATGTAGTTGGCATGCCTCTTTAGTGTCTTTTCATCTGGAAGTTTCTTAGTCTTTCTTTCCATCTTCTGACCTTGACATTTTTTAGGAGTACAGACCGGTTGCTTCACAACATGTTTCTCAATTTGTTAAGCAGCATTTGAGAAAAAAACCATGCTAATATGCATATACACCTTTAAAAGAGAAGACGTAGAGAGTTCATGAGATTTTCAGATGAGTTCTATATCTCCCAACCTGTTAAAATCCACTGGAACTGAGATAGTTGGATTGACTCAATATTGAATCTTAATCTGCATATGTGTACATATACATAATATGTATATCACTGGTGTGTGTGGCAGATTATAAAATAGCTACAGATGCTCCTGTGTGCCTTCCTCTCCTTACAAAGTGACTTAGCTCCTGCCATCAAGGCACGAAGGAGTCCTTTCTCTCTCTCTTAAATCTAGGTTGGCCCTGTGACCTGCATTGGCCAATGGGACACTAGCAAAAGTGATGCAAGCAGGGCTCTGAAAGGTGCTGCGCACTGAGACTTATTATCCTGCAGCTTCTGGAGCCCTTCGACTGCTGCTGTTTGAAGAAGCCCAGGCTAGCTTATTGGATGGTGAGAGGGATACGGCCTGGTCACCCCTATGCCCTGGCCCTCAGCGTGCCAGGTATGTGAGTAAGCCCACCCTGGGTTATTCAGCCATGAGCCAGCCCTGCCACTGACCACAAAGATCAGCCATGCCAGCTTAGACTGGAAGAACTACCTACTAATTCACAGAATCCCAAGCTAAAAAATGATTGTTCTCTTAAGCTGCTAAATTTTGGGGAGATTTGTTACATAGCAAAAGCTGATTGATAGAACATATATACTTTAATATTCCACGTAATTTAGATTATTACCTTTTTTGGTTAGAGTGTACATAATCTTCTCTCTGAGGCTCCTAAAGATAGAGGTACAGTCTTTGAATTGTTTTTAGCAGCTGAAGCAGTGTTTGAGTAGGCCAACAATAGCATGGTTTCTTACTAAAATAAAAGCACTATGTAATTTGGTTCCTTTGTATATAAGAAGAGTGTATACATCTACAAGTTAATATGTATTAAAATTACAAGTTAAGGGTTAAATAGGAGTTATTGTTCCTAGGTGTCCACCCATAGGTGAATGTCAGCTTCTGCAATGCTGCTAATCAGACATTATGGGTAGATGAAGGTTCATCTAATTCCCTTTCCATTTCCCAATGCCCCTCCCCTTCCTGTTTCCCCAACACTAACTTGTCAGGATGAGGGGCTTGCTTCATGGGAGCTGGAGGTTGAGCCAAGAGTTCACCCTTCTCTCTCCTGGCTTGGTCATTTCTTCTCAGACCCTAAATCCTTATCTTCGCTTTAATAATGTTTCAATATGCTTTTGGCATCCGCAGCTCATTCTTGTGAACTAGAGCAGGGTTCACCAACCCCTGGGTCATGGACTAGTACCAGTCCTTGGCCTGTTAGGAATTGGGCCACACAGCAGAAGGTAAGTGGTGGGCCAGTGCGCAAAGCTTCATCTGTATTTACAGCTGCTCCTCATTGCTTACATTACCACCTGAGCTTCGCCTCCTGTCAGATCAGCAGCAGCATTAGATTCTCATGAGAGCATGAACCCTATTGTGAACTGCACAGGGGAGGGATCTAGATTGCATGTTCCTTATGAGAATCTAATGTCTAATGATCTGCCACTCTCTTCCATCACCTGCAGATGGGACCATCTAGTTGCAGGGAAACAAGCTGGGGGCTCCCCTTGTTCTACATTATGGTGAGTTGTATAATTATTTCATTATATATTACAATGTCATGATAATAGAAATAAAGTGCACAATAAATGTGATGTGCTTGAATTATGCGCTGACCTAGTGCATGGGTTGCTAAAGAATGTGGGTATTAATATATCTAGGGCTTAATTAGTGGTGGAATCTGGGATAGCAATTCTTTTGGTTGGCATCTTCCTCTTTTCCACCTCCTCTTTCTTCTTAAAAATGCATATTAAGGCCCTTATTTGGTGGCTTCAAAATCATTGAGACTGAATTAAGAAAAATAGTGCCTAAATTTGTAAATGCTTAGTATTGTTACTTGCTGCAAATATGTAGAGTTTTCTGTTATTTGTTGCAGTATCCTGTGTTTTCATACACTGAAGTCAAAAAACACCCAATAAATAAATATTTAACCCCAAAATTGATCTTTCCATTTATCTGTCTATTCATCCATCACCTCCTCCCTCAATGCTGCCACCTACCCACTCATCCATAAATTTCTCCCTCCCCTTTCTCCTCTATTTTCACCCTTTCTCTGCCTACTTATATATTCCTCCATCTCCTTTCCTGATTCCTTCTATCCCTTGCTCCCTGCATCCATCCCTATTTCCTTCCTTCTTCCCTCACTTCTTCCTTCCTCCTTCCCTCTCTTGTTCCATTCATGCATATGTATTCATCCATTCATCCATCCACTCATATATCCATCCATCCTTTTTTCCCTTCATCCTTCCCTCTTTTTCTTCATCCATACATCCATTCATACATACATACATACTTTCTATCTATACATCTTGATAATTATCTACCTGTACTGTCTATGAACATATAAATACATGAAGCATTTTTATGTGAACATGGAAAGGAAGCACACATTAGTAAAGAGCAGGGCACCAGAGCTGGGTTGTCTGGATTTAAGTCCTGGCATTGCTCCTCACTACCTTGGTGGTTTTGGAAATTTCTCACCCACCTTTTGCTTCAGTTTCCACAATTTTGGATATGGAGATAATATTACCTACTCCATAGATATTATTTTCAATGGATTAAGGCTTAATAGCTCTAAAATACATAGAATGGTGCCAGGCTCATAGTGTGCGTGATTACTTTTGCTAAAATACTGATTTAAAAATCAGGTCTTGAGAAGTCTACATCCATGGCATGGTGACAACCTGTCTGTTTCCATTCTCTACCTTTCTTTAACTACACACATTTTGTTGCCCAGATATGATCCATGGATGCACAGAGGGCCTTTGTACTTTGCTGGAGAAAAGCGTGCACACTAGACAGACTCATCTCCCATGGAATCTGCTGACAGATCTCTCTGGGGACCCCTGGGCAGCTATGTGTCCAGCACCACCAGTGGCTCCCCATTTCTGTGTCTTCTTAGAAGATCTGACAACCCAGCATACCTCTTGCTGATGTTATGGATCTGCTGGCTCTGTAAACTATAAATTGGCAAACTAGATTAATCAAAGAGGAAGCTTTCTGCATGTGTGCTAACAGTCCCAACTCTCTAATCTCACAAGGCACCAATGTGACACTTCTTGCTAAAGAATGTGGTTATTAATATATCTGTCTTTGGTTTTCTTTTCTGCTCTTGGAGTGGAAAGCCCCTAGAGAAATAGTTCCAAAAAGAATTTATAATATACTTGCTGGAGAAATAAGATTTAAGAGGGCAGGCTTTCACATCAAAGTTTCAGCATATGGTAATGAAGGTTTCTGTTCAGACAGGTGGAGGAGGAGCTGCCTACATTTCCTGCGGGGGGTGGAGGGGAAGTAGGCATGGCGGTGAGTCCTGGGCTCTCAGACTTTGCTTATCATATTGTAACAGCTGACCTTGGTCCCCTTTTTGGCTCTGTCTCTAACCCACAGGTCAGCCTAGGATGTCACTGATTCAATTTATTTCAATGTCAGGTTGTCAGATATAATTTACATACAGTAACATTCCGTTCCCCCTTTTCAGTATGCAGCTCTATACGTTGTGACAAATGTATGCCATTCTATAACCACCATGATGAAGACACGGAACATTTCCATCACCTCAGAAGTTCCCTTGTGCCCCTTGTAGTCAGCTCCTCTTCTCAGACCCACCCCAAGCTGGCAACCACGGGTCTGCTTTCTATACCTATAGTTTTCCTTTTTCAAAATATCATATAAATAGTCCATAGGCATTTTAACAGCCAAGGTGCCTAATAAATAGTGCACTGTGACTATCATTGTTTTTCTTGAATTAAAAAGCCCACCGTGGAGGTGGGTACGTGGAGCCTCTCCTAACTCCAGCTTCCATAAGCAGACATGTTTCAACAGATATCCTTTTCTTCTTTAACAGATTCATTGGGTTCAAATTCTAGTACTGTCACTCAGTAGCTAAATATCTTTGGATATTTTATTTCAATTCTCAATAACTTTGTTTTCTTATTTGTAAAATGAGAATTTTAGAATACCTATCTTTGGAAGCAAACAAACAAACTAAAGTGAGGGACAACAAAAACAAAAGAAAATTGCATTGTTCTTGGGATCTTAGAAAATAGCAACATGAAGTTACTTTATTTTAAAATTTATTCAGCTGACAATACAGGAATGGCATTCAAAGCAAGTTACTTAAATTCTGTGTGCCTCAAATTCTGTTGTGTAAATTGGGGAAACAAGTGTACTTCCCTTATAAGATTGCTGTTTTGATATTAAATGAGACATGATCCATATAAGGTCTTTTGAGCAACCTTAAGCTCAAAAGAAAATACTCGAAATATGTGACTTGTCAGAATTACATTTGTATTTATGTAGCCCAAATGCAGCATACATTTAAGAATGCTTTATAATCTTGCTGCTGAATTGTCCATCAACTGATATATTTTTCTTTCAATTATTTATTCTAACTCATGTGTCCTAAAATTCATCTTTTCAAAGTACACATTTCAGTGGTTTTTAGTATGTTCAAGATGTTGTAATCCGTCCCCATTATCTAATTCTTGAACATTTTCATCACAAAAGCAACCCTGTGCCCATTAACAGTTACTCCCCATTCCACTCTCACATCAGCCTGTGGAAGTCACTCATTAGTTTTCTGTTTCTGTAGATTTGCCCATTCTTGGTATTTCATATAAAAGGAATCACACGGTATGTGGCTTTTTGTGTCTGCCTTATGTCACTAAGCATAATGTTTTCAAGGTTCATCTACATTGTAGCATGTATCCATACTTTTTTCCTTTCTATGGTTGAATAATAGTCTATGGTATAGATAATATTACATTTTGTTTATCTGTTCACCAATTGATCCAACTGATGGGCATTTTGGTCATTTCCAATTTGGGGCTATTATGAATAAAGTACCTATGAACATTTGTGTATACATTTTTCTGGGGGTATGTTTCACCTCTCTCTTGGGTAGATAACTAGGAGTGGAATTGCCAGGTCATTTGGTAGCTCTATGTTTAACTTTTTGAGAAACTGACAAACTGTTTTCCAATGCAGCTGTACCATTTTCCAGTGCACCCACCAGCAATGCAGGAAGGTAGCAACTTCTTCACATCTACTCCAGCACTTCACTTGTAGTGGGCTATGATTTGTTCTGATACCCAGCCTAGTGGCTATAATGTTATATCTCACTGGGGTTTTTAATTGTGTTTGCCTAGTGAAAAATGATGTCGAGTATTTTTTGCCTGTTTTTAAATTGGATTACTTGTCTTTTTTATGATTGAGTTGTAAGTGTTCTTTAATGTCTGGGTACCTGTAAGATACATATTTCCTCCCATTCTGTGGGTTGAATTTTCACTTTCTTCATGGCATCCATTGAAGCACATAAAAGATTTGAAAAAGTCCAATGTATCTATTTTTTGTTGTTTTTGTTTGTGCTTTTGGTGTCATATGTAAGAAAACATTGCCATTGCCTAATCCGAGATAATGAATATGTATGCCTAGGTTTTCTTCATTTTCTTGTAAGAGTTTTATAGCTTTAGGTTTGCATTTAGCTCTTTAATACATTTTGAGTTAATTTTTTATATGGTGTGAGGTAGAGTATCTTGCATATGTATATCCAGTTGTCTTCCCACCATTTATTGAAAAGACATTTCTGTCTCCATTGAATAATTTTAGCACCCTTGTCAAAAGTTAACTGACCATAAATATAAGGGCTTATTTATGGACTGTCAATTCCATTTTAGGGATCTATACATCAGTCCTTATGCCAGTTCCACATTGTGTTGATCACTATAGCATCGTAGTAAATTTTGAAACTGAAAAGTGAGAGTCATGCAACTTTATTCTTCCTCTGTCTAGTTGTTCTATCTATTACTGAAAGTGGCATATTGAAGTCTCCAGCTATTATTGTTGAACTGTTTATTTCTTCCTTTAATTAAATCAGTTATCGCTTTCTGTTCTTGGTCTGTGTTATTTGGTGCATTTTTAAAAATAATTGCTATGTTTTCCTGATGGTTGACACTTTTATCTTTATAAAATGTCCTCATTTGTCTCTGGCAGCATTATTTATGTTGAAGTCTATTTTGTATGATATTAGTATAGGCCCCTTAGTTGTCTTTTCGCACTGTTTGCATGGCTAATCATTTTCATTCTTTTATTTTCAAACTACTTGTTTATTTGAATTTAAAGTTTATCTTTTAAAGATGGTTGATTATGTTTTTTTAATTACTGATAGTTTTGATCTTAGCATTTTAGTTAGAATATTTAATCATTTATGTTTAATATAATTACTGATAAGGGAGAACTTATATCTGACATTATATTGTTTTCTACATATCTTATGTCCTTTGTATTTATCTATTTCTGCCTTCTTTTGCATTAAATAGATATTTTGTAGATTACTGTTTTAATTTTCTTGTTGCTTTTTTTAAACTATAATTTGAGTTAGTTTCTTAATTGTTTCCTGGGGATTGCAATTAACATCTAATTGTATAATAATATAGTTAGATTAATACCAACTTCATTTCAATAATGTATATAAAAACATTGCTCCTATATACTTCCATTTCCTACTTGCCTACTTCGTGCTATCATTATCATAGAAACTACATCTTTATACATTATAAGCCCATTAGTACAGTTTTATGATTATTGCTTTATGTAGTTGTATTTAAAATCAAATAGAACAAAGTATTAAAACTAAAATTGCATCTTTGCTGTCTTTTATGTTTACCTGTTTTACCTTTACCAGTGTTCTTTTGTTTGTTTGTTTTTTGAGATGGAGTCTTGCTCTGTTGCCAGGCTGGAGTGCAGTGGTGCAATCTCAGCTCACTGCAACCTCTGCCTCCCAGGTTCAAGCGACTCTCCTGCCTCAGCCTCCCAAGTAGCTGGGACTACAGGTGTGCACCACCATGCCCAGCTAATTTTTGTATTTTTAGTAGAGATGGGATTTCGCCATGTTGGCCAGGATGGTCTTGATCTCTTGACTTTGTGATCTACTCACCTTGGCCTCCCAAAGTGCTGGGATTACCAGTGTTCTTTTTTGTGTCAATTTTTTTTTTTTTTTTTTTTTTTTTTTGAGATGGAGTCTCCCTCTGTCACCAAAGCTGGAGTGCAGTGGCGTGATCTCAGCTCACTGCAACCTCCGCCTCCTGGGTTCAAGCAATTCTCTGCCTCAGTCCCCTGAGTAGCTGGGATTACAGACACCTACCACCACGCCTGGCTAATTTTTGTATTTTTAGTAGAGATGGGGTTTCACCATCTTGGCCAGGCTGATCTTGAACTCCTGACCTCGTGATCCACCCACCTCGGTCTCCCAAAGTGCTGGGATCACAGGCGTGAGCCACTGCACCTGGCCTTGTATCAATTCTTATAAGAAAAATTTTCTAGCAACAAACTCTCTCAGTTTTTAAAATAAATCTGGGTATGTCTTAATTTCTTATTATTTTTTGGAGGATAGTTTTCCTCTTTATAGAATGCTTTGTTGACAGCTTTTTGTTTGCTTGCTTTTTCCTTCGAGCACTTTGAAAGTGTCCTCTCACCACCTTCTTGCCGCTATGGTGTCTATTGTGAAATCAGTTGGTAATTTGACTTAGAATGTCCTATACACAATGAGTTACTTCTAGTTTTCTTCTTTCAAGATTCTCTGTCTTTGGCTTTGGAAAATTTGATTATGATATGTTTTGATGTAAATATCTTTGAGTTCATCCTACTTGGAATTCATTGTGCTTCTTGGACATGTAGATTCATGTATTTTTATAAGATTTGAGAAGGTTTTGGTCATTATTTTTTCAAATATTCTTTCTGCCCCTGTTGTTTTGTTCTCTATCTCCACAACTCCCACTATCTGTGTGTTGGTGTGCTGGATTAGTTCTACAGTTCTCTGAGGCTCTGTTCCTTTTTCTTTATTATTTTTTCTTTCTATTCCTTGGTCTGTATAATCTGAATTTTTCTATCTTCAAGGTCACTAATTATTTTTCTGCCATCTCCAATTTGCCTTTGAAACTCTTTAGGGAATTTTTCATTTCAGTTAGTGTGATTTTCACCTCCAGAATTTCTATTAGGTTCTTAAAAAAAATCACTTGTATCTCTTTATCGATATTCTTTTCTGGGAAGATACGGTTCTTATCCTTTACTTCTTTAGACAAAGCTTCCTTAAGTTCTTTGAACATATTTAAAATAGGTTACATAAGGCCTTTTTTTAAATAGCAAATCTGATGTCTGAGGTTTTTGGGGAACAGTTTCCATTGACTGATTTTTTTATTCTTGTATATGGGCCGTATTTTCTTGTTCTTTGCATGTCTAATTTTTTGTTATTGAAAATTAGACATTTTAAATAATATAATCCAATAACTTGGAAATCATATCCTTCTTCTCCTAGGTTTGTAGTTATTTTTAATTGTTGTTGTTTCTGTTTGCCTAGTGACTTTCCTGAAGTAATTCTGTAAAGTCTGTATTCCTTGTCTTCTGTGGCCTCTGAAGCCTCTGTTCAGTTAGTTTAGTGGTCAACTAATGATGAGACAGAAGTTTCTTTAAATGTCTTGTCAATAAGTTCCACAGGCTTTGCTGAGTGAGTAAATGTGTTCATTGGGGCATGGTTTCAGCACTCTGGCAGGCAGTTTACAACACTGCCTTAGTCTTTACCTCCTGGTCACCTATCTTTGAAGTCAGCCAGAGATAAGAGCTTGGAGTCTAGGGATTTGTCCTGGGTACGTACCTAGTCCCACACATGCATATGGCCTCCTACATTACCATGGATGTTTTGAAGTTTTTCAAAGTCTCCTATAGATATCTCCTTCCTCAGCGATTCCTTTTAAGTTTTTTGATCAGCTTTTTGTTTCCTCCATGTCACCACCTCAGGCAGCTAAGATAGTAAATAATTGCTACCAATTATTTTCAACAAATGTCGTGAGGAAAAGCTGTTCACAGGCAGAGAGCTCTGAGTTAGGTCAAATAAAGACAGGCACTGCAAGTTGGGGTTTCCTGAGAGCTGCCAGGGCAGTCACATAATGACATTTCTCAAGGGATAGGGCTTTGGGGAGCTGAAAATTCATTTCATCCCCTCAGTGCCTGTTAGGCTGCTGTTTTTCACAGCTACCATGATTGGGAACCTGATGTTTTCAAGGCTACCACAGAGCTGGGGAGAGAGGCATGGGAAAAGATTGAGCAAAATACCACTGTTATTACCAAGATTCATCTGTTTATTTTGTTGTTGTTGTTTTTTCAGTAAACTCCTTTTGGATTACTACAGTCCTTTGGTTAATTTGTAGAGTTTTGAAAAAGGTGATTGTGATAAATTTTGCCAGTGTTCACACTGCTGTTATTGAGAAGCAGACTTTTGGAAATCCTTACCTCACTATTCCCAGTGGCATCACTCCATTGACTCCATTTTGTTGTCAATAAAATGAAGAGTATCATACCTGAGTTACCTGCTCCAGTTGTTATGAAAGTCACATTTTAGAAGTGACAGAAGAAATTTTCATGATTTGAGAAAAAATCATCTAGCACATAAAACAATGGGGTTAAGGAAGCTTGGCTTCCTTTTCACTAGGACTCGCTGGAGACACAGGGATGATTTGTGGGCCTTGTCCTTGTGTCTCAGAAGCAGAATGTGGGACAGATCTTTGAGGTACCCAACTGGCAAAAGTCTTCATAACTAGGAAGTCATAACTTCATACTACGAAGTCATAACCCAACCCCCAAGCCCTGGGTGTTAGAGAAAGAAGAGTAGCCCTATCAGTCATCATGCTGAGATTTTTTTTTTCCTTTAAAGATGGCTTGAAAGAAAATAAATTTCTGTAGAATGAGATGAATAGCAATAGTAATCTTACATATCCCCTTCCTCCACTTTTTTTCTTGGAAGCTATTTCTCTTTCAGTTTTCTAATTAGTTTTCATTTCTTATGTAATTTTCATACATTGTAGAGAAAATTTCTTTTCAAAAAAAAAGGCCTGCATTAATCAAAATGTGTACTGTTACAGGTTTCCTGAAGAAAGAAATTCAAGGGAATACAATTTGTTATTTTCTCCCTAACTTTTTTGTGGCCCATCTGTACACAATAGTGAAAAAAGAATGCTCAAGTTAGGGAAGTTTTGCCACCATAAAAAAAAATCCTTTAAATATTCTCTTTCCCACTGATCCCTGAGGGGGTTTTCATATCTGTTCTCTAGAAGCATGGCTGTGATCTTAGTGGACACCCTGCAGTGGACTCCAGTTGCTAAGATTTTTGGATTTGAAGTGTGGGTGGAGGGAGCTCCATGGCATCATTCAGATGAAAATGGAATCAGGGAACAGTTACCCCAAGATCTGTTCAGACCGTTGGAGAAGCCAGCCAGGGATTTTTAATTTGTCACCTCATTGTTTACAGGCCAGTGTTAAAATCATTTTAATTTTGAGAACCAGTGAGACTGTTCTAATTGTGTTATCAAAAGTGTGGAAAGACAAATCTTTTTTACGTTAAAGCATGGTCATACCAACTTTCTGAGATACCTGCCTACCATTTGAAACATGCCTGTTGGATCAATTGCCATGAGTGCTGCGAACTTCCTGCCACACGTGAGCCCTTAGGAAGAGGGGAGACTTTTCAGCAATGATCTGTCTTTATGTGAAGTTCCTTTTCCAGACTTCTTTCCTTTCACTTAGGTTCTTTATCAACAGCTCTTAAAATGCTAATGAGTCCTTAAGATGAGAGTGAACAGCTGCTTAAATATATCTATTTCTACAGGAAGTACCATGGCAAGTAAAAGAACTGTATCAAAGCACATCAGGAGGAGGAATGAGAAGTGGCTTGGGGCCATGCAGAGCCCCACCAGTGGCTGATTATTCCCCTCCACGGGGGAAGGGAGGGGGGAGGGGGGTGGGGAGAGGGGGTGTGGGGAGGAGAGACGGGAGAGCATCTCATCTATACAGCATCTCAGCCACTGATGATGCTATTGAGGTCTGAGTGCCCATTTGCTTACATTAGTGAGAACTAACCAGTAATCTGGCCTTTTCCTAAGGATATGCTAAATCTAAATAATGTTTCCCTAAGATCTCACCTCACTTTCCATAAGTTACGTTGGCTTCTTGACCTCATCACAAAATATATTGTAACTAAGTAACTGTCAAGACCATCTCAGTGAGAACTTCTAAGCAGATAAATTGGGAAGTAAATGATAGGAACGCCACTTTTTGATCCAGGGGTCAGCATCATCCATGACAATGCCACGTGGTCTAGTGGACTTCACTGTATCCTGTGCACATTGACCACGCCAAGCCACCATTTCCCTCATGTGTTTTCCTGGACACAAAGGGATATGAATACACATATATAGGAAATGTCTGACTCTTTAGGGGACTCAGACTTAAACACACACCTTCTGTGTCACTGTCAAATCACATTGATGTGAAGCCTCAGTAGGACCATCTCTATGTGATGTAGAGAATGTCATAAAATCAATGTATATCTTTTCTGTTATTTAAAGATAGTCCTAAAGAATATTCCCTTTGACTTTAAACCCCTTTGATTCTGAGAGTATTTAAAGTAGAGGTGTTTATGCACATTTATTTTTCCTTTGATTGATCAAACGTCTGTTAAGCATTTACTATGGATCACAACCTTTGTCAAATGCTGGAAATATCATGCTAGGGAGATGATCTCTACTTTATATAAGTTCGTAATGTAACTCACAGAGCACATATGAAATGAGCTTCACCTAATGCAAAGTCGTGCTTCCATAAATGTAAGTGAAACATGCTATGAGAACTCAGGTAGGGATTCTTCTGACGTGGGTGAACCTGGTGATCAGGAAAGACCTTGTGAAGAATGAACTGAGAGGAAAAGGGTATCTCTCCAGACTGATGGAATGATGTAAGTGAAGTCACAGAGTAGTGGACATGCACAGGGCTTTGGGACATGAAATATCCTTGCTGTGTTTGCAGACATATAAAAATTACTATCAGTGACATGCTGGCCACCACATGGGTCTGAACCAAGCCTAACAAGATAAAAGAGGGAGAGAGCTGTTATTTCTATCACTCACAGATGAAAACAATATGCCCTGTGGAGGACAGGCTCTGGGGTGCCCTCACTCATCATCACTGCCTCCCAATGTTCCTGTTTTTGTGAAGTTCTCAGACTCCTCCTCACATTTGAAAGAAACGTAGAACTTCTTTGCCAGATCACGTGTGTCCTAACCCATGGTGTGGGAAAATATGGACTTCATTGTCCATATTAGCATTTTGGTCACAACCAGTCTCTGAGAATTTCCAACTTTCCCTTATCTTCCTCTATTATTCCGAGTCCTTCAAACTCTTCCAACCTCTGCCTGTTACCTAGTTCCAAAGTCACATCCATATTTTCAGGTATCTTTACAGCAATGTCCCACTCCTCATAACCAATTTTCTGTGCTACTCCATTCTTGCATTACTATAAAGAATTATGTGAAGCTGAGTAATCTGTAAAGGAAAGAGGTTTAATTGGCTCACAGTTCTGCAGGCTCTATAGGAAGCGTGGTGCCAGCATCTATCTGCTCAGCTTCTGGGGAAGCCTCAGGGAGCTTTTACTCATGGCAGAAGGCAAAGTGGAAGCTGACGTGTCACATGGCAAAAGCAGGAGTAAGTGGCAGGGACAGGTGCCACACACTTAAATGACCAGATCTCCAGAGAACTCATCCAGTCACTATCATGAAGACAGTGCCAAGCCATGAGGGATCCGCCCCCGTGACCTAATCACCTCCTACCAGGCCCCACCTCCAGCACTGGGGGTTACAATTCAGCATGAGATTTGGGTAGGACAGATATTCAAGCCATCTCAGAGTCCATGTGGTGAGGAACTTCAGGTGGCCTGTAAGAGTGGAGAGCAGCTACCAGCCAACAGTCAGCAAGAACCTGAAGCCCCAGCTCTACAGCCAAGCCTCAGGTCAGAATGCAGCACCAGCCAGCATTGATATTAGCCTGTGTGCCTCTAAGCAAGGGAACCTAGCTGAAGTATGCCTGGACCTCAGACCCATAGAAACTAAGATAATCAATGTGCTTTTTAAATCTGTTAAATGTGTGGTAATTTGTTACACAACAATAGGAAACTAATACCTGGCCCTTTCCTCAATCCTCTGAGAATTTCTTTGCTAAGAAGACATTGAGTACTACCCACTTTTTCTCTCCCTTAGGTGTTGGTTTCAGGACAGTGTTCCTCCAGAGATTCTTTTCAAGTTTTGGTCTAAATGATAAAGTGAGGTGCTGTTTAAAATGGCTGTTAGAAAGTGTAACTCTTGGTGGATTTGTGGTGCAGGGATGTGATGCTTGGCGCCTGTGCAGGCAGTGCAAGTGCTCCCGGGCCTACAGTTTCAGCCAAGTTTCCACTCTCCACCCACAGCACGCATGAAACCCAGGTCCTCAGCCTGGACCCTTTCTTGCCATCATTTTGATTTCTGGCACCATTGCAAGTGATGGAGAAGCAGTGTCTTGCTGAGGATTTGGCTTTGGATGGAAATTATCTGTGTTCACTACCATGTGAATCCTGACCTGAGTCCCCTCTCTGAGGCTGGGACTGCTGGACTTTCAGAACAAGCAGTGTGCAGGAACAGGCAATGAGCCTGCAGCCACATGGTCTGGGCCCTGGCCCTGCGTCCTGTTAGACACTGAATCTGTGTGTGTTGTTTAAGCTTTCTGAGCCATGGTCTCTTCATTTGTAAATTGGGACAGTGCTAATGATTATGAACAAAATAAATAATCAACCTGTGTCTGCATACCTTATAGGATGGTGCAGAAATTCAAATACATGCAGAAGTGTTTTTGAAAACTACCAAGTGGCATCTAACCCTGTCTTTTCTTCCTGTAGGGTGTCAGCAGTTGAGACAAATGGTGCTTTTGTCAGAAATAAACCTAGAAATTGAAGCATGGGGGGAAACCATGCGCAGCGTTGTCGTTGGCTTCCTGGTGGTATAATGTAGCTGCAGAACCTTAAATTTTGATAACATGGTCAACCCAGTTTAGGGTCCAAATCAAGAGTGTCTTTATCACTGCTTGATCTTCCCAAGGAGGACGATGTTCTGACCTCAAACCATCGCAAGTGCCAGTGAATTAGCACTTACCATCAGAACAAGTCTCCAATTACTGCATTCACTGTGCCCCTTAGATTAAGAGTTAGGAGAGAGCTGATGCTCTTCAATTCTTTCCTCTCTCACCTAATCTGTCCACTTCCAGAACAATTAGGAGGAGCTTCCTATCACCCCTCTTGGGTGGACTATTGGACATATAGCTCTTGGCATCTGGCCCTTCTCTGATTCTCTTCTTGACTTTTATTTGTTTTCTGTCTCTGTCCATGTTAAACTCACAAGATATTTTCCCACTTTGGCCCACTCTGGTGTGTGTGCATGTGTGGGTATGTGCCTGTGTATATGCCTGTGACTGTATGTGTGTGTGACTGTGTGTGCATGTGTGGGTATGTGCCTGTGTATATGCCTGTGACTGTATGTGTGTGTGACTGTGTGTGTATGTGACAGTGTGTGTATGTGAGTATGTGTATATATGGTTCTAGTTCAAGCTTTCCACCCTCTGCTTCAGCCCTCTGGTTGTAGCATTCATTGAGTCAGGCACTGCTCCAAATGTCTTAAATGCAGTCACCTATTTAATTATCTATGGACAATTGTTATCAATGTCCTTATATGACAGGGAAGGAAGATGAAGCAGAAAGCTTATTGAAGTGGTTGGGAGAATCATAATTAGTAAGTGGCAGGATCGGAGTTCAAACCTGGGGATGGAGTTGGGGCCCACACTCTGAAACACACCTTCAGTGCTTCTCAAACTTTGGCATCCATCAGAATCCCCTGGAGGATTTCCTGGGAAACAGATTGCTGGGCTGAATGCCTAGTACTTCCGATTTAGTAGGTCTGGGCAGGGGTTGCAGAAGTTGTGCTTCTCACAAGTCCTAGGCCATAGGATGCTGCTGGTCCAGCCGCCCACTTTGACAACTGCTGTGCCATATATTATGCTCCTTGATTTGAATGATTTGGGAAAGACTCTCTTCCCAACCTGCTCGGGCCTGGACATATGCATGAATGGTGGTTAAATCCTTCAGTATTTTTAGATTATTTTTCTGTGAACACGCGGACTGTTAGGAAAGGACCATGACTTCAGCCTGGGGTGAATCACGCACTCGAGGTGTGCCCACTGACAGTCTTGGAAGTATTGACAGGAAGGTAGAAAGGAAGAGAGCTTGCATCAGGGAGGCTGCTGAGTAGAGAAGAGGAGGAGAGGGCATCACACTCACCCACCTTGAGATTTGTCTGGTTCTGTTTCCACCCAGAGACACCCCTGCTTGTGTCAAAAGAGTGAATGCTCTTCCTGGCTTGGCTTTGCATTTCTCTGCCCTTAAATACATAAATGGAGTCAGTGCAGGTATGGAGACGTGCCAGTGAGTAGGCCTCTTCACGGATGCCTGGGCCACATGTGGATGTGCACCTGCGCTCCACCAGCAAGAAAGGCACATGCCTCTGTGAGGGGTCTATATCTCCTAGAGCTTGAGAACCACGGGCTTCATCAAGGAAAAGTTAGAGAGGAATTACGCACCGGCCACTTGCTAAACATGGCAAGAAGGCTTCCCTGAGACTGTTGCAGCGGGGGAAAGAGATGGGTCCAATTCCAAACTCAGCAGGGATGGTGGAGGGTTTATACCAACAAGCAGAGTGAGGGGTCAGTGGGGAAAATTACTAAAAAGAGCTTGATTAGATCTCAAGGGTAAACTAACTTAACAGAATTCTTGCTGAAAGCAGGCCAAGAACTTAGGTATCAAGAGTGAGGGATGAGGAACTTGATCAGATATCAAGGCTGAGGAGATTTGTGACAAACTAACATAGGAGGTCTTTTCTTTCTTTTCTTTTCTTTTTTTCTTTTTTTTTTTTTTTTAGATGGAGTCTCACTCTGTCACCAGGCTGGAGTGCGGTGGTGAGATCTCGGCTCACTTCAACCCCCACCTCCCAGGTTCAAGCGATTCTCGTGTCTCAGCCTCCCAAGTAGCTGGGACTACAGGAGCGTGCCACTACGCCCAGCTAATTTTTGTAATTTTGGTAGAGGAGACGGGGTTTCACCATGCTGGCCAGGACGGTCTCGATCTCTTGACCTCATGATCTGCTAGCCTCAGCCTCCCAAAGTGCTGGGATTACAGGTGTGAGCCGCCGTGCCCAGCCAAGGAGGCCTTTTCTAAAACTAGCTCAGCAGGTCAAGTTTGAGGCCTAATTGAGAAGAGGGCACAGAGAAGCCTGGCTAAAGTTTGATCCAAGAGGGAGTTTGTCAGCGGGAGAAGAGGCAAGGAGGCTGAAAAACTGAGTGGGGCAGCATACTTTCTGATAAATAAAGGTCCTCACCAACAATTTTCCATCCTGGTTTAAGAAACAAGAAGATATGACAATTTATCTACAGGAATATTGTAAAAATTTTAGGTCAAGATTAATTTTAACTTTCTCTACAACTTAAAACACTACATTTGGCCAGAGAAATTGTTTGATAAATTGTTTAAGTCAGATATGGTTAAATTACCCAAGTAATGGGTTCTTATAAGTCCAATAAAAGTTTGAAGTTAGCAAGTAAAAATAGAACTCAAAACTATATTAAACAGTCAGACTTACATGGAGACTATTTCATTTGAAATACTGTATCAAATAGATTGACTCACAGGCCATTTTCTGTGCCGATATAACTGTATTTTCATGAATGGTCTGAACAATAAAGTTCATCTTGTAAAATTTTCAGATGAAAGCAATGTAGGCATGACGGCTGATACTTGGGGGACTTGAGCGGGCTTTTACAATGCCCCAGCAAGGAGGCAGCATGGGCTTCAATCAAGAGCCAAGGCATCTAATGTGGCTTAGCATGGACGGTTACCCCTGGGAGAGAACAATAAATCCTACAACTACATTTGGCAAGCAATGAGTCAGTTATACTCCAAGGAAAAGAAAGATCCGTGGGTCATACCAGGAAATAAGCATGGCTGAGATCTGCCTCTGTGGAAGCTCCCAGGTGATGTCAACAGTGGATTTTAATTGGCAGACAAAGTCTTCTACCTCCCATTGCTTCTGGCCCAGGGGGCCTCACCCCTACTCTGCCTTCACTACAGATTGGGTTTCCCGGTGAGCAGACCCTCACATGGGGTTTAGCATGCAGACTGTTTATTAAGGATCCCCTGCAGTTCATGTGGAAGGGTCAGGAAGCTGGCTGGTCAGAGGGAAAGTGGAGCCCTGATATAGGCTGACCCCACAGGGTGCTCTGGAGTTGGAATGTGCCCTTTCAAGTTGTACAGAGTTGGGCCTAAGTGGCCAGGTCTTCATATTCCTGCATCAGTGAATCATTGGATCTGGCTCTGTGCAGGCCAGGCTGTCCCTGAAGGGGCTGACTCCCAGCACTGGGCAAACGCCGTCTCCTTCCACTTTCAAAGCCAAACTGAGCTCTGTAGCAAATTCCTAAAGGTATTTATGTTTTCTCTGATATATTCATGAATAATATGAGTTGTGTGTGTTTCCCTAGGTCTCCTCTTCTTTTAGCTATGGCAAATACTGAGTTGTGATTTGTTTTTTATATCTATTTCTCCTTCACTGAACTAAACTCTTTGTGGATCAAGGCTGTGTGTGTCACTGTGGATTCCATCCATCGGCACAGGCCTGGCATAGCACAGTGTCTGCTCGGTACAATATTTATTCCCAAATCTATTTCTTTGTCAATTCTTCCCTCCTGCAGGGCTGGGTGCAGCTGTAGGCCTGGGCATCACTGGAGCTCCAGTCTATGCATCACTGTAACTGACTGGAGAGGCAGGGAATGGATGTACACGATGTACCTGCAGGGACAGGTGACTTAGCTCAGCTGTAAGAAAAGATGCCTGCTGAAATATTGATGACTTCTCACTGTGCATTCTTGCTTTGGAGAACATTTTATCAGTATGTGTGAAATGCCTGCATAGCAGGGAGGATGACTTGATTAATAAGTCACATGAAGCCTAAACAATGAACGTCAGCAGGGCCTTTCTTCAGGTATAAATAAGATAAAGCACTTTGAGCCTTCTGGGCAAGAACATGCTCTTCGGCAGGCAGGACAGGTGATGACAGCCACTGAGGTAAAATATTCAGACAGGGTTTTCAGGGAAATTAATATCTCTTTCCAGAGTTAAGTAATTCCTGCGTGATGGCTCTTCATCTCAGT
This sequence comes from Homo sapiens, assembly GCF_000001405.40. NCBI lineage: Eukaryota > Metazoa > Chordata > Mammalia > Primates > Hominidae > Homo > Homo sapiens. The sequence continues at coordinate 24,081,082 of NC_000020.11, forward strand.
CAAAGGGGTTCAGTACATATTTTGTATTTTTTCTCACAGATCGTGAGGTCAGGGAATATTCCAGCTCTTGGTGCCCCCTCGCATACACATAAAGCAGGATGGACAGCAAGGCCCTCACATGCCTGGCCTGCTGCGTGCTCTGCCCCAGGGCCGCTTCCCTGCTTACTGTGCTGTTTCCTCTGACGGGGTCAAAGGACATGAGCGTCCTGTGGCTAGCTTCTTCTACACTGACTTTGAGGTCTTGGATGCATGGCACAGAAAGCCCTGGCCAGAACCCATGCACTGTGGGTCCCCACTGCTGCTGTCCTTTCTCCAGCCTTGGCTACACTGAAATGTCCAGAGTGATATCTGCAGGCATGGCATGACCCAAAACTCCTGCTGAGGCAAATACCTCTCCTTAGCTTCACTTCTAAATTGAATACACATGCAGATAAATACACATACGGATAGGCATTTCCATACTCAGAGTCAGACTTATAATTTGGTACAAGTTAATGATAAAGAAATACAGGTCCAAAAGCCATATATAATCTATTAATTCTACTTTTAGAAATCTATCCTATGTCTACCCTAAGGAAATGGAGATATGAAACATATTTATATATGAGGATGGTTACAGTAATGTTTACAATAGTAAAAATTCACATCAACAGTAAAACAGTTAAATCATGATATATCCGTAATAGAAAACTTACTCGTCTGTTAAAACTATAATTTTAGAGAGCAGATTGTCATGAAAAATTGTTCAGGATAAAATAAGTAAATTAACAAGATAGCAATATCTCAATTTTATAAATAGAACTCTATAGCAAAAAGATACTGATACGCATACACATGTGTATTATGTATATGCATGTCAGTGTCTTTGGTCAGTATGATTACGGTGCTCTTTATTTTATTCTTTAAGCTTTTCTGTGTTTTCCAGAATTTCTACAGTGAGCATATATTACTCATAAACAGAATATACCAAATTGCAATAAATAAATAAATTGAATATAAACCAAAGATTTCTTCATCAATCTGTTAGTTCTGCTTTTGTCTTCGTCTACCACCAAATGTGTGCATTTGCACACACAAACCTCTCACTTGCACACACCACAAGATGGGACTCACGATGTGGAGAGCCATATAGGAGCATGAGTGTCTCTGGGTTATGGGTTTCTGACCTACAGTGATAAGGCTAGGGAGAGGCCCCTGGACTTCCCTCACATTCTGCATCCAGGGAGGAGCAGGGTTTCTCAGGGGGCAACATTGCCCCATGTGTTTGCATGAGTGAGTGATGTATCCTTCCTGCCCACCTATCTGGGATTCCCAACCTGGCCTTCTCATGCCCTGGCTGCAAGGGACTGGATACATATACAAGAGGCACCCAGAGGTTCAAAAGTTGCTAACTTGTGGCCCATCCAATTATAGAAAGCACTCTGCTGTTTGGTGTCTATTAAACAGAGTTTCTATTAATGAAGTCTTCTCCTTAGCAACCAAGCAAGGATAATTGATGTTTAAATGATAACCCTGAGGACTGTGAAACTCTAAAGTTATCAGAGAAAAATTAATATTCCTATAATGTTTCTGCAACTTATTTTTATAGAACAGCACAAACAGCAGGGAATTAAGGTAAATGGAAAGAATTCTTAGCAAACAAAGATTATGTTGATTATTAGATTCGAGGTTTAGAGTTGAAGAATTGGACTTTGAAAGAATCTCATGTAATTTTATGTAAGGGAAAGTGACACCCATGGTTCACACAGTTAGAAAATACGGCCAAGGTTCAAGCTCCTGGCCTCGCACCCCTTCTTTACCAGTGATCTTGGAGTCTCCTCTGATTCATCCTGCATAGCAAACATTCAAGGTAGGCAAATTTGCCCTTGACAAAGGTTGGATCCTCTTTCTTGTTTATCATTATTTCTTCCCTTTCAGTGGTTGACCAACTGAGATGGAAATGTCAGTGAGTACACCCCCTTACTATGAGAGTATCAGGGCACAGAGAGAGGGCTGGAGGCACAGGCTCAGAGCCACGAGGCTCAGCTCTGCAGCTGTGTGACTTTGGATGAGTTACATGGCTTCCCTGGGTCTCACAGAGTTATCAGAAAGACTACATAGCTTAACATTTATAAAGTGGTTAAAACAGTGCTTGACATAATATTCTATATTAGTGTTTGTTCAACAAATGTATTGCATTTCTAAGTATTTACTTTCAAAATAGGAGAGAAATAACTTCACATTATTCAGGGACTCACGTGTGGTGTGTTTCCTGGCTTCAGTGGGGAGAGCATGTGGCCAGGACGCCTTGTTGGCCACATCCCAGCCACCCCACACAAGTGACTTCTGTGTCCAGAGGTGACCTTGGTGACCACAGTTTAATAGTGGGTTTTGCTGGAAAGAAGAAAGACTAATAAGAAGAATCATGACTGAGAGAAAGTAGCTTAGTAATAGAACTTTATTTTTCTGCCTGAAAACCTTTTAAGGAAAGTTAGCCCATCAACACAAGCAGTATGTGAGTGGATGAGCTGGAGGAACTGCCCTCCTTTTATTTGTGAAAATTCAAACACATGAAAACTTGAGCCATTCATAAAGAAAATCACCCAAGCAAGTGAATGCACCACTTTGGGGGGGATTTTGGTGGATGATTGGCATGTTTGGGGAATTTTCTTTGTCTTAGTGATGGAATTAGACGTAGTTCATAGAACTATGAACTCATACGCCATATAAAACATAAGCCACTGAGATTCCAAGAGATATGGCCATCACACATTCATCTGGCAACTCTGTTAATCTGTGAGACACACTGGGTAATGAAAGACTTGGTATATTATTTGTAAAGAGTCTGAACAATGTCATCGAGAACAATGTGGTTTGGGGTTAAAACTGCCCAGAACTCTCACTCATGGCCTTTATTCTATGCCGATAATTACTCTTCCTGATGACCACAGGTGCCTTTGGAGACATCTGGTAAGATTAAGGCTCCTAGAAGATGCAGGTGTCCACAGTGGTCCATGTACACAGCCTAGAGGCAGGGCCACATTCTACCCACCACATGTTCCCAGCAGACATAACCATCCTGCAGCATATTGTTCTGTCTGCCCTCTTGCCTTTGAGAGGCTGTCCATTCTTCTCCCTGCAGTCAGGAGGATCCTTTCAGGAGGCAAATCCAATCTTGCCCCCATCCCTTCTCCTCTCATCTTGGCCACCTCTGGCCAGCTGCTTTCCCTACCCAGTGCTAGGTTTTTGTCCTCTCCCCACTGCCTGGTTAGGGCCTTTTTTCCCTCCTTTTTCAGATCTCAGCTCCAGCAGTGGTCTTCAGGGAGCCTGTCCTGCCTTTTTACTTTCAAAATAGGAGGTATGCAAGAAATAACACCTGGCATGTGCTTCCTTCCCACTCTGGCGACAGTCATCATTTCAAGTGGATTCAGGTGGAAACTGGTGCGTATCTCTCTGCCACTGTGCCCACACACCAATGAGAACAAGATCATACCTGTTTCTTTGGTCTTTCTCTCATCAAAGCATCCAGAACTCTATTAATGGGGGTTAAACAAATGAGCACATTGTTTGAACGTGGCTCTTTGGATGCACCTTGACCAGCCTGGAAGGATAACACACAGCAAACACCCCTGCTGGGTGGCAGCTATTATGCTGGCGCTGGTGCGTTGGGTGCCCTCCGCCCTCTCTCCCTTTCTGTCTTGAGTCCTACTATCCTTTGTGTCTTTAAAGCTCCAGCTAAAACTTCCAGCTTCTGATTAGGAGCCTGGGTTCATTTGGGAGCCTTATTCACATCCCAGTTCTGTCACTTCCTGGCTGTGTGATCTTGGGCAAGTTGTTCACCTTCTCTGTGCCTCAATCTCCACCTCTGTAAAGAGGAGATAATAAAATTTCCTACTTCATGGAGTTCTTTGGAGAATTATGTACTAATAAGTTAATATACGTAAAACACTTAGAAATACTCGGCACAGAGTTAGCACTGGACAACTGCTCGGAGAAGCACTTCCCAGTTTTTATTTAGCTTTTATTTTATCAGGCATATCCCATACCTTTCTTCCTCAGAGTATTCTCCTCAAAGAAATCTTGACTGCACATGAGATTTGATTTTGGGCCCACTTAATAAATGTATGTTTTCTTATTTGTTAGAAGTGGAGGTTTGAGTGGAAGTGATTCATGGTTCTCTGCAGCCCTGAGATTCTAGAATCTCACATCCTCCTCCACTGGAGAGTGCTCTCACTACTGAGTCCCTCAATTTTACATAGATGTTAAATACAAATGGGAAAGAGAGGTGGTGGCCCAGCCTGCCTTACTACACAATCCATAGAGAGAGGAGACCCTGAAGTGCCGAGTAATTGAGAATTGGGTCTTAAGGAATCTGGAAAGGAGGAGATTTTTGTGGGATATTCCTGTGAACTCTGTGTTAGGGCACAGGTGTGAAGACAGGCCTAGGCTCACCTTGGTCAGGAGGCTGCTCTGCACACAGGTGCTCTCTCCACCATGTACTGGCGAGCATCTGTGAGGACCTCTTTGAACTTCCTCCTGAGTGGACGAGCTGCCCCTTCCCCTCCTCATCTAATATTGGAGGTTCAGTCTCAGTCTCTTCAAGGCCCCTTTTCTCAAATATCCAAAGGGGAGGTTTGGATCCTGAAAGTATAGCTGGGCTCACCTTCCTATTTCAGGCCAAATATTTTGTGAATTTTGTTTTGATGAGGAACAAACAAAAATGGTCCTTGAGATTTCCTCTTCCAAATCACTGAGATAGAGTAGACAAAAAAGGATACTCATCATGTTTATATTAGACTTGGAGTATGCATTTATTATTGTTATTATTTATTTAGAGACAGGGTCTTGTTCTGTCAACCCAGGCTGGAGTACGATGGCATGATCACAGCTCACTGCAGCCTCAAACTCCCGGGCTCAGGTGATCCTCCCACCTCAGCCCCCCAAGTAGCTGGGACTACAGGGAAACACCACCATGCCCAGCTTTTTTTTTTTAAAGAGGTCTCCCTAAGTCACCTGGGCTGGTCTTGAACTCCTAGCCTCTACTGGTCCTCCCACCTCGGCCTCCCAAAGAGCTGGGATCACATCTTCTTCATCAGAGAAGTTAATGATGCTGTCGGTGTGGGGTCTGCCTGGCACAGCCAGTCTCTGCCCATGGCAAATGAAGCACACCTGCCTTCCCTCACTGGCGTGGAGCGCTCTCATTCCTCTCCTGGCCATGAGTGGTTGATGACAAACAGATCCTGTGATTCCGCAAGAGTGCCTCATCTATCCATGTGCTCAGAATGTTGGTGAGAGGTGTGATTCTCCTACACCGTCACCCAGTTTTCAAGAAGACATATGTCCACTGATTGTCCTTCAGGATGTCAAGATAAGGAGTAAATGAGAATGTCTTTGAAAGTATTTTCATTACTCAATACTTTAAAAGGAAAAAAAAATCTTTTGTCTAGGGAAGCTCATGTTTAGAATAAAGTAAACATTTCCCAAAGTTTCCAACTGATAAGAACTGCCTTTGGGAGTTTGTGAAAGACGTGGATTTTCAGATCTCTTCTGTGGAGATTCCATTGCTCTATGCAAAACTCAGAAATCTGACTTTTTGTAAGCATCCCAGATAATTCTTACGTGCAGAAAAGTCTGGAAAAATACCAAAGTGGGTCAATCTACCAGGAGAGGAACAAATGCTTTTTTAAAAAAAAATTAGTAAACTTTATATTTTAGAGAAGTTTCAAGAGTATAAAGTACAGAGAATTCCCATAGACCCCTGCCCTCTGTCCCACAGCTTCCCCCATGATCCGTTTCCCACACTGGAGTGCACGTGTGTTACAGCCGATGCACATAATCATCACCCAAAGTCCACAGCTTACATTAGGGCTTGTTTTCAGTGTACATTCTATGGATGTTGGCAAATGTGTAATGACATGTATCCATCATTACAGCATCACCAGAGTCGCTTCACTGCCCCCCAAGTCCCCAGCACTCCACCCGTTCATCCTTCCCTCCCTGCATGCCTTGGCAACCACTTGCCTTTGTGCTGTGGTCATAGTCTTGCCTTTGCAAGAATGGCATATAATTGCACTGATGCAGTATGTAGCCTTTTCTGCTGGGCTTCTTTTAATTACTAATATGCATTTAAATCTGCTTCATGTCTTTTCAAGGCTGGATGACTCATTTGTTTTTCGAGTTTTACTGAATAATATTTAATTGTCTGGAAGTACCACAGTTTATCCATTCACCTACTAAAGAACATTTTAGTAACTTACAAATTTTGGCAAACATAAGTAAAGCTTCTATAAACATCTGTGTGCAGGTTTTGTGTGGACATAAGTTTCTAACTACTTGAATAAACACCAAGAAGCAAGATTGCTGTATCATAGGGTGAAAGTGTGTCTAACTTTGTCAGACATTGCCAGGGAGTCCTCCTAGGTGGCTGCGCCATCTGCATTCCCACCAGCAATGAATGAGAGACCCTGTTGCTCCGTGTCTTCACCAGCATTTGGAGTTGTCAGTGTTTTGGATTTATTTTGGCCGCTCTAATAGTGTGCAGTGGTATCTCATTTTTGTTTTAATTTGCATTTTCCTAACGACAAATGATGCTGAGCATCTTTTCATATGTTTACTTGCTATGTGCTCGTCTTCTTTGGTGAACTGTATGTTCAGGTCTTTTACCCATTTTTTTTAATTGGACTGTTAATCTTATCGTTGAGTTGTGAGAATTCTTGGTACATTTTGAATAACAGTCCTTTAGCAGATGTGTCTTTTGCAAATATTTTATCCTAGTCTGGGGCTAGTTTTCTCATTCTCTTGAGATTATCTTTTCCAGAGCAGAAGTTAATTTTAATGCCATCCAGCTTATCAACTTTTCTTTTATAAATTGTGCCTTTATGTTATATCTAAAAAGTCTTTGCCATAATCAGGGTATCTAGATTTTCTACTATGTTATCTTCTAGGGGTTTTATGATTTTGTGTTTTACATTTAGGGCTATGATGCATTTTGAGTTAATTTTTGCAGAGGGTGTAAGGTCTGTGTGTTGACTCACTTTTTTGCATGTATAGGCCCAGTCATTCGAGGACCATTTGTTGACTTTTCTCCATCGTATTGCCTTTGCCCCTTTGTCAAAGTCTATTGACTATATTTATGTGGGTCTATTTCTGGGCTGTGTATTCTGTTTCATTGATCTATTTGTCTATTCATACAGTATCTTGATTACCAAATGATCAATTAGCAAGTGATTAATTAGCAAAATTATATGCAGAAACAAGGGCAGAACACCCATTAATAACTTATAGTGATTTTTCAATTATTTGCGGTTTGGAGGTTTGGAATAGGTATTATACATGTTTAATGTGTCCACAGTGGTTGGAAGCTAAGATAAATTAATATAAATTACAGAAAGGATAACAACTACCTGGCCCTTTAGCCCCCCTCCTTCACTCCAGTTTCACTGCTAATCATTGGGTTGGAATAAGGAAATTCACCATGACATTACATGGTAGCGTCTGTGCCATAGCTGACTCGGGTTCTGTTGCTGCTCTGTCTCTTCAAACTGTGTTTTTGGTCTTGTAATAGACGTTTCAATTTATTGTTGAAAGCCAGACATAATGTAGTGGATAATAGAGACTGAGGCAAGTAGGCCTTTAGTGTAAAATTTTATATTGACCTAGCTAGGGGTTAGACTGTGTTTACAGTTACTACAGCTCTAAGGGTTTGAGGATAAAATTTCTTGGGTGCTTTTGTTTCTATCGCCTCTGTTGCCTTGGGTTTCCCTAGAGACTTCTTAAATAAGGTCTGAGTCACATGGGTCTTTCAGTTGTATTTCACCATTATCATACAGGAGCCCTGTTTTTTTGTTTTTTGTTTTTTGTTTTTATTTTGAGATGGAGTCTCGCTCTATCACCCAGGCTGGCCTCCCGGGGTGGGGGTTCACGCCATTCTCCTGCCTCAGCCTCTCCGAGTAAGTGGGACTACAGGCGCCCGCCACCACGCCCGGCCAATTTTCTATATTTTTAGTAGAGACGGGGTTTCACCGTGGTCTCAATCTCCTGACCTCATGATCCACCTGCCTCGGCCTCCCAGAGTGCTGGGATTACAAGAGTGAGCCACTGCGCCCAGCCAGGAGCCCTGTTAATGCCGTGGCATGGTGTGGTGTGGTGCTGCGAATCACCTGACACTCCTATGATTAGGCCTGTCTTTTAGCGACCCTGTGCAACTAGCTGTGACCTTCACAAGTGCTTCTCAGCCCTTCCCTCCTTAGATGAGACAGGAAGGATAGAGTGGCCCAGAAGTTAAATCTTTTCCTCCTCCCAGGTCACTTAGGCTTTGATAAAACCCCAGTAGGTAAAACTGTTTTTCTTGGGGACAGGCTTGTCAAGAACAGAAGGCTCAGGGCATATTTCAAAGTGGCTCCTTTTCCACCCTTCCTGCTGCAAGCACATGGGAATTTTTCTCCCATTGCCACTGTGAAAACCTGGTAGAGCCCCTGGGGGCAATACTTGCTAAAGTGTGGGGGACTCCTAAGATGGGGCCCCTCATAGTGTTTAACTCTCAGGCTTGTCTGCAAGGACCAGATTTGTCAATTACAGTTCAAGTTTTCCCACCCCAGTACCAGTTCTTGTAAAGTTTTCTGCCCCTGGGCTTCCACTCTGTTAAATTGTGATTCTCCATATCTACTTTTCAATTTGCGGGGGCAGCAGTTTGCCCTGTGACCTCAGTTGTCTGACGGATCTGAGAAGGCTGTTGATGTTCAGTTTGTTCAGTGTTTTTCTTTCATGGTTGGGAGTGATGGCTCCCAGGCTTCTTATATGCTGGATCAGACTGTGACTGTTTCTCAGGATTCCCTAGTAATGACCCTGGTAATTGTAAGGAGTACTAGTAAGGTGTATTGTAGGTTTCTCATCTAATGGAATTTGGCTGATTTTTACATGCTTAGATAGGGATCATGGGTTTTGAAGAGGAAGACCTCAGAAGTGTCCTTCCCATCATATCACACTCTCAACATGATTTGTGACTGCTGATATTGAACCTGATTACCTGGCTGAGGTCAGGTTAGTCAGGTTTCTCTACTTTAAAGCTATTCTTTTTCTCCTTTCTATGTTGTTCTCCTTGAAAGGAAATCACCATACACAGCTCACAGTTAAGGAGTAGAGGTTTATGCTCCCTCCCCTTAGGGTAGATTAACTACATAATTTATTTGGAATTCTTCTGCATGGGAGATTTGCCTCCTCATACCCAATTAATAATTTATTCAATCATCTATTTATATAAATATGAATTTATATATTTATTTATTTATTTTATACATTGAGTAATAACCCAAGACAACTTAATTTTGGTGTGGAAGTTGTCCCAGCTTTAGCCACTGGAATCTCCTTTGCTTGGTGTTTGTGTCCCTTTGAGATATCACATCATTGCGTGTGGTTTTGTTGTAGTTGTTTTTGTCTAGTTTTTGAGCACATATTTACTTTCTGGTACTACAAGGTGTTTTAGGCTCACTTTGAATATTTTCTGCCCCAGTTTTAGAATCAGCCATTTCTCCAAGGACCCATGGTTCCTTTTGTTGGATAATGGCATACAAAACCAAGATCTGGGTACTAGGTATGCTCATTGCTAGCAAAGTATGATTTTCAGGCTCTCCCAGCTGAGAGAGTAAGGAGATAGATGTGTGTATACTAACCCAATAATATATTTTCATATGTAACCATCTGTACCTATATTAAGTTAAACATGGATACTTATGTCAATCTAGCATCCTGTTGCCACTAGGTTTCAATAATCATAAAACATTTTAAAAGAAATATAAATTTTGAATGCAAAAAATGCATTTTCTTATTTATTATGATCTACATTTATGATAAAAATGCATCCAAATTTTGAGCATTTTGAATACAATTTTATTTAACATGTTTTTTCATACCACCTGCAATATATACATTTAATATCTTCATCATCTAAACAACGTTATCGCTAGAATATGAATTATATGATGATATTAAAAATAGCCAATTCATGATTTTGCTGAAATGAACACAAGAACAATAAATTTTATACACTAAATATATAATAATGTATGAATCACACATGTGTTTTAATTTTCTTACCTATATATAAACAAAATACTCTACTATAAACAAAAACAATCCATAAACAGAATACTCAGAATCCAAATTTAATTCAGTCATTTTTGAAATATTGCCACCCTTTAGTTGTATAAAACCCATAGCCTGTGCACAGTGGCTCACACATGTAACCCCAGCACTTTGGAAGGCCAAGGTGGGAAGACTGCTTGAGCCTAGGAGTTCCAGAATAGCCTGAGCCACATAGGAAGACCCTGTCTCCACAAAATGTAAAAACATCAGGAAGGCATAGTGACACACACCTGTGTTCCCAGCCACTTGGGAGGTTGAGGCAGGAGGACTGCTTGAGCCCAGAAGGTCAAGGCTGCAGTGAGCCATGACTGCATCACTGCACTCCAGCCTGAGCAACAGAGTGAAACCCTGTCTCAAAAAAGCAAACAACAACAACAACAACAACACACACACACACACGCACCCACACACCCAAAGCCTTGTTAATATTTTCCTGATTTGTTGTTATGAAGACATTTCTGAAGTAGTAAGAGGTTAGAATGTAGTATATTTAGCAGTTTGAGATTTTGATGTATAATCTCTAAATTCTGGTCTGTGGTATGAGGGTCTCCATTTATGTTCTTGCTTGGAGCCCTGCAGGTGTCAGGGGCAGGCTTGCTTCGTCCAGCTGGGAGGACATACACTCTGTGGCCTTGCAGGAGCCTATCTGTGTTGAATGACATCAAACAGTTTTCCTTTTATTTGGCCAACAGCACAGACCCTCCTCCCTCTCCTTTCCCTGATGACCCTGGTGATGACTCTGTCCCTACTGACCTCCAGCTCCTCCCATCTCTGGAGAATAAACCCCAGAGAGGGGTCTGCCAACTCACAGGGAGAAAGAATTTGGTAAGAAAGTCATGAATATGGCCGGGTGTGGTGGCTGATGCCTGTAATCCCAGCACTTTGGGAGACCGAGGCGGGTGGATCATGAGGTCAGGAGTTTGAGACCAGTCTGGCCAACACAGTGAAACCCCGTCTCTACTAAAAATACAAAACTAAGCCGGGTGTGGTGGCATGCACCTATAGTCCCAGCTACTCAAGAGCCTGAGGCAGGAGAATCACTCAATCCCAGGCGGCACAGGTTGCAGTGAGCCGAGACTGCAGCATTGCACTCCAGCCTGGGCGACAGCGAGACTCCATCAAAAAAAAAAAAAAAGTTGTGAATACTATGACTCTGATACATTCCTTTACCCCTAGTGACCCCCTGAGACATTTCTTCCAGCTCTGTCTTAATAAAGCAGCCTCAAATTTTATAAAAACCCTAGATACTTCTCATTCTGGGACCTGGAAGCCACTCTTACGTAGTATTAGAGACCTTGCCCCCACCATATTCATTCTTCACCTAGCAGCAAGAACGCTTTTTGAAAAACAAGAGTCCTACTGTTTTCCCATTTGAAACCCTCCAAGGCTTCCCAGTGTGCTGGGAGAGAGCCCCACCCAAGTTTCCTAACATCCTACTGAAAAGTTTGTTACAACTAAAGAAACACTTTGTGTAGCTGCAATCGATCCTTTCTTGTCTTTTGTCTCTGTGTCCAGGTTAAACCAAACAGTGTTACAAGAGGCACCTAGTTATTGCTGCCTCTGTAAGCATGGAGACCCAAGAGTTAAGGGCAGCCTGCATCCTGGAATGGAGGCTACAAAGCAGCTGATGGCCCCCTCACACCTGGGATGAAGAAAGCAGGGCCGGGATCCTGCTCTTCTTTCATAACAAATATCTTAATATCTGGAACGTTATCATGATGTCCCTGCCACAGAAACCTGGGTGTTTGCATGTTGAAAATATGTTCTTGTTGTCATTAAGTAGAAAAACCTGCACCCTAACATGTGCCTTAAAAAAATATCAAAACCAGCAATTCTAAGGCCAAGGCAGCATTTTCACAGCTGTCTTCCAAATTCCATGGGTCTATGTTCACTAGCTCCAAAATGCAGGCTTGTTTAGTTACCTAGAGATGCTCATGGTCAGCCATGAGTTCATTCCAGCAGGAAGTGACATGGTGTCCTTCAAAATTAGACTGTCAGTAGAAGCATCATTGAGATCTTCCTGTGGTGTCCGGCACATGAAAATAACTACTTAAAATTTCCTATGCCATAATCATTATATTCATGTTCTATGGAGTCTTCACTGATGGTTCTGTTCAGTAGTTAGAATAGGCAAAGAACAACTTTCGTGAAAAAGTTCTGTGATGTCCCACCTTCTTTCTGAGAAGGATATATAGGCTCCTACGCATGAACTTCAGCTTCTGTATCCCATCTCCTGCATATGAATCAGGCCCCAATTTTCAGTGCAAGTCCCAGCTTTTCCAGGGCAGTCAGCCTCCAATTATTGATTGATGGTACACATACAAAGCCTGATTGAAAAGACATTTTTGGGAGTGATATAGGAGTTCAGAGGAAATCACTTAGGCAGATAGTGAGGGTATGGGAGTCCTCAGTAAGGCTTTTACTTACTCAAGCAGCCTCAAATCATTTTCTAACAAAGAACAGCCTGTAAAGTCGAGTTGCAGACATGGACAAGCAAACTGCGAGCTTGAATGGGTGAAAGCCCCCAGAAACTAGAGACTAGACATATTCAAGATGGTGTCTCCATCTTCCCTTCTCTGTCAGCCACGTGTTCAAGAAGGAGCAGACAAGATGGAGCAGGCCTAGGGGAGCGTTCATTTGCACAAGGGTGGGGTAACCAGCCTTCACATCCGCCCTGCCCCCCCATGTAAATGTCACACCTGATCGAACCATTCTGTGAGCCCTACATAAATCAGACACTGCCTCCTCAAGCTGGACTATAAAATCTGGTGCATCCCTGCCAGCCAGACTTTTCTGCTCGGAAGACCCTTCCCTCTATAGAGAGAGCTGTTTTTCTCTCTCTCTTTTATTCTTTTTTTTTTTTTTTTTTTTTTTTTTTTTTTTTTTGAGATAGAGTCTCCCTCTTTCACCCAGGCTGGAGTGCAGTGGCGCTATCCCTGCTCACTGCAAGCTCCTTCTCCCAGGTTCATGCCATTCTCCTGCCTCAGCCTCCCGAGTAGCTGGGACTACAGGCGCCCGCCACCATGCCCAGCTAATTTGTTGTATTTTTAGTAGAGATGGGATTTCACTGTGTTAGCCAGGATGGTCTCGATCTCCTGACCTCATGATCCACCCACCTCGGCCTCCCAAAGTGCTGGGATTACAGGCGTGAGCCACCACGCCCAGGCTTTTCTTTCTCTTTTCTTCTGCCTATTAAACCTCCACTCCTAAACTCCTCATGAGTGTCCTTGTCCTAAATTTTCCTGGAGTGAGAGGACTGAGAGAACAAACCCCGGGTATTTACCCCAGACAACGTAGCCACTTCAGAAAGGCTCTTTAAAAACTACTCAGTTAATCTATTTCTTCAGATAGTCTAAGCCCTGATTTGAATCAGTTGGGGCCCCTGATGAATTTCCTTCACTAAGCCATGCTTCCCTGCCTCCTCTGTCCTTGGTTTTACTCAAGGAGAACCCATGTAACAGGACCAAGTTTGTTTCACGATGCACAGCAAGGCAATACGCTAAGTCACCCAGTTGCAGCTGAGAAAGAGGTTTCATGGTAAAGCAACCAAATGAGGAGACAGAAGGAAACCTCAACTCCATCTCCCCAAGGAGTTTGGAAGTAGGGATTTTAAGGGGTTTGGATGAATAGTGGGCCGAGGTGTGGGGATCCTTGACTGGTCAAAGAGCATAGGGTGAAGTCATGAGACAAGGAGATGAAGAAACCTCATTCTCATCCTGATTAGGCTCCTCTGCAGGGGTCTTCATGCTGATAGTGCTCCTCTGGGGGGGTCTTCATGCTGCTTGGTATCAGCCATTCCACTGGAATTCAGGATCTGAAAAACATATTAAGCAATTGTTAAACAGAAACATTATTATTCTAGCATCAGAAATCCTATCTATAGGAACAACACGGATGCAAGTGGTCAGTATGTAGTGCTGCATGACTTTCGGTAGCAAGCAGCTACAAGGAAATGAGTGTACTTTGGATTCCTTTTAAAGGACAGAACAGTCAAAAGACTGATCTTAGTGAATGAGGAGTGGGAAGTGTGGAGAGGGGCACAGCAGATTAATGCTTAATTCTATTTCTGTCTAGAACTTGGCATGTAATTCTTGTTAACTCGGTGAGAGTGGTTTCACCCAGACAGACATGGGTCTATTCCAGCATTTGATGTGGAAATGCTGTGGAGAGCAGATGACATGCAGGTGGCTGCTACTTTCCCTGTGAAGTGTACAGGGATCATAGGCATTCTTGATGGACTCAGTAGGAGGGAACCCTCCCCTTGAAGGGCCAGCCCCTTTATCTCTAACAGAAGCTGTGCCCTACCTCTGCCTGGCTGCCAGGAAAGCTCAAATGGACACTGGCCCAAACTCTGCCTCCTCTGTAAACCATTACTTTGGCACTTGTCTAATTGGTTGGTGGGTTTTTTTTTATTTTGAATATTATTTTATTTAAAAATTATTGCACATTTTCTGGCAAGTTGTTTTTCAAAACCTTGTAAGTGGGTGAGGATATCAATCACTTAAACTCTCTAAGAATATTGAAAAGGGACTTCTAGGAGAGAATAGAAAAATGACTACCAAGTTTCCTTTCAGCCCAGAGGTTCCACAATGCAGTAACTTGATTACCTTGGGCTGAAACGCCCTCCCTTTCCCACTGGCTCTGCTGAAAATATTTGTGCCTTCAAGGTAGGCCTTGACAACTAATGGCAGCTCAAGTTTTTCTTCATAATTTATGAGTGATAATAAATGTGCCTGCCGCCTCACTATTGGTGTTCTTTCAAATGGCAAGCGTAGACATGAAAACCTGATGACTCATGAAAATGAAATGTCCCAGCGTGGCAGGTGAATTTCCACACTGACGTAGCTCCATGCTGTTGGTTAAAAAGACAAAGACCCATGAGATTTCTCAGGAGGGGCAATGGGATGCAGCCGGCACATGTCTCTGAGAAGCCGGTGATAGAGCTGCCTTTCCAGCCCATTTCCCCCACATTTCCTTCTGCTGTGCCCCTCTCCACGCTTCCCACTCCTCAATCACTAAGATCAGTCTTTTGACTGTGCTGTCCTTTAAAAGGAATCCAAAGTGCAGATGGAAAAGGCGGCACCTGGTGAGAAGTGGCAAGAGGATTTATAGAATCTGTACCTAAAAGATGCCTCTGTCCAGAAAGGGGGCGGCCACTCTCAGGAATCATCCTCAAACTGAATACAGGCCATCAAGGACCTCAGGGAGCACAAGTTAATTGAAATGAAATCAATCCCTCCAGGGCTTTAATGAAGATGTTGAGAAGCCTGCTGGCAGCTGGGACCCGGCAGGCCAGTGTGAAGCTGTGAGGGACAGTCCCTGGATTAAAAAGGGGCAGGAGCTACAGACTGAGGGAGTCCCTGTGCTAAATGCACCTGCCACTGAGCACTTCCATTCTCAGCCTCTACCTGTCGGACACTCACTGCCGGGGCAGCAAACAATAGACATGGAGATTGGGGGCCTGTGGCTGCTTCTGTTGCTCCAGTTGAGCATTTTACAGTGGAGTGAGGGTTTGATCTTATGTCCTAAGGGGTGATCCTTCTGCTGAAACTGCTAAGGAAACGTAGTCCTTTTCTTTTAACACAGGACTGTAGAGTTTTCTGACAAAAGAATAATTCCACTCTTGCTCCTTAAAATCCATTGTTAGGAGCAGACAAAGAGCAGAACATCCACACTCTCTGTTCTGAACACTCTCTGTTCTGAACACTGCAGACCTCCAGCTGCCCTTCCAGGTCGTCCTTTAGCAGACGCTCTTGGAGAAATGCAGATCTAATCTCATCTGTCTATGTTAAGCCCTTTAGGACTCTCAGAACGGGGTTCAAGTTCCTTAGCGGGGCCAACCAGGCATTATCTGTTTCTCCCTCCAGCGCATCTAACAACACACTCCTCTTTTCCCTTCGCCTCCCAGAGTCGTGCCTCTCGCCTCTCCTGGGGCATCCAAACACAAAGCCTCTCTCCACCTCCCCCTCTCCCAGGACGTGTTGAAATCCTCCTCCAGGCCCAGATCTTAAATGCCGCTGTTCCCGCTCTTCTGCCACTTGCTGTCTTTGTGCTGAGGTTTCCCATCTTACTCAGTGCCCGGAAGAGCATCGGAAGTGGTTGATAAGTGGCTGTTGAATATTGGCTGTTGTATGGATGCAGCTATTACTGGCTGTTCTACATCCTGGAATGTGAAATTAGCAGCCAGCTGAATTAAAACTCACTGAGTATGTTTGTATGGATACAAGAACCTGAGGTTGAAGAATGGTGAAAATAGGAAAAGTGATGACCTACAACTAGTAGAAATCAGCCATTTTAGGAGAAAATTGTCTTGCCTTGAGACAGTGAGGAAAGTGAGGAGGCTTTTTCAATAATTTATGTAAGGAATGATAAGGGCTTGAACATAAACTAAAGCAGAGGGATGGAAATATGGATTTGAGAGTTGCACAAGAGGCCAGTGAATGGGTTAGGTCCACATGCCATCAATCAGTGGTTGACTGGGTGACACGTCCCAAGTCATTCAAACCCACTGAGTTTTGGTTGTCTACCTGTAAAGTGAGCATGCCTCGCCCATGAGTATCTGATAAGCTAATACCAGATACACATCTAGGTATGTGCCTGCCACATTGCAAACCTTCATTAAGAAATAGGTCAAACGAAACATATATATATATATAGACACACACACACACACACTTCCAAGCATTTAATAAGATATAATGAATAAAAAGATATTAAAAAAAAGAACAAAAGAATTTGCAAGATGGAGATGGCTTAGCGGGTAGGGCATAAAGAAATGAGGGGGTAGACATCAGAGCCACCTGGCTGGTACCTCCCATCAAAGGCTGACTTTTAGTATTTGCTCAAGGTGAAAACACCGCACGCATGAATGAGCCATAAAAAGCCAGCAGAAATAACTTTCCTTGCTTAGCAAGTGACACTTCCCACATTGGCCTTTTCTGTTCCTAATTCAGCTCCAATCCCTGGAATGAGTTTTTTCATTATTTTAGGTGATCTGGCTAGCTCCTTCTGCTTTCTTTTTTTTTTTTTTTTTTTTTTGGTTGGTGGGGAGGGGGACACAGTCTTGCTCTGTCACTCAGGCTACAGTGCAGTGGCATAATCTTGGCTCACTGCAACCTCCACCTCCCAGGTTTAAGTGATTCTCCTGCCTCAGCCTCCCAGTAGCTGGGATTACAGATATGCACCAAAATACCTGGCTAATTTTTGTATTTTAGTAGGATTTCGCCATGTTGTCCAGGCTGGTCTCGAACTCCTGGCCTCAAGTGATCCTCCCGCCTTCAAGTGATCCTCTTGCCTTGACCTCCCAAAGTGCTGGGATTACAGGGGTGAGCCACCACGCCCGGCCTCCTTCTGCATTTTGACTTTAACTCTGTGCCCCCAGTTTTGCCTGACTCCTGGAATCTTTTAATGAAAAAAAGTGAACGCAGAATAATAGATGTTAAAATTCACATGCCAGTAGCTTCCCTGACCTAGTTTTATGTTGGTCTTCCATTCTATCATTTGTGCAGGCATCTCCTTTAGATGTATCATAGTTTTCTCGGGCATCCCAGCCCATTCCCAAAGGATTCGAAGGCAGGCTAGCATGCAAATTTGGACTTTTTGGGTAGTTGATGGTGGGGGTGGGTGTGGAGGAGAATAACTAAAACAACAAATACAAGGCTAATGGATCCGAAGGTCTGGGGAATATGACTGAACAGTTTTGTGTTTATTCCTTGTACATTGTGGTACAGAAGGTAGACATAGCCCTGGGAAATTCACAGAAGGAGGTAGAAATTTTATGGAGAAAGAAGAAGGAAAATGGACACTGCATACACAGGAACCAGCAGACTGTTCCTCTGAATTCCTTGTTGGCAGCTCATGCTATGATTTCAGTAAACACCCTCCTCCCACGGGGATGCATGTGTGAAAGCTGAAGATACCAGGATGAATCACTTTTGCCAGACCCAGACAAAATAGGGCCAGGAAGTCCAGAAGGAGAGGAGGCTCATGCTTACCTGTTCGAGATAAGACAAGGACTTTCAAAAGACCCTTTCTCATCCTTCGTGTATCATCTGCTTTGATAAGATTTATTACTAGATATTTTTAATTTTTTTTTTACTCTCAAGTGACATTGACAGCATTAGACATCCTTTAGGATTGCAGTGATTTAGAAAAGATGTTCTCAGAAGAACACTTTCCCAGTAACAGCATTTCTACCAACGAAATGACAGCAACTCTGCTTTGAACTTCTGGAACCAGTGAACTCTGTTTCCAAGCAGCTTACGTAGGTCTCTTTTTGCTAATGAAAGCCCTCCTTACTCTTCCCTCACTGGATGTGCTGGTGCCTTGCCATTCCATGCACTCCAGATCATAATCCTTATTTCTATTTCTGAGCAAACCCCACATAATTAGAGAAAATTTTCTCTAGTGCCATTTTTCTTAGGTTAACAAATGGATGGATGGATAGGTGGAGAGATCAATAGCTTCGCCATGTATATAAGTTGTCATACCTGACACTGGCTTTCTCGTATCATTACATTAGTTGAGCCCTTATCTGTGGTTTCACTTTCCATGGTTTTGGTTAGCTGTGGTCAACTGTGGTCTGAAAACACTGTATTAAAAAATTCAGAAATCATTCTTAAGTTTTAAATCATGCACTGTTTTGAGTAGTGTGATAAAATTAGGCATAATCATCCCTTTGTCTATAATATTCACACTGTAGATTCTATCTACTTGTTAGTCACTTAGTAGATGTCTTGGTTAGCAGATCGACTGTTGCAGTATCATAGTGCTCATGTTAAAATAACCCTTATTTTACATAATAATGGCTCAAAAGTGCAAGAGCACTGTGCCTAAATTACACATTAAATAACATTGTACATAAGGTTCAATACTATCCAGTTTCAGGTATCCACTGAGGGACTTCGAATACATCTCCCAAGAATAATAGGGGACTACTGTAAATTCCTTTGAGGTTCATCCAAATGTTGCCTCTATTAACTCTCTACTCACTGTATTGCTGAATAGTTTTCCGTAGTATGGTTTACCGACTTTTTAAATTCATGCATTTGTTAATTAAGGCAGCATTTAAGCAAAGTTCTGTACAGTTGCTACTCTGCTTGTTATGAGCTAAAACTATGAAAGTGATAATTACTTTCATAAAAACTTTCCGAAAGCTAGAAATTGTGAAAGTGATCAGTCAGAATTGTGAGTGATGGTTTATTAATAGTTGACACTTTTTTCCTGACAGGTAACTGGAGACTGGCACAGAGGAGGCACCCAGTGGCACCTGTTAAATAAATGAGTTGTCTGTGAGTTTCAGAGCTTTGCATTACATGTCTGCCAGGCTTAGGGCCTCTTCCAGCATTTGAGGATGAGTCAATAAGGGCAGCTGGGTGTGCAGTCACAGTGACTGACAGGAGTAGTCTCTGCTTAATTTCCACATGCTAGGGGCACGAAAAGGCCTAATCGGTCTATCAGATAAAGCAGGAAACCCAGGCCAGAACCAAATACCCAAGAAGCAGGAAGGGGGAAGGGTTGATTGTGTGAAATTGGGGGACACAGGTCACGATTTGATTTGGAAAGTGGATTGGCAAGTGTTAACAGGGTTGCCATGGATGGCTGTGCTTGTTATGCACCGCACAACTCCAAAGGATGCCGTTATGGAGCCCCCTAGTGTGCAGTACATGCACTGTACAGTGACATAAACTGCTTTGAGTAAGAAGGAGGCCTGGAGTCAAATGACCATCAAAATGGACTTGATATGACTGCAAAGTTCTTATCATTCAAAAGGAAGACAAGGCCCAGAAAGCAGGTAGGGGAAGTTGTTCAACACCAAGTAGGGCAAATTTAGGCAAGATCAGCCTTCTATGGCTCCAGCCATATTGGCCAAGAATAATCAGTGCCATTGGGTGCCTCCTCTGTGCCAGTCTCCAGTTACCTGTCAGGAAAAAAGTGTCAACTATTAATAAACAATCACTCACACAATTCTGACTGATCGCTTTCACAATCCAGTTTCAGGTATCCACTGAGGGACTTTGAATACATCTCCCAAGAAGAAGAGGAGACTACTGTAATTTCTTTGAGGTTCACCAAATGTTGCCTGTATTAACTCTCTACTCATTGTATTGCTGAATAGTTTTCCATAGTATGGCTTACTGACTTTTTTAAATCATGCATTTGTTAATTAAGGCAGCATATCCTATAAGACTATGATATCCCATTGCGTGTCTTTCTCTTGGGTGCCTCAGCTCAGAGACTTGGAGTTTAGGGGTCTCCTGAACCAGATCCAGGTTAAGAAGTGAGACTTAATTCTAAGTCAAATCTGGGAGCCTGGGCCAAGTGGGAAAGACTAAGGCTCATACATTTAAATCCTGCTTGGGCCAACAAATGGGGCTGGCTTACAGGGAGCTGAGAAAGGCAGAAAACGGTTATACAGGGGAAGTTGAAAGAAAAGCAGCTCTGCTGGTCCAGTCTCTCGGGGTCATGTAAAGGACCTGGAGAATATGGCATTATCACATTACTAAATATCTTTGTATTATTAAAACATCATTTATCACAAAAAAAATTTCAAAGGTAAAGCAGGGTTAGGGACTAAAGTCCCAAGACAACAAAGATGCTATCTCCTGCAGGAATTTCAATGATCAGGTGCTTTATAGCTGTAAGTGTGTTTTGTTTATTGTAAAACAAAATTCTGAAACTAATTTATCAATGCTAAAACAAATAAACAAACTCAAAAGCTTCCTTCTTTGTCCTTAAATTCGTGTGCTCAGTAGCTCTTTGGAGTGTTCTGTCATCTTTGTTGGTGGTGGTGAGATGTGCTGCAAGTGAACTTGGAAGGTTAAAAACAAAAATGACAATAAAATCTCAAAGGCAAACAAAAGAACGCAGGTCTCCTTTTTTCCTACTTTCAGCTTTAGTTCCTGGTTCTAATCAAGTTAGAGCCAATCCCAGTCAAGTCTTAGCAAATCCTCTTATCTAATTCATGAATCTCATTATACCTAATTCATGTTGTAACAACTCCTGCACTGGGAAAAAAAATGTCTGAATTAACAAAAATAGAAGGACCATCTGTGACTGTGTGAGCCCACCATCAGCGCCACAGTCCCGTGTGACTGGTTTTTGTAGGACGTGTCTTTATCTGTGTGTGCAGAAATCATAAGCCATATTATACCAACAAAAGAAAGCAAACCACTGATGTGACTGTCGTTAGGTGAAAATGTTGCTCAATGCAAGGCTACCCTTGGACTCCTACTGGGGCACACATCTCAGACTAAGGGTATTTTGGCGGTAGCCATGCCAGGCCAGCAGAGGGCAGCTCCTCAACTTCCCCTTCCAGTCACCGAGTCCTCAGCAGTCTTGCTCTACACATCCCCTTCGTGGTCCCCTTCTTCCATTCCCACCGCCATCCCAGTTCAGGCCTTTATCAGTGATCACCTGGACTTCAGCAAGGGCCTCCTCCCCAGCCCATCCTGCCCATGGCCACACAGGCTGCGTTCAAAGTGAGCTTCCTAATAGGCATTCTGGACTATGCTGCTTGTCAGATTCGTCTTTCAGTGGCTTTAGCTGCCTTCGATATGTGCTTTAAACTTGTTATCTGAGCAAATAAAAGTACTTCAACCTCATGACTTTCCTCATCCCCACTAGCACCCAAAAACTCCTATGACCCTGAAATAAGAGCCATCCTAAATGCCTCTCTCTCTCTCCTCTCTCCCCAACTTCTTTCTTGTGATAACCTTTTCACCTAACATGACATTACCAAAAATGTTATTTCAGTATGACTAATGAATGACTAAATTCATTCAT
The DNA here is from genome assembly GCF_000001405.40 of Homo sapiens. NCBI lineage: Eukaryota > Metazoa > Chordata > Mammalia > Primates > Hominidae > Homo > Homo sapiens. The sequence goes on from NC_000020.11 coordinate 24,102,985, forward strand.
GAATTCCTCAGGAAAAAACCTTTCCCTGGCCTCCTTGAAGTCTGCCCTCTGTGCCTTTTCTATGCATTTTCATGATGACTGTTATTATATAAATATCCTTCTGTCACATCAATTCTCAGACTCTTTAATCATCTCTTTTCCAATCTAGGCTGACAGATTCTTCAGCATAGGGAGAGATGGTGTCCAAAGCTCTTTCTACAAACTTTACCACTCAATCTGGAACATAAGTATGCTGAAATGTGTCTGTTAAAATGAATGAATGGATTCTCTGAAAGTACTTTATTATTTCAGTAGAAGTTTAGAAAGATGTTTTCTGCTCTGTTAGAATGAGATTATAGTACAGGAAGGGGGGTAAAGACAGATGGAAACTTCAATATTAAGACATTTCTGTGCATACAATTTTTGAGATGCATTATTCCAATTAATGATTAAAAAAAGAAATAGAATAAGAGCCAAATTCTTCTTCTGCTTTTAGCCAAATATCCAAAGTTCTCTATGTTAGATGACCTCAAGTTTACTGTGATCTGTTCTCAGCATTTGCAGAAGCTGGGAGTTTTGCTTCATTTTGTTACAGATGAGGTGGCAGGAACAGCTGAGTCGGAGTCTGCTTTTCACGGATTGCTGTCACAAAACATCCAAAATGTCCTTATCTCAATGCCTGGGAGTGTAGGGCCTGATCCCCAGCCTAAACTCCTTTCTAAGTGGGTAGAAGCCAGCATAATGAAGGAGAGCCAGATTTCCTGAAAACCTTTTATGCAGTAAAAGGTAATAAAGCCCCCCAATACTTGGGGCTGAAACTCACAATTATTTATTATTTCTCACAGTCTCCAGGGCTGACAGCCTGGGCAGTTCTTCTGTTGGTATCCCCTGGCTCCTACATGTGCTGTAGCCACTGGTGTTGACCAGGCTGGAGGGCCCAAGTTGGCCCCATGGCCATGCTGGCAGGTGGTATGGCTGTTGGTCGGGGTACCTCCGTGTGCCCAAGTAGCCTCTCATCTTCCAGGACGCTGATCCAGGACTCTCCACAACACTGTGGTCTCAGTGTTGCAAGGGAGTGAAGGTGGGGGCTGTAACCTATACTGGGGCTCAGGAGCCTGCCCAGTTCATTGTCCCCCACTGTCCATTCATCAAAGGCAGCCACGGGAATGCCCAGGTTCAGGGGTTGGGAAAGAGACTTCTTCTCTCAACAGGAGGCATGGCATTGTAAAGGCCCTGGAGCTCATGGGGGGTCCTGAACCAGACGATCTGCCACAGCACAGACCGCATCAGTACAAGTAACTTGTATTGATCTAGACTAGTGCTAGCTTGAGACTGAGACAAAATTAGAGAGATTCACAGTAACATCAACAGTTGCCATAAAGGCAACAGGCTTGGAACAAAGCAGTGGATAAAGAGAAAAGCCCTTGCCTTTGCTCTGTAGCAGGGACTGTCCTGAGACATGTATGTGTAGATGTGCTCATGGGCACTGGTGAGGGGAGACTCGATTTCATCCTGAGCCTGATCCTGAAACATGGTCAGCCCACAGTGCCCCAGGGAAAAGACTGACCGGAGACAGAACTGTGATGGAAAGTTCAGTGCTGGAATCAGTGAGGCCAGGGCAGGGCTGTGAGGCAGTGGGATGAAGAGGGGCAAAGATACCACCTGCAGCTGCCATGAAAGGGAGCATTTCTCTACATCCATGAATGGAGTCGTTGAAGGAGCCCAGGCTGCCCGTATCCTCTATGGCCACCACTTGTGGGTTCCAGCTCCTCTGAGCTCTCAGTCTGTAAAACGCCATATGCAGAGAACAAGTGCATCTGTGTGTGTAAGGCATCACAGACAAAAAAGTGAAATCTTCTAGATTTTTAGAAGCACTGGGAAACCAGTGGTCCTTAGTCCAAAATCATCTGGTTCTGATGCTTTTGGAGTAAGAAGTCTCCCTGGGTATAGAGTGTGCTGCTGGGGTGTGGCATGAGGACCACTGCCTTTGAATGACTGGTGATCTCACGATGCTTTAACGGGGTGGGGAGGTGCAGCTTGCAGAAAGTGGCCCTCTCAGGATGGACTGGAATAATGGGGAAAAGACTATGATATCCCATAAAATTGAATCATGGGGAAAAGACTATGATATCCCATAAAAGACTGTGGGGTTCCAGAACTGGCTCCTTATTTTCTGTGGTGACACATGGATGTGGTGTCTGGACACCTCACTGCTGGTAGAAATATATGAACCTAAGCATGGAGAGTCAGCATTGCACAGAAACAAACAGGCAGCAGGCTCATCCTGGGAAACCTGGGCCTGCACAGAGGCCGTGCTCCCAACACCAGGAATCCTGCGCTGATGAGTGGGCTATGCAGGGGTAGTTGAGCTGAGTGATGGAGTGCAGGGGCTGATAGGCCCCCCAGACTGATGCACAGGGACAAAACCCTCCATGCAGGGAGCTCTTGTAGGAGCCCTGGGTGTCAACATGGAGTTTAGAGAAGCATTGGTGATGCATAGGTGAGGGGTCCTCTTGCTGCAACCCCAAAACTAGTGAAAGGAGGCAGTCCCTGGTGGACAGCCACACATTCCCCAAGCCAAGGGACAGAGCAGAGGTCCCATGGGACCACATATTTTTGACTCCTGAGCCAGGCAGTGCATTCTCACCCATTATGGTCAGGAGGAGGTAAAAACCTTTGGATGGTGAAAAGCTAAAAAGAGCTTTTACTGACAGCTGTCTCACTACAAAGAAACAGGAGATTCCTGAGTCAAGAACTATGAAGCAGACTCCTGGTGGCAGAGACCTGAACACAGCGGTAACCATAAGACTAAGTTTTGCAGAGTAGAGCTTTCATTACTAGGAGTTCTACTAATGCAGTTTCATATGCGCCAGCCATCTCCCTGGACTTGTAGAAAAGCCTTCCAGGTAATATTCACTGTTTGAAATTTCAGAAAGTGCAGTTTTTGTGACAATCCCAAAGTGACTAAATAATTGCCATGGAATGAAGAACACCAGCAGCCATGAACATCATCATACAATGAGAGCCTGTTCTAATCCTTAGCTGATATCCACAGGGTAAACCTTGATTTGGTGATTTCATCATTGAATTTGGGGAATTAGTCCACAGGGTTGGGGATTTAAGCCACAAAGTTTAGGAGACTTAAACACATAGGAGGCATATATAAAATTCTCCTATATGAAACTTAACTCATATAGAAGATCTAAAAATATACTTTATATCATAGTCTGTATGATAAAAATACATACGCAGATACCACTGATCTATCTGATTCATTTGCTAGGGAGATCTTAATTCTTTGAGTTTTAGTAATGCTCTGTTAAAAATTTGATTCAAACTGACACCATTAAAAAAGATACATGAGTCACCAATAAACACATGAAAAAATGTTCATTAGTCATTAGGAAAATATAGATTACAATCACAATGAGCTACCACTACACACACACACATAGACACACACACACAGACACACACACACGAGAATTGCTGAAATTAACAACAACAAATGATTGACAATACTAAGTGTTGGCTAAAATTTGCAAGAATTGGAATTCAGGCACTTTGAGAAAGTGTTTGGAGGTGTCTTATGAAATTAAACATAAGCTTACTATAAAAGTCACCGGCTCCACTCCCAGGTATTTACCCAAGAGAAATGAAAGTATGTGCACACACAGAATTGTACAAAAATGCTCCCAGCAAACAATGCCCACAGCCAAACACCTGGAATAAACTAAGTATCCACTTGCAAGTAAAAACGAATGACTACTGACACAAGCAGCTATATGGATGAATGTCCAAAACATGTTGAGTAAAATAATTCAAACACAAATGTATATAGACTGTATGATTCTGTTTATGTGAAATTCTAAGAAAGGCAAATTTAAACTATTGTAACAGAAAGCAGTTTAGTGGTTGTCTGGGCTGGGGGCATGAGTATTGATTGCAAAAAAAGCACAAGGGAATTTTGGATGTGACAGAATACTAGATGCCTTGATTATGAGGATGACTGCACAGTACATAGATGTGTCAAAACCCATCAAAGTCAACCTAAAATGGATGCATTCTGTTGTAGGTACATTTTACCTCAATCAAGTTAGTTTGTAAAGCTCCCTAAAATGTGTTTGATTATATTATTATTAAAGAAAACTGTGACGACATGACTTCGTATCCCTGCACTGTGGTGTCTGATCAATTAGTGAGGGCGACGCATGTGCCCTGTGGCTTCTGTCTCCACTTTTCCTAATCAGGCATTGAGCTTCCCTCTGTTTGTACTTCGTCTCGGCTTCCTGTTCCTCTTAGCCAGAGAGCCACTTTGCTAATGGGATAGGTCTTCTCTGTTAGATGCCGGCAGTGATCAAATAATTCCCCAGCGATTAAATCAAACCCAGTCTCCTTCTGCATTGAAATATTGATTATTGCCAGGTTCATTTCTGCTTAGTGCCCAGAAGATCCTGTTCCTGACAAGGAAATGCCATTAGCATTTTTTTTTCTCCTTTTCAACATAGAGACTTTTTCTCCCTACAGTTGATAGAAATAATGTATTTTTTTATATTAGCCACACATATAGTTGTTCTGTATTGATATATTTTGCCAAATACCAGAAACAATTTTAACAGGACAGAACATGATATTTGGGTCTCTTCATGACAGGCAATGATTTCAGAAAACACTTATTAAATGATTAGAAATACTTTCTCCAATCAATTAGTTAAGTACAAGAAATTAAACTCATTCGGCTGGGTGTGGTGGCTCACACCTGTAATCCCAGCACTTTGGGAGGCTGAGGCAGGTGGATCACCTGAGGTCAGGAGTTTGAGACCAGCCTGGCCAACATGGTAAAACCCCATCTCTACTAAAAATACAAAAATTAGCTAGGCATGGTGGTGGGCGCCTGTAGTCCCAGCTACTCAGGAGGCTGAGATAGGAGAATCGCTTGAACCTAGGAGACGGAGGTTGCAGTGAGCCGAGACTGCACTGCACTCCTGCACTCCAGCCTGGGTGACAAGAGTGAGACTCTATCTAAAAAAAAAAAAAAAAAAAAAAAAAAAAAAAAAACACTCATCTTTAATGCATCATCTGATGAAGTATGAGAAATGTTTTGAAGCAGAAATGAACACTTTTTTGGGCCATAATAAAATGTCATTTCAAAATATAGATTTCCCCAGGAAGAAAAATGACCTCTCAAAGAAGATTTTATATTCTTCACCATAACTGGAGATCAATGGTGCCTTCTGTGATGATGTCATTTGGGACCAGAAATAGCATCTTTTATTAAATCTTGTCTGAGATTGACCCATCCTAAACTGAACACAGCAAGGAAAGCCAAATCTCTGGAATAAAGATTGTCTCTCCCTCTAACACGGTTTCTTGCAAGATGGTCCACAATTTTTTCAAGGTACAAAAGTCAGATTGATATCACAGTGGGGTATTTTTCAAAGCAGATGGTGTCCTTTTATTTTTCCCTTTTGATTCTGATGGCAAGCAGCATTGTGATGCCAATTTCCAGGTGCAAAAATTGAATTGACCCAGCAGATATTCCTTGTGAAAGCAACAATCAATACAAGGAGAAGGATGTCCCTGCTGCCATGGGCTTGTGTCCATCTCTTAAGGTGGCATCAGGGAAAGAGTCTGGGGCTGAAGGAGGGGAGAAGAGAGCGTCTACATAGTCTATTGAAAGGAATCCTAAGCCTCTGGTCCTGGCCTTCTCTCCTCCCACAGGGAAAAATTGGTGTGGTCCAAAGAATCAAAACATCCCAGAGTCCTGCTCCCTGGTTTTGATTTTACAAATTGGAAACATCTCAAACATTTTCTCCTCTGACATAAGAATAGTAACTTGAGCTTCTTATACTTTTCTCCCTATGGGTGAGGAGTTCCTTGCAGGCAGGGATAGGGAGTCTGTGCATTACATATGCCCGGGGCCCAAAGGTTTAGCTGCTTGGAGTAGGAGCTAGGGAAGTGAGGAGAAGCATTTGTGTTCAGTCATCCTGGAGCTCTGCTTCGTCCAAGGTGACACACCCCAAGCCAGATCATGACTGGCCCCTGACTTGGAAGACTGAGTCGTTGTCATAGCCAGGGCACCTGGAAATCTGCGATAGGCTAAGTGATTGCATAAAGGACACATCTTTTGCAACCTGATCGCCTGTCACCCTAGGCACCAGAAAGGATCAGAATCCAGCCTAGTGCAGGAGAAAGCAAAGCCAGGAGCCAATGAGATGGCCTGTTACAAAGGTTCTGTCCAATCCTGGCGTCTGGGTGGCAGCACAGTGAGCCAACCAGAACCTTGCTTTCAGGAAGGTGGGTGCGGGCAGCACGTAGTAGAAGTGAGGGAGGAGGAAGAGCACAGAGCGCATGGAATGCAATGGGGCCGTGAGGGGCGGCAAGGGGCCCAGCGATGTCCGCCTACTTCCCAGGGGACTTCCGGGGTTATGGGTTGGGAGATGATGAAGACTTCTCTCCAGAACCGCCAAGACTGTTGCCCCACTTCCCTGGGAACTCTCAAAATGAGCCTCCTGTCCACACCTGGAGCTCACCGCGTGTTTCTGTGTTGTGTAAAATTCAATCTTTGATCATAATGGGATTCACTTATAAATAAAAAATGCCACATGGCTGGCAGCCCCAACACTGCTAGAAATAATTACATATTTTCAAACATATGTGTAAGTTATGAAGTAATACTCTTTGAAAATGACTATTTCGTGAAAATGAAAACTTGAAACCTCTACAAACCGCTGCAACTCAGTGAAAACCAACAAAACGGCGAACGGTCAGACCGAAAGGGAAAGAAACCGAAGCAGTACTTAAAGGGAAGCGCGTGTTTGACATGTCTCTACTAGGGAAAAAGAAACACTGAAAACCAAAAAGCTACGCATAGGAGCCATAACCTAAGCTCAAAGAAAACAGGGCAAGAAGTAATAAAAATAAAAGTAGCAATTAATGAAAGAGAAATCAACATCATCAAAAGCTGGTTATTGACCGGTGAAGTTGAACCACCACAGTACAAAATTGATTGAAGAAAAAGTGAAAGAAACAATATTAGGAATAAAAACTAGTATATAATACAGATATAGCAAAGACTTAAATATGAATTTTAAAACAGGTAAAATTGACAAATTATTAGAAAACTCTAAAGGACTGAATCAAGAAGAAAAAGAACACTGAACAAAATCCTATTACTTTTGTTTTTAAATAAACTGCGTGAGTATTTAAGCCTTTCCCACAAAGGTTTTGCTTAGTTTCCCAGGCAAGTTTTTTAAGACTCATAAGGGCTCTTCCATGTGTACATTTGCCATGTGCCAGGTATTATTCTCATTGGCCTATGTGCATTAACTGATTTAATTGTCACTGGGACTCCACTTGCAGGTAGTGTTATTCTAATCCACAGATGAGTTAGCTGAGGCATGGGGGAGCTAAGCATCTTGCTCGTGGTCACACAAATGGCAGAGACAGGATCTGAACTCAAGCAGTCTGTGCACAGATTCCCCAACCCCAAAATGCCCTGGACACACAGATGATTTCCTAGGAAAAGACAATTTCCGACTTACAGAAACCTTTCCAGACCAGCTCTCCTTGTATTGAGGCTGACCTCTAACCCTGATGCCAAAAGCAGATAAAGAAAGGGAAGGAAAATTAGACCAATCTCTATCAGGAACAGAGATATAAATACATTTTCTACAAAATGTCTTTAAACAAAATACAGGCATGCACTGCAAAATGATGTTTCAGTCAATGAGCAAACCATGTGTATGATGGTGGTCCCATAAGAATATAATACAATATTTTTAGTGTACCTTTTCTATGTCTAGATATGTTTAGATACACAAGCACTTATCATTGTGTTACAATTGCCTACAGTATTCAGTACAGGGACACGCTGTACAGGTTTCTAGCCTTGGAGCAATAGGCCATACTATATAGCCTAGGTGTGCAGTAGGCTATGCCGCCAACATTTGTGCAAATGGACTCTATGGTGTTCACACAATGACAAAGTCGCCTAATGACACACTTCTCAGAATGTGTCTCTGTCATTAAGTGACATATGACTGTACTGCATTATATAAAAAAGATAGCACTCAACTAAATTGAGATTATTGAAGAAAGCAATTTTGTCAAACATTGGAAAATTATAACTTAAAAATAATATAGTTTGCCACTTTCGTAATGAAAGGGAAATGACCATATAGTTAGCTCAATGAAATCAGAAAAATCACTTGATAAATTTGATAAAAAATTCAAGGCAAAAACTCTTTTCAAATGAGAAATCACTGAAAAATTCTTAATCTCATGAGAGATACATACCAGAAAGGTATGAAAAAAAAAATTCCACTGAAGTGTGAAATGTCAGAAGCATCACCTGTTAAAATAGGAAAAAGATAAGGAAGGATCCCTACCACCCACCGTTTCCATTCTGTGCAGCACCTTCTAGCCAGAGTGACAAGACAAGCTCAGGCCCCAGGGACTAAAATAACAAAACTGCTATTATCTGCAAATGCGATTGTCTATATAGGAAATTCAAAGATTCTACAGACAAATTATAAGAAATAATAATTGAACCTAGCATTGTTTAATATAAAGATTATATATTAACATCTGTGGTATTCTGTACTCAAACAACTATTAGAAAATATAATTAAAATATTTCACTTATGGTGGCCAACAAATATAAACAGCCTATAATTTTTAATGTAAGACCGTAACATGAAAATGTATGACATTTTATTGAAAGTCATTATACAAGTCTTAAAAAAATGGAGAGACATACCATATTTGTAGCCAGAAATTCTTCATATTCTGGAGCTGTCAAATCTCTCCAAATTGATCATCCAGTATAATACAATTCCAACAAAACTTCACCAGGTTTTTCATGAGATTTGACAGGTTGATTTTAACCTGTGTGTAAGAGAGACATGGGTGAACTAGTTTCTTCCTATGCCTCCTCAGCAACTGACAGACTCCAGGCAGCTGGTATCTGTTCGCAGGTGTCCTGGCAGAAATCAGTCTCACTTCTCTGCCCCTGACCTGCAAAAGCTTGGCCCTGTGGTATGTCCCAGAGGTGTGCCTGGAACCTGATCTCCACCCATGCCTCCCAGTGGCACACAGGGCACATGGCAGATGTCCACTAACATCCCTGCAACTCCTCCGGGCACTGTTCCCTCCCCAGGGCTGGTGCCGTGTTGGCGGGGAAGCTGGTTTCACCTAGTTGAGGAGGAGCCTGGCCTCCTCTGTGCTCTGCTGAATCTGCCACGGTGCTCCAGGGCCAGATTCTCTCAGACTTGAGGGGCCCAGGGGGTCCTTCTCTCACTTTGCTAAGTCTCTGTGGGGAACAAAAGTGATGAGTTTTCCCTCAACTGGGCACCCTGCGCAGGTGACTGAGCTCTCCCTGCATAGGTGCCCTCAGTCACAAAGCGGCAGGGACCCAGCTGCCCCTTGCAGTGTCCTGGGGATTAAGTCGAATCTCTCAGGCTTTAGCAGGTAGAAATCAATGGTGGTTCTGGCCTCCACTACAGAGGAAAGCCGGGGGGATTCTAGATGAATTCAGACCATTATCTGACCCATTTCACCCCTTCCCTTCCCCACACAGGACTCTCTTCACCAGCAGGTGGTGTCCATCCCATGCTCACAGGGGAACCACCTGTGGGGTTCACCTTTCAGAAAGATGCCGTGGGCAAAAGCAGGCAGCCTCTGGGCCAACACTGCCCTGCCCCACACCAACTCCTCCCCTGGAAAATTTCTTCGCCTAACCCTCGAAATTGCCCTGGGGCCTCTCGGCAACCCTGTGCATGGGTCACCAGCTTCACTGGACAGATGAGGAAACTGAGGCCCAAAGAGGTGATGGGACAGTGCAGAGTGAGATCACCTCCCTGCCCTACAGAGAAGGCATGTAGCTCTGTCTCTAGGAGTCCAGACTGGGGGAGTTAGGGCAGGGAGCCCCGTGGGGAGATCAAGCCCGGAGCATGTCCAGGGGTTGTGATGCCAGAGAGCAAGTGGTGAGCCTGCACACGCTCTCCAGGGAGCATCGCTGTTCCCCTGGCTGTCTGCTCTCTCAGGGCATTCACAGAATCTATTTCCTCCACCTCCCCATGCCCAAGCGGTAAACTGCCTGTTTCCTGGTCCAGTCACCTTTGCGGGGTTGTTCTGTGCGTGCCTGAAATCTCTCCCCAGACACTTGGCTCCGTGACTGCCTCTCACTTCCTAATCAAACTAACAGGTTTCACATCCATGTGGTCAGAGAATGAGGAGGCAGAAGTAATCAACAGCAAATTGGCCAGACAGACTCAGCCGAGATGTCTCCGGGCAGCCTAATTCAAATCGTGGGTGAAGATGGACAGAGTGGAAGAAGAGAGGCCATTGCAGGGATACTCTGGAGTGAGTTAATAAGATTAGAGACTGGCAGCATCACAGTCGCCTGAGCCCAGATTCTCTTGAGCCCAGCAGAGCACAGAGGAGATGAGGAGTTCAGTTCAGAGCAGAGGGCTCAGGGCATGCAGCCCAGCAGAGAGTGCATGCTCCCAACTTCTAAACTCACAGGTCTGAAGGACTCGCACAGAAGCTCCCTCCCCAAGTCACAGGGAAGTGTGAGGCTCCTGGAGCTGGACAGCAGCAGCAGGGCAGCTGCTCCTCCAGTGCCTATGTTGACACATCTGAGGTGCTCTTGGTACCAACCTGAATTCGAGAACTGGAAAGCAGGAGGGTTGGGTCCTAGTCCAGTTCTGCCATAGCTAACTAGCTGTCTGGTTTTCTTCAAGTCACTTTGTTTTTCTGAGGCTCGACTGACTTTACTGGCTTACTCATAAAATGTAGCTTAAAAATAATAAATGCTATCCTTTTGAACACCAATATTCTGTTACCTGAAATATAAATTCTTCTGAATTAATCAGTGGCTCAAAAGTCTCTCTTCAATATGGAGTAAACACATGGGCTCACAGATGGGTCTTGTCCATCTTGGAGTGGTCAACACAGTTGAGTTTGTGCAGGGAGAGACCTCCCAGGCCTGGAGCCAGTGACCACGGGTATCACTGAGGACTGGCTTCCTCCAGACCCGGGCCTGGTATTTCACTTGCCTTTCTTCATGCCATTGCTACAACATAGCAGCGGTTCCTAGACCAGCAGCATCTGTGGACTTGTCAGAAACGCACATTCTGAGGCCTGCTCACAAAGGTACTCTAGGTTTAACAACCCCTCCAGGTGATTCTGACATTCAAGCTGGAGAGGAGCATGGACCACTGACATGGGTCACCATGCTCAATCTTTGCTGTCTATCCAGCTCACCTGTGCAGTTACCACAATCCCACATCTGGCCTTCTCCAGTCTGAAAGGCCTGGAGTTTTGAGGTTTGAAACTCCACAGCTGATTCCAATATGCACCAAATGTGGAGGACCTCAAAACTGGCTAATTTGGGCCATCACCACAGGTGTCAGTTTTAGCCCTCACAGACATTTCTTCCACTTTCTTGAGAGTACTTTGCCAAGGAGAGGGTTACTCAGGAAAGATAGGATTTAATCTCAGGTCTGTCCAGCTATTTCCACTAAACCAGTGATTTTCAAATCCAGATTTTGGAATCAGACACATCTAGGTTCATAGGTCAACTTGGCCTCTTGCCTCTCTTAGTATCCTCATATGTACAAGATGATTTGGTCCCACATGTAGGACAACTTCAAAGAATAGAGAAGAGAGTTCAAAATTAAGCACCTGGCATGTAACAGGCACCTAATTGGAGCATGCTGTTGTTGCTAAGAATACAGGACCACCTCTGAAATATTTCACCTGTACTCAATTCAAACTGAGTTAAGAAATGTTCACCTCTAGAGATATTTGATTTTTATTTTTTCTGGAACAAGCTGTCAGAGGCGTTGGAACCAGAGCAACTCCATCTTGAATAGGGGCTGGGTAAAATAAGGCTGAGAACTACTGGGCTGCGTTTCCAGAAGGTTAGGCATTCTAAGTCACAGAAGAGCTAGGAAGTTGGCACAAGATACAGGACCTTGCTGATAAAACAGACAGCAGTAAAGAAGCCGGCCAAATCCCATCAAAACCAAGATGGCCACAAGACTGACCTCTGGCCATCCTCACTGCTACACTCCCACCAGCGCCATGACAGTTTACAGATGCCATGGTAATGTCAGGAAGTTACCCTATATGGTCTAAAAAGGGGGGCATGAGTAATCCATCCCTTATTTAGCATATAATCAATAAATAACCATAAAAATGGGCAACCAGCAGCCCTCAGAGCTGCTCTATGGAGTAGCCATTCTTTTACTTTCCTTTACTTTCTTGATAAACTTGCTTTCACTTTCTGGACTCGCCCTGAATTGTTTCTTCCATGAGATCCAAGAACCCTCTCTTGGGGTCTGGATCTGGACCCTTTTCTGGTAACAAAACCAAATAATGTTTATAGTGCTGCAAAAGATGTTGTTGATGTGTGAGATGTTGGAAGAAAGGAAGATTTAGACGGAAGCAGGAAACTCAGCTGTCACTGATTTAGACAGAAGCAGGAAACTGAGCTGTCACTGCTGTCTGCATTTAATTCCCTCAGGAGCTGATGCAGTCCAGGGTTGCTTCAGGTAGGAATTGGGAAGGGGAAAAAGCCCTGCATCCACCCCTCGCACCTCCCCAACACTCATATACCCATTGACATACCCCACATGCACACTCATGCACAAACGTACACACACACACATCCTCACACAACCTCTCTGGACTTCTTTTAGACGTTATCTATCTTCAGTTTATTTTCTTCCTCTGGAAGCCAAGTAGCATTCTCACAAAAGGTTGGAACTGAACAAAATCTGATGTCTGCATCCAGCCAGGCAAACTGGGTTTAATTTTCCTAATACAACGGCCAGGCACGGTGGCTCATGCCTATAATCCCAGGACTTTGGGAGGCCAAGATGGGGGGATCACCTGAGGTCAGGCATTCAAGAGGAGCATGGCCAACATGGTGAAACCCCGTCTCTACTAAAAAAATACAAAATTAGCCTAGCATCGTGGCAGTGCCTGTAATCCCAGCTACTCGGGAGGCTGAGGCAGAAGAATCACCTGAACCTGGGAGGCGGAGGTTGCAGTGAGCCAAGATCGTGCCATTGCACTCCAGCCTGGGCTACAAGAGCTAAACTCCATCTCAAAAAGAAAAAAAAAGAAAGAAAGAAAGAAAGAAAGAAAGAAAGAAAGAAAGAAAGAAAGAAAGAAAGAAAGAAAGAAAGAAAGAAAGAAAAAAATTTCCTAATACAGTATGTCCAGTTTGTGACATGGCTGTTAGATTTGCATTAACAACACCTCATGGGTAGCTTCCATAAGCATGGTTAGTGCCTGGGGTCATTAGGACCTCATGAAGCAGACTGCGGGCTGCTGTGGGGCTGTGCTGCAGGACAGTGTGATGATGGGGCAGCCCACTGCAGAGGGGGAGGGCTATTTGAAATATGTATCTACATGTATTTCTCCATTATTATTTTTTAAATTTAATGACAGTGAGTGTTATTGGAAGGAAAGCCTTGCGTGTGAATTGCCCAGGTCCTTGGCATTTTGAACAAAGAATTGAACAAAATGCACAAAGGAAGTAGCAGAGGAATGAAATGCAGAAACGAAGCAGAGAAAGCCGAGCTTTATTAAAGCGAGAGGGCACTCCACAAGGTGGGAGTGGGCCCGAGCAAGTGGCTCAAGGGCCCCGTTACACAGTTTTCTGGGTTTTAAGTACTCCTTTTGAGGTCCCTGTGGGCTACCCTTCATCTGGAGGAAGGATTTGGTTTATGGCTAATTAAAAGCTGATGTGAACTTGCCTACAGTCAACCCAAGGCTGGAGTGGATTTGCGGCCAATGCAGATGCAGGGATGGCCCCTGCCTGGCCCGCAGCCAATCCAAGGCACTGTCCCTTTCCATCTGAGATGTGGGGGAAGGGGGAGAATTGTAGGGAGTGTAGCCTTTGATCCTTGTTTGCCTTTGGATCTAGCTTTAGGAAATTACCACGTATTGGCTTTTGATTCCCTGCCCCCAGATCTTGGTTTCTCCCTTTGATTCAGCTTTGGGGAGGCAGAGCAAATTGGCCTTAAGTTCCCTGCATCCAGACCCTATTTTCCTGCCTCATGAGTAGGTGGGAATCCTATTGGTTTCGGTATTGATTTCAGAGTCTCAGTTCTGCCCATTCCTAGTTACTTACCCTGGGGCTCTCCCTAGGACCTTGGTGATTATCTCATCTATAACATGATAGGAATAAATTAGCTAACCACCAGCCTCAGCATTCTGTGCTGATGAGAGAGGGGGAGGAGGAAGGCCAGGAGGGGCACTGCTGCTTGGGTGGCCATGCCAGCTACTGGCAGCAGGCACGCAGGTGGCTCTCACAGCCTCTGAGGCTTCCTTCCCCTCCCGGATTGACTCCATGTTCAGTTTCTCGCAAAATGGAAAGAGCAGGGATTAGCTCAGAAACTTAGATCCATCTTCTGCTTTTGTCTTTACCTAGTGGTGTGACCTTGGGGATAGTTCTTAACTCTCCTGAGGATTTGTTTTCTCATTTGAAGGAAACATATAATTTCTGCTCCCTTCTATTTGGAATGTGCGATGACTCCATGCAGCTAAAATGCTGTGCTCATGGGGCCATCCGTGATGCTTTCTGCCCCTGGAGGAAACCCCAGGGTTCCTTCAACACCAATCTTATCACTCACTATAGGACTGTGCAAGTCTTTCTGGAAACAGATGCCTGAAACAGAATTTTCAAAGCAGCTTTTGACAACAAACATGCTCAAGGAAGTCCTTTCTGATGTCTTGGGTTCTTTTTGCTCTCCCAAAGCCATTGCTCCCAAAGTTTCCTTCACACCCTGGCCTCAGACGACAGGCTACATTGCTGCCCCTTTTTCTGCGAATGTCCGGGCTCTGCGCTTCTCATCTGCCCAGTGGGGGACGGGTCACCTCGCTGCCGGGAAGCACAGCCACACTCTCTCCTGCCTTCTCCTCCCATGCGGCGTGCTCACTTCCACATTGTGTAGGGTCCTGGCCCCATTCCTCCTCCCAGCGTCTGCTTTGGGGAAACTCAAGGGGAAGCAGTGGGATTATTTTTTTGGCAGGTGAAGCACAGCTGGCTAAAACTGATTCTTCAGCTTGAGTGGTTGCGATGCATGTTTGTCGTTTTTATCAGTTCTGGCTGCTCAGTATTTAATACACTGTGTGGCTGTACATGGGCCTTTAAGTTAAACAAATAGAAGAAATTATAAAGCAGAGGACTTTTATTTCATGGGCTGCTGGCTGAGAAAATCATAGGCAGATGTGTCGAGTTGGACTGTTTTCATCTGAAAGTCTGCTGACTTCCTCAGCTCCGATTCCTGATGTATTGTGTTTATCAGGCTTCTGTCTCTTCTCATATTTTGGGCTCTCATGAAAAAAATAAGCTTAAATGCAAGTGGCTTATGCTCACTGCCTTATTTACATTTCATCTAGATGACGTCTAGCTTTTGGCATTGAGATGTCCTTTAGAATTGAAGGAAAAAAATTAAAGCACGTATTTTACTTCTCTGATGTGTCGGGCACTGGGATAAATAACAGGGAAAGGGGTGGCTGTGACACCTGCCATGGAGGCTGGCATGGATGGTGTGGGACAGACTCACAGGCAAGGCATCACCCCCCGGAGGGCCAAGCACTGTGGTGGGTGGCAGGGGCAAACAGGAGCCATGGGCGGGCTGCTGCCGGGAGTGGTCCCTGGAACAACCCAGTAGCCCGAGGGTCTTGTCTGGGATCTTACTGAAAATGCAGCCCAGGCCCTGCTGCCCAGTGGAGCCAGAGCCTGCACTTTTCAAAGCTTCCTGTGTGATTCCTGTGCACTTTGAAGTTTGAGGAGTGCTGGTCCTGATGAAAGAAGGTCAACGTTGACAGTTATCAGATGATTGAAAAGGACCTCCCCGGGAGGCGAGGGCAGAGATGAGTCATTATGTTGGAGAAGGAGTCGGTGCTCGCCAAGCCCAGATTAGGAAAAGGAAACATCTGGTGCCAAGGAGGACGTTGCCAAAGAGCCTGGTTTGTTCTGGGAACTGCAGGAGTTTGGGGCAATGGATCAGGGACTAGCCTGGGTGGGAGAGGTGAGCAGGTGCTGGGATCCCACTGGTCCTCGAGTCACCAGATGCTGACCTAGAACGTGCTGTGGTTGGGACTGAAGCCCTGCAGCCAGACTGCCTGTTTTCCGCCCTTCGGCTGTGTGAGCTTGGGCCAGTTATGGAGCCTCTCTGTGCCTCTGTGTCCTCATATGTAGGAATAGCGGTCCTAGCAGCACCTACCCCATGGGGCTGTTCTGAGAATTCACTGGACCAATCTGTGTGAACTCTGAGTACCTCCCCACACACAGCAAGTGCTACAAAAGTGACCAGTATATTATTGGTGACTGAAGGTTGGCAAGTTGTGAGCAACATGGAGAAATTTAGTTGGTTTCTTCTTTGTTTTTGTTTCTTAATAAAAGATGTTTTGGCAATTACAGAGACAATGGAATGGAAAGAGATATTGGTGCAAGTGGAGTTTAGTGGGAAATCAGAGAACAGCAAACTCAGCTGCAGCTGCTTCTGCAATCCCCTTGGCCACATGCTTTTGATCACTCATCCCAGGACAGAGGACAAGTAGCAACATTCCCCAGCATGTCTTTGCCCCAACTTCTCTGAAGTGTCAGTAGATGTCAGACCATAAATGAAGACAGGTTTACATCTCAGAAAGACAGCGACTGTAAACAAGAAAATGCAAAGTCTGTAGAGTAGATCCATGTCCCTGGGCAGGACAAGGGCCCAGTAGCTTAGCTGGGTCTCATGCCGGCCAATGACTGTGGCAAAGAGGACTGAGAGGCCAAGCCACAGACTAGCACAGTGTCACCATCACAGGCTGGGCCTTCTAGATCTACCACTTGTCAGCCTGTGGAACTACGGGAAAGACGCTGAGCTACTCGCTCTGGATGTCTTTGTCTGGAGAGTGGGGATAACCAGGATCGGCTTGGCTGTTGGAAGAATAAATGGGGCACAAATGTCAGGGGCCTGTGTGGGCTTCAGTGGTGGGTTGGGACCAATGTCTGCCTGCTCACTTCTTGTGTTTTGTCTGAGGGGACCTAATTTGCAGACAGAGCTGAATGGGAATGGGGAGCCATTGTATTAACACTGAGCAGGCTGAAGGATCCTGGGGGTCAGCTCTGAGCAAAGCTTCTGGAGATCACGGCTTGGACAAGGAGCTTGAGACAAAGCCACATGCTTCCCACCTCCTCTCCTTGAGTCTGGGACAGTTTATGCAAGAGAAGCTGAAGGAGGGCAGGGAATGGGGTCACCTCACCCCAGCTCTCAGAGGACAGAGGGAAACACCCCCAGAGACACAGTGAATGACTTTGCCTGCATGGTCCCATGGCTGTGCACCCTGCCCCATGAGATCAGCACAGTGGTCTCTCAGAAGGAGCCCAAGAGAGAGGAGGCATTTCCTCCAGGACCACCCTGTGGAAGACAGGAGCTGGCCCCTACACCATTCTCACTGAAAAGCAGGAGCTCCCCCTTCCCCATGTGGCACTACAGCTGTGACTGATGGACTCCACACTGTTACCACTATGGCTACTGCTCAGAGGCTGTTCAGAAGGACAGGGAAGCAGTGGGGAGAGAAGGAAGAAGAACCCATTTCCTCATCCAACTAGCTAGAGCCTTCCGAGGGAAAATTCCTGCTGAACCCAAACCATTCACAGGAAACCAGCATCAGAAAAGACCATTCTGTAGCCATCATGAAGTAGGCAAAACCAAGAACCTTCCATCATTGTGTCTGAGCACAGCCAAGAACAGGAACCCTACAAGCTGTGAACATGACCACCCATCCTTAGCAACTATAGCTCCAGTCTCCCTATTCCTCGTACCCCTTGGATAAAAATCAGTGAATAACCAGTCATAGTTACTCCATGTCGTGACGATATCCACAATAGGCTCTGCTTCCTGCTTCCTTGACTACTCCGAGGATCACCCAACCTTAGCCCAGGTCCCATCACAATTTCCTCTACACCTCTTACTGGGAACATCAAGGTTCTCCATGGCCTGTAGTCTCTCCTGAGCTGCAGTAGGTAATAGACCAGACTTTGACTCGTGGTCTCTGGCTGGGGAGCATGGACTGTACTGATGCTTTGAGGGCCCTGGTCGGAGAGGTGGTTCTCTCTCAGGAGACAGAGAGGTATGTTAAGGCGACTGGTGGGAAGGGGGGTTAAAGGTTAAGCTGCAATAGGAAATGAAAGATTTGCATATTTTGCACAAGAGTTTGGTTTCTATTTTATGGCACAAGGAATCTCTGGTGGTGGGGGTGGGTGTTAAGAGTGATTGGATTTACATTTTAGTGAACCACCTTAGCTGCCACTTTAAGAATGTATAAGATCCAAGGCATGCTAGCTAATTGTTTATAACAATCATAATCATCCAGGTAAGAGGTGGTGCTAGTTTGGATTAGGGTAGTGAGGATAGTGTTGGAGGAGAAGGAATAGATTGGAAAGAGAAGGTAATCTACTGGATTGGTTGGTAAAGGGGAAGACAGGGACAGCTCTCGGATCCTGGATCAGACATTTGGGTGAATGTTGGTGCCATTTGGTTAACGGAGAGTTGGGAAGATCAAGGGTGGGTGTTCATTTCAGGTGAGGGATACTGATTATTATTTGGAACACTTGCAGTTTGGGGTGATTTGGGGTATCTGGGTGGAGATGTTCCTTCCATAAGTCTTTGGGCTTGATAAGATTGAATGTGTTCTGGAATGGAAAACAATTGGGAGACCTGGGTGGGGTGTGGCTTTGAGTGCTCACAGGGAGCATTTAGCGCTTAGTGATGGAAAGGAGGACCTCACTTAATATAATGCAGAGGTGGAAGGGACTATAATCTTGGACTTCCATGTGGTGCTGGTGAAGCAGGGCACACTGGTGCAAGTTCTTCCAACTCTGAGCCTCAGTTTTCTCTCTTTGAAGTGGGAACAGATGCCTGAGTCCTGCTAGATGTTCTCTGGGTTGAATTGCATCTTCAAAGTATCCTTCTTGTCTGAGTGCCATTCCCTGATCCTGCACAGTTTTGTGGTTTCACAGGGAGCCACCCTGGCATGAAAATATTCCTCTAAAAGCTGCAAGCCACTTGTGTAACTAGTCTCTGTTCAGTCTCATTCTCTCTGCTTAACTCTGACATCTGCCTTTACTAATCCACTAATACCTTTGTCAGTATCCTTCTGTTGATAGTTGTTAACTTGGGATGAATCAAAGAAAATGCAAATCAACTGTGAAAGTGAAAGCATCAGTTTTGAAGAAGTTGCAAGATTTCAGGAAGATAAGGAGGCTGACTTTGGGGGCTGACTGGAGAGCAACACACCATTGGTTCTGGAGGAACTAGCCTGGCAGGGCAAAAAGTAGGAAAACTTGCTGAGATTGACCGCACAGTCTTCAAAAGACGATGGCTCAAATATCAGTGGATTTAAAGCAGCTGTACCTAAAATAGACAAAGCTTTGGAATATTATCCCCCACCTCTACCCCTAAACTTCCATCTTTAGCATAGGACTGTGGGAGTAAAAGCATTCATGCTGGATAGGCATGTTCCAAAATCAACCTGTCTTATAAATTTCACATTCATTATTCAATAAATATATCATACACACACACTTTTTGCTTAAACTATAATGCCTTTGAGAGGCCTCTTACGGTACACATCAGCTTCCAATAACAAGTCCCACCCCAGGAAGGAGCTGGCTCCATCTCTGGCATGCATGGCAGGAACTTCATAAATGATAGGTCTTTTAATCTGCTGCCTCACTTTCTTTAGGAAGGAAAGAAGGGGGAGATGAGAGATGTGGAGCCCTAAATAATGGGTACTAGGGAGAAAGGAAAAGGGAACTCATTCAACAGCAGGAAGTTCATGTGGTAATTTGAGCAGGATACAAGGTATTCAGTAGGTGCCAAATAGGAACATGTCCCTTCTTCTTAAATGGAAGTTGGTGTCCAATCAATTTGGCACAAAGGGAGAAATCACTTTTAAATCTTGAAGGTCCTGTTCTAATCTTTGCCCTTCAGGAAAGCAATTTAGCCTGATCTTAGAATCTGGCTCTCCTCTCTCCTTTAAACCATGTGGTTCTAAGTTTCCTTCTTTTTATATTTGCCCAAAGCAAAAGTAATATTATAGCTTGTTACTTAAGAGGAAATGGATTTCTTTGAATAAATAAGCACTGCTTTTTAAAATAACAAGACAGTAATGTAGTCATTGGGTAAAGATCAAGTCCACACTGTGTTTTGACAAACCAAGTGGGTCATTGCTCCCTCTTGTCACTGCTGGAGTGTAGGCAAAAAGGGCCATCTGAGCAGGTACCACCATCACAGTCATTCACCCAGTCTCTAGGAAGTGGGGATGGAGGGTGAAATCTGCTATTGGCTGGACAGAGCAAGCAGGAAGGATGCCAGGATTTGTCATTGCTGCAATAATTTTCTTGGTTCTCTGAACAGGGCATGGGAAGTACGGAACAGGGCACAGGGACAGTGGTGAGGGGAACTTGTGTCTATTTTCCAGAGAGACAATACCCTGCATTTCATTTTGGCTAGGAATCAGAACCATCCCGGTTTACTAAACTTCACTTAACTTGTGAAAGACACAGAGCAGTGATGGGCTAAACCACACATGCAACCAAGCAAAGACAACAGACAAGGACCTGTTGTGACCTGCATGGGCCTCAGTGATATTGAGTCTGAGAGTTATCTGAACAGGAGCTAAACATTTGGAGAAGGCTTTATTCCTGACCTGGGACTGGTGGGAGTGGAGGGGAAGGGAAGGTGAAAGGGTGCTTAGAAAGTGTGAATGACTTGGGGAGAGATGAGTGAGATACAAGGCTGGAAATGGTAAAGGTGGCAGGCATGTGGTTTTCATACACGGGCCAGGTGAATCGGTTTCTCTGTTGTTATCTGAAATGGCAATAGCTTGTTGGAAATTTATGTGGGACCAAGCCCAAAGCTTATGCAGGCTTGGGTGTGTAAGAACTGCCACATCAAACTCATGACTTTTGAGAGACCAAGGTGCCACATGCTGAAAATTAGGGGAGGGAACTAGAGAAAAGAGGTCAGGAATAAAGAAAACACCCAGACTTTGTTTTCCCTCATACCTGGGGTGTTGCGGTAATGGGTTTTTCCTTGTACCTAGGACGTTGGGGAAGTGGGTTTTTCTTCTCTGACTGTGTGTGTGTTCTGGCATCAGGCTGCTGAATGTCCTGAGTCTGTGTAATTGGTAAAAAGCATGGACCAAGACTGTGTTTCCATGGTGACCAACAGAGGACTTCCCACAGAGATCCTGAGACCTTCTCTGTGAGATAAGAAGAGAGATGGGCAGATGCCTGGGCAGAAAGGTGGATTTTATAGAGCGGCTCCTCACCCGCTAGTCTTTGCTCTCTGTTGGAACCCTGTGACTGCTAGGGCTTGTCATACTGAGTACCTAAGAGAAGAAGCCCTGAAGAGAATCCTCAGCATAGCCAGTGCCTCTAGGAAACCATTCTGACCCAGGGGAGGGGTTCCTCTAGGAGGTGAGGTGCTGCTCTGAAGGGAGGGCCATACTTCAACAGTCCACACTGCATGGGAGCCCTTGTCATTCCTCTCCTCAAATGCAAACCTCTTTTTCTTAAATTTAAACTCAAAGTTTGCTCTGAAGATAAAACAAAGCACCACCACAGGCTACACTTCCAAACTTACATTTAAATTCCCAAGTCAATGAATATACACCTAAAAGCCATGTTCCATATGAGAAGTTTGACTTTCTGACACTCTGTATTGATCTTCCCTATTTTCCACCATCGTCATGTTGGCCTCCTTCTATGCAGCACCTTTCATCTTATATAAAGTGTAGAAACAATGTCAATCTACTTTATAAACGTATTGTCAATCATGGAATAGCAGCTAGGTTCCTGGTGAGATCTTAAATCTCCTAATTTTTGTGGGTGTACTGGCTTCATACAAAATGATACCCTTAGGAAGGAGGAGCAGAGGAACCACTGAGGTCCCTCTTATATTCTATGCACCATACAAGCCACCGCATACGTACTGTAAGTCTGCACAAAACCCTGCAAGGCAGAGAGAAGTTGGGTTACACGGCCTGAAAGCAGCAGAGCTTCCCCAGGAGCCTCACACATTCAGCAGATGCTAACGTCCAAACACAGGATGGTGTCTTCTGAATCTGCCCTTGGGCATTACCCTGAGCCTATGTGGGAATGGTATTTAGTACAAGGTATGCCCTCGGTAATAATCTCTGAAAGAATACATGAGCATGTGAATGACTGAGTTTAAGTAACGTTGTTATCAGATGTGTAGTCAGTCTGCCTGGCAACTTCCCACATTTTAATAGACATTTGAAATGCCATTGCATTGTTGATGGCACATTTGGACCACATGTCATGGTTGCTGGAGCACCGTTCCTTTCTTTCTATGCAGTGGTTCAGGCTCTGTCCTGAGATCTACACACTCGCAGAGCCTGTCATTGTGTTCACCAAGCAGGTGCATTTGGAAAACTGGGCCACCACGGCTTGCTCCTCATGAACAAGCTCCACCTCCCATCTAGAAAGCTGCCATAGCCAGCCAACAGAAAGCAAAGAAGTGAGATAAAGAGTAAGGATGAGAGAGTTCTTATATAAAGCAACAGGGTGGTGAATTCAATGAGAACTAAAAATATACTGCTCGATTTTCAGAACTGAAGGAAAATAGTGAAGTATTTCTATTGATATTTGAGATACTTATGTGCTTACCTAAATATATATGGGGTGTGTGTGTGTGTGTGTGTGAGTGTGTGTGCATGTGTGGGCATGTCCACCTCTGGCTGGCACTTAGTTGTCCACTGTGAAATAAGCTAGTGGTGCATCTCACCCAGATCACCATTACTGGGCTGGTGCACCCATCCTCCAGCTGCCAGGAGGTTTACTGCTCAGTCCCTCAGCCATACTCTCCCTGGAACACTGCCCTTGGGTGATGGAGAATTGCCCTTGGCTGATGGGAAATGCCTTACCTGGAAATGCCCCCTGCTGTTCCTCACACCCCCAGAGTCTTCCTGGCTCCAAGATTGACTGATCCTGGGACACAAGGGCTCAGCTTCCTGCTTCAGGTGAAGTAACCCTTGGATGCCATTTGTGTCCCAGAGTTCCCAGTTTATCTATGGATTCCAGTTATCTATGTGGCATAACAGCCACATAGCCCTGAACTAAATGGCTTAAAACAACAAACATTTTATTATATATCTTGATCCTTTGGGTGAGGGATTCAGCAGGGCTCAGCTGGGCAGTTCTTCTGTTCCACAGGGTATTAACTGTGGTTTCAGCATTCGGTTGGCAGCTAAGTGGGCCCAGAGTATCCCAACAGTTTCATTCAAGTACCTGGCACTTTGGTGGGGAAGTAGGAAGGTAGACACAGCTGGCCTCCTCTCCCTCCTCAGGTTGTCTCGGGGTCTCTCTGTGTGGTCTTATTAGAAGGGTAGCCAGACTTCTTACATGACAGTTGAGGGCTCCAAGAGCCAGTGGTCCAAGGAACAGAGAATGGAAGCTGCCAGTTCCTGGGTCCTGAGCCTAGAAACCATCACAGCCTCATTTCCACTATATTCTATTGTCAAAGTAGTCACAGGCTAAGTGGGACCTAATTAAACTAAAGAGCTTCTGCACAGCAAAAGAAACTGTCAACAGAGTAAACAGACAACCTGCAGAATGGGAGAAAATATTTACAAACTATGCCTCTGACAAAGGTCTAATATCCAGAATCTATTAAAAACTTAAATCAACAAAAAGCAAACAATCCCATTAAAAATGGGCAAAGGACAATGTGGAAATGCAAATCAAAACCACAATGAAATACCATCTCACACCAGACAGAATGGATATTATGAAAAAGTCAAAAATAACAGATGTTGGCAAGGCTATGGTGAAAAGGGAATGCTTATACACTGCTGGTGAGAATGTAAATTAGTTCAGCTATTGTGAAAATAAGTTTAGAGATTTCTCAAAGAACTTCAAACAGAATTACCATTCGACCCAGCAATCTCATTGCTGGATATATACCCAAAGAAATATAAATAGTTCTACCATAAAGCACGTGTATACATATGTTCATCACAGTGCTATTCACAATAGCAAAGACGTGGAAGCAACCTATATGCCCATAAATAGAGGACCAAATAAGGAAAATGTGGTACACATACACGATGGAATACTACACAGCCATACAAAAGAATGAAATTGTGTCCTTTGCAGCAACACTGATGCAGCTAGAGGCCATTATTCTAAGCAAATTAACCAGGGAAACAAAAGCAAATACCACATGTTCTCACTTATAAAGTGGGAGCTAAACCTGGACACAAAGAGGGCAACGGTAGACACTGGGGCTTATTTGAGGAAAGGAGGGAGGAGGGTGAGGGTCAAAAAACTACCTGTCAGGTACTGTGCTCAGTACCTGAGTGATGAAATCATTTGTACACCAAACCCCAGTAACATGCAATTTACCCATGTAAAAAACCTGCACATGTACCCGCTGAACCTAAAATACAACTTAGAAATAAAAACGTAGTCCCAGGCCACCCAGGTCCAAGAGGAGGGGCCATATACCTCACCTCTCAATGGCAGAGGCATTAAAGAATATGGTCCTCCATACAGACAGAGGCTAGACTTCTGAAGAAATCACATGATGCTTGCCCCATCCTGATTGCTTTGTTCTTTATGCTCTTCTCTGGAGAGCTCTCCCCCAATAAATTGCTTCTCAAGAATCCTCATCTCAGACTCTGCTTCTAGGGACCCAAACCATTAAGCTAACACCCATCCCTTGTCATTCTTGCCAGCAGCAGCACAGTCTTATTGAAGTTTATTAATGGAGCCCCAGCCAATCCACTTCTAGAGTTCCCAGCTTCCCTGGCAGCTGGGGTCAGGTGATTGTTGTGCAGAATCCCTATTAACCTCAGTAGGGAAAGCACCAGGTTCAAGAGGCTGAAGAAGAGATCCAGAGCCAGCAAATGAGACATGGGGTTTTATTAGGGGCTACATACAGGAGAGAGTCTAGTGGCTGTGGATGGGACAGGAAAACTGCCTTACATGCAGAAATTGTCCAGTGGCAGCAGGCTGGGCAGTAAAGCCACAACTGCTTGCAAACAGCATGCAATTTATATAGCATTTTCAATTAAT
The DNA here is from genome assembly GCF_000001405.40 of Homo sapiens. Classification (NCBI taxonomy): domain Eukaryota; kingdom Metazoa; phylum Chordata; class Mammalia; order Primates; family Hominidae; genus Homo; species Homo sapiens. Next base: position 24,128,084 of record NC_000020.11, read on the forward strand.
ACCCTCACCTTATCGACCTCCAGCTGACAACTTTCATCCAATCCAAAACTTGGGGCCTCAATCCTCTGTATGGCCCATGTTCCATGAGACAGGCCAGGGGTTCAGATGTTTCTCACAGACAAGGAACTAATCACCGGGTTGGCCACATCGAGGTTCCCTAGCTCAGAACACACATTCAGGTGCATCTGCTATACTGGGTCATTTCCCCGTGTAACTTAAATTATTGCTATCAGGTGCATTTACTCTACATTGACCCAGTTCTGATCAATGAAAGTCAAAGGAATTCTTTTGTGGAGCATCTCAAAATTGTTCTGCTTTCTGAGTAAAAGGAAGCATACACACTGGACACCACCCCCTCCCTGGCCCTCTTTCTTTTACCTTGAATATGGTTATGATGACTGGAGCTGCAGCAGCCATTTTGCAAATGTGAAAGAAGGGTCAAGAGAGTATGAATACCACCTGCTTTCATGTTGTCAAGCCACTGAACCAATGGCAACAGCTGCCTACCTCGGACTTGTCAGGTGAAGAGAAACAACCTTTTGTGTTGTTATTGTTCAGGTCATTGTCTCAGGTTTTATGTCACTTGTAACCAAGTGCAATCCAAACATCCTTGCAGGGGATAAAATAACCAAACTAATAGTTGAGGAACAAAGACATCTACTTTTCAGTTCAAACTGATACCCACTGAAGAGAGATATATTTACAAGATGACATTAAAGATGCAATTTGAAATATTAGCTTAATTTGGAAGACATTTTCCCCTTTAATCTGTGTTTAAAGTTAGCATGACATAGTTGAGAAAACAGTCTAATCCACTTTCCTTTATCATTTGAAGGTTTTTTTTCCTCTATTTAAATGAAAATTACTGATTGTCATTTCCACAGATGTTTTAGAACCTAGATGTATTTTGCAAATCATGGAAGAACTAACAATGTTCAGTTTGAAGCTGGCTTATCCTTCTCCATTTAATTCTGTTCTCTACTCATTCTGTTCAAATGGGCTTTATTAGGGCCTGAAGTCAATAATAAAAAAGGAATGGAATTCAGCATCACCATTGCTGCAGCTGTCTCTATTTTAATACACATGCTCATGAGGAGACATTTCCCTCCATGACAGTAACTTGCAACAATGGAGTAAGGAATTGGGGCTTCCCTTTGTCTTCCTTGGGGACAACAGGCTGAGGCCTGGCCAGACTACTTCTAACTCTACATCCCCACCACTTGCTATCCTCCCAAACTTGGTTTTGGGAGGAAACCTTAATTTAATATAGAACTCTTAGTATTACATAGCAAGTTCGCTTAAAAAATGCAGATACCTATTGCTTTAGTTTGAGTTCCAGGCAGGAAATCAGATGCTGAGAAAATAGTTTGGTGGAGGAGAATTTATTCAGGGAGCATGACCCTAGAGAATAGGAATAAAAACTGGAAGAAGCAAAGCAGGCAAAGGAATAAAGACAATTCAAGCTTGTGCCTTGAGCAGGTCGCCACTGTGGGCAACTGGGGTTCACTCTTGCTGGGCTTCCTCTGGGAGGTCATGTGGAATACCCCTCAAAATTTTCCACACAAGATATAGAAGAAAGGAGTCCTCTTGGTTAAATTCAAAAATTCAAACTTAAAATAATTCAAATGTATGAAAGTTTGAACTTTAACTTATCCTGACCTTGAGGGAACGTGGCTATGCAACTTGAGTCATGTGCAAGCAGCTGTGACTTCTGCCTTTTTTCTATAAATGATTAAGACCAAAGTGCACCAGAGAAAAGACCCCCTCAGATCACCACCCCTCCTCATGGAATAATAAAGTAATCTGTAACCAACCAAATAGCTGTGGCACCTGCACCTGGTCTTGTAAGGAAACTGTTGTGATTCTGTTGGAACTTTTCTGTCTCTGCCTATGTAAATGAAACCATAACTTTCCCACTCTGGAAATGTTGACCCCCTTTCATCTGGAGTCAGTGCTTTCCTGGGTGGCCACCCTCAAGCTTTGTGCTCATATAAACTCTATACTCTGGATGGAATGAAGAAAAAAGCCAAAAAAAAAAAACACAAAAAAACAAAAAACACCTCTGTAAGATATTTAAAGAGGTTTATTCTGAGCCAGTATGAGTGACCATGGCTTGGGAAACAGTCTCAACAGATCTTGAGAAAGTGTTCCCAAGGCAGCTGGGTTACAGTTTGGTTTTATACATTTTAGGGAGATAGGAGTTGTAGGTAAAATCATAAAGGTGTATATTGATTCCACCTAAAGAGGTGGGATATCTTGGGGAAGGTGGGTTTACAGGTCATAAGTAGATTCAAAGATCTTCTGATTGACAATTGGTTTGAAGAGTTAAGCTTTGTCTAAAGACTCGAAGTCATCAGAAAGAAGTGCTTGAGTTAAGATAAAGGGGAGTTGCAGAGACCAAGGTTCTTGTTATGTAGATGAAGCCTCCAGGTAACTGGCTTCAGAAGGAATGGATGATAAATGTCTCCTTCCAGATCTTAAAAGGTATCAGACTTGTTGTTACTCTCTGCTAGATCTAGGAAATGCCTGATTATACTCATGGAGATTCACTGCAGATGCAAATTTCTCCCACAAAAGACAGCTTTTCAGGACCATTTCAAAACATGTCAAAGAAATATATTCTGGGATAAAATATTTTTATTTCCTTCAGGGTCTGCTTCTGACTTGTGATTGATACCAGAGTCAGGTTGGAATTTGGCACCTTTTTGCCACAAAGGGTCTGTTTTTTGAGTCTGTGGTCTCTATTTTAATGCTAATGCTGGTCCCTTGTCCCTAAACCTTTAAAGGATGGGTATAATGAGGTGTGTCTCACATCACTTTCCAGCATGGTCTGGAATTCAGCTTTTCACAATTCTCTAAGTTTCCTGTGGCCAAGATGGGGGAATCTATTCAGTCAGTTTGTTACCAGAAAGGGGTCCCGATCCAGACCCCAAAAGAGAGTTTCTGGCCTTATGCAAGAAAGAATTTTGGGTGAGTCCAAAGAGTAAAGTGAAATCAAGTTTATTAATAAAGTAAAGGAATAAAAGAATGGCTACTCCATAGGCAGTGTAGGGCATGGGCTGCTCTACTGAACATACTTATAGTTATTTCTTGATCATATGATAAACAGGGGTGGGTTATTCATAAGTTTTCTGGGAAAGAGGCAGAGATTTCCTGGAACTGAGGTTCCCTCCCCTTTTTAGACCATACAGGGTAGCTTCTGGACATTGTCATGGCATTTATAAACTGTCGTGGCACTGGTGGGAGTGTCTCCTAGCATTCTAAGGCATTATAATTAGCATATAATGAGCAGTGAGGAGGACCAGAGGTCACTTTCGTTGCCATCTTGGTTTGGATGGGTTTCGGCAGGCTTCTTTACCACAACCTGTTTTATCAGCAGGGTCTTCGTGACCTGTATCTTGTGCCAGCCTTCTGTTTGATCCTGTGACTAAGAATGCCTAATCTCCTGGGAATGCAGCACAGCAGGTCTCATCCTTACTGTACCTAGCCCTTATTCAAGATGGAATCAGTCTGGCTTAAATGCCTCCAACAGGTTGGGTGGCTTAGGATTTTATTTTTGGTTTGCAATACTTAATCACATTCTCTGAATCTCATTATTTAAAGCTGACATCCTGTGTTATGCCATTCTTGCATTGCTATAACAAATACCTGATACAGGGTAATTTATGAAGAAGAGAAGTTTAATTGGCTCATATTTCTGCAGGCTGTACAGGAAGTGTGGTGTCAATATCTACTTGGCTTCTGGGGAGGCTTCTGGAAACTTACAATCATGGTGGAAAGCAAACAGGAAGCAGACTCATCACATGAGGAAAGGAGGAGCAAGAAAACAAGGGGGAGGTGCCACACACTTTTAAACAACCAAATCTCACAAGAACTCACTCACTGTCACTAGAACAGCACCAACGAGATGGTGCTAAACCATTCATGAGAAATCCACCCCCAGGATCCAATCACCTCCCACCAGGCCCCACCTCCAGCATTGAGGGTTATATTTCAACATGAGATTTCGGTAGAGACATATTCAAACTATATCATGTCCCCACCACCCCCATACCCCAAATCGTCAAGAATGCCCCTGTGGTGCCATGTCCATGTGCTATGAGGTAGCACACGTGTGCATGCCAGGTGAGTTCCACAGGTGACCCTTATGTGGTGTCATCTGACCCTGATGTCAGCCACACTTATATGGCTCCCCTGACCCTGATGTGGAGAGCAAGAGGTGCAGGGTTCAGGGAAGTGGACTCTTCTGGCCACACTTTGCAAAGTTAATCAATGCAGTGAGAAAGAAAAATAGCTCAGAGCAGTCTGAGGAATGTGAGTTATGCAAAATTTATCAGGCCCAGAGAGTAGGAAACTTCAGTCAGCCCTGCACCCATGGCCAGGGGCAATTATTTAAAGGCATTTAGTTCTTTCTTTTCTTCCCTGTAGTTTCTAGACTAGCTGATAAATGACCTAAAATGTTACTGCAAGTTTCACAATGTGACCTCACCCATGATCTTCATGTTCCTGGAATTCATGATACAAATAACAATGTCTAGTCAATCACTAATTAATGTAATTTCCATAAACCAGTGAGAACTCCCAACAAACAACTTTGTATCTTCCCACTCCCTGTACCCCTTTGCCTTTAAAAACCTGCTTGTAACAAAGACAAAATGGAGTACATATCTAGGGTCTCAGTATTCTAGGCAGCTGTGAGCATCTTGCCTCAAGTAAACTACTTAAAGTTATATTTTGTGCCTCAGCTTCTTCCTTTAGGTGAACACCAGCAAATGGCTGGAGGAAGGGTGGACAAAGAGGATACAAGGTAATACATGGGAAATGCTCAATTCAGCATCTAATAGGAGAGGTCAACAAAGTTTTCTGAAGGAGATAGGAGCCATACAGAGAGTAAAGAGCACATATAAACCCATGGAAAAAATAAAAACATGGTAGCACACTGGAACACCTAATGGAAGTTGGAAGAGAAAAAAATTATCTGGGTGGCAGAAAAAAAAAGAAGATGGAAAAGAGGTGGGTAAACAAAGAGTTCTGAAATCAGAACTGACAGAAGAAGCTAAATGATTCCCAAGAGTTAGAAAGAAAGTCTAAAAATGTGGGGAGGAGTGCAAAAAAAGCAGGAATCAGGGTGGCTTTGGGTATATAGCAACAATATTGGATGGTAGAAAATAATGAAACAATGTCTTCAAAATTCTGAGGGAAAATTATTTCTAACCAATAATCCTTTCCCTAACCAAACTGTCAATAAACACAAGAGTAAATACTGTATAGCATGCAGATCTTGAAAAATTATCTTTCACATGTCCTTTCAGAGAAAGCTGTTCTGGAGCTTGGAGGATGTGCTCCACCAAAACAAGGGGCTAAACTGAGAAACAGGAAGACGAGAGATCCAGAAAAGGAGGTAAAACTTGAGAGAGAGAGTTAAAGTGGATCCCCAGCATGACAAAATGACCCTAGGATGGCAGCTGTGCTCCAGTTCCAGAGGATGAGCAGTTTTAAATGAAACAGGCTACAGAGACCCTGGGGAGATGTTAAGAAAATGCAGTTGGTGGAATACCTGTTACAGGTAAATGATTTATACCAGAGTTTGCACATTTTTCTTGAAGGACCAGATAGTGAACATTTCGGACTTTGCAGGCCGTATAGTCTCTGTTACAACCATTGAACTCTGTCATTATAATATGGAGTGAAAGCAGCCATAGATAATACAGAAACTAATGGGTGTGGCTGTGTTCCAGTAAAACTTTATTTATAAAAAGATAAACAAGCTAGATTTGACTTGCAGGGCATTGTTTGCTGAGTCCTATTTTGAACAAGGTGAGTGAACTCAGAGTATAAATTAGTTGTGATTTCATAGCAATCTAAGCACATAAAAAGCCAAGATAAGTTTTAACTCTATAGAAAACAAAATTTTTAAAATGTTTCTCCTAAAATATCAAGATAATTGTGCATATGACATGGCTCACCTGTGAATGATCTTTATACAATCACAATCATGTAGACACTGAATACTCCTCTACCCCAGTTTGTGATATAACCATGTGGGAAGTACATGAGGGGTGGGAGGGGTGACAGAAAGAGCATGGGTCTTGTTTGCTGTGGTGGGAAGCCTAGAGGTAACACCCAGAAGGCAGAATCAAGAAGTAGCCACAAAGCCATATCATTTAGGTGCATGACAGAACACCTCAATAACAAGAAGTAAGGGTTGGAACAGGAGGCTCAGTGAAGAGCAATTTAGGAGAGTCTCTGGCGGCCTGGAGAGAACTGTCTCAACTTCCTGAGCCTACCTCCAGGGCCTCTGCCCAGACCAGACCTCCTGGGAGCAGAGCACGCTGTGACACTCCTAAAGTGGAGGCTTGCCAAGGGGTGCAGATGGAGCTTGGACATGTGGTCAGGGTGCTGCTTGCTTCTCGTTTTCCACACTGCTAGGCAAAGCAGGAAAGGGCTATAAAGAACAAAAGGGAGGGGGTTATTTAGAACAGAAAAGGGGGTCAGCCCTGGCCTGGAGCTGGCTCTCCTTGCAAAGCCACATTCCAGCAGGATGATTCCTAGGATTCTATGAATTCTAGAACAATTGAAGGGGTATTTGCTAAGGCAGGAAGACAGGATACATTTTATTTAATGGCTTGTTTTATTGATACATGTAAACCAGGTCCTGCCGTTTACATAAGGGCAAAGATGTTGCCTTTGCCCACCGCACAGTGTGGGAGCCCAGCCTGGAGCAGCCACTGGGGAGAACGGGGTAACTGGAACAGAACTCTAGGGCACAGCTCTGAAAAGGAGATTTGCTGGTCCCATCTCCAGTGCAGATCCTTGGCCTGTGCTGCCCGGTTCAGGGTGGAGGTCTGCTCCCGGCTCTCAGGGCCTCCCTTTCTATCTGAGTCTCCACCGAGGCGGCTCTGAGAGAACCCAGCTGACTCAGGGACAGTGGAGCAGAGGCTGGAGAGGACAGCGGTGAGCCTGGGCAGCGCCGGGTCGGGACCCCGGCAGCAGAGGCCGCGAAACCGCCCTGGATTGGGGTTAGCTGGGATCAGATTCTGGATCAAAGCAGGTACGAGGTAGGGACACTGTGAGGTGAGTCCATGGACACATGGGTGCGGAGGTGGTGGCGCCGGGGAAGGGGCAGGCACAAATGCTCACGCAGCCCCGCGCTCTGCGGGTCTCTCCCGCTCACTGGTAAAGAGATGACAGATCTGCTTGAGCGTTTTGGTGCGGCAGGACTGTGCCTGTATCTCCTACATTCTGTCCCAAAACCCTGGGCAGGATTTTGTCCTCACTTCACACGTAAGAAAACTCAGGTTCAGAGGATTAAATAGCATGCCTAAGGCCAGGTGAGCAACTCCACGACCCCACAGCTGCCCTGGCGGCCTCCAGGAGGCCTCCTAGCCTCACTGCCTCACTTGGTAATGTTGGGCAGAGCTGGGGTCTACCCGGGTGCTGCATCTCTGGGCAGAGCAGGAGCTTACCTTTGGAAGGAGGCATTGGACTTCTGGGGAAAGTTTAAAAAAAAAAAAAAAGCCCACTCCTGTTTTGTGCTCCCTGCCTGTTACCGGGCTTTCACTAGCCTCTTCGGTCAGGGCAGCGTGACTTCCGTAGTGACTTGGGTAATCTTTACAACACAGATGGCTTTTCTCAGACCCTCAAATAACTCATTTACACATTCTGGATCCATTATGGGAAATTCGGAATAAATGGATGCCTGGTATGACTAGGGAAATTAAACTACAGCAATAGAAAGCATCTTACCCGGACTTCAACAGCCAACCAGGGAGCACATGCGCTGCGTACCCAGAAGCCACACAGCCTGAGCCTCTCCTGCTTCCCGGCCGTGCACCAGCAGTTCCTGGAAACACTCACAGGATGCGCCTCTGTTCTCAAGAAGCCACATGCCCCTCGGCTACAGAGTGTCAACCCACAGTCTCCTGTGTGCCTATCGGGGTCAGAAGTGATCATCGGGGTTGAGAGCCTCACTTAAGAATTTAACAAGGCCCAGGGTAGATGAGGGAGCCGTGCTCAGAGCTGCGTCGGCCAGCCCTCCATGCTCAGCCACATCTCTTTCCTAAACTATGAAGGGGATGGTGGGACCTGCTCTGTGGACACTGAGGGACTCACAGGTAGTGTAGGTGATAGGCCCCCGCCGCGCAGGACCCACCCATGCTGGGCAGGCTTGCTTCTCATTTCCACATGCCAGGCCAAGCAGGAAAGGGTTACAGAGGAATGGACCCTCCTGGGTGTGGACGTCTCCTTCATAACCCCTGGAACTAGACAGAGAGGAACACCTGGGGGTTAAGGTGCAACGGGACCAGTGCTGCCCAGTCACCTGTGGAGACAGGCATTTCTTTTCTGATGCTGTTCATACACCAGCCACCAGACCCACGTAGCTGTTAAGCACTTGAAATGCAGTTAGTGGGACCGGCGCACTGATTTTAGTTTAATTTTAGTTAATTCACATTTAAATTTAAAAAGTTGAGTGTGGGTGGTGGCTACCATATTGAACAGTGAAGATCTAGCCCACAGGGTATAAATGACAGGTGCTCATTAGTGTCCAGTCTGACTCTTTCTGGGACATTGTCACTGTATCCTGGATTCCATTCCTGAAAGCCTGGCATCTGTAGGGTTCTGCAGATGTCAGCAGAGTTTATCAGGCCCAGCTGTTGACTCCTGGAGCAGGTGTGCTGACTAGTAAGTGAGATCATGTGCAGAGCTGCCATATGCCCTGTGCTGTGGGCAGACCTATGTGTCATCTTTACTTGTGTTCTGATCAAAGGAGGGAAGGTGTAAAAAAATTCATGGAAAGTGTAAAGTGTCAGGGAATATTAGTTACCATGATGAACAGTAATTATCAGAGTGACCTAATTTTGTACCTTCCCCTTTTTGTATCTTGTGTAATATTCACATGCCTGTGGTGGGGCCTGTCTCCAGTTTACAGAATTAAAAATGGGCTGGGAGGTGAGGTGTCTCCCCAGGAAACAAGGAAATAAGTGCAGGACTTAGAGGAGCTGAGCTGTCCCAACCCCCAGGGCCTCCACAGCTGCTTCATGCGGGGACATGGAGCCTGAAGTCTCCATTCTCGTCCCACTCTGTGCCTGTCCCAAAGCAGCACTTCTCCCTCAGACTTTTTCTTTTTGAAAATTATTTGAATAAATTTCTTCTTCTAATTCCCTAAGATCAAAAAAATTGTATCCTTTATAGATTTAAAAAAGCAGCAGTATGAAAATGAGCCCAGAGATCCTTACATTATAAATGCTTAGAGAAACTTTATGGTTATAAAAACAGTAATTAGGTAAGAGGCCCTAAGCATCTGATTCCTTAAAATGCTCTTTAAGGTGGAATGGATTTAGTTAGCATCTGGCACCTTGCTTCGTACTGGTATGAGTGCTTTCCATGTTAGTAAATTTCAGCATCAATTCGAAAGCTTGGCAGGCATGATCCTAATGCTGGTGAGAAGTCTGTTTCTCATGCTCATAGATCCCTCCTGGATTCCTCCTGGGTGCACACCAAGAAAAGGGAGCTGGAATGACCTGATACTGTGGATTACGTTTACATGAACATGGTGGCATTTTGGGTGGCTTTGATGGTACACCTACTAGAGGCATTATCTTTTTTTACCTGGTCTGGTGTGATATTGTCTGATTAAGGGATTCACTAGCAGGGCTGCAGGATTTCCTGCCCTCTGTGGATGCCAGCAGTGCACTATCCACTATCGTCATGGCCCCAGAGGGCTCCCACCCAAGTGATGCTTTACCATCCTCAGACTGGCAACGCTAAAAGATAAGTTGTGTTCATTTCACCGCTGTCCAGTTTGGCACCAGGCAGCAGTGGGGTTGCTTGCTGGGGCCACTCAACAGGACCTCACTGCAACGTCAGTGCCCCCCAATATGAAGTTGGGGCTTTTGCACCCCAGGTGGAATTTTCTTTTCCTTAGGTTTATATTCAGGAATGTCCTCAGAATTTGGCAGATGTCTATGAGGCCAATGGCAAACAGTGCTCAATGGCAAAGGGGTATTTCTATAGAAGAGTGGCCAATATTTGTACTTGGAAGGAGGGGCTGTGAGCCCGCGGGGATGGGGAAGATGGAAAGGGAGAAGAGAATACAGGATCCTCATTCCAACCCCAGTGGGTGCAGCCTGAGACAGCCTGCTCTTGGGCAGTGGTTCTCAAGGTGGAACCTGGAGGGTTTGTGACTTCATTCCGTAAGCTGCCGGGCCAAGAATGTGCATTTCTGTCATTTTCCCTGGCAGTGCTGAGGCTGCTGGTCCCTAGTGGTTTCCTTCAATGCTCTTTGGCAGCACACTTGCAGGTGGAGCCTGTGAAGGTTCCCATTTAACTGCTTGCAATGAACCTGCCAGTGCAGAAAGCAGAATGACAGAGTTCCAGTCCCCAAGTCCCAAAGGAGCTTCCAACTGCATCCCTGTAGTGACATTAACATCATTTTCCCCATCATTTACTTAGGAATGCCAGTCTCCTTTCCATCGTACAGGGAATCCAGCCCTTTAAATGCAACTACAGACCTGTTTCTCAAGTCCAACCCTGGCCTCTGTTTCAGCCTGGCCTGCGGCCTCATTCCAGGTTTCCATCCTCTCTCACAAGACTATTTGAGAGCCTCCAGCTTCACATTCTCAGCCACCCATTTCTCTCTCTCCTCCTGCCTACCTCACCATGAAGGCTTCTGAAATGCAGCTTTCCCCTGTCCAGCCTGTCCTTTGGTGGCTTTAAGATCTTTCATGGCTCTGTGTGTGCCCATCAGGGCTTTGGTTCTGGGCTTGAACGGCAAAAAACCCCTGCCCTGGGCACAGCCCTGCTTGTCCTCCTGGCCTGCCATTCACATGGTGTTCCTTTGCCTAGAGCCACTCCCGTTCCTCCCCCTAGAAAATGTGTCTTCACCCTGCAGGGCCTGACTCAGAGTTCATTTAAATGACACAGGAGGTACAGAAGGTGCGTCCACTGAGGGGACCCTGGGCACTGGCCATGCCTTCCTTTGCTGGGGCCAGGGTGGGGCTTCTCTGGTCTGACCTGCAGTAAGGGGCTCCAAGGGTTCTGTGCTGCTGGAACAGGGCATCCACATGGGGTAGACAGGATGGTGCTGAGCAGAATCCCAGGTCACAGAGGCCCCCAGTTCTGCTGAATGGCCCGGGAGGCTATGCTGGCTACTGCTGAGAAGAGGACTCTGCACCCAATGCTGCTCTCTGAAAGACCCAGGTCTGCTGGCCCCCATGTGATGTTACCATCTGGCTTCCAGGTCACTCCCTGGTTTGGACCTGGAGGTGGCCAATCCCAAAATGTTCTGGGAAGAAGCCTGGAGGCTGACTGGGCCCCAGTCCCCATGGTTTGTCCTTCTTCTCCCTCCCCCTCACCAAAGCCATGAACTTGAAGCCATGAACTTGAAGCCTGTGTCTCAGGTTGAATTCAAAGTCAAGTGGTTTATTTAGGAGGTGAGGGAATAGTCCCTGGAAGGAGGGCGTATTGATAAGCCAATTACCATGGTCACCTGGAGCTTAATCACTCGGGGATACCTAGGAAATGTATAGATTCTGCCGCGCCTGGGAAGTCTCTCGTCAGACAGTGTTATGGGTTAGTTGATGTCCAGACAAAAGACATGTCGACATTCTGGCCCCAGTACCTGTGGGTGTGACTTATTTGGAAACAGGGTCTTTGCAGATGCAATCAAGTTAGATGGCATCACCAGAGTAAGCCAAATCCAAGGACTGGTATCCTTATAGGAAGAGGAGACACAGAGACACAGAAGGTAGAAGGCCATGTATGGGGCCACAGTCTTGAGCTAGAAGAGGCAAGGAAGGAACTCCCAGAGGCTTTGGGGGAGCACAGCCCTGCCAACTCCTTGCTTGTGGACTTGCAGACTCTAGACTGAGAGAGGCAAGTTTCTGTTGTTTAAGCTGCTCATGAGTGGCACTCTGTTACAGAGGGCTGTGCGGGGTGGGCTGTCTATCCCCAGCTACCCCAGTCCTTGGTTGACTGCTGCTATTGAGAGGATGCTCATTTCTGGGCACCTTTAGGCTCAGGCCCAGGGCAGGGCCTCTGTGGTTCTAGAAGGAGCTTCCTAGCATAGAAATGCTTCCAGCTGTAGCTGTAAGTTGGCAGAGTACAGTGAAGGGTCTGGGAGACATGGGCAGGGCATGGATAGGAACTGCTGTCCCTTCTTGACCAGGCCCAAAGGATGTGGTCCTTGGGCCAAGCATTTGGGATAAGAGACAAAGTCTCAGGGAGCAAAGAAAGGAGGGGCTTGTGGGAATGGGAGTGGGTACAAATCAGTTACTACTTGAATATCTTCCCCTAAGAGACTTCCACCCCAATATCCTGTCCCCAAGTCCCCAAGAATTCAGTTGTCCTTGCCCTTTGCTCCTGAATCTCTCCCCAAATCCCAGTGCATGCCATTGCATTGCAGACATCTGTATACTTGATGCCTTCCCCTCTAGAACTGTCATGCAGGAGTGAACTGCACACCTCATCTTTGTGCTTCCACATACGTAGTGGTTGGTATCTATTTTATTGTTTTAATTTTAGGGCAAAAAACACCTAGTCGGCCTATGAAGTGCAGGGACCCATGGAGGGCCATGCAGTTGATCAGGCTCAAGGTGCCCTAGGGAGAGGGTGGTGGCCAGGGCTGTTCCCACAGAAAGAAGGGTGCTATGCCTGTACTTGGTGCTGCTGGTGTCCCAGGATGTGTGGCTGCCTGTTCCTCTTTCTTGTCCTGTCCTTCCTCAGTGAGGATGAGTAGCAGCTAACCCAGCCCCATGCAAGTAGCTCAAGGCCAGTTCTCCCTTGTTGCACTAAAGCAAGATTTTTCTCAGCCCCTCTGCTGGGCTCCCGGTAGGAGATGCCCCATCGACTCAGCCCACCTAGCCATGCCTAAAGGCAAGCCTCTGGTGTGGATCTCATGCTGCCACGACTGTGCGCTCAGCCTCTGACTGGTGGGAACATGTGAGTGAGCAAGTATGGGGTCTGGCCAGCCAGTCTGAGCACAGACACAGGAGCAGGCTCTGTGCAAAGCCCACACCAGACCAGGTGTGTCACCCCAAGGGGAACATGGTGGTGCCAAGTCAGGGGTGCCTGCGACCCCTAAGCCTCAGAGGGGGTATTACAGTGTGCTAATTAGCTATTTTAGTTCTGCTATCCACAGCCTGATGAACAGCAATGTGTTAGCAGCTCAGTCAGCCCCGTGGCCCACTCTGACCCACAGCTGTGGGACTGGCTGGGCCCCACTCCTGTTTCTGTTGTGTGGGGCAGCTACCCTCCACTGTGAGGGCAGGGGAACACAGTGCTACAGCCTTTCTGGATACCCGCCTTTGGTGGGTCCCGAGCTCTTGTCCCTCATCCAAGAAGAATGAAGTCATGCTGACAATTGAAAGGTGATGAGGACGGAGAGTTTTATTGAGCAACGAAACAGTTATCAGTAGAGAGGGAACAGGAAGGTGGTCTCTCACCCGAAGTCAGGTTGTCTTCCCCAGTGTGGCTGAGTCTGAGGTTTTTATAGGCACAGGATGGAGGAGCCATGGGCCAAATGATGTAGTATTGGGAAAGTCAACATTCAATTGGCTAAAAGCATTATTCAGAAAGAACCAATTGGGGAAGGGTAGGCAAACAGGAACAGAAGTTGTCACTCTGGGTCGTGGGTTTCATCCGGAACCAGCAGTCCAGGGTGTTTTGGCTCGAAGGTGAGGTTTCACCAGGGAACCACCCCTGTTTGCCTAGGCATTTGACTGCCTCCTGTCACTGTCAGCATTGGTGCCTGAAAAGGCCATCCTCCTGCAGATGGAGCCACCCTCCTGCCTGCATTGGAACCAATAAAGTTTCCACAAAGATTTAGTCTTGATTTTTATCTTTTTCTTTCCCATTCAAATCATGAAGTTCTCTCACACTTTTTAAGGTCACTTAGGTTCTAAGTCTTGAGATAAAATGTCTCTCCCTAAAGCATAAACCCCATCACCTCTCTTCTTCCTAACCCCAGAGAACAGCCTCATCAGTGATATCCCACTCTGCTCGGTTTCATAAGGAAGTATCCCTGGAATTCATCTGGGGGAGTTGTGTACATTCTAACCTTCCCTTCTATTTTTTTCCTATTTCATAATTACTACTTTTTAAATTTTATTAATTGTAAATTAACATTCATACAAGCAGGCATGCATCTAAAATCCACCAGCCTTCAATTGGAGAAGCAAGCAGCACACTGTAGTCACAAGGTCTTTGGTCTGGGGACTGACACCGAGTGGGAAAGCCTGTTCCCACCTCTGGCTGCCATGTGACCCCGAGCAAATCTCCCCCATTCCTCCCCAGGTTCTTTGCCTGTCAGGGGGTGGTGCACATCCCACTCACTTCATCCTGAAGATCAAATGAGAGGTCATATGTAGCAGGAATTTCAACTGTCTGGCATTTGGTGCTTCAATAAACATCACCTACAAGATTAGACATAGCCAGCATTATACATAAATTCACTCCACTCCACGTATTTGGGTAGGTGCTAGGAGACTGAAGGGGATGCAAACTCTTTCCTACATGAAGTCTGTAACCATCCAGAACATACTTAATTGAGTGAAGCAAGACCTTTTTCACATATTGTCACTGCTCTGCAATTTACTGCTATCCTAATAAAAGTTTATAAACTTTGCATGGCTAACAGAAAAATAGGAAGAGCCTTAGAGAAATCTTCCTTTGCAATAACTGCTCTGGCCCCTGGACATCAGCACAGCAGATGATGCTGAATGAGGTCGAATCGTTGGAACTGAGGGTCTTGACATCCAGCAGACTCAGGCCGTCATGGACTTCATTGCTCCTTTTTGCCACTAGCTCTGGGACCTCAAGCAAGTCACTTCATTTTTTTCCCCGCAGTTTTCACAGCTTTAAAATGGGATCAATACCAGTTCCTGCCTGACAAAGTAAAGTGGGAAGTTTAAAACAAACATCCTCTCACACCCTGGGTTTAAGTGTCAGGGCAATATACCCTAGGCTGTCCCAAGAGCACCTCACAAAACCTCCCTCCCATTTGCCTCCATCACCAGACTCTGAGCTCCCTCCCACCCCACCTGAGAACCATGAGGGCAGGGCCATGTGCTGGGGTGTGGCTCCCCACAGTGCCCTGGGCTGCCCTCCTCCCTGGCACTCCCCCACGGCAGACTTGTGCTGGGAGCTTCTCCTGCCAGCTTCACACATCTGCTGGCCCCAGCATTTCTCCTGCAAGCACATTCAGGTCTTTCCCAAGCAGGATTACTCTGGCAGCCTGTGAATGCACAACACCTGTTGTCTGAATTCTCCTGTCAATTGTGTTAATCCTGCTTTGCTTTGGGGATCCTGCAGGTAGATCTGGATCCGGATCTTGTCTGCTCAGCTTCTTCCTCACCAAGGCAGTGAAAGTGAAGCTGACCTTCTTGGGAAGTCTTTCTAGACTTGGCCAAGACAGAGCAGATTGTTGAAGATGGGAGCAGGTGGTGATGCAGAACGCACCAGACCCACAAGTGCCAGGGGCCAATCCTTACCTGGGCTTAATTCCAGGAGAGATGGCTTGTGGGCCAGAGGGACATGGTCTGGGATGGGCTTACTGGTCAGCCCAGAACAGGCCTCCTCAGAGAGTGTGCTCTGGACCAGCACTGCCCCCATGACAGCATCCTGACAGCTGCCCTCTCCTCTTCCCTAAGTCACAAACGTCAGGCAGCCCACCCTGAGATAAGAAGCCAGCCTTCTTAAAAAGGTGACTAGCCTTCTTCTACAGTTTTCTTCCAATAATGTTCAGAGAGCCATCAAGCCCTGCTGAACCCAGATTCCTGCCATGAAAAGCCTTCACTTTTGTCCCCACATATGACCTTCAAAGGACAGTTCGGTAGTTTTGCAAGTGAAGACTTAGCTTGGAGGGTGTTCAAGTAAGACTAAACATAAAATGGCAACAGCAATAGTAAGAGTGATAGTGGCCAGGACTGTTCTCCCGTGTGGGCCTCCTCTGAGCCTGGCACACATGCTAGTCCCTTTGAGTGCTCCCGCCCCTGAGGTCAGTCTTGTGCTCACTGCCTCCCCCTCATAGGACATCCCAGGACGCAGCGGGACAGAGCCAGGCTGTGAGTGCGGGCTGCTGTCCCAGGCAACCTCCTACCACACACACGTCTCAGGCCTTGAGGGCTAATGGCTCATGGGGGCACTCACCATGGAGGGGCTTGAGGGGGTCTGGCCTGTGTGCCAGGTGCAGTCTGTTCCTGCCCCACCTCCAACCCTCAGCCAGCAGTGTCCACAGGAAGCTGGAATGGACCGACCCCTCTCTGCTGACCACCCCCAACCCGCTGCATTTGCCTCTCTGTCTTTCTATCAGGGAGCCTCCTCTGCACATGTGCAAAGCACCTGGATTTTACATTCCAGGGACAACCTTCAACTGAGGATAAGCGGGAGTCCTTGGGTAAATCAACACAGCTTCCTCATCTCGTTGGGACGGTTTTGAGCTGCGTCTTATGTGGTTCCTCAGAGGTCGCAGCAGGGTTGGGCCTCATTGCCCACAGCAGTAACAGGTTCACCAACACAGCCTTCCCTTCTCACTCTCCCCACCCCTCACTCCCGGATTCCCCAACCGCCAACCCCCTCACCCTCACCACCGAGAAACTATCTGCTCATACATCCTGGTGTCTGCTTTTGGGTGAATTCAAATTAAGACATTTATCTACATAAAACATAATCTGGTTATGATATTAGAATTGTGTGTGACTACCCTATAGCTGACTTGCATTTAAATAGCCAATTGTCATAGGTCCTGATGTCTATAAAGACATTAAAAGTCCCTATTTCCATGGTCATCCATTACACATAGTATCATGGAGTAGAATGTTTCCTAGACATAATCTAGTTTAGTAACGTTTAATCTTGTTTGAGCCTCATATCCCTTTGGAAATTTAAGGAAAGCTACAGACCCACCCCTGGAAAACTGGTGATGCGTACAATATTGCCTACAATTTCTGGGTGTTTTTGGAACATTTAGATCCAAGCAGAGGTGTTCCTTTGCTTGACTCCCCTGACTCTAGTCCAATCGCTCAGTACACAGATGGGTAAACTGAGGCCTGGGTTGGAGAAGAGCCTGTCCACACCACTCAGTCAGTGAGCTGATGTGAAGTCTCTTGACTCCCAATCTAGCCATCCTTCCACCCCACACCATCCACATCACTACCTTTATTTCTGTCTGTTGGGTTCTTACAATACGGCAAGCCAGGTGCTGTAGGAGTCCCAGCTACTTGGGAGGCTGAGGTGGGAGGATCTCTTAAGCCCATGAGTTTAAGGCCAGCTTGGGCAATGTAGTAAGACTTCCCCCATCTCTAAAAATAAAAATGAAAACAACTAAGTACACAATCATAAGGCAGTTTCAGCATCATCAATACAAGTTTATTACACTTTATTGATCATGATGAATATAGGCAGATTCTCTGCCCAGCTTCCCTCTTCAGTGTGCACTTGCAGCTCCTGAGCAGTATTTCACACCTCAGCAATTATCTTATTATCATTACAGCCTCACATCCTTCCTGCCCCGATTAGTCCCACAGGCCTGTTCTTTACCTGCTCAATTATCCAGCTCTTAGCTCTGCTCAGACATATTTTCAGTGTCTTTTTATCTCCACCTTCCAGATTTTCTGCTCTTCTGGGGCCATCCTTTTTATTTTTTCTAAAAAAGTTAGTATCTGTTATTTATAACCCACCCTCCTGACAATTTCAGGATGTTTTTTCTTTGCAATGATGAAAGCTTAGATTAGGATTTTGAGGAGCATCATTTTTTACCCTTCTTAAAAACTATCTCTGGGAACATTTTTCTCTGAATGAGTTTGCTCTTCAAGCATCTAAGTCAGGCCTCAGTGTCCATTAACTTGTTTTCTACAAAGAAGATTGCCTTTTATAAATCACTAATTATATTACTTGTCATGTCATTGCTATTTATGTTTCTTGTTTTTGTTTTTGTTCTTGATTTTGGGCAGTCCTCTTCTGCTGAAGTGTATAAAGCATTATTTTACCTTGAGAGTCAGGTGCATGACAGGTGACAATTAGACATTCTTTATCCCCTACTGAGGCGGGTGAGGAGGGTCATCCCACTGCACTGACTCGCATTGAACTCATTTCCTTGGGAACTTCAGGGCAAGACTAGACAGTGTTTTCCAAAGGTGAGATGGGGAAAGCATGAGAGAAGGAGGTTAGGAATGGAAGTGGTATCTGTGTGGATGGGGACACTTGGCTGCCAGCAACTTGTATAACACAGGGTTATGGAATTCTGCCTCACCCAGTGATGCAGTGACTTTGTAATTTTGGCCCACAGAGCTTGATCATGGAGTCTTGGAGTTAGACAGGAAATTGGAACTCCTGCCAAGCCCTGGATTTTTGCAGCCTCTCTAGAACTATCTGCCAGGAGGCTGGCCAATCAGCTCTTGTTTGAGCCCTTTCAGGTGGCCTTGGACCTTTGATGTGTTGGAAACAGAGTGTGTCAGAACAGGCCAACAGCAAGGACATGGTATTGATTGATATTCAGAAAAGCAGGGAACCCCCATTGCCCAATACAAGGGAAAAGAGGTGAGGAGGGAAAGACTGGGGGTGAGGCTTCAGGTCGGGGGCTGGAGGTTGAAGAAGTTAATGCATGGGTGTCTTGACTCCATAGCGAATTCAGAGTCAGAGTTGACCACTAAGAATTAATTGAGCCTAGTTAGTAGGAGGCTAGAGGGATAAAAATAAATATTTAAAAATAAAAGAGAAATCTGCATAAGAAAAGACAGAAAAATTAACAGATAGCTTTAGAGACCCAGCTGAAGTTGGGGGTGATTTTGTGGCTCTAATTTGTACAGTTATGGGGTTTTCTCCAAAATTAGTGACCATAACCCAGGGTAGGAATTTTTTAGGGGCAGAAGGAAAATAGTACAAAGGGAATCAAAAGTGCTTATGATTTATTAATTTAAATGATTGACAATTCAGTATAGTCTAGGTAAGAAAAGAAGAAAAGTCCTGGAGCATTTGAAGATGGAAAACCCAAGATAGCAAGTAACCAGGTACCTCAACGAGATCACAAAAAAATTGTACAAGAATGTGAGAAAGAAAAAGCCAGGAAGATAGATGCTTCTTCAAAGGGCAGTACATTGGGTTTGTGATATCTTAAGTGGAGCCATGCTGAGTGAGAACACGTCATGTTTTTTATTTGTGCTATTCAGTGTAAATACATTTGGCCCCATTTTTTCAAAAGAATAACATTCCCAATTGTTTTTTAGTTTATTTATTTTGCCTTTTGAAAATTGTCTTTCCAACACTCTTTGATATCTATTTGGAAAAGTGCTACCCACCTAAGTGTTAGAAATCACATATATAGGAAATAGTAACAATAAAAACAATAATGACATCTGGGTGAAATGATTCCCTACCCTGAAAGGAATTTTGAAGTGGTTACTTCCTGCCGAAGAAGGGTAGGGGAGACATATACTGGAGCACATGCCACCTCACGCTTGGTACAGTAGGGACAACATGACAGCAGTTAAATGAAGACAAGCAAACTCTGGTCCCTATTCATCAAGATCAAAAACAAAAATGAAACCCTGGCACCCCAGCCCTCCACGCAGTGTCCCCTCCCATCTGTCCAAGTCAGACTAGGTGCTGACTAGAAGCCAGGACTGGCCATCTTCAAGCCCTTCCATTCTATGATCTGAAGCTTGGAGCTGGCTCCTGCATTTCACCAAAGGCTCTCTTGATCTGACCCCTCGGTCACCACGAGGACTGCAGCTGCTGGAAAGCATTGTTTCTTTGCTCATCCACCTCAGAGCAGATTCACCTGATGGGCTCAGCCTTTCCTATCTTTTGCGTTTGTTTCATTTCCTTTTCCTCCATAGTTCATGTTCCTTGAGAATTTACCAAACTTTCTAGAGCCTATTTCTGGACAATCTAAATTAATTTGCACCCAGCCCTGCACCCAAGAAAACCCCACCATTCTTGTCAAACTCCAGCCAGCCTCAAAAAGCAAGTCTAGACTGCTGGGTGTGATTCTTTTCTGCTGAGAGTAAATTCGTTCCCCACACAAGCACAGTTGCAGTCTGGCCAGAGTCTTTTTGCTGAAAACCTGATTCTGAATAGGCATTGGCTCTTAAGCCCAGCCATCAGTTTCACCGGATCCAGTCATCTTGATGTAAAGATCAATTTCAGAGCACACTTGTGAACCGTGCTGCTGTGAAGCTTCCTGAAAATGTACACACACCTCTTTTTAATTTGTTGGTGATGGCCTGGATAAAGACTAGAAGATAACTAGTATTTTCCCGAAGTTTTACCTGATCCAGGATTTTAAGAACAATTCCCAGATGTTCTAGAGCACTTGTCACAGCCCTGGAGCCACAGCCATGGTCCTTCACAGAGGAAACAAACACAGCTGCTCAGAGACTGTGGCTGGTTCCCCTGGTTTCAGTGGTCATGTTGCCTCAGACATTCTTCAATCTTCTCAGCATTACTTCTTGCCTCAGCTGCTCACGTGACCACAGTCTTCAACTGACGACACACGTGCACGCTTGAGCTGGGTCAAGTGCCTCTCACTTCCTCCCTCAGCCCCCAGGTTCTCTGACCCAGCTGCATGGAATGTACAGGATGTACAGGACGCCCACTAGACCCTCAGCACGTGCAATGCAGAAGTGCTGGGGTGTGTTCCAGTCACTACAGCTGCGTAACAATTATCTCAAAGCATAGTAGCTTAAAATAACCATGTTCATTATGTTTAAGAGCCTGAAGTCTAGCAGCTGATGCAGCAGTTGGCTGGGACCTCAGCTGGGGATGCCTCTCAGAACACCTGCACCTGAGCTCTACATGGTTGGGCTTCCTCACAGCATGGCAGCTGGGTTCCCAGGGTGGGGAGAGAAAGAGAGGAAGACATACACCTTTTATGAACTGGCCTCACAAGCCATGCAGCATCATTTCCACAGAATTCTATTGGTCAAAGCAGCCACAACGTCCCACCGAGTTTTGAGGGAGGGAACATAGGCCCCACATCTTGATGGGGAGTAGCAAGGTTTCGAAAGAGCGAGTGGACCCAGAAATTTTGCTGTGTCACTTTTAGAAAATAAAATCTACCACAGGTAGTTAACACATGATGAAGTAAACCTTGATCAATGGGGAGCAAAAGCAATGGAAAATCTTTTTCCTTGCCTTCTCCTGGAAGGCTGTCCTGAGAAAGAGATTTGGCAGCATCCACCCACAGTAGTAGTTACCCCCTGCATGATGAGTCATGGCCAATACTTCTGACACTCCATTCTAAGGTCATACTTCCAGATAAACTATTCACACATAAGGCTTTGTCCCAGACATTGCTTTTGGGGAATCATAAGCTCAGGCAGTTAGTACCGGGTGTGTCCCTGGTGAGCAGTCTTGGGATTAGTTTTTAAGGCTGGGTAAGTCACCACCCAGGCATCACTAAGGATCCTGCTCATAGTTATTGGCTGTGATAACATTGGCACAGGCAGCATCATTTAGTAAGGCTGTGGCTGATTGACATGAGGTACAGATTGAAGGTTCAGAGCAATGGGTTTGCTTGTTAGGAGGGTGGGTAAGCAGTGTGGGGTAGTGGTAAAGGTAAAATTTGGGTAGTCAGTTGGCTTTTTGAAACTGAATTAGGAGCCTTGGAAGAGGTAGGCTCAGATACCCCAACTGTCAACTCCAGGCATGTCTGAAGGACTGAAGGCTCATCCCCTGAAGCTGCAAGGTACACACCCCCATATTTTTCCTGGGTTAAAGGTCGGGACCCTCATAGAGATGAATAGGAACTGGAAACACAGAATAAAAACTTGATGTGAATGAGCCTGGAAATCTGACCTCTAGAGCTCCCTGAATCCTTCATGCTGGTAGATGAAGTCCACAGCTCTGACGGAAGGGAACAGCCTCTCCTTGTGTGGCAGTGGAGAGGGGAGGACTTGTCAATATGCAGTACTCATCCATGGACTGGAACTGAACTTCAGTCAGGGACGCTGGAGTTAGTCCTGGCCCTGTGTTGGGACAGCTCATTGAATCTCAGGCACCAGGACATGCATGGGTGAGGCGGAGGTGTTGAAACTGCGCTGGCATGGAAGCGAGGAAGGCTTTAGACTCCTAGGGAAGCCCAGAGAGCACTCCCTCCACTGAGCAGCAGGGGAGCCCGAGAGCAGACACTGGCGTGGCACTGGCTGTCCTCGGAAGCTGGGGTCAATGGAGAGAGACGCTGCTGAGGGCCAGTGGAAGGGTTTGTGTAGTAGCCAAGGCCAGAAGCGAGTAGGGAATGATTTATCATAATGGGCAGCGAAGCCAGAAAGACAACCAGGTATGCTGATCAGCAAAGATCTGTGGCGACAGCTCACAGGGGATAGAACGGAAATTAACTCACTGTTTCCTCACTGATCAGTTCACAGACCCAGAGTCCAGCATGGCCAAGGGAAGGACAGATCCCTTAAGGCAGGATCTGCAAAGCCTCCCCAGCGTAGGTGGTGGCTACCCCTGCAGTCCATCCGCACTGTGCCGTGGTGTTTTAAGGACTGTTGCCCATCAGACACCTGAGATGTCATCACGTCCCTCTGACTGGAGGGGAGGCTCACGGAGGTCAGGTGACAAGTGGATACCCGTCTGGAGCTCACCCCACACAGGGCCCGCTAGCTGCAGCCACTTCCCTGACCCCAGAATGAAGGATGATGTTGAGTATACTCAGCAGCTGACAGAACCTCATATCCATCCCCTGTCCTGTGAAGGAAGAATCATAATGAAATGGAAACCCCAAAACCACCGCCAGGCCCTCATTTGGCACCAAAGTGAATCAGAATTTAAATCATATTCTGGGGGGCGTAAAAAATGATGTGAGAGAAGCAGGAAGCAGGAGGAGGGAGACACTGGACTGTGATACTTTAGCACTGAGGCCTCAGCCAACACAGGGTCCTGTGTCTTCCATGGAGGCAAAGGGCCCCAGCCTCAAACTCTGCCTCCAGGAGGCAGGGCATGCAGGACTCCCACAGAGAGAGGCCTGGCCTTGAGCAAGGCAGCTCCGCTGGCCTGAAGGCAGTCCCAGAAGTCCTCAGCTATAAGCTGTGGGCAGCCACCTGTCCAGCTGCTGGGCCTGCGTCCGGAAGAAGGTCTGAGTGACATCCAGCATCCAGGATTCCTGAAAAATGCCCAGAATTCCCCAGGGAGATGGAAGCAGGTGGACATTGGCTCTAACCCTGGTTGTAGGGTCCATGGCAACTTGATCCTGTTGGGCTTCCAGAATGGACTAGAGCGTGATGTGCATTGAAACTGCGATCTGTTTTGGTGTTCATTAAATGGTAACTCTTCTTTACTAATGTTTTCACTATTATAACTCATATAGAAACCTCTAGTGGAGGGACAAGGAACCTGGAGCAGGCTCTCATCTTCTGCAGCAGCCAGGGCCAGGTAAAGCACCTGGGCTGCAGATGTGGCTGAGAAGTGGGCTCCCAGCTCCCTCCTGCTGGATCTTTCTGGAAACACAGAAACATGTTTCTCACACACACATTCTTCCTCTCTTTTTACTTTACTTTGATTCATTCTGTCAAAAACTGGCAAGAAAAAGGAACATGAAAACAGCTTGAGTTGTGTGATGTACCAGGGTGCCTGTTAAGAGCTGTTGGGGGTCTTTTCTTTCCCAATGCCTTTCCCAAATCTGAGAAGAGGGTCTGCAAACCGTG
The DNA here is from genome assembly GCF_000001405.40 of Homo sapiens. Classification (NCBI taxonomy): domain Eukaryota; kingdom Metazoa; phylum Chordata; class Mammalia; order Primates; family Hominidae; genus Homo; species Homo sapiens. The sequence goes on from NC_000020.11 coordinate 24,151,726, forward strand.
TCTGTGACTGGCTATACTGGAGGACTTGGGCTCTGACAGCTGCTGTGTGGGGTCTGCGGTCCTTTCTCAGAGCAGAACATCCTGACAAGGCTTGATGGGGTCCCCTGTCTAACACTTGCACCCGTTCTTCATCCTGCTCTCTCTTTGTCACTCCTTCCTTCCTTGAGTCTCACAGCAAATTGCATTGCACATGTATAGGGTATGTCCATGCAGCCCCCCTCACTCTCACCATTACACATCACAGTCTTTCTCCTGGGTGAGGTCCAGGGCAGCCCAGAAGTTTCAAAGGAGCTAACTCTGCTGACAGTCCTCAGGCAGTGACAGTGGGGAGAGGCGGGTCAACTCTGAGGCTGTTCCAGGCTGTTTCCCAGGAGCACAATGGGAATGAGGCTGGCTGCCACTGTGATAACCCTGTGAGCATGCTCTATTGCCCTCCTACCCTTCCCTGGCTCACCCAACCCCATGCCTGTGCTCCCTGGTAGCAGCTCCCGAAGATGTCTCCAGCCTCACATCCTCATATTAGACCAAATCAAGACAGTTATGTTTGGGACAAATTGACGCATGGATATTAGCGTTAATTTCAAGGAGCCTGAAGTGTAAGAAGCAGGTAAGAAGGCACAAATGCATCTATAATGTCAAATAAACCCTGATTAAAAGTCGGAGTCGAAAAAAAAGACAGAATCCCCACAATTGTAGTTATCTGGGATTTTTCAAACCAGAAAAAAAAAACTAAACACCATAAATTGATGGAGTCTGTCTTACGAACTTATAATAATGCTCACCGTGTGTACCAAGACACCATAGTTTTCACAACAATTTCACACTTTCAAATGATTTGGATCTTCACAAAAGCTTGGACAGTTAGGGTGGATGTTATGTAGCCCATTTCACAGATGAAGAAATGGAGAACCAAAGTTGCAAAGAAAGATGGAGGCCCAGCCAGATCTGGACCCCACAGGCCGTCTCCCCACACAGCCATTCATGTGGTCTACTTCCAGCCATTCATGTGGTCTATTTCCAAGAAAATAGCCCATCCCCCCAAGATAACACCTTCTCAAAAACTTTACAGCTTTGTGTCTACACTGATATTTAGGTATTTTCTTTCTTTTTTTTTTATGATTAACACATCTAATTCAAGAATATCTTGGCAGGATATTCCCCGCTTAGGAAATGCAGGGACTCATGTTCCCCACCCAGAGCCTGGTCCTGCTGCTTCTGGTGCATTGGCAAACAAAGAGGCTCATTCCCTGTTGGTCCTGCACTGCCTACGCCTGCTTCCCTATCATGTAGGTCCAGGCGTGGTCTTTTTGGAATCCCACCTCTTCCACCCTTTCTCCTCCTTGCCCTACTCTGCAAACCCCCCCTTCTTTTATTTCTTAAAGTAGCACTAACACTATGCAGAAATACGTGACATTGGAGGTAATGGAAGTGGGTTAGACTACATACAGAACAGGAAAATAATAGAACGTGTGCACCAGGATCACCGTTACATAAAATTCCTCAACTCTGCAAGCCGTGGGGATTTTCCAGGCTTCGAGGTTCAGAGGCATGCCTTCCCACGGGTTGGCCCCACTTCTTTTGCTAAAGCCCTCTTCTGCCTCCTGCAAACCTTTTCTTCTCAAGCTGCTTGGAGACCATTTTCAATTTAACATAATTTTCTTTTTCACAGCAAATTACTTCTGTGTGTGTCTCACTTTTCTCCCTCCTGCAGGCACCCACACACTCTTTCCTGTTACAGCGTCAAACAGCTCTGCAGGGGCTCTCTAAATGCAAAGAGAGGTGCTCTTGCCAAGAGGAGACCTGCAGTCCTTCATGACTGTTCACACTGCAAGCAGCTTTCCAGAGGCAAGTGTGGGCTGCACAGTGCCCATCTGTTCCCTCCCAGCTGTCTCGCGCCATCAGGGTGCACGCCTGGGCCCTGGACAAACTCCCGTCCAGGCTCCAATGCTCTCTCTTCTCCTTTTCATGCCGCACTCAGGTCTTTCTGTTGTCACTTGTTGTCATCAAGGTAAGCTCTAATCTTACCTTGTCTGGTATGAGTTGTCCCCACAGCTCAGGTCACAGTGGTCTTCCTTGGTTGTCTTCTTGCAGACAGGGTATACAGTTTACTGTTGGCCCTCAGAATGCCTGCCAGGCACTGGGCACCCAGAACAGGATGAAGTCAGACTATAAATTTAAACCCGAGTGGAGGGCTGAGTTTCCAAAGAGCACGCTGCATGGCATTCCACATGTTTTCTCATAAGCCACTGGCTACCATTATCCACAGTGTTTTGGAAATTTCGGCAAGAGGTTTTACCTTAATTTCTGCAATAATCTTTTATACCAAAAAATTTTGAAATCCCATTTTCTCTCCTCCCTTTACTGTTGGAAAGAATGTGAACTCTCTAGGATCCCTGTGAAAAATAATGATACAACACCCCTAACCCCAGACATGGAGCACATTTCCCATGCATACGACACTTAGGGGCAGATTGGAAAAATAATAACCAAAATTCCTTCAGGAAAACATCAAAGCCTCCAAAAGCAAAACATACATTTTAATCTCTGCTAGCAACGTCACCAGTTCTCTGCTGTCCAAATTTATAACGTTGGGGCAACAACACGCATAATACAACCACCCAATCCTCTAGGTTCTCTCTACTGTGCTAATATAATAATAGAAATTGTTTGATCTGGTAGAAAAAGGGAGGTGAGGATTTTCTCACTCAGCCATTCTGAACACTGCACATCTCCAAAGGAAGCAAAGCAACATCCTACTCTCACGCCATTAAACCCCAAGCAAGGGAAGCCCAGGGAGCTTGTGGCAGGAGCTCCTCATGGGTGGAGACACATGCAACAGGAACCACTGCAGCAGACCCATCCACAACCCCAGGGCATCTCTCTTTTCTCATTTTTTATATACTGAGATCACACATATGGCATTCATGAGCCTCAATGTCCCAAGTGTAAAGAATATATCTGTATTTGTATCTATCCATCCATCAATAATGAGCATTATGTATTCTATTTATTTGTGACAGTTTTACTTGAAACTATTCCTGTGAGCACTGAGTTGTGGCATCACTAAGCCAAACGATAAGGAGAATGTTTTACCCAAAGCTTGCAGAAAGGGCTGCTACATTGTTAGTCTTACCTTGGGGGTCTTCAAGATGTTGGAAAAGGACAGATAGATCGTTGGGGTTTTCAAGGTAGCAGATGGCACCTGTTGAGGGAGCACTAACTAGGGGCCTTGAAGGGGCAGGTGACAATTGGTAATTGGAGGCTTTTGTGTGCGTCTGTTTCTGCAGGCACTGTGCACAGGGGTGAATGTGTGTCTCCAGGGAGAGGTTGGAACAGGATTATGTTCTCAGGGGGAAGTTCCAGTAGAGGCTGAAAATGTTCACATACAGAAAAGAAGGTGATGCCCAAGTGGAAATAAGGTACACTGGGATGGTGACCCAGGGCCACAGGCAGAGGCTGTGGTCGCCGAACATTTCAAAACTGCTTCTTTTGTGTTGCTCGTTTATGCATTCTTGGAGATAGCCTGCTTTTCTTTTCATCTTAGGACCCTCTGGTCCTTGGTGGTTGGAACAGGATCAGTAGGATCTAGCATTGCTGATGTTCCTGATGGTTGCTCTGAGGGACATTTGTAATCTGGTTATTTGCTGTATCTATTGATCGATGGCTTCTCTGACTATGTGCAATCTCCCTAGCACTAATAATTTTAAGGACTCCTTTTGATGGATCAGTGCCTCTCAGAGTCATTAGGTCACCCAGTGATACACTGTCTGTGTGTGGGGTATCCTTAAAGACATGTTTTAACTCTCTTCTAGTAGAGGTCTCTATTAAGGAATTTGGGTTGTTTTGGGAGGTCAATTCAGAGTCATAGAAATGGGAGGAAAATAGGGGAAATGTTGCAATATGACACAATTTAGAAGGCAGCTCCCTGGGGCTGGTCTTGAGTTTTTCTATCAACGTGCTCCCACGATGAAGATGGATACCAAGGAACCAAAGGTTTCTACCCAAGGCCCTGTGGCCAAGGCTCTGGGTCTTGTCTATGTCATTGCACAACTGGAGGGAGAACAAGGTCAGCAGGTGAGTGTTGGCACAGGATTTTGAATGTGCCCACACATCCAAGTTCTTGTGTTGAGCAACTGAAGATAGGGAAGAGACAGGAGATCTCGTTATGTCCCAGAGCAGTTCTTTAAGATACCACATCAACGCAGCCATTTTTAAAGGCTGCATTGAAAAAATACAAAGATTAGGTACAGAAATGACAACTCAGCAACACATTGAACAATCCAGCATTCCTTTAAGACTTTTAGCCTTAGTCTGATGTTTCCTTACTCTTTGAACCTTGTACCACTGTTGGCTCCAGAATGCAATATTCTTGTACACAGAGACATTGTTTGGCCAAGAGGAATCCTGCCTCAGTCATACCCAGTTTCTTCCCATTTGATGAATGTGAAAGGATGAAAATAGGACATTGCAACAACCTTGCAGGAAAGTGTATCATGGCTGATGAGTGACAAATACCGTGGGCACAGGAGCAGGGGTGTGATTACACATAAGCCTGGAGTCTCCTCCATTCCTAGTGAGCAGCACTGGAGTCTGAATTGGGACACCAGGCTTTAGACTAGGTTCTGTCATTTGTAAACTGTGTGGCTTTGGGAAGGACTCACAAACTCTGAAATCTTTCTTTTCTACCTAAAATGAGCTCTTGAATATCTCTATCAATTCTAAATGTCTCTGACTCTAATTCCATCAAGTTTGTGTCATTCTCCTTCTCGCAGTGGAAAGAGCTCTAAAAGTATCCTTATTTCCTAATGGAATCATTACCCCGAGTGTATCAAGAGCAAATTTTGAATGTCCTTTGGTTACTAAGAAGAGTAAAACCAATGGCATCTACTTAAGGTAACTGGATCCAGAGCAAAGTTAAAAATTAGGATGGATCATTTTCTAACAGCCATTCAAAACCATACATGGTTAATTCAGAAACAAATATTCTGAATTCTAAATACATTAAAATTTTCAGGACACCCTGCCTGCACTGTTGGCATGGAAAACTAGCATGGAGCTTCTGGGGAAGGAAGGAAAGATTGAAAGAGAGAGAGAGAAAGAAAAAGAAGGAAAGGAGGAAGAAAGGAAATGTAGGCTGAGAGAAAAAAAATCAAACAGCTAAGCAGCTAAGCAGTAAGCCCTCTAGGGAACTGAAGAATATTCAGAGTTTATTTGATCTTCTTGCAAAGCTTGGGTGAATTCTTGGAGAATACTTCTAATATAGCATTGGCAAGAAGTCTCAGTTACCAACCTGCCGCATTAACACACCATCCCCTCCCAAATGACATACGGCCAGTCACATGCAAAAGAAATGCATAGAAGTGTCCATTCGGAGTGTTCCTTACAGCTGACCACATTGGTCAGTTAATGTCATAATTATTCCATGTAATGCTCCAAAATTCAGTGGCTGAAAACAATCATTGTTATTACTCCTGCATCTGTGGGGCAACGGGGGTCTGGCTGATCTAGGTTGGGCTTGCTTCAGGGTGCTGCAGCAGGGGCTGCTTGACTGCAGATCACACTGTGGGTCATTTGGGGTGACTCTGCCACACATACTTCTCAGCCTTCTTGCACCAGCAGTCTGGCAGGGTCATGTTCTTCCCTGTGGCAGAGGCAGGACGTAAGTGAAAAATGAACAAGGCCACAGAACAGGCCATTTTACCACTTCCCATTGGCTGAAGCAAGTCACATGGTGCACACGCACACTGTCACTTCAACCCACTTCCACTAGCTAAAATGAGTCATGAGGACGAATACAAAATCCAAGAGTGAAAAATACATTCTGTTTAGCTTAGTTTAGCAGAAGAAAGTTCATTTATTTATTAGTTGTACAAATTTATGGGGTATATGTGGAATTTTATCACATGCATAAATTGTGTAATGGTCAAGTCAGGGCTTTTAGGGTATCCATTCCACAAATAACATATATTGTACCCATTAACTAATTTCTCATTATCCATTAGCCTCCCATTCCCTTTGTCTTTTGAGTCTCCATTCTCTATCTGACCAAAAGAATTCTGCAGTTGTTGAGTAGAATGTTCTGTAAATATCTGTCAGTTCCATTTGGTCCGAAGGCAAACTCAAGTCCAATGTCTCTGTTGTCTTTCTGACCTGATGATCTGTCTAATGCTGTGGATGGGGTGTTGAAGCCCCCCACTAGTATTGTATAGCTGTCTACATCTCTCTTTAGGTCCAGAAGTATTTGTTTTATGAATCTGGGTGCTCCAGTGCGGGGTGTGTGTGTGTGTGTGTGTGTGTGTGTGTGTGTATATATATATATATATATTTAGTTATATATATTTTGTTATATAGTTATAATCTCTTGCTGAAATGACCTTGTCTTTTTTTTTTTTTTTACCATTTTCGACTTAAAACCTGTTTCATCTGATACAAGTATAGCTACTCCAGCAGAAGAAACTTTAATTCATATGACAAAAGCATGGATAAATGGATAAATGAATCAGGACCACTGATGCCATTGTTTCATTATATTACTGAATCTTCTAGGATCCTTCTGCTCTGGTCCCATATCAACCTTGATATCCTCATTTATATGTTTCCCTGGATTCCAGCCATCCACCTAAACCCCAAGTTACTGATTATTGGTCTGTTCCTGAGACTCAGGACTGTTTCTCCTGATCTGGCACTATAGACAAGCATTTCTGGTGAGCTCAGTCTGACAACTCCCCACCCAGAGAGCTGGCATCTTCCCAGGAGCTTCCACCGCTGAAGCAAGGCTTCTCCAGCCTCTCGGTGATAGGGAATGATTGATGGCAGCTATTCTGGGACAGAAATCAAAATGCAACAGGCAGAGAAGGGATTGATGCCACCTGCTCTCACTTATTGAATAGTAATTGCCCATCTTTTAGATGGGTTAACTTCATGTGCTTTTCATATCTGTGATGTTTCTATGGAGCTTTTTAATCTACCTTGGAGGTTGCAAAAGGAGATTCTATTTCAGAAAGCAAAGTGAGGAGTTCAGGCCATCTGTCAGCGCAGGCTTCAGCAAGTAGTGTATTTGCGTGCTGACTTTGCTTCACATCCACCTCCATTTGCCTCTGCCATTTTGTCCTAGGATCATGGTTAATGCTGAAAGAAGCGTGACTCCCATCAGTCATCAGCTCTTCTCAGATAAAGCAAGGTGAAGTCAACTAGAGAATGAGCTCCACAACACCAGTAGAATTTAAATAAAATCAAAGCGAACAGTATTTTGTATGGTTACTTTGCATTTTCATTAGTATTAATAACCAGTCTTCCTTTAGCAAGATAGAATTATCTCTCAGGCCCTTCTTCCCATCTTTGCCCTTTGGTTATTTTGCATTTAATACATTTCAGAAATTATTGCCAGATATTCTCACATTTTGTTTACAGTGCTGTGCCTTGAAAAACAGATTCTGTTTTTCCACCATATATATACAGTGAGATGTGTGGTAGAGAGGACACATGTGGGTGTTTAAGGAAGCCCCTCCAGTATGTCTCCAATGGTCAGTGGGCCTGGTGCACTCTTTCAAAAGCAAGTACTGAGACCTCTTTTTGGATCAGACTGATTCATGCAGTTTTTAAGGGGATGCCTCAAGGTGGAACTGACTCAGTGGTGCTTTGTTCTCCAAAAACAGAAGGAAAGCAATTAAAGCTCCAGAGCTTTCCATGGCACTGGGTTGATGCTGGCCTGCAGCAGACCCCTTTGTCCAGCTCCTTCCCTTTCTTTTCCTGCTTCTCTTGCTCCCGTGAGAGCCTTCCCTCAGCAAACCATTGCCCAAGGGCACCCATCTAGGGCTCTGCTGCTAGAAAAATTGTCCCAAGGCAGTTAGTTGTTATCTTCTTTGCTGATCAGAAAATAGGCAATCAGTTTAGGTAAATGGCTTTTCCACAGTCATACAAGTAGACAGTAGTAGAATAGGTCCTCTGCTTATCATACAAGTAGACAGTGGTAAAATAGGTCCTCTGCTTATCCGTCAAGTTCTGCTTTCAATCCTCTGCCATGCCCGTCACAATCCATTACATGGGCTGCTCCCTGTAAGGCAGCCAGTGGCTCTGGGCTTAATCCAAGGGAGCTGGGTTCTGAGCAGGCCAGACCCCAATACATGCAGGGTCCAGACCAAGAGCACAAATGGAAACCCACATGCATGAGTCCAAATATTTTAAAAGTATAAATAAAGCAAACAAATTACTAAATAAAATATATTCTACCTTCTCGCCTGCTTAAATATACCTTTACAAAAATCTGAAAAGCCAGGTTTAATTTAGAATTCTCAGACTCCTTGGAGTTCCACAGCAAAAGGGATGGAGTGGGGCAAGCTGGCTCAGCTCCCCACCATTTCCCACACTGGCTCTGGTCCTGTCCTACAATGTGAAGGACTTGTGTACACATACTGACATTCTAAATGTTCACACCTGCCAATGGCAGCCATACCTTGGTCACACCTTCGCATCAGAATGCACACAAAAGTGGATATGGCCACTGAGCAGAGAATTCTAGGGTTCTGGGTACCTGAAATGTATGTACAGACTCCAGGTGGGCAGTTCCCTTGGGATCACGGATTTCATGACTTGTAGTCTGGGACAGTCATAGCTGGAGGGTCCTCTAGATCATGGATCCCAGGACAGGGCTTCCTTTGCCCCCAGCCAAGGTTATACTGCTCCTCTAGCTACATCATTGTGGCCAAGTCACCCTCCTTGGTGGTCAGTTTCCACATCTGTAAGCGAGGGCATCGGATTATACAAGCTCAAGGTCCTTTCTTGCCATGAAGGAATGTGATTCTGTTGCCTTGTCCGGACATGAGACTGGCCATTTAAGAAGAGCAATCATTCCCTAAACAAACTTGTATAAACAAAAGCAATGGGGGAATGTCTTATAGTCAGTAAGTAGATGACTTAGAGGAGAGCCACCAAGCCGTGAACTTCCTGTGGAATCAGCCCAGCATCTTGGGGTGAGCACTGCTTCTTGTTTCCAAGGCATGTGTTTCATGTTCAGCAGTTGCTGCCCAACTGCTGTCCTGCAGAGGGAGCATGCGAGCATTTGGCTCCCTCCATGTATCCTTGGATGGGATCAGAGCTGGTGATGTGGTTTGAAAGAGGAATGCTCATTTCAAAACAGAACTAAAACGCAGTATTCTGATAGCTTCACTTTAATATTAAAGGCATGCCCATCAATATTTCATGTTAATACACTAATTAATATTTAAACCTGTTAGGTTAATCCTTGAGTAACATTTTTATTTTCACAAAAGTTTCCCCAAAGTTGATGTATTTGCTTTATTAAAGTCAATCATACATGTCAGCAAAAACCTTGCCAGTGTTACCGGGAAATTATGTGGGCAGGACCGTTAACCAGGGAAGATAATGTGGTGAGACTCTGAGCACTGGGACTGTTCTTGAAGTCCAGGAGCATGAATGTACAAGAGAGGAATGGAAAGAATCAAGTGTGGCATGCAAGAGCCACTGATCTGTGGCTGATGTGGTCACCTCTAGCCACTTATCAAGTAAATGGCCTGCAGGTGGCCTGAGGAATACAGATGCCTGTACTCTAAATTAAGTGGATGATAACATTGCTTTGCCCTCTGTACAAAGTCCCAGCTGTGTCATGGATGAAGGGGCTGCATGAGGGATGGCTTTATTGAACAGAAGACAGTGGAAAGGCATTTGGAATAATACAGTTCAGTGGTATTCAAGCCCTCCTCAAAAAATTTGCCTCTAGGGCAGGGTCAAGGAACAGGGAGTATAGGCTGTTTGCGATGGAGGAGAGGGCATTAGAGTAGCCAATATGTCTGCAAGAAATGCCACTCCATTTGCATCAGTTTTAAATATTGGACCTTCTGGCAGGATATATTGTTCTGAAGAAAGAGCTTCCACTGCTTGAAATGAAAGGTTGAAGTTCTCTGGCTTTTTTTTTTTTTTTCAACTTTCTAAAAAGGCAATTGAATCTTATAGAAGGGAAATAAAATTGCTGGTTACGTAGCAAGTAGTAGGTTAGAATGTCTGATCATGAGTGGAAAGGACTGAGCCTAATGAGAGAGTTTGTGCATTCCTATGTGTTTATGAGTGTGTGTGTACAAAAGACTCACCTGGTGATCTTGTCCAGCATTGGGTTTTTCCTTCTGCAAGACTGTTTGTTTCTTGGCCTCTGCACAGAGATGCAGTGAAAATTGGAGGATATGATGGGCAACCGCATTAACAGTGCATTTTCATTACCATTTGTATTTAGGTGTTTTCAGAGACTCTGCAACCTGGACAGAGCTTAAGGAGGCCTCTGGGTCCAACCTACTTCTGAGCCACGGAAGACAAGTGTGAGCAGTCTTATCCTTAATCACCCTCCAGGGCTGAGGGGACGCAGCTAAGGCCAGTGCTCACTGGACTCCTTTAGATACAGGTACAGCTCGTTTTACTGGGCTTCACTTTCTTGAGCTTCACTGACATTGCCTTTTTTGTTTGTTTTTTACAAATTGAAGGCTTGTGGCAGCGCCACATCAACCAAGTACAAGTATATCCAAGTATATCCACACCATTTACCAGCAGCAGGTGCTCACTTCATATCTCTCTATCATATTTTGGTAATTATCATAATACTTCAAACTGTTTCATCATTCTTATACCTATTACTGTAATCTGTGATCATTAATATTTGACGTTACTTTTATCATTGTTGTTGGGAACCACAAACCACACCCATGTGAGACGGCAAACTCACATCGTTAATGTTGGGAGTGTTCTTACTGCTTCACTGACTGGCCTTTTCCCCGTCTCTCTCCCTCTCCTCGGGGCTACGAATTCCCTGAGACCCAGTGACGTTAAAATCAGGCCAATGAACCACCCAACAATGGTCTCTAAGTGTTCAAGTAAAAAGAAGAGTTGTACATCTCTCATTTTAAATCAAAAACTAGAAATGGTTATACTTAGTAAGGAAGGCAGGTTGAAAGCTGGGATCGGCCAAAAGCTAGGCCTCTTGCAAGAAATTAGCCACACTGTAAATGCAAAGGAAAATTCTAGGAGGAAACTGAAAGTGCTACTCCAGGGAACACAAAAATGATAAGAAAGAAAAACAGTCAAATTGCTGATATGGACAAAGTTTTAGTAGCCTGGATAGAAAATCAAACCAGCCACAACATTCCCCTAAGCCAGAGCTTAATCCTGAGCAAGACCCTAATTCTCTTCAATTTTATGAAGGCTGAGAGAGGTAAGGAAGCTACAGAAGAAAAGTTGGAAGCTAGCAGAAGTAAGTTCATGAGGTTTAAGGAAGAAGTCACCTACAAAACATACAAGATGAAGCAGTAAGTACTGATATAGAAGCTGCAGAAGTTATACAGAAGATCTAGCTAAGATAAATGACGAAGGTGGCTGCACTAAACAATAGATTTTCATTGCAGATGAAACAGCCTTCTCTGGCAAGAAAATATCATCTAGGGCTTTCATAGCTAGAGAGGAGAAGTCAATGCCTAGCTTCAAAGCTTCAAAGAACAGGCTGACTCTCTTGTTAGGGGCTAATGCTGCTGGTGACTTTAAGTTGAAGCCAATGCTCATTTACCATTCGGAAAAATCCTAAGGCCTTTAAGAACGATGCTAACTCTACTCCACCAATGCTTTATAAATGAAACAGCAAAGCCTGGATGACAGCACATCTGTTTACAGAATCACCTACTAAAAATTTGAAGTATACTTTTGAGACCTCCTGCTCAGAAAAAAATAAAATTCCTTTCAAACTGTTACTGCCCATTGATCAGAGACCCTGGTCACCCAAAAGCTTTGATGGAGATGGAGATTAATGCTGTTTCCTTGCCTGCTAACACAACCTATTTTACAGTCAAAAACTGACTTCAACTTTCAAGTCTTATTATTTAAGAAATACATTTTGTAAGGCTACAGCTGCCATAGGTAGTGATTCTTTAGATGCATCTGGGCAAAGTAAGTTAAAAACCTTCTGGAAATGATTCATCGTTTTAGATGCTATTCAGAACATTCATGACTCAGGGGAGGAGATGGAAATAACAATATTCACGGGAGATTGGAAGAAGTTGGTTTCAAACTTCATGGATGACTTTGAGGGATTCAAGATTTCAGTGGAGCAAGTCACTGCAGAAGTGCTGGGAATAATAAGACAACTAGAATTAGAAATGGACTCTGAAAATGCACTCAATTGTTACAATCTCATGATAAAACTTGAATAGATGAGGAGTTTCATTTTAGGAATGAACAAATAATAGTTTCTTGAAATGCAAACTATTCCTGGTGAAGATGCTGTGAACATTGTTGAAATGACAACAAAGGATTCAGGACATTCCATAAACTCAGCTGATAAAGCAGTGGCAGGGTTTGAGAGGATTAACTTCAATTTTGTAAGAAGTTCTACTGTAGGTAGATGCTATTGAAATGTTATCAAACAGCATCACATGCTACAGAGAAATCTTTTCTGAAAGGAGTCAACTGATGTGGCAAACTTCACTGTCGTCTTTTAAGAAATCGTCACAGCCATCCCAACCTTCAGCACCCACCACCCTGATGAGTCAGCAGCCATCAACACTGAGGCAAGACCCTCCACCAGCAAAGATTATGACTTGCTCAAGGCCCAGATAATTGTTAGCAATTTTTTAGCAATAAAGTATTTTTAAATTAAGATATATACATTGTTTTTTTAGAAAAATGTGATTGCACACCACGTAGACTACAATGTAATGTAAACATATCTTTTATATGCACTGAGAAACAAAAATAAATCCTGTGGGATTCTCTTTATTGTGGTGGCCTGGAACCCACTCAGCAGTACTGCTGAGGTGCGCCTGCCCGCGGCTGGGGCTCTGGTGCCCCCTGCTGCTGGAATTCATCAGGGTCGTTTCCTTGTTGAATGAAGGGTTAGGATTTCAATATTAGATTCCAGGACACTGAAGGCTTCAGGAAAAGCAAAATAAATGCACTCCTGATAAGTTGCTCCCCACTGAGGGTTGGCTGGGATTATGATTGTCTTACTTTTTTGTGTTTTTCAGCATTTCACAAATAAAGACAAGACAGGATAAAGATAGAAAGTAATTTCCAATATTGCATTTGTATATGTGCTAGTTTTTCTCCCATGTTGAAAGGACTTTGCACAAAGTTGCCCTCCGAGACCAGCTCATGCTTCTAGAACCAACCCTGCCTGGACACCCAGCGAGCACTGCCTGGTTTGGATTTGAGCGCTCACAATTTCCTCTGCCCCAGTTGGGAGATTATAGGCTGTGCAGTTCATAGGAAAGTTTTGATTTCTGATACTTTAATTTTCCTTGAGTTTCAGGAAAACAAATGTGATATGAATGAGTGTTAACATATACCCTTATCGGCACAGTCAGAGAGGTGAAACTCTTGCACGAAGCTTGCCCCATGTGTCAATATTCCATGACTTCAGCTGAATAACTGTGTCTAAAAAACACACAATCAGCCACCATGTCAGCAGAAAACAAAATGCTAATTTTTAGGCTTCCTCACCTCATCTCCTGCTTGCTAGAGATGGAGGAATTAGGGGTGGGGCAGGAAAACAAAGGAGCAACATGTTATAAACTTGGCCTTTTTTCTCTAAGCACAGTCTAGGCCCAAAGCAGACCCAGGGCACAGTTCCTTCCAGGAAGCGTCATCGATGAGAAACTGGACTGTTACTTTCCACCCTGTGACTTTTCACAGGGTGGAGAAGTGAGGACGTTTCAGAATAAGGGAGCTTATTTTGCCTGGAAAAGAAAAGCTTGAGAGGAGATCATTTTTCATTTTGACATTTCCCGGGGATATAGTACTGGCCTGGTATTGTTTCATTTCAGAGCTTGTCTAGAATGGAAAACAAACAAAAGAAATGAACCAAAAAAAAAAAAAATGAAAAGAAGGAAACCAAATAAACTCAGGCCCCAGAGAGAAGATCTGAACCAGGCCTGCAGCATGGTCAGTCTCTGGCCTCCCACACTCACTTCCGTGAGGCTGCCTGCAGGTCCAGCCAATTGGCTTGGGTGCCAAGAACACCCAAAAGAATACTCCAAGGCAGTGTTCTCAAGTTGATCCATCAGGGTAAACAAAGTAATAAAACATGCTTTTATTTTTATCTCAACCTTTTAAATATTTTATTGTAATGCATATTTCACAAGGTATTGAGTACAAGGTATGCAGGGTACAGGAGTTTGTGGCCATCATTTATAAAGCACTAAGTAGACACATGGAGTGTGTTTCATCATAGCAGGATGTGATCAAACAGATTTGAGTCCTTGGTTTGGATGATCACCTATGACAAAGATTCTCTGCTTGACCAAACTTTAGTCAGTTTTCTGAACCTTCTCCTAGGGCTTCTGAACCTTCTCCTACACTTCCTTGTGACATCTGTTTTAGCAATCCCTGCTTTGTCAATTTAGCGAGAACTCCCCGCCCCTGATATCTGATCCCCCTCGGTGATATCTGATCAGGCTCACCATGCTCCACCATCCCCCATGATGACCTATCACCCCGACCTACCTTCAGCAGGAATCCTGTGAGGTGGCTTAGCCAGAATCCCTGTACCCCTAAAGTAGCCTCTTAGTAATTGCCCATCCACTGACCCCTCCCCCTGGTCCTTGGCTATAAATTTCCACTTGCCTATGCTGTTTTCAGAGTTGAGCCCAGTCTCTCTCCCTCGCTGCAAGATCCTTTGCTATTATCCCTGTGCCTGCCATGGCAGTCCCAAACAAAGTCTTCCTTACTGTGCTTTAACTAATGCCATTGGATATTTTTTTCTTTAACACCTGGAAAGTTGTGTGTGGTTTCCAGGGTTTCTCCAGTAGCCTAGAGCCATTTGGAATCACGAGAGTATAAGGTTGCCTCTACTAGGCCTGGCAACAGAGCCTCAAATATAAAAAAAGATAAAGGGATTAGAAAGCCCCAGGAAGCAGGATTACTGCAGGGCATAGGGCCTGGCCTGCGGTGGGCAGGAAGAACCATGGTAATCAACACATTGGTTGAGCAAATATGATTCTCCACCACTAATCCTTCATGCCATCATCTTACAAACAAACAAAAAAACAGGGAATATCAGTAGGATAGCTCTTGGCCATTCGTGATTGGACAGAGCAGCAATGCAAAGTCAAGTCAGTCTGCCTTTGCAACCTTCCCAAGTGCTTTCGGTACCCACTGCCTCATCACTGTCTCCTCCTGGCCCCTGGTGCCTCAGCGCCTGGCCTCCCAGGAATGTGCTTCATATAGCTGGCTTTTGACCCAAGGCCTGGGGTCCTCAAGGAGCCATTCTCCTGGGAGGCAGAGGCTGGGAGAGAAGATCTCTGAGGCCACAGTGTGGCCCTCCATGAAAAGGTTGGCTGCTCTTCTCAGCCTGAAGCCTCTAACCTTTTCCATCACAAGCTCACTCAGCAGTAGCCCTGGCAGGAGGCTGCACCTGGCATTTGAGAGTGAAAGGGAAATAAATGCAACCATGTGCAAGCACAAACACACCAGAAGGAAGCAAGCCTCCCAGGGTGGAAGGAGCCTTTTTGCTGTGAGACAGTAGGGATGGAAGGCTATTTCAGTCTATTTTCTTAACCTGCTGCCATGGACTCACTCCTCTGAAGTCTCCAGCCCACTCCTACATGGATAGGTCACCATGCAGGAATGGCCCTGTCTAGCACCCATCAATCATCAAGACCCCCTCCAATGGCTCATCCCCAGACCTCTCCAGGCGCTTACACCAGCCTCCACGCCCAGAGCACATGGGCCACCCTCCGTTCTTCCACACATGGCTGTTGCGGTGTGTTTCTCACTAGCTGTGTGTATTACAATGGCAGGAGCTTAGTCTTGTTCATCTTCTTACCATCTGGGCCTTGCACGATGTGTGGCACAAGATATGCAGATCCTCAGCCCACATTTGGGGAATGAATGAATTGTCCACACATAACCTCAGAAAATTACTTTAAAATGTTTAGAATAATGACAGAAAGAGCAGCCATGAGGTCAGTGCAAGTTCCAAGTGGGGTGGTCGCCAGGACGGAAAGTCCCAAAGCAATGAGGCTGAGGAAGGGCAGAGCCCTGGTGAATCTGGAGGGGCAAATTTCCACAGCACTTCCCATGCTCCTGCATGTGGCAGCCAAGCTCACAGTGGAAAAATGCGGGGTGTCCTGACTTTCCTCTTCACAAAGTAACTCACAATCATGCTGCTTTTCCTGATGCATACCTCATTTGGGGTTCTAATTTTTTGTGGAGTGTAAGATGTACACAGGAAAGTGCAAAATCCAGAGTGAGCCTGATGTGAACAAAGTGAACGCATTCAGGTTACACCAGAAGGATAAAGGAAAAAAATGATATCAGCTGCTTCAAGTCCCCTTGTGTCTCTTCCAGGAACTGCCCCTCCAAGGGGTATCCTCACTTCTCTCCACAGTGATTAATTTCAACAGTTGATCTTCAAGTCCTATGAACATGGGACTACGCAAATGTGCTCTCTTGTGTTTGGCTTCTTTAGCCCAATAATATATCTACGATTCATGCATTTTGTGTCGTGTGAATGTTGATTGTTCATTCTCATGCTGTCTAGTATTCACTGGCAAATATACTGTTGGCAATTCATTCATTCTCCTATGATGGAGCATTGGGGGTTTTGCATGTTCAGATATCTACAGTCTTCTAGGCACATGTGAACACATCCCTGGTGGGTGTGCATCTAGAAGCAAATTGCTAGTTTGTACATTTCCACTTCATAGACACTGCCAAACATTTAACAAGGTGTGATACCCGTGTTAATTAACCTTAGAGAAATGTCAATTGACTGTACAGAAAGATACATTACCGTTTCTCTGGGACTGCATAAGAATGCCATTACTCCACATTTTTGCCACTCCTTGGTATTTTCCATCGTTTTCATTTTAGCCATTCTAATTATTTTTTACATTAAATTTTATTTTGAAATAATTATAGGTTCACATGCAATTGTAAGAAATAATACAGAGAGATCCTGTGTGTCCTTTACTTAATTTCACTTAAAAGTAGCATCTTGCAAAATGATAGTACAATATTACACGAGGATATTGACATTGATGCGGTCAGGATGCAAGGCATTTCCATCACCCAGGGACCCCTAATGAGGACTTTTTGTATAGCCACATCTACTTCCTTCCATCCCTAGTCCCTCCTCAGCCCTTCACGACCACCATCTGTCATCCATTTCTATAATTTTGTCATTTCAAGAATGTTAAGTAAATAAAACCATACAATATATAATACTTCAGAATTTTTTTTGTTTCACTCAGTATAACTCTCTGAATATTCATCCAGGTTGTTTCATGTATCAATATTTTGTTCCTTTTTATTGCTAAGTAGTATTTCATAGTACAGCTGTAGCAGAGTTTAACCATTCACCCATGAAAAGTCATCTGGGTTTTTTCTAGTTTGGTGTTATTATGATTAAAGCTGTTATTAACATTTATATGAACATGTTTTTTGTGTGAACATAAATTTTAATTTCTCCAAGATAAATTCCCAAGAGTATAATTGCTGGATCATATGGTAGTTTCATGTTTAGTTTTTCTTAAAGAACCTACCAAACTATTTTCCAGGGTGGTTGTACCATTTTATGATCCCCCCTAGCAATGTATGAGTGGTGCAATTTCTCTGCATTCTCACCAGCAGTTGGTGTTACTGTGGCAGGAGGTGGAATTCAACTTCAGTGGCAGGGCTCAGACACTGGACCAAATTGAGGACTGGCTAAAACAGGTCCAGGGTAGAAGTAGCTTTCCATAAGACACACCCTTCAGTGTGCCATGTCAGTTTACCATTGCCGTGGCAACATCCAGAAGTTACCACCCCTTTCCATGGCAACCACCTGACACCCTCATCTTAGAAATTTCTGCATAAACTGCCCCCTTAATTTGCATATAATTAAAAGTGAGTATAAATATGAGTGCAGCACTACCTCTGAGCTGCTGCTCTGGACACACTGCCTGTGGGGTATCCCTGCTCTGCAACGAGCAGTACCTCTGCTGCTGCCATGCACTGCTGCTTCAATAAAAGTTGGTGTAAAAGTTGCTGTTTAACAAGTCCACTAGCTTGCCCTTTAATCCTTTTCTGGGAAGCCAAGAATCTCCCCAGGCTAAGTCCCATTTTGGGGGCTTGCCTGCCCTGCATCACTGTCACTGTTTTGTATTTTATCGACTCTGACAGGTGTGTATCGATACCTCCTCATGGTTTTAATCACCATTTTCCTAACATCTGATGATGCTGAACACCATTTCATGGGCTTTTTTGCCATATATGAACTTTTAATGCCTTTTGTCCATTTTCTAATTGGGTTATTCCTTTTTACTATTGAGTTCTGATTTTTTTTTTAATTTAGATACTTGTACTTTCTTGAACATGCAGTTTGTGAGCGATTTCTCTCAATCTGTAACTTAGTCTTTTATTCTTTTAACAGGGTCTTTTGAAAAGTAGAAGTTTTTAATTTTAATGAAGTCTAGTGTAACAATTCTTACTCTTATGGACTGGGCTTTTGGCTTTTGGTGTCTTTGCCTAGTCTTACATGTAGAAGATTTTCTATTTTTTCCCAAAAGTTTATTGTAGTTTTATTTATTGTTTTACGTTTTACATTTAAGTCAGTAATGCGTTTTGAGGTTTCTTTGTTTGTTTGTTTTGTTTTGTTCTGTTTTGTTTTGTTTTTTGAGATGGAGTCTCATTCTGTCACCCAGAATGAAGTGCAGTGGCGTGATCTTGGCTCACTGCAACCTCCACCTGCCGGGTTCAAGGGATTCTCCTGCCTCAGTCTCCCAAGTACCTGAGATTACAGGCATGCGCCACCACGCCTGGCTAATTTTTGTATTTTAGTAGAGATGAGGTTTCACCACGTTTGTCAGGCTGGTCTCAAACTCCTGATCTCATGATCTGCCGGCCTCAGCCTCCCAAAGTGCTGGGTATTTTTATATAAAATGTAAAGCTGAGGTCAAGGCTCTTATTTTTCTTTTGTTAAGGATTTTTGGTGTTTATTATAAGGGATTTTGGCAGTTTTCTTTAGTTTTTTTTTTGTACTATCTTTGATTTTTATGTTACAGAAATATTAGCTGTATTAAATGGATTGGGACATGTTTCCCCCTCTTTTGTTTTCTGGAAGAAGTAATATAGAATGTTGATTCTTTTATAACATTTGGTAGAATTCTTCACTGACATCATCTGGTCCTGGTTATTTCTTTTGGGGTTTTAAAATTATGAATTCAATTTCTTTGGTAGTTTAGGCCTATATGAATTATCTACAATAGTATTGTTCCCCTCTTATCTGTGAAGGATATATTCCAAGACCCTCAGTTGATTCCTGAAAGCACGGATAGTACTGAATCTTATATATATTATGTTTTTCCCCCTGGTACATACATACACATGATAAAGTTTCATTTATAAATTAGGCACAGTAAGACATTAACAACAATAACTAATAATATTATCCTTGTGTTGTCTGCTAAGTGTACATTGATATTCCCTGTTTCAGTCCTTATATTGATAAATTGTCTTTCTGTCTTTGTCAGTCCTGCTACAGGTTCATCAATTTTACCAGTCTTATCAAACAACTAGCTTTTTGTTTCATTGACTTTCTCTACTGTTTATTGTGTTTTTTTTGTTTTCATATTCTTGTATTCCTTATGTTACCCTTATTATGTCATTTCTACTGATTGCTTTGGGTTTATTTTGCTCTTATTTTTCCTGATGTTTGATTTGGGAGCTTTAGTTATTGATCTGAAACTTTTCCACTTCTCTAATGTATGCATTTAGTGCTAGAAGTTTCCCTTTTATCACTGCTTTAACTGGTTTCACAAGTGTTGATATGTTGTATTTTTATTTTTATTCAGCTCAATGTACTTTTTATTTCCTTTGAGACATTCTCTGATCAACTGATTATTTAGAAGTATATTGTTTACTTTCCAAGTGTTTAGAGATTTTCCTGTCATCTTTCTGTTATTGATTTCTAGTTTGATTTCATTGTGGTCAAAGAAAATGTTCTGTTAGATCTTAATTCTCTTCCACTTGTTGAGATTTGTTTTATGGCCCAGGACATAGCTCATCTTGGAATATGTTCCATGAGCTCTTGAAAAGAATGTGTATTCTGCTGCTGTTGTGTGGAATATTCCATAAATGTTGATTCAATCCTATTGATTGATGGTATTGTTAAATTATTCTATGTACTTGTTGATTTTCTGTTTAGTTGGTTTATCGGTTGTAGAGATAAGAGTGTTAAAGTCTTCAGCTATAATTGTGGACTTGTGTTTTTCTCCTTTCATTTCTAACAGGTTTTGCTTTGCATATTTTGTAGCTTTGTTGTTTGGTACATACACACCTAGGATTACTACATTTTATGTGAAGAGTTGCTTTTTTATCATTATGCAAAGTTCCTCTCTGTCTCTAGACTAGTTTACTCCTACTTTTCTTTGATTACTGCTTGAATAATATATCTTTTTTAAATTCTTTTACTTTCAACTTGCCTATATTGTTATATTTGAAGTGAGATTCTTTTAGAAAGCATGCATTTATGTAACTTTAAAAAATCCTGGCTATCATTTTATGTCTTTTAGTTATGTCTTTTATATTTAGACCATTTACATTTAGTGTAATTATTAATATTAGGGGCTTAAACTTGACATTTTAATTTCTGCTTTTTGTTTGTTCTTTTTTGTTTGTTTTCTTTTTCATGTTTTCCTGTGGGTTACTTATACATTTTTGGGGTGCCATTTTATCTATTTATCTGTAGTATGTCTGAGAGTATCTCTTTGTATAACATTTTTAGTGGTTGTTCTAAGTATTGTATTTATTACAACGTATGTACACATCTTATTTAGTCTAATAGTGTCATTGAGTGAAATAATATGATGTATCCATGTGAATGAAGTGTAAAAATCATAGCTTCCTTTATATGCCCTTTCTTTTTTATAATAGAGTTGCCTTAAGTATTTGTCTACATACATTTAGAACTACATAAGACAACGTTATAATTTTTTTCTTTCAAACATCAAATGCAATTTAGAAAACCCAAGTGAAAAAGAAAAATGCATTTATTTACCATGTTTTTTACTATTTTCTTTGTTTTCTTTTCTTTCTTCCAAGGTTCCAAGGTTTCTCCTTTAATCTTTTTTTTTCTGTTTGAATAATTCCCTTAGTCATTTTTTTAGGGTAGTTCTGCTGGTGACAAATTCTATTAGTTTACTCTAATCTGAAAATCTTAAATTTTCCTTCACTTTTTAAGAATATATTAATTGGTATACGATTCTTGGTTTATAATTATTTCCTTTAAGCACTTAAAAAATGTGCTACTGCATTCTGGCCTCTATGATTTCTGATGAGAAATATACTGTAATTCCAATTGTTTCTCTCTTGCTGCTTTAAAGATTTTTCTTTGTCTTCAGTTTTCACATTAAATTTCACGTGTCTTAATGTAGGTTTTTGGTTTATGCTGCTTTGAGGTTCACTCAACTTCTTGAATTTGTAGGTCTATGACTTTTGCCAAATTTGGGAAATTTTGGTCATTATTTCTTAGAGTAATTTTTCAGCCTTCCTTTTTCTCCTTTCCTTCTAAGAGATTGATGATATCAAAGGTAGCACTTTTATTGCTTTGGTTTCACAAGTTTTGGAGGTTATGGTTTTTGTTTGTTTACTTGTTTTTTTGTTTGTTTGTTTTTGTCTATTTTCTCTTTGTTGTTTTCTTTTGTTCTGCTTTCCAATTCTCTGACTCTTTCCTCTGTCCTTTCTAATATGCTGTTAAGCCTATTTACTGAGTTTTTTACGTTATTGTATTTCTTAGTTCTAAAATTGTCATTTAGTTCTTTAGTTTCTTTGCTGAGACTTTCTTTTGCTTCAAGCATGTTTATAAATACTGGTTGAAGCACTTTTTAAAATTGTTGCTTTAAAAATTAGGTCAGATAATTCTAATGGCTCTGCCATCTTGGTGTTGGGATCTATTGATTAGATTTTCATTTAGCTTATGATCTTTTACGTCACAATATGACATGTGATTTTATTTGAAACTTGAACATTTTGTTCCCATGTTATGAGACTCCAGATTTTATTTAAATAGATGGCTTTCTCTGAAGTCATTCCTGCAAGGAAAGGGTTGTGCCTCTACATCCCTGCTGAGGGAGGGTTGAGATCCAGGCTCCACACTGACATTGTAGTGAGTTGGGGGTGGTTACTGCCTAGCAAGAATGAAAGCTTCCGACCCCATCCTAGTGGCAGGGGGTGGGATGGGGGTCCTTCAGCCTGTCAAGGGTGGAAGTCCAGGATCCCCACACAGCCTATCTTTGCATGGGTGGGGCTGGTGCCTCAGTTCTTCTGTGATGTTTGGATGGAGTAGAATGGTTATTGTCTTGGAAGGTTGTTCCTTTTCTAGTTCTTTGGCTAGAGAGAGTAAGCTTTATGAAAAATGTTTCATTGTGGTAAAATACATATAACATAAAATTTAACATATTAATTACTTTTATGTGTACTATTTAGTAGTGTTAAGTGTATTTACCAATCTCTAGAACTTGCAAACATCTTACAAAACTGGAGCTCCATTCCCATTAAACAATTATCCATTCATTCGTCCCTACAGCAAGCTGATGATGACTACCATTCTGCTTTCTATTCCTATGAATTTGACTATTTTAGGTACTTCATATAAATGCAGTAATATAGTATTTGTCTTTTTGTGACTGGCTTATTTCACTCAGCATAATATCCTCAAGATTCATTTATGTTGTAGCATGTGTTAGACTATCCTTCATTTTTAAGACTGAATAATGTTCCACTATGCTTTTATGTCACATCTTACTTATTCATTCATCTGTTATTGGACAGAAGGCAGATTTTTGTTGGCTTTTTTCTTGACTGTGCTGATTGACATTCTGGGTTGCTAACTTTTTCACCTCCAAGTCTGGAATATATAAGGCAAAAGGAAAACCAAGGGAACTTGCTGCCATATAATTTATTGGGTCCTGAGATCCTTAATCAGTTTGTCTTATTCTCTCCACCTCTCTAAGTCTTCTTATGTTTGTCTCATTCATAATTTCCAAAGTTTTAGCTGTACTTGTTGAAAGAAATAGTGCCAAGTATATCTGTTCTGTTTTCTGGGAAGTAGAAGTTCTGCAGTTGATTTTTATGTTAGTTTATAATGAGTATGCTACTCTTTTTGAAAATGTTTTAAGCCATCCTAAAAATCTATTTTCTTACTAAATCAGACAAGACCTTTTTAAATTTAAAGTGCATACAATTTTGCCTTTTGGGACTTGAACTCTTAATAGTTCCACAGTTCTTATTTTGAAGATATTAAATTTGTTTTTAAGGGGATTGTAGCAAAAGGGCTATTTCCTCCGTTTATAAATCTTGGTTTCTCCTGTTAATACTAGCTATCTGGTGAGTGTCTCATAACGCTTATGTGTGTTGAATTTGAAACCATGGACACAAATCTGTTACTGGACTGTGGCTTGCAGAAAGACTGGAGATAAATTCTTTCAAGAGTCTCTTAGATTGCTTACAGCTATAACTTTTATTGACTTTCGAACACTTCATAAAATTTAAATTTACTGATGAAACAATTTGTTATAGATCTTTAGAAAAAGAACAGAGGTAGGGTCTCATATTTCTCCACCAATCTGCAAAGCCTCTGGATGAGCAATGGAAGTGGGATGGATATCTTTTTGAGGGGTCAGTGAAATTTACTCTAAGTGAAAAATCTTCCATTTGAAGGATAGTATGTATAAATAAATCTTGAATTTATAGGCTCTTTCCATAAAATTCACACAAGTTTTTTTTTTTTTAAAAGAACTCTTCTGCACTGAAAAATATAATCCATAAGGATACTGTAAAACAGTTTGCGGTATTACTGAACCACAATGATTTACCTATCTTCTTGAATAGAATGTTATGATAGAACCACAAGGCAACAGACATTGCAACCGCTCAAATGAACAAGTGACTGGCTCCAGGGGAAAGATGAAAATAAAACTAAATCATAAATGCTTTTTCTTGCATCATTTCTTCTTCTGAAATTTTAAAAATCAGAAATAAAAAATTCAGAGTGGCTTAACTTTTATTCCTGCAGTACTAACGTGAAAGGCAGAAGCTACTAGGAGTCCAGGCACCTGATTTTGAGTGCAGTGTCACTTCTCAGCACAGAATTTAATACTCATTTCAGAGAATTTAATACTCATATTAAAACAAGATGGCCTTGAACAATGAGGCCTGGTGATAGAGAATAGGTGTAAATCCCAATGCTTTGGTGTATGGAGTTCATATTAGAACCTTTTATGATTTGTGGAATCATCGCTAAGTGTCCTTGATACATCCTACCTGAATGACTGCAGTCTCTAGCTAAGACCTCAGCAACTTAAATGAATCACTTCAAGACACTGGTTAGTTATCTCTTGCTGAATAACAAACTGCACCCACACTTACAGCATATAACAACCGTTTCATTATATCTCACAGTTTTGTGGATCAGGAATTCAGGCAAGTCTCAGCCAAAAGACTCTTTTGCTCCCCATGGAGTGACTGGAGCACTTAGGGTACTCAGCTCATCAAGTGGTTGATCTGAAGGGTGCAGGTCAGGTTAATTCACATGCCCAGCTGCTTGGCACACATGTCTAGGAGGCCCCGTTCTTCTTCCAGGTAACCCAGGGACTCTTCTCCTTTCCTCTGAAGCAGAAAGGTTGGACTTCTTACATGGAAACGAAAGCATCCAAGAGCAGTCTCCTAGGAGACTGAAGTGGAAGCTGCAAGCCTTCTCATGACCTATCCATGGAACTCCAGAACGTATTCTCTTTTGCATGCAAGCATTCAAGTGGTCAAGCAAGTCACCAAAACCAGCCCATTTTCAAGTGTATGGGAACTGGACCTCACTTCTCAATGAGATAAGTGGCAGAGAATTGGTGCCATCTTTAGTGACAATCTCATTTTTCACCATCACAGGTAGCATAGTAACCCTGAATTTTAAAAAATTAAATCAGCACTAGTAAAGATTCCAGCATGAAACAGCAAATAAACATATTCTGTATTCTTGGTAAGATTCAGAAACTTTCAAATATTTGAATAACAAAGGTATCTATGGAGCAGACACTCCAAGGCAGATTGGTATGAGGCATCCTTCCTCCAAGTCTTACATGCAAAACATCTAAGAAATGCTGCCCACATTGCTGGGGAGGAGACTGGGCTGCGGGTGCCACCACTACACCTGAACCCGTCTTAGCTCCTGCTACTGGATGATGTTTATTAAATATTGACTCTAAAATGGCTGCTGTGAAAACCATAACACCTGACTCAGTGCTAAGTACCTCATCTGTCACTTAAAGTCTCCATAGCACCACTATGGGGTTGGTCAAGTTCTGGGGATAACTCTCTTTCAGGCTTGGACACAGCTGCCTTCTCAATCTGTCCTCATGTGTTGAAGAGAGCCCTGATGTCTCTTTCTCTCCCCATAAGACCACTAATCCCATCATGGGACTCTGCCCTCATCATGTCATTTACTACTAATTAATATCTTAATATGTTCCTTAAGGTGCCACCTCCTAACACCATTACATTGGAGGTTAGGGTTTCAACAGTCAAATTTAGGGGGAACAGAAACATTCAGTCCATCTGGAAATATGTCTTGTTAAGTGTCTCTTATCCCTTGAGGTGGCCATCAATAAATATTGATTGAATGAATAAATGAATGAATGAAACAAAGCATTTACGAAAAGTAATTGACAATATCCAAATTGCAGTACTGATGGCCAATTGAGATACGTGGTATGGCAGTTGAACCCCTAAATTTGCGTCGAGCTTGATATGTGACCCCAGGCCAACCATGTGTGTGGCCCCAAACAGAGCTGCTCCACCTGTAAAGTATTGACATTGAGGAGACCTCAATGTCTTTTAGTGTCTTTTAGTGCCTGTATGGTGAGGACTAAGGAAACACAAAGACCTTGGAGAAGTACTCATTTTAAGGAACATTTCACAGCTTTTGTTATTTCAAAGAGAGACCCTGAACTTGTCTGCAGATCACATATATAATCTAGGCAGGGTAGAAAGTTCTGCTTCCCTAGAGCCCCTGACACCCAGTAGAGTTTCAGAGACTGCACAGCCACACCATTTGAACATTTTATGGAGCTTTAAAAAAATCCAATTTTATTATTAGCAAAAAGTTCGATTTTAGTAGCTATCTATCTATTTTGAAAATGTCAATGGTATTCTAAAGGAAACAGGAGCAGAATTTGTCTTCCCTGAAATTGAATTCCTGTTTAATAGATAAACCTTTATTGATGCTGCAGCCTCTGAGGAAGCACAAGGTTTATGAGGCCTGGATGGTGACGAGGAGCTCAAAGACAGAAGGGATGAACAAGGACAAGGACAGATTTGCTGTTTGGCAACTAACGCTGAGACTAGGGAATACAAATGGCCCGGGAGTCAAAGTTTCTGCTGAGGCCTTCTTGTAAGGATTGCAGCCATAACTCAGCATGGTTTGGAGCTAGGGAGAATGTCTCATAGAATCTGGTGACCAGAGCATATGTGCCTTTTGCACCTTACAAACACAACCCCGCAAATGTTTTAGGAGAGTCAGGACCATGATAGAAATTTGCAATCTGAAGGAGACTGATATGCAAAGAGATCCCAGTTGTTGGGGTCTGTGGCACACGCATGTCTGCCTGACACTCAGCCTCAAACTGAGTTGGTGTTCATGGGCAGCTTCCTGGACATTCAGGCCCCTTCTGGACTAGTCAGAAGAGCAGCCTTTCTGAGGTCCCCATTCACTCTGCCACTCATGTTCAGCCCATCCATAACAGGTTGGAAGTATATAATCATTTGCACTGAAGATGAGACCCTCCTTTATATCTAGTAATTAACTCCTTCCAAGCCAGAAGTCTTTTCATGTCCTCCTTTCTCTGCTGGACATAATCTATGCATGTAATGCCAGTATTGACTGACAATATTAGCAGAGCCTGGCACATAGTAAGTGCTCAGTAAATTTAACTGGGATGTGCCAATAAATGGGAACAGGGGTATCTGTGTTCACTATAAACTTAGGTCAAAACTAACAATAATAAATTAAACAATAATTGTAACCAATATACAACTAAGAAGTAGAGCACACTGTGGTGGGGGTCTTCTTAGCTCCCACAATAAAGCTGAAAGATGAATAAATATGCTGGACAGCCAAAAATTTCTAAGACAGCCAAAAATTTCTAGATAAGATTTTATGGCACAAGTCTTGTAGCCAGTCACCTTTCACAGAGTAAAATACCAGCAAGCACTACTCTCAGGGGTGTGTGTATGTGCACAGGCATACACTCCTAGAATTTCAGACTATGAGATGGACAAGCAGAGTCTTATTTATAGTTCCTCCTCTGACTTTTCCTGACTATAGTAGTAAGTCCCTCCTCTTTGAAACCTTCTTCTATAAAACACGAATACTATGACTTTGCATGTGTGTTTGTGTGTGTGTGCTGTCTGTCTACACTGTACACAGACTGTTAGTGTAGGTGAATTGATATTATTCATGACTTAGAAAATTGTTTATTTGCCCCTTATGTTCAAACCATGATATGATGATTGCATTATTTTAATTCTTTCAATATTTTTGGTCCTCCAATAGAATTCTATACTTTTGTCAATTAAGTCTCATTTTTAATGAGATGTATCTTAAATTTTGTCTCTTCTTCCTTATCTATTCTGTTTTCAACCACCCCAATCAGGCCTTCTTCAAGGTCTTGTCAGGATCACCAATGAATTGCCCACAGCCCACTGCATTGCCCCTTCTTAGAACTCTTTGTATCCAACCTCTCCATGGGCACCAAATTGGGCCTGCCCAATATGGACACTTGAGTCCCCATCACTCTTAAATCAGCTCCTTACCCTGTCTTCTCCATTTCAATAAAGGATGCATCATTTGCCCACTTGCTCCAACCCAAATTCTAGGAGACTTGAATTCCTCTTTCTCAAATCCGACATTCAATACAAAAGTAAGTCATATTGTTTCAAACTTTAAAACATTTCCCAAACTTGAAAGTTCCTGCCATTTTCACAGGCATAACCGAGTTCATCATGTTTTTTATTTTTTTCCTAGAAAACATCAGTAGCCTCTTGTCTTTCTTCTGTACAGTCAGTTTTACACACACCATCTAGAATGAACTTCTGGAAATGTGAATCTGGTTATACCATCTCTCTATCCAAACCTTCCAAGGATTCCCATTGGACTTGCTCTAAAATCCTGACTCCTTCCTATGGCCCCAAGTCCCTAAGTTATCTAGCCACCTGGGCTGGACTGTGTTTCTCAAAGATGATCAAACCTACCTATTTATCTCATCCCACATGCTCTCTTAATGTGGCTGATGCTCCTACCACTCTTTAAAGAGTGGTCTGGTCTCTACAGGTCTGGACTTTGACTGGTAGAGTACAGCAAAATTCAGATTGGTTGAATTACAAGGCTATGTTGTATAAAGAATGCAGCTTCCTCCTAGATCTCTCTCTCTCTCTCTTTCTTTGCTTACCTTTAGAACTCAGCTACCATGTTGTGAGGAACTGAGGCCCCCAGCCAACAGTCAGCATAAATTCACCACCCTTGGGAGGGAGCTCCTTTGACAGTGGCTCCTGCAGCCCTGGTCAAGCCTTCAGATGATGGACGTCCAGCTGACCTGTGACACAAGAGACTCTGAGCCAGAACCACAGATGAGCCTCTCCTGAACTGTTGGCCAACAGAATTCACGAGAGATAATAAGTTACTGTTATTGCTTTAAGCCACTTAGTATTGGGCTGACTTCTTGTGCAGCATTTAACAACTAACGTTGCCTAATGCTCTGACTCTGCTTCAACCACTCTGGGTTGCTCAAAAAGTCAAGGCTTATTTCTGCCTCAGGGACTTTGTATTTCTTACTCTTTCCAAATAAAATTTTTCTTTCTCATATTGCCACATGGTAACTTCCTTACCTCATTAAAACATCTGTTCAAATGTTATATACCAGGAGATCCTCCCTCAGCACTTAAACAGCAAAAAAAAGTCCCCTTCCTGCCTCCACAGTCATTTTCTAGCCTATTTTCTCACGATTTTTTCTTCACTGCACATTACTGTAGCTGAGACTATATGTTGATGTATTTATTTAATTATCTGTCTTCTCATTAGAATATAAGCTTCATGAAGGCAGAAATTTTAAGTTTTATTCAACAGGTTCACCAGAGCCCAGACAAAAAAAA
The DNA here is from genome assembly GCF_000001405.40 of Homo sapiens. Taxonomy (NCBI): domain Eukaryota; kingdom Metazoa; phylum Chordata; class Mammalia; order Primates; family Hominidae; genus Homo; species Homo sapiens. The sequence continues at coordinate 24,180,889 of NC_000020.11, forward strand.
AACACAACACCTCAATTAAAACATGTTAAATAGATATTGAAATAACTCAATCATTTCCTGGGTTCTTTTCTAGGATTCCATCAGGGAACCCTAGTCAACACCATATGGAGAAAAAGAACCACCTGGCTGAGCCCAGCCAGAATCCCTGACCCACTGATTGTGAGCAAAATAGAATAAATGGTTTTGTCTCTGTTTTGGGGGTGTTTATAATAAAATAATAGTTTACATGAACAAAAGGCTTCCACCCTTTTATTCTCAATATCAGTTCTTGGTCCTCTTCCCTGAAATATTCCTAACCATTCATTTCAGGGGCCTGATACCAAAGACAGCCTTAAGAAACCCTGATAGAAGCTTTTTCTGCCTAGCAGAAAGCACAGATACATCAAGAAATAATTAAAGTCACACTCTCAATTCTTAACTTCTTTTAATTGAGATCATCAAAGAGAAACAGATTTCATTACATGCACAGCATGTGGGCTACCTTTTCTGGAGTTCATGCTTTATTCATTCAAATGGTTTCATTTCACCCAGTGTTTTGTTGCAAATAAGTGACTTAAATTGAAAAAGAAGAGAGGACAGAATAATTTAAACTGAAAAATAAAATCTAATACTTGGAAGATTGTTCTGTCAGGAGTGAGAATTTAAAACTAAATTTTTAATGGCCAATGTAAAAATTTAATATACTGCATGTACCTCTGGAGGAATGATATATTTAATTAAAGTCAGACAGCCAAGACAACATTCGCTATAGAGACACACATCTCTCCAAATGGAAGTATGCCTTTGCAACAAGTTTTCTACTCTTTATTGTTTAAGGATTTTTCCCTTTCATTTTTAATAACATATCTTTTAAATATATTTTACTGTTATCTCTAGCACTTCTGTTGTTAGAAATGTCAGAGATTGCTGAAATCTATAATGAAAAAAAGACATTAATCTATAATTCTAGCACCTTGTTGTAACCACAATTAACATCGTTTTCTTTCTATTCTATTTCTATATCTATTCATGTACATTCCCTTTCTAAGACTTAAAGAATGTATGTATTGCCTCACACATAAACCGACAACATCACTGGCTTTTGCTGTGATTTTTTTTCATTGGTGAAGTATGTATTTATTCTATTAGATATCAAAGTAGTTCAAGGTGGATAATTTGTCCTGAGATTCCTGGACTGGACTGACCAGCTGGCATAGACCAAGCTCTGGTGACCGTTTATGTCATCAACAACTATTTGGGCATAGGCTCCGCAAGGTAACATAAGGGATAGAGATTAATATAAAATATGGCACCTGCTGTTAAAGGGCTGCTGGGTCAATAGGAAAACACTGGCTACAATATGAGTATTTTATTCTAATATGATAAATGCAAAAACAGAAATATGTCCCAGGTAACAAAGAGGTAGGAGGAGAGATCATTACTGCCCTTGGTACTGTTAGAGTTAGAGTATCCTGGCTAAATTACATTAATTGTCTATAATTAAAAGAAATAATTATTCCAAAATGAAAAAAAAAGCAGGACCACGGGGTGGCTCACGCCTGTAATCCCAGCACTTTGATTGACTCTAGCATGTGCTCCCCTATGTTCAAAGATTAAGTAACTTAATCTTCCCATAATGAATTTACAAGGGTTGTACAACTGTTATCCCCATTTATAGCTGAGAAAACTGAGGCACAAGCCATGCAATTAACCCAGTATACACCAGTATTGTGTAACAAAGTCAGGCTTTGAAGATAAATTGTCCCAGAGACTAAGGCATTGAGTAAGCACAGAGGATGAACCACACAGAATCCTTCATGTGAGCCACCATGCGCATGAAGCACCTACTGTATGTCTAGGACCCAATGATGGATTCAAAATCATAACATACACTGTCCTGCCCTTCCCTATTCTCAGGAATTCTACATACTTATTAAGAATTAAAGATGTGCATATATTAGCAAATTCCACAAACATGTCTACAATTGACAGCATGAAGAGATGATTGTTTGTTTATAGAAGGAGAACATTGTGAGAGCGAGAAACTTTATTCAACAGAATAAAATTTAACAGCCACTTACAGATATTTCAATAATCAATTTTGATGTGGGACAGAAATATTTTGAACCATAAACCTTAGAATATTATTAAAAAACTAATGAGAATTTGAGACCCTAAGTAAATCCCAAGATTGCGTTTTTTGGGTTTGTTATGTGATGCTTTAGCTTAGAACTCTTTAGAAAATCACAACGGGGCTGGGCATGGTGGCTCATGCCTGTAATTCTAGCACTTTGGGAGGCCAAGGCAGGAGGAATGCTTGAGTCCAGAAGTTCGAGATCATCCTGGGCAACAAAGCAAGACCCCCGTCTCTACCCAAAATTGAAAAACTAGCCAGTTGTGGTGGCACATGCCTGTAGTCCCAGCTACTTGGGAGGCTGAGGCGAGAGGATCACTTGAGCCAGGAGTTCCAGGTTGCAATGAGCTGTGATCACACCACTGCAGTCCAGCCTGGATGGCAGAGTGAGAGCCTGTCTCAAAAAAAAGAAAGAAAGAAAGAAAGAAAATCATGATGTTGAATGAAGTGATTGAGCCAACTGCTGTGCTGAGTCTATGCAAAACAAACATCTCATGGGACAACTCATGTCCCAACCATCAGACATTCTCAACATCTCACCCACTCTGGCATTATTCAATTTAGCACATATCTTTCCTGGCTTTCATGACCAGTTGAGTACATAAAATATCCCCAGAGGGTCCCAGAAGTTGTGAAGCTGTAGAAGTGAAAACACATTAGACCAGTACTCACTGCTCGAAATGTCTCAAAGGCAAGAGCAGGTGGCCACCAAGGAAAGAGGCGCTTTGTTTGTTGTTTTAAAAACTAATCATCTCCACGGCAATAATGCTGTTGGCAAATGTTTTCTTTCACAATTCCATATTTAAGAATATTACTTTGGAAGTTATAAATTGCCAGTTATTATTTGATTATCTCAGCTTGGAGTTTGCTACATAATGACTTCCTCAGTAGGATGCCGAGCTGCTAATTCATAACCTCCTTCTGAAAAAGCTTTTCAGGAAATTTGTAACAAATCCATTAAATTAAAATGAATTTGTGCTATATTGAGAAGTAACTGAACCATATGGGGCCAATCCAAATAACATTCTTTCTTTTTCTTTTCCTCCAACCCAAAGAACATTCATTCCATTTACTTCTCTTGAGTGAGGAGGCATGTGCTGTTTTTAAGGGTCATGATCTTCATGATTCTTGCAGAGGGAAATCAAATCTTGTCATGAGATCCATTTAAAAGTTTTCTCTCCTGTGAGATATGGGTCCAGTTACAGTCTGTCATGCTTTGTAGAGAGTGCAAGCTGCAAATACTTCAAAAGTGCATTTATGATTTGGAGTTACCACTCTAAAGGGCAGCAGTTTGCAACCCTGGCTGTAGCTGGGGAGCTGTTAAAAACCTGGATGTGCAGGCCACACTCCAGAGCAATTAAATTAGAGCCTCTAGTGGGGAGCCCAGGCATCAGTATTTTAAAAGCTCATCATGTGCTTTAGATGTGCAGTGAGGGGCAGTGGTTTCCACATTTGAGTGACTGCATCCATGTTATGTGGAGCACTTGGTAAAATACAGACTGCTGCCCCCTCAGCCCTTGTTTCTGATTGAGTCAGGTATGGATGGAGTTGAGAATCTGCTGCTTGTCTGGAGATCACACTCCCTAGAAGAAAGACCTGAGGCCCACTCAGAAAACCCAGATCCAAATCCCAGTAGCTAAAAACACGTGAGAATCATTTTCAACATCTGCAAAAAGGGGCAAAGTAATTCATCCTTCCAATCCTTCTGAAAGAATTAATTGTAAATAAGGTTGGTGAACACTCTTGATAAAACTTAAGGTTTGCAATATTTGGGTTCTTTTAGGTTACAATGAATAAAAATCTCTTCAGGGATAATATTCAAAAAGGTAAAGATCATGGCTTTAATGAAAATAAAAATGTGCCCATGATTTTATTTATTAGCTAATGATCTAAGACACAAAAACAGATTCAAGGAACTATTAGGCTACCAAGAGGCTGAAATGATTTGTTAATAGATGCAAAACTGGGTAATATTTTAGGCACTCAAACGTAACGTTTGGGAAAAGATTGAATGTTTTGATTATCCTTCCCACAGCCCAGAAATTAATTCCACCTCCTGAAGGGAAAAATATTAGCATTGCCCTGAAAGGAACTGCTTACATCACAATGGACACAAAACATCTGCATCACAATGGACACCAAATATCACTCTTAGCCCTCCAGAAGGCTATTTCTTTTTTCATTTGTTTTTGTTTTTGTTTTTGTTTTGAGACGGGAGTTTCGCTCTTGTTGCCCAGGCTGGAGTGCAATGGTGCAACCTCAGCTCACTGCAACCTCCGGCTCCCCAGTTCAAGCGATTCTCCTGCCTCAGCCTCCGAAGTAGCTGTGATTACATGCGCCCGCCACCACGGCAGACTAATTTTTTAATTTAATTGTTTTTGTTTGTTTGTTTTTGTATTTTTAGTAGAGATGGGGTTTCACCGTGTTGGCCAGGCTGGTCTGGAAATCCTGACCTCAGGTGATCCACCAGGAGGGTACTTCTATTTCTAGGAATTGCAAAATAGCCTGGCTGAGGACAGTTAAAGACATTCACACCATAGAATTAGACAGTCCCTGGAGGTGCAGTGTCCTGCATGGGAGGGTTGAGACCAGTGGTCTTCTCTGTTCTTTTCAAAAGACAGCCATAATGATGAAATTAGGAAATTTATAGTCTCATGATTTCTCATAACAGTGATCCCTACTTGTCTTCTGAGAGACAAATTACCTTGGCTTTTGTTTTCCGTGTTCCTTTTCTCTGCCTTTGGTGAAAGCCACAAGCCTCTATACCTAGCTTTCTACAACTAAGACTAGAAAGGAGACTGGGCTAAAGAAGCAAGTGCCTGCTTGATTCTGGGAATCCTACCCACCAGGCACTGCCTGAGACATGCCTCCTTGGATCCCATTCATACATTATTTGTAAAATATTAAAAATAATAAAAGTCAGCCATTTGAAAAAAAGCAAAGAGACAGGAAGCTATACTTTCTTAAGTGACTCAACCCAAAATCTCTAGGGAGAACATGTGCAAAATCTCTAGAGAACATGAAGAAAACTCAAGTAGAGAGAGTAGAAAAAAGATAAAATCACAGCATACTGTTATTTTAGAAATCAAAGTGGAGAATAAGATATCTCACTGTGTCTTGGATTTGCATTAGCTGGTGATTAGTGATGTTGAGCATTTTTTATATGCTTGTTGGCCACCTGTATGTCTTCTTTTGAGAAGTATCTGTTCTTCTCTTTTGCCCACTTTTTAACGGGGTTATTTGCTTTTTGCTTGTTAAATTGTTTAAGTTCCTCATAGATTCTGGATGTTAGACCTTTGTCAGATGCATAGCTTGTGAATATTTGCTCCCATTCTGTAGGTTGTCTGTTTACTTTGTTGATAATTTCTTTTGCTGTGCAGAAGCTCTTCAGTTTAATCAGATCCCACTTGGCAATTTTTGTTATTTTGCAATTGCTTTTGAGAATTTGGTCAAAAATTCTTTCGAAAGGCTGATGTCCAGAACGGTATTTCCTAGGTTTTCTTCTAGGATTTTTCTAATTTGAGACTTTACATTTAAATCTTTAATCTGCCCTGAGTTAATTTTTGTATATGGTGAAATTAGGGGCCTAGTTTCATTCTTCTGCATATAGCTAGTTAGTTATACCAGCACCATTTATTGAACAGGAAGTCCTTTCCCTATTGCTTCTTTTTGTCAACTTTGTTGAAGACCAGGTGGCTATAGGCGTGCTGCTTTACTTCTGGGTTCTTTATTCTTTTCCACTTGTCTATATGTCTGTTTTTGTGCCAGTACCATGCTGTTTTGGTTACTATAGCATTCTTAGGCATCTTAGTAGGTATTACCAACTCTCATAAATTGCTCTCCATTATTTTTTTATAGAGAGATAGTTTCCTTTCCTCTTTTCCAACTGACAACTTATATTCATTATTATATGCAAACCTCAAGTACAATGTTGAATAAAGGTATTAGTGGGTGTCCTTATTATGCTCTTTATTTTAAAATAAATACATCTAAAGTTTCTTCATTTAAAGTAATGTTTGCTGGATGCTTTAGGAACATACTTTATAGGCTAAGAGAATTTTTCCCTATTTTTCAGCTAGTAAGAGTTTTTATCATGAAGAGATTTCAAATTTTATCAAATATGTTTTCTATATATATTGAGGTGACTATTAGAATTTTCTTTAATATGCTAATGTGGTGAATTACATTTATAAATTTTTATAATGTTAACTTCCTGCATTTTTAGAATAAGCTTCAACCCGATTATAATATTTTAACTTTTTAATAAGTTACTCTATTTGGTTATTTTCTATATTGCTTAAGGGTTTTGCATTTACGTTCATAATCATGTTTAAGCAATAATTTCTTGTTCTTATACTTTCCTTTTTAGATTATGATATTACAGTTACCATTGTTGAGTAATGATCCTTATTTTTCTCTCCTTGGAAGAGTTTTATCATGTTGGAATGATCTGGTCTTTAAAAGACAGATTCAAATTTTATGTAAAATGGTTTGGTGTGTTTGGGATTTTGTGTGTGTGTGTGTGGAAAGATTTTGAAATATTGATTCAATTTCCTTAACAATAAAAGGATTTTATTTAGATATATATTCTGTTGGCAGAGTTGTACGTTGTGTTTTTTATTATCTTTTAATTAGCTTTTTAATCTCTGCTACACCTATTGTTATGCTTCTTCCTCATTCATTTTTTTTTTCAAAATAGTTTTGAAATGTAGTGTTTTTATTATATTTAGTTGTAATTAATTTTAAAGATTCATTTTGATTTCTTCTTTGCCTTATGTGTTATTTAGAAGAATATTATTTAATTACCAAAATTATAGTATTTCTTTTTCTCTTTTTGTAAGTGATTTCCAACTTAATTGCATTGTGGTCAGAGAGAATGACTCTATGGTGCTAATTTCTTTGAAAAGTTTTGAGCTTTATAGCCCAATATATGTTTGATGTATTTTTCTAAATATGATTTATGTGTGCTTGAGAGAAACACATATTCTCTATTCATCAAATCAAGGGTGGTAATTGTATGGTCCAAATCTTTTAAATTCTTACTAATTCTCTGTTTAGTTGACCTCTTAATAATTAATAAATATGTCAAAATATCCCACTATATTAGTGATTTGTCCTTTTACCCCTGGAGGCCTGTCAAATATACACTATATATACATAGAACTATTTTATAGGTATGTAAAAGTTTTTATTTATTGTATAATTCTTATCATTTAAACACTATTATTAAAGCTTCAATTTACCACATTTTCATAGTAAAATATCTTTTTTTAATATTATGACAGCAACCCCAGCCTTCATTTGGGTAATATTTGCCTGCAATATCTTTTTAAACTCCTTCCATGACCTTATACCTGACCAGGAATACTTTGTAGATATTTTGCTAAAATTCCATCTATTGGGATTTGTCTGGTGTTTTTCTCATAATTATATTAGGGGTCATTGGTTTCTGCCAGGAAGACTGCAGAGGTAAATTGATATTTCATCACATTGTATCAAGGGTGGATACAATCTACATGACTTATCACCCTTGATGTTGACCTGGCTGAGGTAGTGTTTGTCAAGTTTCCCCACCTCAAAGTTACTCTCCTCTCAACCCCCTTTTCCATACTGTACTATTTTGGAGGCGGCACCACTCATATTTAGGGAATTAGGAGTTATGCTTCATCTTCCTGAAACTGGAATATCTGCATATATTATTTGGAATTCTTATGCATAGGAGACTTATCACCAGTCCCCATTTATTTATTTGTTCAATCATATCTTTCATGAACTCATAGTTTTTTTTTTGCACTTTGGGTTATAATCCAATGTTAGACTACTTTATGTTATCAAATTATTCCAACCTTGGCTATTGGGAGTTTTTTGGTCAGTCCCTGTGCTTTTTTGACAAACCCTCATGAATGTAGCTTTATTTTACCTATTTCTTACTTTCTTGCATCACAAGGCGCTCCAGTCTCTATTTCGTATATTCCCTATCCCTGTCTTAGAATCAGCTCTTTTGCCAAGAAGCTGTGGTTCCTTACATTGGAAAACGGTATTTGAAACCAAGATGTGAGCTTGTAGTGTGATCATTGCTGCTGGGATGTGGTCTTTTCTAAGCTACCTCAGCTGACAGAGCAAGGAAACATGTGTATATGAATGTTTATACCATGTGTCTATGTATAGATGCACACACATATATAGGCTGATGTATACATATACATAAGCTAGTAAACCACATCCCAGCAACAATAATCACACCTCAAGCTCAGATATATATACACACAAACACACGTGTATATATATATATATATATATATATATATTTGAGCTTGTAATGTGATACATATGTGTGTATGTAATGTGATGTGTGTGTATATATATGTATATATAAAAAACCACATACATACATATATGTATATATGTGCATATATGTATAACCACATTCCAGGAGCAATGATATATATACACATATATGTATCTATGTGTGTATATGTACATGTATACACATATACATATATGTGTGTACACTCGTACATGCATACACATGTGTGTACACTTGTACATGCATACACATGTGTGTACACTAGTACATGTATACACATGTGTACCTGCATGTATACACACATACATACATACTAGCCCATATATATGTACACGCCTATATATAAATGTTTTGATATAATCATTTGTATCTATACTTAACTAAATAGGAGTTAATACTGATGTTTCCAACTAAGTCCATTATCATGTAAATCATTATAGCCTCCTCCCCTTGCTTGTTGGTAAACTCCCACTCTAACAGTGAGAAACTTGGCTTCCACCATCCACCACCATTTACTTAATTGTTCAATTCCAGTACACATGTAAAATAGTATCAGAATTGTTGACTCCTATTCCCATGGGAAACAATGTTATTAACTAGAGCACAGTGCTTAAATTCAGTTCCTTCACCCTTAGTTTCACATACTCCACTAGGATTTCCTGTTATGTCTTCCAAAGTTAAACAGTCGTCATAAGGATTCCTACCGAGCAATACAAAATTAATTGAAATCCCATCTTTATCATTTATAAATATTAGATCTCACTTCTGAGCCTTTATATGTTTCAATGATTTATGTATTTTTATGCAGATGTTTTAATTATTATACCTTTATTATGTGTTTTAATAACAGGTAATACACACATTTCTTCATTATTTTTGCTTAATGTTTGTTAAATATGTTTAATATTTAAAATGTATTCCCATTAGTCCTGAAAATTATCTTGTATATTTTCACAGTTTGTTTCCAACCATCTGGCCCTATGAAATACTTTCTGTCCCTACCTGTTCTAGAATTTCATCAAGATGAAATAACACAGTTATATATGCTTTCAGGCCAGCTTCTTTTGCTCAACATGATGATTTTAAAATTCATCCATATTGTTGTGTGTATTCATTAGTTAATTCTGGTTTATTGATAAGTAGAATTTCATTGTGTAAATTTACTACAATTTTGATGAACATTTTGGGTTGTTTCCAGTTTTGACTATTATAGGCAAAGTTTCTATTAATATTCTTATATAAACTTTATTGTAAACATTATATTTTATTTTGAGAATATCTAGGAGTCAAATTTCTGGGTCATATGGTCAGTGTTTTTTAACTCTTATTTTTAACAGCTTTATTGAAATATAATTGAGATTATACAATGTAACCACCCAAATGTATAATTCAGTGATTTAAAATCTATTTTCTGTTATTCCACCATGACTGCTATGAATTTTAAAACATTTTCATCACCACAAAAAGAACCTACACAACTTTTAGCAGTTAGTTCCCATTTCTCTCTGACATCCATGGTCCTAGACAATCATTAGTCTACTGTATATCTTTCCTGATTCACCTATTCTAGACATTTCATACCAAAGGAATCATTTGTGTTTGGGGCACTGGCTTCTTTCACTTAACATGTTTTCAAAAAGTACACTTACTTATATTGAATAATGTTTTGACATTTTATTCCTTTTTATGTCAAATAGCATTCTATTGTAAGGATATACCGCACTTACTTATCCACTCATTTGTTGATGAATATGTAGTTCTTTTCCACTGTTTGGTTGCTATGAATAATGCTTCTATGTACATTTTCACACAAGTCTTTGCATGAACATGTTTTCATTTCTCTTGTGTATATACCTGGGGGTGAAATTTCCAGTCATATGGAAACTCTGCTTAACATTTTGAGCAAAGGCCAAACTGGTTTGCAAAGCAGATATACCATTTTACATTTCCAATAATGTGTGAGGGTCCCACCTCCTTCACACTCTTGCCTACACTTTATATTGTTCATCTTTCTTAATTTTAGCCATCCTAGGGTATATGAAGTGATATCACCTTGGTTTTGATTTGCATTTCCCTAAGGGCTAGTGATGTTGAACATATTTTCCTGTGCTTATTGGCCATTAACATATCTTCTTGGCAGAAATGTTTATGTAGATCTTTTGCCCACTTTTAGTTCATTGTATGTTCTTTTTATTGTTAAGTTATAAGAATTATTTGTATATTTTGGATCCTAGACTTGTATCTGATACAGTCAATCCTCATTATTCACAGATTTTGTGTTTGTGAATTGCCTACTTGCTAAAACTTTTTGGTAGCTTCAAAATCAACACTCACAGTGCTTTCACAGTTATTCACAGATATGCACAGGGTGGCAAAACGTTTGAGTCACTTGGCATGCAGCTTCCCAGCTACAGTTCAATAAAATGATGCTTTACCTTGATGTTTTAGCTCTCAGACCGTAAACAGTTGTCCTTTTTTTGTCTACTGAATGCCATGATTTTTACATTTTTATGCTTTTTGTTGTTGTTGATTTCTCTGTTTTATAGGGGCTGTGTTGATGTGCTGACTACTGTCCCTAAATGCAGGAAGGCTGTCAAGTCCCTTACATAGAAAATACTTGTGTTAGATACATAGCATTCAGGCATGAGTGATAGTGCTGTTGGTTGTGAGTTCAATGTTAATAAATCAAAAATATTTATTAAATAAGGTGTCTTTAAATAGTACCATACATAAAGCAAGGTTAGGTATTGATTGGTTGACACAAAAGTGATATGGTCAGAAGCTCACAGAAATCTAACCTTGTATTTTTTACTTTAGGATCAGTGGTTCTGTATTTGCTAATTCAGCGTTTGTGGAGACTTTATGGAACATAGCTACTGTGAATAATGACAAATTGACCTTATATTATTTGGAGATATTTTCTCCCAGCCTGTAGGTTATCTTTTCACATTTTTTATTGTATCCTTTGAAGGACAGTGTTAAGCTTTGATAAAGTATAATTATCTATTTTTTCTTTTGTTATTTTTGTTTATGCTTTTTGTCTAAGAAGACATGACAACAAAGATTATGAGATTTGCCCCTATATTGATATTATAATCATGTGGGCCAATTTCATATAATAGGTCTCTTTCTATAGATACATATTATATTGGTTCTGTTTCTCTGGTGAACCATGATTGATTTAAAAAAATTGTTACCAAGAATTGAACAGAATCTTAAAGATAAATTTTCTAAATTGATTCTAGGGTTTCTGGAATTGGCTGTCTAATTTGATTAAATAAGACACTAATGTCTCTATGTCAGGTAGTAAAAAGAGGACTGATAGTCCATGGTGTGTTCTGGCAATAGAGATAGGCACAATATCATCATTGGATACTTCTAATCAAACACACATAAGAAGCAAAGGTCTGACTGTGTGTATAATACTTTCAAACATTTTTGTCAAACTAACAAGTATGGTGAGCACTTCTTGGATGCTTTCTTCTAATATCACTGGACATAGTTGGAAAATAAAAGGGTGCTCTCACTTTAACAGTAGATATTCTACAAGGCTAGAAATTCAATCTCTATTGTTAATTAGCCACTTGCAGGATAAGATTTTGGGTTTCGTTTTCAGCAATCTCAGCCTTGCGGCTACATGAGATAAACTATCAGAACAGACATAGATGCTTTCAAGTATTTCATGCAGAACTTGACCTGAAATTTTGAATCCCTGAGTTCTTGAACATATCCTGTAGCTATTTTTCCAGTTCTAGTTTACACAAGTGTAACACTCATCAGTTGGCAAAATCCTCACATTCGTTACCTGACCTATGGGGTGAGGGAAAAATTATAATGAAGAAGGCCAAGTGGAAGCCACTAGAATGGTTTCTACCTAGAAAAATAGTAAAGCAAAAGCAAGACTACATTCTAGAGGAATTTAAATAATTAGCACCACCATCAAGGACTTCAAAAATGCAGGGGCATTAATTTTCACTGCATCTCCAACTCACCTATTTGGCCAGTGCATAAGACAGATCTTGGAGAATGGCAGTGGATTATTTTAAGCTTAATTAGATGTTGACTCCAATTGCAGCTTCTGTACCAGATGTGATTTCACTACTTAAGGAAATTAACACATCCTGAGGTACCTGGTATGCTGCTATTGATCTGGCAAATGTATTTATGTCCATCCCTGCAAATAAAGACCACCAGAAGCAGTTTGCATTTAGCTCCTGAGGCTAGCAATACATCTTCACTGTCCTACCTCAGGGGTGTATCAACTCTGCAGCCCTATGTCATCATTTAGTTCACAGGGACTTTGGTTACCTTTCCATTTCACAAGATATCACTCTGGTCCAATACATTGATAATATTATACTGATTGGAACTAGTGAGCAAGAGGTAACAATTATTCTAGACTTATTGAAAAGACATTTGCATGCCAGAGGGTTGGAAATAAATTTAACAAAAATTCAGGGGCCTCATACCTTAGTAGAATTTTTAGGAGTTCATTGATGTAGGATATGTTGAGATTTTCCTTCTAATGTGAAAGATAAGTTGTTGCATCTGGCCCCTCCTATAACTCAAAAGAAGGCACAAAGCATACCGAGCTTCTTTGAATTTGGGAGGGTGACACATTCCTCATTTGGGTGCACTACCCCAGCCTATTTACTGAATCACCTTAAAAGCTACTAGTTTTCAGTGGGGCTCTGAACAAAAGAAGACTCTGCAATAGGTACAGGCTGCTGTGCAAATTGGTCTGCCAATTGGGCCATATGATTCAGCAGATCCAATATTACTTGAAGTGACCTTGGCACATAGGGATGCTGTTTGGAGCCTTTGACAGTCTCCTACATATGAATTACAGTGTAGGCCTTAGGATTTTGAAGCAAAGCCTGGCCATCCTTTGTGGATAACTACTTCCTTTGAGAATCAGGATGTGGACTGCTACTGGGCCTTAGCAGAAAATAAGCCATGGGTCACTAAGTTATTGTGCAACCTGAGCAGCCCATAATGAGCTGGGTGTCATCTTACCCACCAAGCCATAAAGTTGGGCAAGCAAACAACACTGTCATCAAATGGAAGTGCTGTCTGCATGAGACCAACCCAGGCAGGCCCTGAAGGCACAAGTATGTAACAGGAAGAAGTCCCCGAAATGACCATGTTTTCTACTCCTGCTGCACTGCGTTCTCTCTCCCAGCCTACATTTATGGCCTAATTGGGAGTTTCCAGGATCAGTCGACAGATGAAGAGAAGTCTTGGGCCTGGTTTACAGACAGTTCTGCATGCTATACACGCAATGCCTGAAAGTGGAATGCCGCAGCCCTACAGCCTTTTCCTGAAATACCCTTGAAGGGCAGTGGTGAAGGAAAATCTTTCCAATGGGCAGAACTCTAGGCAGTGTACCTGGTTGTGCACTTTGCTTGGAAGGAGAAGTGGCCAGATGTGTGATTGCATACTGATTCATGGGCTGCAGCCAGAGGTTTGGTGGATGGTCAGGAACTTGGAAGGAGCATGAATGGAAAATATGTGACAAGGAAATTGGGAAAGAGTATATGGATAGACCTCTATGAATGGGCACAAAGACATTTGTGTCCCAAGTGAATGCTTTCCAAAGGACGACTTCAGCTAACAATTTTAATAAATGTGATAGGATAACTTTAATAAATGGAGTAGGATAACTTTCTCTGTACATACCAGTCAGCCTCTTTTTTTAGCCATCCCTGTCATCACCCAATGAGCTCAGGAATAAAGTGGCTATGGTGGCAGGGAGGGATGTTATGCATGGGATCAGCAACATGGACTTCCACTCACCATGGCTGACCTCCTCACAGCTACTACTGAGTTTGTAATCTGCCAGGAGCAGGGAGAGACCAACACTGAGCCCCTAATAAGGCGCCATTCTCTGGGGTGATCAGTCAGATACCTCGTGGCAGGTAGATTACATTGGACCGCTTCTGTCAACAAAAGGGTGGTATTTTATACTTAATGGAATAGACACTTAGTTTGGATAGGGATCTGTTTCCCTGAATACAGTACTTCAGGCAAAACTGTCATTTATGGAATTACAGAATGCCTTATCCACCATCATGATATTCCACACAACATTGCTTCTAATCAAGGAACTCACTTCACAACCAATGAAGTGTGGCCAAGGACCCACGCTCATGGAAATTGCCATCCTGAAGCAGCTATGTTATAGAACCTTGAAATCGTCTTTTGAAGATTGGTTACCATGCCAGTTAGGCGGGAATACCTTTCAGGGCTGGAACAAGGTTCTTCAAGAGGCTGTATATGCTCTGAATTGGCATTCAATAAAAGGTGCTGTATCTTCCATAGCCAAGATTCACAGGTCCAGGAATTCAGGGGTGGGGGTAGAAGAGGTGCCATTCACTATTATCCCTAGTGACCCACCAGCAAAATGTTTGCTTCCTGTTCCTACGACCTTATTCTCTGCAGGCCCAGGTGGCTTAGTGCCAAGGAGAAGAATATTTCCACTGGGAGACACAATGGTATTTCCCCTGAACTGAAAGTTAGGACTACTTAACTTTGGGGACCTCAGGCCCCTGTATCAATAGGAAATATGATAGTTACTGTACTAACTGAAGTGATTGATCCTTACTACCAAGAAGAAATTGGTAGTAGAGATCAATCACTCCTACCAAGGAGGGCTGTTTAAGTTATATTTTTCTGTTGGTATTCTGTTGTTCATAGTTTTCCATTATAATCTTTTTTATTTCTGTAAGGTCAGTAATGATATCCTCTCTTTCATTCTTGAATTAATTAATATGTGACTTGTCTAGTTAAAACTTGGTCAAATGTGTTGATTTTGTCAAAGCACCAACTGTTGCTTTGTTTATTTTCTATATTTTTAATTTTATTGATTCATGCTCTAATCCCTATTGTTTCCTTCCTTTTGTTTGCTTTGTGTTTAGTTTGCTCTTCTTTTTACAGTATCTTAAGGTGTTCTTTGATTTGAATTTTTTCTTCTTTTTAATATAGGAATTATACATAAATTTCTCTCTAAGCATGGCTTTAGCTTTTTCTTGTGAGGTCTGGTATACTACATCTTCATTTTCATTCATCTCTAAGTATTTTCTAATTTACCTTTTGATATCTTCTTTGACCCATTTGTTGCTTAGAAGTGTGTTCTTTAATTTCCACATTTCTAAAAATTTACCTAATTGATTTCTAATTTCATTCTATTGTTGTTGGAGACTATATGTTATAATATTTCAATCATTTAAAACTTTTTGGTGTTCTTTTAATGACCTAGCATGTGGTTTATCCTTGGAAATGTTCTTTGTGCACTTGAGAAGTATAGGTATTTTGCTGCCATTTGGTCAAATGTACTATATGTGTCTATCAGTTCCAGTTGATTTATAGTGTTTGAGTCTTCCATTTCCTTATCGATCTTCTACCAGGTTATTCTACCCATTATAGAAAGAGGGGTATTGACATTTACAACTATTTTTTATTATGCATCTATCCCTTCAATTCAGAATTGTTGCTTTGTGTGTTTGGGGGCTCTGTTTTTAGGCTTATGTGTATTCCAATCATGATAGCTTCCTGGTAGATTTACATTTTCTCCTTTAAAAATATCTATCTTTATCTCTAATAATATTTTTGGTAAAAACATATTTTGCATGATATTAGTATAGCATCCCCATCTTTCGCGTACTTGGTGATTAGTTGATATATATTTTCCTACACTTTCCCCTTCATCTTATTATATCATTTAGTCTTAAGTCTGTTGTCTGCAGATAGTGCTTAGTTGGACTTTTTTTTACTCTGATAGTGTATGTCTTTAATAAAATTTTAAATCTACAGAAAATAATATAATTGCCATAATATAGCTACATGGTAAGATACCCACCCTGGGAGGGTTTCTTTCTGAGTTGTGCCTTCCTGAGGGTTGGCACAATTTTAAACACCTAATTAGCAAGTCATCTGCCCTCACTTAAAAGGGGACGTTTTATGAAAGATGGCCAGGATGAGAATGTATCCTCTCTCAGTAAAGGTACTAATTAATGCATGTAGAGCTTACAGCTAGGCAGGGAATGGTTTCTATTCTTTTTCTGGTGTAATAGTTGACCAGGACTGAACCTTTCTCCATTAAACAATTGACTGTCCCCACCTCCCAAAAAGAGAATTTTTTTAGTCTGGTGTTCAGTGACATTTGAAGGGCCCATAATAAGCTCCAGTTTGACTAAATGTGATCACCAAAATGGCACTTTGTCTTCTCTGGCTCTCAAACACACACAGAGTTTTAATAGGCAGATGTATATCTATTAGGGTATTTCAAAAGAAGCCCTTTGAGTCCTAAGGAAACAGGTAACTACTTACATATTTCTGTAAACTCCTTTGCACTGATGTCCAGCCTCAATTCCCTGCTAACTGTAATTTAAATACAATTTATGATTCAAGTCAAAATCCTGATTGCATTTAGTTTGCTAGTGACAGAATCAATCCATTTTGGTCAGAAAAAAATGATGCATCTGCTGTCAGACTTCCAGTCTCTGAGACATTGAGGCTTCCTAGAGCCATCTCTCTGCATTTTAGAGTGGTCTGCCTTTCTTTCTCCACTGATATTTCACAATGAGCAGCATTAAACATCATCTCACCTACTCAGAGGTCAGGGGCAGTATATTCTGATATATCATCCAGAGATAGCCAAGCAGAATGACTTCATCAACAACAGAACAGCTTCTTTACGAGGAGGATAGGACAAGCATAGAGACGTGTTGTTTAGTTTGCGGTAAAGTAGGCTTTTCACACATTGGTACTATTGTACAATGTGCTGCTAACCAGGATAAAAGTACTTACATGGCCAGGCGCAGTGGCTCACACCTGTAATCCCAGCATTTTGGGAGGCTGAGGCAGGTGGATCATGAGGTCAAGAGATCAAGGCCATCCTGGCCAATATGTTGAAACCCCGTCTCTACTAAAAATACAAAAATTAGCTGGGCGTGGTGGCATGCACTTGTAGTCCCAGCTACTCAAGAAGCTGAGGCAGGAGAATCGCTTGAACCTGGGAGGCAGAGGTTGCAGTGAGCTGAGATCGCGCCACTGCACTCCAGCCTAGGGACAGAGTGAGACTCCATCTAAAAAAATAATAATAAAAATAAACTCACACAGAGAATAATAACAGCAGGCAGGTGTGTGGTACTGTAGCTATTAGGTGCATGTAGATGGCCCTATCAAATATTTTTAGAAGATTCGTTCCTTATAAACGACCACTCATTCAATTTTTACATAATTTGCTAATCTCACACATCGCTAATTCAAAAACCAACTTTCTTTTAGAACTTTTAAATATCATAATGAGTTTAAACCAACACAATTTGGCACAATGCATAGACCTGAAATGGTGAAGTACACACTACCTTCCCTTTAAATAAGGTAAAGCTGCCATATCACTCAGGTAAACTATTAGTGTTCATGGCAAACACTTGGGGAAAAACACTGTCACTCAGATGACAGACCTTCACTTTCCTCTGTCCACACTCGTCTAGCAATCTGCAATCAGCTGTGGATCTCACTGTCAGTGAAAAACTCCAGACTCTCCCATCATCTGCCTGCCTGTCAGTTAGTCTTGTCTGGTGGGGCCATCACAGGTATTGAGAGGACTGGCTGAGACTCACAGACAACTACAAAGAGAGTCAGACACAGAGACCAGTATGTGCAATGCACAATCCCAAGTGAAGATACACAAGGATCTGTTTCTCAAATGCAGCCCAAGCCAGTGAGTGTCTTTGTATGCTGGCCCTTGTGCCAGGCACTGCTTACCTGCTCAATGTCTCACAACAGCCAGCAAGGTGAGATGCATCCTTCTTTCTCAGAAAACCATGATCTTACAAATAAGTTCCTGGGAGAAGGGAATGGAAGGAACTGGTTTGGAGAGGTCTTCTGGCACCAAAGCCTGTCTGTCCTTCTATTAGCAACCACCTGCCGTGCTGCAACACTGGAGCCTGAGCACAGCAGTCTAACTCTAGAACCCGGGGCTTTAGCCACCAGATGGACTGCAGCTCTCCCGCAGGACATAGAAGCCTGGCTTCCCCAAATAGGAGGCGGGAACTGAATCAGTCAGGATTGGTTCAGTTACAAAGGACAGGCAGATTTATCAGAGGCTCAAACAAGGCATAAGTGTGTTCCACTCTCACATGAACGTCCAGAAGTCTGAGACAGCCATGACCCTCCACTGTGCCAGCTACCCACCTTCCCTATCCTGTTTCTCTGCTGAGCATGACCTCAAATTTATGGCCTATGGCAGCCCTTTTATTTTCCAGGCAGTAGGATTAAGGGGAGAAGGAACATGGTAGAAAAATCACAAAGGCGCTCATCAGCTGTGTCTTCGGGGAGGCCTTGAATGCTGTTGCATTCCTGTGCTTTTATATCCCTGGACACGCCTGAGTGCAAGGGAGGCTGGGAAGTGTAGTCTTCCTTCCAGATGGCCAGGGGCTGCTACAAGCTGTAATACGACAGGAAAAATGGAGAATGGATAGTGAGGCGTGATCAGCAGGCTCTTCCATGACAACCAGCAGGTAGGGTGGATCTCTACTTGCAACTGTAAGAGACTCTGCAGAAGACACACCTTCCCGTCCTCTGCCTTATGGACTGTGAAACTGTCTTTATGTATACGGCCATCTGTTTAACTGTTACCTGGTCTGTGCAATGAATAACAGTGATTTCTTTCTGAATAATAGGGAAAATAGAGGGATGGGAGGAGGGTAGGAGGTTCGTGGGCTTTGGGCCAAATTGCTTGGGGGCTGCTGTCTTTTCGATAGTATTGGTGGTCAGTTTGGTTGAGAACTTGTACCACATGGAAGTTGAAGTCTGGAATTCATTTGTTTCCTAGAGATAGAGAAAAGGAAGTAAACGAGTAGAATACATCCAGCCACTCACAAATTTGGGGACCAAGCTGTCCACTGCCTAGCCCTCCCCTTCTCTAAGAGTAGGAGGCAAATGAGAGCCCAAGAGACTCTTGGATGAGGGCCCAACTGGGTAGTTAAAGGAAATATTTACATCAGCAGACACATTCCTTGCCTTAAAACAAGCATCCCAGAGGAAAACTGGTCCCCTCCTCAGTCTTCCCTTCAATAGCTGATTAGACAAGAAGCCCTGGGTACTTGGGCCAGGTCACCCACCTCGGATTCCCTTGGGTGCCGGTGTCCTAGGAGACAGTCCATTGCTGGCCGTGGTGGCTCAAGCCTGTAATCCCAGCACTTTGGGAGGCCAAGGTGGGCAGATCACAAGGTCAGGAGTTTGAGACCAGCCTGGCTAATATGGTGAAACCCCGTCTCTAATAAAAATACAAAAATTGGCCGCATGTGGTGGTGGGCACCTGTAATCCTAGCTACTCAGGTGGCTGAGGCAGGCGAATCCCTTGAAACCAGAAGGCGGAGGTTTCAGTGAGCTGAGATCGTGCTACTGCCCTCCAGCCTGGGTGAAAGAGCAAAACTCTGTCTCAAAAATAAATAAATAAATACAGTATGCCTCAAAACGCAGTGGGCCACTTCTCCACTGCCCTGCAGAGCAAGGAATTCTTGCTTCAATATGGATGCCTTAATATACAATTAAGTATCATTTAACGATGGGAATAAGCTCTGAGAAATGCATTGCTAGGCAGTTTTGTCATTGTGCAGACATCATAGAGTGACTTGCACAAACCTACATGGTTAGTCTGCTACACACATAGGCTATGTGGTAGAGCCTATTGCTCCCAGGCTACAAACCTGTACAGCATGATACTGTACTGAATACTGCAGCAACTGGAACATAGTGGTAAGTATTCGTGTATCTAAACATTAAAAAGTACAGTAGAAATATGGTATGACCTTATGGGATCACTGTCATTTACGCAGTTTATCACTGGCCAACATATCACGTGGAACGTAACTGAAAACATTCCAGACCCTCACTGCTGAGTGGGATTTATTTAAAGCAAGAACTGGGTCATGAAGAATCTGTTTCTGTCCATCCCAGTGAACAGTTACCAAACCCCCAGACAATATTGTTGTAAGTGGTGGCAGTTGATTCCTGTGGGTTCAGTACGATCACAGGTAAAGAATGTCTACGCACTTTACACATCTAGAAGCAGTAGACAAAATTTCACAGGGAAAGCTAGAAATCTTATCTTACTCAAACTACACAATGCCTCATTTTCCCACCATAGGGCCTGCTGAATCATTCCTGCTCCTGTGGAGATGAGTTTGGAGTTTTATGCTAACATCATCTCTGCTTCACTTTTTCTCCATGGCGAGTAATTTGAAGGGGATCACTGACCGTGCCATGGCACACAAAAGCACAACTTCAGAAACAAGATGTGGCTCGGGGACAACTTAGAGGTTATTTGAGACGCTGCAGGTTTTCAGCAGGTGCTTCCAATCCATGGACTTGGAGAAGAATGTCAGCTAATGGCTGCCACTGTGCTGCCAGGCTTCCATCCAGGGACTTTAGTAAAGTTCTGCTGAAAGAGATGTAAACCGGGAGAGGGATGGAGGCTGGATCCTGGAGTGTGAATATTTGACCATCCTTTACCCCAGCAGCACCTCCACGCAAGGTTTTACATAGCAGTGGGTTTGTGTTCCCATCAAACTGGGCCTGGTCAGGGTCAAGCAAGCCCAAGCCTCTGCCCCCGCATGCTGAGTAGGGGGGCAGTACTCCTGAAGGTGTTCTCACCAGTTCGAGGCCTGCTCTGCATAGCCTGGGCACTGCCCAACCAGGAGGATGTGTGTTTAGGAATGTTTCCCTGCAGAACTAGCTAAGTCTGGCTGTGCCTGGTTGAAGCCTCCTACATTCCAGAACATAAGCTGTGATCCCCAAATGAGCACGGTTGTCCTGCGAGAGATGTACTTTGCTCTAGTGGTCTGTGGAAGGGTAGAGATGCAACACCCTCTTGGTTAAAATGACAACTCACTTTAAGAGACACCGAAACTGTACAATCCATCCTGAAAGTCAGGTAAGTATCACCATCATACCTTGATTAATGACAACCCAGTTAAGCTTTGTCCTCCCATATCTTGTATGGCTCTCTGCAAAGGCTAAGGAAGGTTACATCTCAGACAACCAGGAAATTTGAGTATGGATTTTGTCTTCAGTTTCTCATCCTCTAAGTTGGGTTCTAGCCTCTGGGACAAGACAGCCTATGGAAGAATAGCAATGACAGCCTTGGAGCACCAAGGTCTCCTGCAGGGACAGCCGTTCTGAGGCACCCTTCCCAGGAAGAAGACCTGCCTTGTTATTAATGCAAACCTTAAGAGAAAGCTTCTGTCAGCTTCTTAAATTGTGCAAGATTGTCCAGTTTGAGAAAATTAGCTTTACGGAAAAGGCAGGCAGTGTATTATTTATTTATTTATTTATTTATTTATTTATTTATTTTAGATGGAGTCTCACTCCATGCAGTGGTGCCATCTCCACTCACTGCAACCTCCACCTCCCTAGTTCAAGCGATTCTGTGCCTCAGCCTCCCAAGTAGCTAGGATTACAGGTGTACACCACCACACCTGGCTAATTTTTGTATTTTTAGTAGAGATGAGGTTTCACCATGTTGGCCAGGCTAGTCTCTAATCCTGACCTCAACTGATCTGTCCACCTCGGCCTCCCAAAGTGCTAGGATTGCAGGCATGAGCCACTGTGCCTGGCTGGCAGACAGTGCTTTTAAAAGGAAGCCAGTGATGCCCCCACCTGAGACATGGGAATCAGCTCTCTCCAGTCAACTTGCATGGCCCAGCATGCTCCACTGGGGAACAGGCACAGTGACCTGGCACAGAGCACTGACTGTGTCCCAGGGCCCAGGTGCTCATCACACACCCAAGGGGAGGGCCACATCATAAAGCATCCCCAAACCCAGATGGCCAATGCTTCCTCCACCCTCATCTTGAACTGCTCCTAATATTAGGCTGCTTCAGCTCAGCCTGTGTTATGCCAGGCGTCCCACCCAGAATGAGCCTTCTGGCTCCTGGGGCAGTTCTGAGACTGCCCCTTCCCCTTCCTGGCTCCACACTCTCTGTTTCCCCTCAGGGCCCCCTCCCGTTTTCATCAGCAGCCAAATGAGAAACAAAGGTGAGGTGGACGGTGGACTCAGATGCACTCTTGAATCACCTTCATTTTATTCTTAATACTTTCTGTGTGTTTTCTTGGCAGCTATTTAGGGCTATTGGGATGGAAAAAGTGGCCGTAAAGCAAGGTGGGACTCAGAAAATGCATCCTCCCTGTCTGTTGGCCCTTGATGGACATAACACAGCCCCCTTCCTTAGCTCTGTGCTTGCTCGGGGACCTGGGACCCTTCTATTTTCCACAAATCCACTCCCTCTACTTGAAGACATGCCTGGCTTGCAGGAATTCTAGAATGAACACAGATTAGACTCTGACCGAGTCCTCTGTGGCATGAGACTGGACACATACCCACACACCCAGCAGCGTGCGCAGCCAGGAGGCTGCAGCTGCTTCACATGCAATCTCACTGCAAGTCACTTTTCATCGTACAGCATGTGAGTTAGATGAGACATGTAAAAGCATCTTCAAAATATGGGCAGATTGGATCAATGGACCCCATTTAAAATAAATAATAAACTCCACCTCCAGACCTTTAATAGCTCATTTCAACAGATAAAAATGAGCTGCTAAGCAGGCTTTTTTTTCAGGGTAGCTCTCCTCCTTCAGAAATGAGGATCTTGAAAGCAGAGGCCAGCATCACAGCCACGCATGTTAATGAGTCCCTCAGGCAGATAGGAAATAATTCTGCAGGAGTTGGAGTTGATATTCAGGCTCCGTCTTTATTTTCTCTGACTGATGGGGCTCATTGCTGCTGTTTTCAGACTGAGGTCCCAGCTATTAGTTGATGGTGGGCTGTAAAGCATCAGCAAATATGCAGTGCTAAATAAGATGAGAAAAATCAATATTTGTTCCTACTACATTTGTTAGGTCTGCATATGAGTAATTTTAATTTTAAAAACATGCAGCTTTAATAGGGGAATAACCAAATACTGCACACTTGCTGATTTTGGACATAAGGATAGAGAGTAGACAAGCAGCTTCGGAATCCTGAATTATTTAAATACAAATGGCCCTTCTTTTCCTCTGATGAGTGTAGAATTAATGTCACAAAACAGACAAATGGGAAACTACAGACCCATTATTAATAACAACAACAGCAGACTTTGAAACCAGAAAAGGTATGCATTGCACAGCTAAAGTGAATTTCAGGGAAGCTTTAGTTTTTGTACTTTTCTCTCAGTGCATCCCAGGAAGTTGGGTTAGTTTATCCGCTGCAGTGATGCAGGTGTGAGGACAAGGTGCCCAGCCCATTAGGGCCAAGAGGGAACATGAAAGAACCAGGACCAAGGCTTGAGGCAGCCTGGGGGAACCAAAGACAGTTGGTCGCCAAAGCCATAAACACCAAGAGGAGTAGATAAAGGAGGAGGTGAAGAAGTCAAAAACAGCCTAATTATTCTTGTCATCAAGGCATCCCAGAGTGCCCCCTGAGAAATGACATTAAGCGTCCTGTTGTCTGTGCTGAGAGTTGAAAGTTGCAGCCTTGTCCCAACCTCACTCTCAGGCAGACGCGGATCCTAGGGGCTTGGCAGATGTGAGAGCTCTCAGTGCCTTTGCTGTTTCTTTTTATCATCTGTAGAACTCACAGTCTGCAGGAGCCTTGAACTTTCTGCTGGGCTCTGGTTCTAATGAAAATACATCACAATAAAGACAAGACCATTAAATCAGCAAAGAGTGGATGTACGGGACCGAGAAAGCTTGTTGACAGCCATGAGCTCAAGGGTTTAGTTAAGTCGGAACACATGAGGCTTCACTTCCTAGGGACATTGCTCTTCTCAGTCTGAAAGCTCAGCTCAGGTCTGGCCAGGGTCCTGGTGCTATGGTCCAAGGTGAGCTGATGACTTTGGCATCCTGTTGTGACATCTTTACATTCAAATGACCAGAGATTGTGTTTCTAGTGAACTGCAAATCAGAAAAACTTTATCTCCAGGGCCTTGGAGTGAAAGAGAGGAGCAGAGGGCAGGGGAGGAGAGGGCGCTTAGTTGAAAGCAGAGCTTGGCGATCGCTTCCTCTTTCTGAGCTTTGATTGGAGCATTGCACCTCAACAAGAAATCACTCTGACTCTGATGGGCATTTGCTGGGTAACACTGCCAAGGCCATGCAGCAGGTGGCAGGAGAAGAGCTGTTCCAGCGACCTCACAAACGGGTGCAGATACAAGCAGGACTTTCCACAAGACCTTCTTTCAAATACAAGCACAGCCCTAGGGAGGCCCAAGTGTTCTTTCAGTTTGGCCTTGAAGTAGCAAGAATTTTGATGAGGAGAGAGGAGGTCTATTGGACAAGAACCTTGTGAGATGGTTTGGTGGTGAGAGTGGGGAGGCAGGGGAAGTGCGCAGAGAGACCATCGCTTCCCTCTGCTCCTTGGTCCATGACACAACATCTATTTCTCAGAAGCTCTGGGCTGGTGACTTCTCTCCAGCTGTCTGGGGGCGTCTTGTGGAATGGGAAGGACCTCTGTGATTGGTGATCTGGTGAGCCTTTTCCCCATAGGGGCCAGGTGTGTGCCCTGGAAAGTCAGTGGGTTAAAGGTCATCATTTCCTCACAGCCTTTATGTCTAGGACTCTGTGTTCTATGAGGCTTAGGGCAGCTCAAATCTTCCATGAACCTCACCCCACAAGCAGGTGGTGGAAGGGTGTCCCTGACCCTACCTAACTTTGGTGTGAACTTCCATTTTTCTAAGAATGTTGAGCATTAAGTGGCAAGTACAGTGGAAAGTTGCTCAGCATGGGTGGCAGCAGGGTAGCTGGGAGGACAACCCTAGACAGAATTGGAAAGTAAACATCGCCCATGTTCCAGGATGGATCTCCATGTCTTGGAGCAAATTTAAAACTTTTCCACTTGGGAGGGGGGTGTTAGGAAGAAGCTAGTTGTTTCCAAAAGACAAAGCTCATGGTAGTGTGGCGATACACTCAGGGGTGGTGTCAGGCCTCCAGACACAGAGTGCTCAACTGCCAAGAAGGCAGGTACAGGCAAAGAAAGATGGTGGCTCCAGGTGTGAATCTGCAGATTAAGAGTCCTGGGGTCGGAGAGGACCCAGTAGCAAAGCAAATTTGATGCATTTGTATAGTTTATGCATCAACTTGACTTGATCAAACCATGGAGTGCCCAAATGTTTGGTAATAAAATATTATTCCAGATGCACCTGTGAGGGTGTTTCTATGGGGTTAACATCTGGATCAGTGGACTGAGTAAAGCAGTCGGCTATCCCTAGTGTGGATGGGCCTCATCCAATCCACTGAGGGCAGAAAGAGACAGGAAAGCTCATGCTCACCAGCATTTCCTATAATTCCGCTACAAATCCTTCTAATAAGCCCCCCTGGTAGATTCATGGCAAAATGGTCCTATTTCTCCACCTCTCCTTGTATCTGAGCCCTCCGCAGCTCCTCCCACTGAGATGTGGAGTTCCTCTCCCCACCCCTCCAGTTTCGGCTTCCTCGTGATTCTCTTTGGCCAATAGAATGCGGCAGAAGCCATGCTATGCCCTCTGCATGACTGCTCTGGGACCCCCGTTCTGCCAGTGGCATGTGCTATTTTCAGTCACCGTTACATTGCTGTGGCAATAAGAGCAGCTGATGTTTGAACCAGCTTCAATTGCTTTCTGGCTTTTTGCTCCCAGGTGGTCCTTGGAGAAGACCTGAGCTCCTTCCTATATCTTTCTGCACAGAGCTGCTTGGCTGGGCTGAGGTGGACAGACTCTTTGATTCTGCTGCCCTGTATGGTTGCTCCCACTGTTAATGTGTCGCTGAACTGCCTCAAATTGAGCCCCCTTATCCTCTGGGGGTGGGGGGAGAAAATGCTAGCTCCGCTGTGAAGCCGCTAATCCTTGATCACTCACTGTTGTAATGTCTTAGCTCTTATCTACAAGCATGAGTCATCACCATTCTCCTGAATAACATGCTGTTCCATTCTGTTTCCATTTCTATGGACAGGGCAAGGTGACCACAGCAAGCCAGGTTTCCCAGACGATTTCTGTCGGTTGTTGAGAAAAATCAGATGGTTTGGTGGAAAAATAAGGTTTCCTGTTTTCTGGCAATTCTTCCCACACAGCACTCTGGTATCTCAACTGAACTCCACCCAGCCCTTCTTTGGGGCAGGAACCCCTCTTCCCCCAGACCCTCCTCTAAGGCCTAAAGAGCCAGGCAGGACCAGTTAATACAGGATCTTATGTCAGAAACTTAACTTCTTTAAGCTTCATATGCTCATTATATCATACGTCTGGGAATATTTTCTGTCATGGGTTATAGTGAGAAATGTAAAAATACATATATATATACATATACACCTGTGGAAACACCTACAACAATATCTGGCACCAAGAAAAAAGAGCTCAGTGAATGTTATACACTCTAGTTCCCTTCCCAAAGCATTAAAAAACAACAACAACAACAACAACAAAAACGGGCAGAATGAAGGAAAGGGTTAAAGAGCAAACTTCAGATTTTGAAGGTCAACTTGGGCCCTGGGTTTGGTAGTAAGCCAAAATCACTATCTTAGTTAAGATAGAAGTGATATGGGTTGTGTGTTTGTGTGTGTGTGCAAGCATAGGCATGTGTGTGTAATCTCCTGTGTGTGTGTATGTGTGCGTGCGTGTGTATGTGTAATCTCCTGTGTGTGTGTGCGTGCGTGTGTATGCAATCTCCCGTGCGTGCGTGCGTGTGTGTAATCGCCTGTGTGTGTGCATATGTGTGTGTGTAATCTCGTGTGTGTGTGCATGTGTGTGTGTAATCTCCTGTGTGTGTGTGCGCGTGCGTGTGTGTGTAATCTCCCATGTGTGTGCACGCACGTGTGTGTAATCTCCTGTGTGTGTGCCCGTGCGTGTGTGTAATCTCCCGTGTGTGCGTGCGTGTGTGTGCAATCGCCTGTGTGTGTGCATGCGTGTGTGTGTAATCTCGTGTGTGTGCGTGCTTGCGTGTGTAATCTCCTGTGTGTGCGTGTAATTTCCTGTGTGTGTAATCTCCTGTGTGTGTGTGCGTGCATGTGTGTAATTTCCTGTGTGTGTGTATGTGTGTGCGCGTGTGTATGTGTAATCTCCTGTGTGTGTGTGTGCGCGCAAGTGTGTGTAATCTCCTGTGTGTGCCCGTGCGTGTGTGTAATCTCCCGTGTGTGCATGCGTGTGTGTGTGTAATCTCGTGTGTGTGCGTGCGTGCGTGTAATCTCCTGTGTGCGTGCGTGTGTGTTTGTGTGTGTAATCTCCTGTGTGTGCGTGTAATTTCCTGTGTGTGTAATCTCCTGTGTGTGTGTGCGTGCATGTGTGTAATCTCCTGTGTGTGTGTGCGCGTGCATGTGTGTGTGTAATCTCCTGTGTGTGTGTATGTAATCTCCTGTGTGTGTGTGCGTGCGTGCGTGTGTGTAATCTCCTGTGTGTGTGTGGTGTGTGTGTGCGCGTGCGTGTGTGTGTGTGTAATCTAAGGCAAGGCTTGCGCCTGGGTAATTTATTTGGGAACTGGACCCTAGAGGGCAGAAGTACAGGACAAGGAGCTGAGACAAGAAAGAGGTTGATCTTCTATGTGTGAGCCCCCATGTGGGTGCACCACGCCAGTGCGATCATCTGAGGAGCTTATGAAAGGAGTCTCAGAACTGTTCACATGGAAAAAGAAAAGAGAGGGAAGTTTTTCCTCACACCCATCCTGCAGCCAAGGGGACCTCTGCTCTTCTAGGCTATTCTTGTTTCCAGTTTCTTCCCACCTGAACAGGTGAATACAACACAATATAAGTTTCTCAGAGCCAAGGGCAGAATCCTGGAGCTGGTCAGAGCGGGAACAGATGTGAACCGGTATCCTAAGGAAATAAGATTGGGGCAGAGCTTAAACTGGAGGGAAGAGCACCACCCTGGACTAAAAGGAAGTTTTCTTCCTCAAAAGGAAAACATAGAGCTTCTTGAATCCAATGAGGAGTTAAACTCAACTAGGTGATAACTCGGTTTTCAATTCTCCCGGATACTGCATCACCATTTCTATGAAACTTTGGAATCCTGGTGTCTCTACAGGCCCTCTTCCGTTTGCCCCTGCATTCATCTGACTGTCATCTAATGCCCCAGAAAGCTCATGAGGTACATGAATGATTGAGACACACAGCAGGGTAATGAATTTCAGCTCCATTCTTGGGGGAGCAGGAACAGGCAGACAAGCACAGTGAAGCTGCCCACACCAGGCGAGTGCTGTACTGGTTAATTTACCTCCCCAGTTCTGCTCAGCCCACCTATCCCCATGCTGCTTGTTTAATACAGAGCCCAGGTTGCTACCCCATCTTTTTCTTCCTCCCCTAGCACCAGCCATGTGTCCTTGAGGTGAGAGTAGGGCTCTGGCATGGCCTCCATTGTGCCCACAATGGTGTAAACCACAGCAGCCCCAGTGCCTTTGCACAATCCCAGCAGACTGTGCAGTTCTGGCTTCTCCTGTGATTTCACAAGCCACATGTGCTCCTTTACCAGGGGATAGCATTCTGGCTTTCCCACTAGCTATGGGAGTGGCTGCTGATGCTATCTGGAAGGGTGCTGGGGAAGGCAATCCCCCATGATGAGAACTTTGTCCTGGGAGAGCAGGAGCCAGGAGGGAACAGACAGATGAATCCTTTTCTCTGTTTTCCTCTGGCAGACCCTTCTGCCTGGCCTGTTTATACATGTCTCATGTGACGAGAAATTAGAAATCAGTCGTGTTTCCTTTCCTGTAAAGCTGTTGCAAGCTCAGGATCACCCTCTTCTCCCCTCATTTTTGGTGCTGTAACATTGCACCATGAAATGGTAGGCCGTGAGCTCTGCCTATATTTTACTCTATTCGTGATGTCATAACAAAATACTATAGACTGGGTAATTTATAAAAACAGAAATCTATTTTCTCACAGTTCTGGAGGCTGGGAAGTCT
The DNA here is from genome assembly GCF_000001405.40 of Homo sapiens. Taxonomy (NCBI): domain Eukaryota; kingdom Metazoa; phylum Chordata; class Mammalia; order Primates; family Hominidae; genus Homo; species Homo sapiens. Next base: position 24,210,207 of record NC_000020.11, read on the forward strand.
AAGATCAAGGTACCAGCCAGCAGATTTGGTTGTCTGGTGAGGACTGCTCTCTGCTTCCAAGATGGTGCAGACGACCAAAACGAGTGACTGAAGCAGGTGTCTCAACCAATCAAGGTGTATTGAGCCAGCCTGAGAGTGCGCCCACAACATGAGCCACAGACACAACCATTCTTTCCAAAGAGGTTCTCAGCAGGCTTAGTATTTATACATTTTTTCTTAAAAAGGAGGGGAGGCAGTGAGGAGAATGGTTACATACTTGTGAGACTTTACTTCTCACTAAATCTACATTTTACATAAGATAAGGTGAACCTTTGAAGAAAAAAGGAATACAGAAATAAAACAATTATGTAGCCAACTCAGGGAGGGGTGAAGGAATGATTAATCTCATCTTGCCTTTGTTCCGCACCTGGGGAGATAAGCTAGTAATTGACATTATCAGTGTGGAGCTTCAGGAACTAGATTTGGATTGCAGACCTAAAGTTACAATTGGCATGACCTTGCTTATGGGAGGCCAGCAAAGAAGTTACTCGTGAGTGGTCTGTGGGGCCAGACTTTCCAGATGTCTGAGGCCTTTTGCCTTTCCATGGGGTATCTGGAGGGTGCATACTGCTGGTAGCAGCTGCTTACTTGAATGACAGTGTGGCAATGACTGAACTTTAGGGCTTAATCTTCACTTTTGCATGAGGTTTTATATATATATATATATATATATATATATATATGTATATATATATATTCAATTTTACTTTAAGTTCTTGGATACATGTGCTGAACATGCAGGTTTGTTACATAAATATACATGTGCCATGTTGGTTTGCTGCACCTATCAACCCATCATCTAGGTTTTAAGCCCTGCATACGTTAGGTATTTGTCCTAATGCTCTCCCTCCCCTTCCCCCCGACCTCCCGACAGGCCCGGTGTGTGATGTTCCCCTTCCTGTGTCCACGTGTTCTCATTGTTCAACTCCCACTTATGAGTGAGAACTTGCAGTGTTTGGTTTTCTGTTCCTGTGTTAGTTTGTTGAGGATGATGGTTTCCAGCTTCACCCATGTCCTGCAAAGGACATGAACTCATTCTTTTTTATGGCTGCATAGTATTCCGTGGTGCATATGTGACCCGAGATTTTTATTTCCCTTTGCAGTGCCTTCTTGCTGCATCCTCTGGAGAGAAGGAGCCCTGCGTCCTCAGGGAAGGCAGAAGGGCAGGCAAGCCGGATACTGTGATGGTGCCTCTTCCATTCACAAGGGAGGAGCCCTCACAGCCTTGTCATCACCTCCTAAAGGCCTTGCCTTTTAATTTGATCACATGGGCCATGAAGTTTCAACACCTGAATTTTGGCAGAAATGCATTCAAACCACAGCAGACCCATTATCCTATTTCTAAGGAACCTGGGATAAGACAAGTCCATAGGACAGGCATGGACAAGCGTCCTGAGCCCTGGGGCCAGGGGAAATCCAAGGTAACAAGGGAAATTGGCGATCCCAGCCAGGTGCATGGCTAGAGCAGTTCTTTCCTTCGGAAGGGCAGCGATGGAAATTTCAGCTCTACTTTTTCCTTTTCCCGAGCTGTGTGATCTTGAGCAGCTTCCTTGCAGCTCATCCTTCATGTCCTAAAACAGATGATACAGCAACATCAGCAAGGTGGCAGACTAAGGAACTTCAGACACTACTTACTACCCCCAGAAACATTTTTTTAAAAACAATTAGAGGACCTTTGGAAAATAGTGAAAAGGTACAGGAGCCAAGCAACTGCCCATTCAAGAAAAAGCAACATTCAAAATGCAGGAGATTTTGTGGATTTGTACTCCCCCTTTCTGCACCCTTCCCTGGCACTGAGCAGTGTTGGTTTGGAGGAGGTGGCAGCCCAGCTCCCAGTTCTTTCCCTCTAATGTTAGTGAGCAGAGTCTAACCTGTCTGGGGATGGCTTGAAGGATTAGTCCTGCTTTGTTCAACTCAGAGCTCAGAATAAGAGAAGCAGTTTAATTCAGATTGCAGGCTGAGAAAAAGCTATGGAAAGCAGCAGGAACTGCTCTTAAAAACTGCAGGGAGGCTACAGAGACTGAAGATGCCTGGGCAAGAGATTTCAAATGGAAGCATGTAATAAACCCTCTAAGGGCACACAAAGAAGCTGGAACAAGACTTTTGGAAAATTAAGATGTCTAAAAGGAGCCATGTTTATGGGGAAATAGTTAAAGCCACATGAAGGCTCAGACGAGATGCATACTCAGAAAAAACCTGAGAAGATCTTAAGCTACTCCTTGGGCTGACTCCAAGGCTCAGAACATGTCCTGAGAATTAGTGAAGATCTTCCCCATCACATAGCCTGTCCGCAAATACTAGGAGAAGTGGCTGTTTTTTCAAATTCTTAATTCTCAACAACGACAACAAAAATCACAAGGCGTACAAAGACACCAGAAAATACAACTTCTTCAGGGAAGAAAATGAATTGTCGGAAACCACCCGTAAATCCAAGAAAATGATGGAGGCAAGTCTCAACCTTTTTAGAAGTATATTTTGCCGAGGTGAAAGACACGCCCAGGAGAAAGGAACACGTACCCACAGGAAACATCTGCGGTCTGTGCTTTTTCCACACAGGGTCTGGGGGCTTCATTATTTATAGGGAAAACAGCAGGCAGTAGGTGAAAGAGGAAGAGAGAAAAAAAGGGAGGGTAGGTAAGGCGAGCAGTTGCATTCCTTTCAGTCTTTTGATTATTTTCACTGAGTCCACATTTTTCATGTGAAAGAAGCCGGCTAAGGAAAAGTCAATTATGCATTCTTCTGGTTCCGTGAATCTGCGTTTTTAACATAAGATAAAATAATCATAGAGTATAGGAAGCAGTCAGGTACGGATTTGTCTCAGTTGAGCAGAGAGAGGACTTTTTGTTCTGTCCTTTGCCCTATGCCTGTGAAGATAAGCTGTTAATAATGTACATTGTCAGGGTGAAATTTAACAGAACCACTTTAGGGTAAAGATCTTGGGGCCCATAGGAAATTTTCTTGTGAGAAAAACTTGAGGAAGGATGTAGCCATCTATTTGGGAACAAAATAGGAGGCAGGTTTGCATGACCCAGCTCCCAGCTTGACTTTTGCCTTTGGCTTAGTGAGCTTCAGGTACTGAGATTGTATTTTTCTTTCACACACCCTTGAAGAAACATGCAAATATCAATTAAAAGAGAGGAAGTGTGGCTATATTAACATGAAATAAAATACACTTTAAGTCAAAAACTGTTACAAGACACAAAGAAGGACATTAAATATAGTTGAAGGGTGACTTCATCAGGGAGCAATGACAATTATAAACACATATGCACCAAACATTAGAGTGCCTAATTATTTGAAGCAAACATTGACAAAATTGAAGAGAGAAATAGATAGTTCTACAATAATGGTAAGACACTTCAATGACCCTACTTTCCACAGTGGATGAAACAGCCAGAAAGAACATAGATAAGAAAATAGAGGACTTGAACAGCACTATAGACCAATTGGATCTAATAAATATATGCAGAACACTCCACACAACATACGAGGAGTACACATTGTTCTCATGTAAATGTGAAACATTCTCCAAAACAGCCCATATGTGTGATATTATATATATAACATACATATTTTATATGTATCATAGATATTATATATCTCTCTATAGAATTAATATATAGATATAGATAGAGAATGGGATTGTCCACAGTTTCTGGCTCATAACTCCCATCATCCTTGTTATAATGTTGGGTGCTTTAGGCCTCAGAAGCAGACCTCAAAAACAGAATCTCTCTCTCTCTCTCTTTCTCTCTCTCTCTCTGACCTCCACCCTCCTTTCATCTGATCATTTTTCTCCACAAGACAACACTCTAATTTTTCCCACCTTTCCATAAAGGTCATCTGACCTATCTTGTCTGATGAGAAAACTCCTGCCCCATACCCTGGAGATGGGAATGCTGCAGAGAGAGGCCAAGGTGCATCTGAGTACACAGGCCTTGCTGAGTTTCCCCACTCATTCTATTAGCACTAGATCACACCCTTTTTGCCAAATCACATTTCTAACCTATGTTACAAATCCTTTATAAAACCCCAAAGAGGACATGTTGGGGAGCTTCTGGATAGCTGAACATGTGGAGGCTCCTGGAGTGTGAGGCACAAGGAGAGCATGGAAGCTCCGCGCCCTTTCCGCCATGCCTCACCCTATGCACCTTTTCATCTTTATCCTTTGTAACATCTTTTATGATAAACTAGTAAATGCAAGTGTTTCCCTGAGTACTGTGAGCTGCTCTAGCAAATTAGCCTAACACAAGGAGGGGGTCATGGGAGTCCCAATTTACAGCCAGTTGGCCAGAAGGCTCATGTCCGTGGCAGAGTTTATTGCTTGCTTGCTGGTGAGGAGAAATGCTGACAGTCTGTTCACAGAAATTGTCTGTATTGATTGTTGTGGTGTGAGAGCAGAGAAAAAAACTTTGTGTTATTTTTTAATTCACAATATATTAGGTCACAAAATAAGTCATAATATTTCAAATATTGAATCATACAAAATATTTTTTTCAGAATGGAATGGAACTAGAAATAAGTTACAGAAGGGAAACTAGGAAGAGGAAAATATAGAGAATCGCAATTTACCACAACAGAAAGCCCAGAGCAGCAATCCTTGTGGGAACCAGTGTGGGGACAGGAAAGCCTGAACTATAATTTGCAAATTGCTGGAGGCTTAGAGTGGACAAGTCTGAGAAGTAAAATCTCCAAGGGGACCTTTCCATTGTGGGCTATCCAAATGCTATGGTTTGAATGTGTCCTTTCCAAAATACTACCCATTGAATGGGATAGTATTAAAAGGTAAGGCCTTTGAAAGGTGATTAGACCGTGAGGGCTGCTCCCTTGTGAATGAGATTAATGCCTTTATTAAAGAGGCTACGGGCAGTGTTCAGTGCACTTGCCCTTCTGCTTTCCACCATATGAGGACATGCTGTTTCTCCTCTCTGGAGGATGTGTTATTTGAGGCACCATCTCAAAAGCAGAGCCCAGGTCGTCAACAGGCAACCAAACCTGCTGGCACCTTGACTGTGGACTTCCCAGCTTCCAGAACTGTGAGAAATTAATTTCTCTTATGTATAATTTACCCAGTCTCAGGTACTCTGTTATAGCAATACAAGTGGACTAAGACACCACCCTTGTGTGAGTTTTAACTTCTGGAGCTTTATTAGAGCCTCACAGTGAATATCACAGAAAAACTCCCTCATGCTTCTGGCAGGAAGAGGTGAAAAGGAATCATTTTAAACTATCCCAAAGCATTCTGTTTTCTTAACAAGGTCTGCCCTCAGGAGAAACTATTCAACCAGAGCCTAACGTGATGACGTTTTATAAGAGCCTAAGTGTCCTGGAGAAAGGGGAATACCCCAGCAGCCATGGGGTACCATCTAATGGAGGGGGAAGGAATTGAGAAGCACAAGTGAAGTTCACGATACAGAGGCACAGACTCACTAAAAGGCTGACACTTCATCATCTGACCATAAGACTACAGAATGCTGGCCTTCCTTCTCATATGACCACCACATGGCTAAAAGTCTGTTTACTGCAGTCCCTTTTATCAAGTATATTATTTATGGTTACCAATTAAAAATTATAAGACATCTTAAGAGGTAAAAACACGGTTTGAAGAGATAGAGCAAGCATCAAAACCATAATCTGATATAGCAGAGGTGTTGGAATTAGCAGACTGAGAATTTAAAACAACTAGAATGAATATGCTAAGAGCTGTAATGGATAAATCAATTGGCATGCAAGAGTGTCCGGGAAGTGTAAGGAGAGAGATGGAAATCCTAAGAAAGAATCAAAAATACATGCTGGACATCAAAAACACTATAACAGAAGTGGAAAATGCCTTTTATAAAAAACACATTTTTATAAAAAGGCATTTTTAGGCACATTAATAGACTGGACACAGACAAAGCTGAGAAAAGTCTGTTTTCAGCTTGAGGATATATCAGTAGAAACCTCCAACACTGCAAAGCAAAGAGAAAAAGACAGAAAAGAGAAACAAAACAGAACATACAGGAACTGTAGGACAACTACAAAAGGTATAAATATGTGTAATAAAAACTCTAGAAGGAGAAAAAGAGAGAGAAAAGAACAGAAGAAATAGTTGAATTTATAATGACTAAAAATTTCTCCCAAATTAATGTTTGGCACCAAACCACAGATCCAGGATCTAATAGACATCTACAGAACTCTCCACCCCAAATCAACAGAATATACATTCTTCTCAGCACCACATAGCATTTATTCTAAAATTGACCACATAATTGGAAGTAAAAAACTCCTCAGCACATGTAAAAGAACAGAAATCATAAGAGACAGTCTCTCAGACCACAGTGCAATCAAATTAGAACTCAGGATTAAGAAACTCACTCACAGCTGGGTGTGGTGGCTCACGCCTGTAATCCCAGCACTTTGGGAGGCTGAGGCGGGTGGATCACGAAGTCAGGAGTTCAAGACCAGACTGGCCAAGGTGATGAAACCTCGTCTCTACTAAAAATACAAAAATTAGCCAGATGTGGTGGCAGGCACCTGTAATCCCAGCTACTTGGAGGGTTGAGGCAGGATAATTGCTTGAACCTGGGTGGCAGAGGTTGCAGTGAGCCAAGATCATGTCACTGCACTCCAGCCTGGGTGACAGACTGAGACTCCATCTCAAAAAAAAAAAAAAAAAAAAAGAAAAAGAAAAAGAAAAAAAGAAGCTCACTCAAAACCGCACAACTACATGGAAACTGAACAACATGCTCCTACTGGATAAATAAGGAAATTAAGGCAGAAATAAATAAGTTCTTCGGAACCAATGAGAACAAAGAGACGATGTACCAGAATCTCTGGGACACAGCTAAAGCAGTGTTTAAAGGCAAATGTATAGCACTAAATAAGCATATTAGAAAGTGGGAAAGATCTAAAAGCAACATCCTAACATCACAATTAAAAGAACTAGAGAAGCAAGAGCAAAGTCAAAAACTAGCAGAAGACAAAAAATAACTAAGATCAGAGTAGAGCTGAAAGAGATAGAGACAAGAAAATTCCCCATTTTTAATCAGGTTCTCACTTAGGTGAGAATGTGACCAAAACTTAGGGCCCTAGCACCACTGTGAGTTACCATCATTTTGGCTTTCTGGTCTCAGCATGTCATTCATAGGTTACGGTGTCCTCATGGTCACATATTTCTTTCAGGTCTTGTCATTCTAGTTGAAGAGAGACCATTAGACATTCCAGACATGGCTGCATGCAGGCATTGAAAACTTTTGAGAGAACACAGTGCACCAGGGAGACTACTATTATGACTATTGGGAAGATAATATCGAGAGTTTGGAGTATGGTTCTTACCCAGGATCCCCATAAACCAAACCATCTAAAATGAAATAGATCAAACAATGAGCTAGATAAAGAGTCTGCTCGCTTAACTAAGCAGTCTCTTTTCTAATCCCCTACAACTGAATCTCTATACTACCCAATGTTTTCTCCATGTGCCACAAGTGTCAGCAGCTGCACAGATACTTCTGTTTAGCCAGTAAGTAATCTAGAGTAAATCTATTATTTAGCATAACTTTCACAAGAGAATTTAAGGTCTGTTGTGTAACCATAGCCTTTACAGTAGAATCTGCTATAGAGCCTATCATGAGGGATACATTTTTAATCATTGCCTCTTTTACTCCAAACCATGGAAAAAGGACCTAACAAATGATGCCCTTATAGAACAGTGAAGCCCTCCTGGCAATGTTCTTTTTAACCCATGATGTGGGTTAAGAAGAGTGAAACAGTGCTCTGTTTCTGACTATGAGGCAACATATGTACCATTAAAGTTTCTCACCTACATTGGGCCTTCATCTTTCATCTATCAAGGTATAAGGTTATCCATGCATAAGGCTGGCTGCAAAATCCTTTGCAAATAAAAGTATACCCATAAGTGCACACAACAGATCCCCTTTTCATTTCTATTGTTCATAGAGGCATAAGCAAGGGAAAAATATGCAAAGATAAGAGTTTTATGATAGTAGAGAAGTCTTGATCTGTGATCTTAGAAAAAGCTGTTCACATCAAGGATGCCATCTTCTTTTGGGGATAAACTTCCCTGGTTAGCTTTACCTTAAGTGTTCCAATGGGTGTACAGTTCCAAGAGTGTGGAGGGACCCTACTCAGTTGTGAAATTATGAACCCAATGTTCAAGGTCCTGAAGTTTAGTTTCAGTGTGGATGGCAAGGTCTGTCTTTCTCTGATATTCTCAGAAGATCCAGTGTTTGGGTTCTAGATTGTGAAGGGGTTGATTGTCCTCAGTCTGTGAACCATAAAAAGCTTTCTTTACCTGGTGAAAATAGACTGTGGCATAATAATCTACTGTTATAGCATTAGCCTTCTTGCTAATGGGAAAGCTTTTATACAACCAGAAAACATGCATTGAAAATGACAATGGAATGAAATTCCTCTATAAATGTTTAAATGGCTCATCAAGTAGCTGAATGTTTCTGAAGCTTTCATTGTCTTCCCAGGAATACGGATTTGACAAACCAAACATTGGTCATAAACTACTTTAGCAATTTAGAAGTCACCATACCAATATGTATTTAATTTCGTTCATTTTATCTTTTCCAGGATGTATCATGTAATGTGGAACTTTTAACTACAAAAGCTATAAGAACTTAGGAAGGGCAGGGAAGCTGTCCTGGTTCTCCATGAGTCCATGCTTAACATTGGACTTATGTCGTCTTGAATACCAGTTGTTTCTCCAATTTAGGCGCACAGCACTGATAACTAATGGGTTACTCTAGGTAATTTGACTTAGACCATGGAGTTTATTCAAATTGTATATCTAAACAATTTCAGTGTTGGCTGATTTAGGATGAAAATATGGCAAAATATTTTCTTGGTTTCAATTAATTTTTGTTCTCCTTGGGTTAGCAGTTTTATAAACCAGTCAGTTTTTTCAGTAAAGTTCCAGGAATTCCTACCCAGTCCAAATCATGATTTTAAAGTTACCAGAAACCTGTATTAAAGAGTGCTTTTCAGGGTCCTTTTCATCCTTTCATGAACCTCCTAAAAGATACCATATTCTCAGTTTTTGTGTGCTTGCAACGTTTTCAGAAACTGCATCAGCATTAAGCAATTAACAGTGGAAATGACTTTAAATAGTCACAATTAAAGACACAACTGACAAAGCAATCTAGTTATTTCTGTGGTTTTAATAACATAATAATCATAATTATGATTGATAGCATATACTCAGACATATTCGAATTTTACCATGACATATAATTTTGGAACATATATTAATGTCATTCACTAAAATATAGCCTGAAGAAAGTTATACATTATTTTTTATTTTGACAATGCTTCCCATGTAACTTGGAATGTCAGATAGTCCTGTTTTCCTCTTTTTTTGGATGTTTCAGGGACTCTCTGTAGTATTGTGTCCGGAATTGGTGGGTTCTTGGTCTCACTGACTTCAAGAATGAAGCCGCGGACCCTCGCGGTGAGTGTTACAGCTCTTAAGGTGGCGCGTCTGGAGTCTGTCCCTTCTGATGTTCAGATGTGTTCGGAGTTTCTTCCTTCTGGTGGGTTTGTGGTCTCACTGGCTCAGTAGTGAAGCTGCAGACCTTCGCGGTGAGTGTTACAGCTCTTAAGGCAGCGCGTCTGGAGTTGTTCGTTCCTCCCAGTGGCCTCGTGGTCTCTCTGGGCTCAGGAGTGAAGCTGCAGACCTTCGGGGTGAGTGTTACAGCTCTTAAGGCAGCGCATCTGGAGTTGTTCATTCCTCCCGGTGGGCTTGTGGTCTCGCTGGGCTCAGGAGTGAAGCTGCAGATCTTCGTGGTGAGTGTTACAGCTCATAAAAGCAGCATGGACCCAAAGAGTGAGCAGAAGCAAGATTTATTGCAAAGAGCAAAAGAACAAAGCTTCCACAGTGTGGAAGGGGACCCGAGCGAGTTGCCACTGCTGGCTCCGCAGCCTGCTTTTATTCTCTTATCTGGCCCCACCCACATCCTGCAGATTGGTAGGGCCGAGCGGCCTGTTTTGACAGGGCGTTGATTGGTGCGTTTACAATCCCTGAGCTAGATACAAAGGTTCTCCACGTCCCCATCAGATTAGTTAGATAAAGAGTTTCGACACACAGGTTCTCCAAGGCCCCACCAGAGCAGCTAGATACAGTGTGGATTGGTGCACTCACAAACCTTGAGCTAAACACAGGGTGCTGATTGGTGTGTTTACAAACCTTGAGCTAGATACAGAGTGCCGATTGGTGTATTTACAATCCCTGAGCTAGACATAAAGGTTCTCCAAGGCCCCGCTAGAGCAGCTAGATACAGAGTGTTGATTGGTGCACTCACAAACCTTGAGCTAAACACAGGGTGCTGATTGGTGTATTTACAATCCCTGAACTAGACATAAAGACTCTCCACGTCCCCACCAGACTCAGGAGCCCAGCTGGCTTCACGTAGTGGATCCCACACCGGGGCTGCAGGTGGAGCTGCCTGCCAGTCCCGCACCATGCGCTCGCACTCCTCAGCCCTTGGGTGGTCGATGGGACTGGGTGCCCTGGAGCAGGGGTGGTGCTCGTCGGGGAGGCTCGGGCCGCACAGGAGTCCATGGAGTGGGTGGGAGGCTCAGGCATGGGGGGCTGCAGGTCCCCAGCCCTGCCCCGCGGGAAGGCAGCTAAGGCTCGGTGAGAAATCGAGCACAGCGCCGGTGGGCTGGCACTGCTGGGGGACCCAGTACACCCTCTGCAGCCACTGGCCCGGGTGCTAAGTCCCTCATTGCCCGGGGCCAGCAGGGCTGGCCGGCTGCTCCGAGTGCGGGGCCCTCCAAGCCCACGCCCACCCGGAACTCCAGCTGGCCCGCAAGAGCCGCATGCAGCCCCAGTTCCCGCTCACGCCTCTCCCTCCACACCTCCCTGCAAGCTGAGGGAGTGGGCTCCAGCCTTGGCCAGCCCAGAAAGGGGCTTCCACAGTGCAGTGGTGGGCTGAAGGGCCCCTCAAGTGCCGCCAAAGTGGGAGCCCAGGCAGAGGAGGTGCCAAGAGCAAGCGAGGGCTCTGAGGACTGCCAGCATGCTGTCACCTCTCAGTATCTCAAAGTTAGAGGTCAGAAAAGACCATTTTGAAGCTGAAATTTGATTGTGGGAAGTCTAACATATATATTAAATGTTTAAAATACTTGATATAAAATAGAATTCCAGGTCACCATAAGTCATTCATTTAGCCAAAATGATGACTTAAAAATTTTTTTAAGCAAAAAAACTTTACTCATTGATAGAGGGAAGACTTAGCTTTCCAAACAATCTGTCTCTTGTCTTTCCCTTCCTTTTTTGGTAGTTTATTCAAAAGGCAAACAAAAACCTTTCATTATCCTTTAATATTACATGAAAGTCTTTTTCAAGATAGAAAGCCAAATTTCACCCTTGCATTAGTGTACTAGTAATGTTAACTCCAATCTTTAATAAAACCTTATAGACAAATTTATCCAATCTTAATGTGTTTGACCCTAAGGTAAGATTCTCATAAACCTTTTATAACCCTTTACAAATTTTTGCTAAGGAGCAGATCAGTGTTCTAGGAAAAAGTCTGTTGTACCTTTATTCCATTGTTCAATTTCCAGATAAACTGAATAAAACCCTTTTGATTTTAGCCAATATATTAACACATATAATTTTTTACAAGATTTTTTTTTACAAATCTTTTACAGCTTGCTCAAGTGTTTAGCTTTATTCTATCTCATTTAAAACAATCATTTAACCTTCTAACCTAGGCAAAAATGTACATTCTTATGGCTTCTTATAATCTTTTCCTAAAGGTGCATTTCACTGTCCTTACACACCTTGCATGTAAAACTGTTTCTTCAGTAGTTTCAAGTATATGTTACACTGTTACCTCTCAGCAACTTTTGGTGAAAAATCTGGCTAGTTAGTGATTTTATTTAGGTACTAGGTGTGGAGCCTAGGGCACCAGACAGAAGTGCAGATAAAAAGACTCTTTCCAGCATAGCTAGGGAGCATGGCTATCTCCACATGTTCCTAGGCCTTACTTAGCTGTAAAGTAGGCAACTTGAACAATTTTCAAAAGCCAAAGAAGCAGTTTATGACCTTAAAGCGTCTAGCAAACCTAGTACCTGACCTGCCTAATTTAGACCAAATGTCTTTATTTTACCAAAGATTACTGAGGTCACATGAACTAAAAGTGTTATAGTTTTTTTCTTTCAAAATATTTAAGTGCTTATTTTTCTTTAAGCCAATTAATCAGAGTTCTTCTATATAAGCACCACACACACAACACATATGTAACTACACAGACAGACAGAAGAATATCTAATAATTGTAGGGCTTTTCATTTGCCAGTTTCTTAATTGGATTACTGGCTTCAGGGTGCATCCCTTCAAGGAACAGAGCCAGGAGAGCATGTAGTTCCTAGGGCCTAATAAGCAGGCACACCTGTAAGGCAAAAACAGTTCTCCAAAGTTAAGGGTCCCGTTTTTATTTTGCATCATGGATCATGGATCCCAAAAAAGAGGGAAATGCTATGGGAGAAGACAGCGCAATGCATTTTATTGCAAAGCAACCCAAAGCCAATCAGCCCATTCTGTGATTAGCCCAAAACTCAAAACCTTTAGCTAACACAATGCAAAGCAGAACAGAGCTTTACATTTTTGAGAGAGATCCATCCACTTTCAATTCCTGGGGTTTCTTGAGGAAAGCACGTTTTTCCCAGTACAGATCTATGGTGCTTCCTCTGTTTTTCCCAAGGAGTGCCAAGCTGTTAGAAGTTCTCTTAAGTCCTCTCCTATGTGCATCAAGAGTGGCAAGACAAAAACAGAGAAAAATAATTCAATCAACTGAGAAAAAAGAGAAAAAATCCTTTTTCCAGAAAAACAAGATTCAAGAAGAGAAAAAAACAAACCATAAAAGGGCTTTTAAATATAGGTATAGCTTGGATATCAATTTTTAATTAAGCTGACTTTTAACCATAGTACTCTTTAAAGAAAACAAAAGTCCTTCTAAATTTCTTATTAACCCACTTTAGTCAGGCTAAACAGCTGGCTAATACTTCTGGCTTTTGAACTTTACCAAAAGTAACCTCACAGGTGAAACCAACAAGCCTCAACTAAGGTTATGACTTAACCTTGGCATACAAAGTATTTTCAAAAAGGAGGTAAGCAGTTTTTACAAAATGTAGAATTTTCAAAGGTAGCACAAAGAAAGAAAAATTCAAGAAGGAAAGCCAGAAGTTGTTCATGGAGAAGACAATCAACAAATGGCAAAGGTCACACAGATACCAACCAGCAGTACTTATTCCCTAAGCCAGGATTGAACCCAGGCCATCACTGTAAAATGGCAAAGCCTTAGCTGCTGAGTTGTAACATTAGGTAGTTTACATTGCTCTTCCCAGAAGAGTATAGAGCAGTCAATTTTGAGCTTGCAATGGTTTTTAAGTACCCAAAATAATTTTTAGAGCTAACTATGACATAAACCTCAAAATTCTTGTTCCTTAGACGGCAGAGACCAAGAGAAAATACTGTTACATGGTTACAAGATCAAGTTCACAAGGACATAAACAAGATGGAGACCTCATCCCGTTTCTTCGTTTGTTTCAGGGATCTGTAACAAAGTTTATTACTGACCAGCTTGCTGGGCTATCTTGAACAGCAAGCTTATGGGGTCCTAAGCTCATGTTCTATTTTAAGGTACCTCTCTTCATGGCAGAATGACACAGAAAGACAAATTCACAGCACAAAGTTCACCAGATTCGTTACAGCTTAAGACTAGCCTCATGAATCCTTTTTCCTATTAATTAAAACTTTGCAAGAGATAGTGATTTTTACCATTCCCGCATCCATTTTGCACAGTGAAGGAGTGAGAGAGAGAAGAATTGTCTGCGCTATCTAAGGTGAGGAGTTCAGGGGGGCCAGAGAAAGACCCACCCATTGCAGAGACACTGAATTAATAGTTCAGGTGGCAGCTGGTTGGTTGATAAAGAATCTTTTCCAGTCCCATCAGCTCTCAACTTTTCCCCTTTGGGGAGAAAAAGTTCTCCATGTTCCAAAGTCCTGTATATGCCTAATCCTGTCAGCCATAGCTGCCAGCAAAGAGTGCAAGGCAGATTAATCCAAAGAGAATAGTGGTTAAAATCCTATAGTGCCAAGTCCACTTTTGACCAAGAGGGACTTTACTGCACCCCATCCCATCCTTTACCTAGGTAAAATGTACCCCATTGCTTACCCAAAGTCAGCCAATTGGTACTGCAGTCTATTTCCTTTGGAATGGGATAGCAACTTAGCTAAAAGGTTAGCAGATTTAATTTTTTTAAGTATATTTGTCACTTAAGCTTTTTATTTGCCTTTCACAAAGTCGTTAAATAAAAATGCCAAAATCTTTTTAGAAACTTCTGCGTATCAATAAGTATTCCCAGATGAGACTAATTTGGAAGCCCTCATTTTCAAATGCACTTCAGTGCATTGTTGTTCATTTGGAACATTCCACTGTAAGTTATCTTTAGTAAGATTTTACCATTTCTGTAAGGCTTTGGTGCTTCCAGGGCCTAATACTTATTATTCATGTATAAGCCAGAAGGAACTCAGTTCTTCAGAAATTAAAGATTCCATTTTTATCTAAGATATTGGCTTTGCTCACAGGTTCCCTTGATTAACTTAGCCAGTGATTTTTCTTTTCCTACCTAAGTACTCACGAAAAATGAAACAAAGGGGTAAAACACAAAAATCCCCGTGAATTTCCAAAAGCCAAATTTTACACCCCCTACAACATTACCATTTACTACCAGTACCTTTCTGACCCAGTCAGACCTAAGAGACCTGTAACTGGATTCAAGCCAGTTAATTAGTCAATCAAACCCACTCCTAGACCCAGTCCAGTTTCTGTCATGACTTCCAAACCGAGTTTGGGTCAGAAATTAGCTCAAAGAAACTCAGAGAACTCAAAGCACAAATCCATGGAGCTCTAAAACTCAAGAGAGAACTTACCATGATCCCCAGTGGCTCTGAGAGATCAATGGACACAAATGGATCCTGTTGGTACCTCACTTGTTCACTTAGCGCCCCTGGGGGTCGTTAGAAGCTCTACTTCAGACCTTGCTTCTGACATCATCTGATAAAAGAAAAACCTCAGCCAAATTAAATTTGAAGGAGTGCAATGGAGCAATGAACGACTCGCGAATTGGGCAGCCTTCCCTGACAGAGTAGGCTTGGAGGCTCCGGCACAGCCACATGGTGGAAGAAGATTTATGGACAGAAAAAGGAAAGTGACACACAGAAAATGGAAGTGAGACACAGGAACAGCTGGATTGGTTACAGCTTGGTGTTTGCCTTATTTGAACATGGTTCAAACAGTTAGCTACATTTGATTGGTGAAAACTGGGTGACTGGCACGAGTGTAGGCTATGGTCTGTTTACAACTCCACTTGTTATAGTTCACGATGTACAGATAAACTCTTAGACCAAACTTAAAATACACAGGGAGGCAACTTTAGGCTAAACTTGATTTAACAGGTCTAACAGATAACTGTTCAAGTATCAGCCAAGTATTTGATTGTGCGTGTTTATAAGAAAAATGAACAACTGGAAAGATACAAAGAAAGGGATGGGAGAAAGGAATTAGGATTATTTTGTTATTATAAGGTGCCTACATTGTCTATGAAGTACTATGATCTTATTTGAGAGTGGATTTGTAGTTTTTGTAAACTGCAAACTCTACAGCAACCACTAAAAAAGTACAACTTGTATACTAAGATAGGAGGCAAAATGGAAAAAATCAAATAGTTAAAACCACAAAAGGCAAAAAAAAAAAAGAGTGGAGGGCAAAAATTGGAAAAAAATTAAAAAGTCAACAAATAGAAAACAGTAATAAATATGACACATAGTAATCCAACTATGTCAGCAATCATTTTGAATATCAGTGGCTTAAGTGCACCAGGTAAAACACATAGATTGTCAGAGTGAATAAAAAAACAAGACCCAACTACTTTCTACAAGAAACGTACTTTAAATTTAAAGACACATAAAGCAAATAGGTAAAGAAAAATATGCCATACTAACACTAATAAGAAAAAGTGCAATCAGTTATATTAATTTCAGAGCAGATTTCAGAGTAAAACTTATCATGAATAAAGAGAGGCATTACTAAAGAATAACGGTGTCAATGAATTCTCTAAGAAATAATAATCCTTAACATGTGTGCATTTAACAACAGAATGTCAAGACACATGAGGCAAAAACTGACATAACTCCAAGAAGGAAAAGATGAATCCACTTTTAGAGTTGCAGACTTCAATACTACTGTGAGAAATGGATAGAATCTTTAGGAAGAAATGCACTAAAGGCATAGTTGAGCTCCACAGCACCATGAGTCAACTGGATATAATACTGCTTCATCCAACTGCATATAGACTATTTCATCCAACAACAGAATGCATGTCCTTCTGAAGCCCACATGAAACACTCACCAAGCTAGACCACATTCTAGGCCATAAAATATGCCTTCACAAAATCAGAATAGAAATCATGTCATCTCTGCTCTCACACCAAAAAGGAATTGCACTGGAAAACAAAAATGGGAAGATAGTTAGAAAATCTCAAAATATTTGCAGATTGAAGAACATACTTCTAAATACGTGTGTCATAGAAGAAATCTCAAAAGAAAATGAAAGATATTTTAAAATAAAATGAAAACACAACTTATTGAAATTCGTGTGATGCAGTGAAAGCAGTGCTTAGGGGAAATTTATAGTGTTGAATGCATATATCAGAAAAGAAGAAAGACCTAAAATCAATCACCTATGCTTCCCTCTTTGGAAATGAGAAAAAAAAAAAGAGAGAGATAAAACTAAACCCAAACTAAGAAGACATACTGAAAATTGTAAATATTAGAGCAGAAATCAAGGAAATTGAAAACAGAAATTCAACAGAGAACATCAATACAACTCAAAACAGTGTCTTTGAGATCAATAACATCAGTGAGGCAAACAAATAAAAAACAAGAAAGGATACAAATTTCTATATGTGAAATGAAGGAGGAGCCATCACTATAAATCCCACTGGCATTAAAAAGATTTTGAAAAAGAATACTATGAACAACTTTATGCCTAGGAAGTTGATAACTTAGATGAAATGGATCAATTCCTTGCAAGACATAAACTGCAAAAACTCAAATAAGAACAAATAGACAATCTAAATAGGCTGTATCTATTAATGAAATGAAATCAGTAATTAATAACCTTCGAAAGCAGAAAGCACCAGGCCCAGATGGGTTCACTGGTGAATTTTACCAAACATTTAAGGAAGAAAGTATACCAATTCTCTACAATCTCTTCGAGATCAAAGCAGTGACAATACTTCCTAACTCATTCTATGAGACCAGCATTACATTAATACCAAAAGACATTACAAGAAAAGAGAGCTACAGACCAACATCGCATAACCATAGAAGCAAAACCTTGATAAACTATTAGTAAATTTAATCCAACAATGTTTAAAAAGAATTCTACAGCGTAAGTAAGTGAGATTTATCTCAATATCAAAGTTTGTTTCAACATTTAAAAATCAATGAATGTAATCCATCACATCAACAAGTTAAACAAGAAAAAATCCCATGATTACATCATTAGAGAAAAAACACGACAAAGTCCAACATCCATTCATGATAAAAACTCTCATTAAACTAGGAATAGATGACAACTCCATCAATTGAATAAAGAATATCTACATAAGACCTACAACTAACATCACACTTAATGCTGATAAACTAGAAACTTTCCCACTAAGATCAGGAGCTTCTGGAACTAGTAAGTGATTCTATCAAGGTTGCAGGACACAAGGTTAGGATATACAACCACTTTCCCATATACCACTAATGAACCAGTGGAATTTGAAATTGAAAGCACACTTTCACTCAGAAAATGAAACATTTAGGGATAAATCTGTCAAAATATGTACAAGGTCTATTTGAGGGAATCTATAAAATTCTGATGAAAGAACCCAAAGAAGAACTAAATATATAGAGAGATATTGCATGCTCATGGATAGAAGACTCTATATTTTTAAGATGTCAGTTATTCCCAGGGTGATCTATAGATTCAATGCAATCCCAATTAAAAAAAAAAACTCACCAAGTTATGACACAGAATAACCAACACAATATTGAAGGAGAAAGATTAGAGGACTGGTATGTCTGACTTCATGACTGACTACAAAGCTAAAATAATCAGAGGAAAGTGTGGTGTTGGTGAAAGAACAGACCACAGGGCGGGGCGTGGTGGCTCACACCTGTAATCCCAGCACTTTGGGAGGCCGAGGTGGGCGAATCGTGAAGTCAGGAGTTCAGGACCCGCCTGGCCAACATGATGAAACCCCGTCTCTACTAAAAATACAAAAATTAGCTGGGCCTGGTGGCATGCACCTGTAATCCCAGCTACTCAGGAGGCTGAGGCACGAGAATAGCTCGAACGTGGTAGCCGGAGGTTGCAGTGAGCCGAGATCGTGCCACTGCACTCCAGCCCAGGTGACAAAGTGAGACTCTATCTCAAAACAAAACAAAACAAAACAAAACAAAACAAAACAAAAGACAACCCACAGATTGAGAGAAAATATAAGCAAAAGACACATCTGATAAGGGACTGCTATCCAAAATATACAAAGAACTCTATAAATGCAATAATAAGGAAACAGACAACCCATTTAAAAAACAGACAAAACACCTGAACAGATACATCACCAAAGAGGATACACAGATGGTAAATAAGCACATGAAACGATGCTGCATATCATATGTTATCAGAGAATGCAAATTAAAACAACAATGAGGTACCATTACACACCTACTAGAATGACCAAAATCTAAACATGGACAACACTAAATCCTGGTGAGGAAGCAGAGCAACAGGAACTCTCATTCATTGCTGGTCTGAAGCCACTTTGAAAGATAGTTTGGCTGTTTCTTACAAAATTATACATATTCTTCTCACCATATAGTCAGTCATGCTCCTTGGTATTTACCCAATGGTATGAAAACTTGCACAGGTTCACACAAAGACCTATACATGGATGTTTATAGTAGCTTTATCGACAATTACCAAAACGTGGAAACAACCAACATGTCTTTCAGTAGGTTAAGGGATAAATAAACTTTGGTACATTCAGACAATAGAATATTATTAAACTCCAAAAAGAAATGAGGTATCAAGTCATGAAAAGATGTGGAAGAACCCTAAATGCATATTCCTAAGTGACAGAAGCCAATCTGAAAAGGCTACATACTATATGATTCCAACTATGTGACATTCTGGAAAAGGCAAAACTATGAAAACAGTAAAAAGATCAGTGGTTGCCAGGGATTACAGGGGAGAAATGGGTGAATAAGCTGATACTAGGGAATATCTAGGGCAGTGAAAATAGTCTGTGTGATATTGTAATGGTGGATATATGTCACTATAAATGTGATCAAACCCATAAAATGTACAACACCAAGGGTGAACCTTAATGTAAACTATGGGCTTTGGGTGATAATGATTTGTCAATGCAGGCTCATCAATTATGACAAATGTAACACTCTGGTTCAGAATCTTGATAAGGGGGAAAGGGGACAGAAGGTCTATGGGAAATCTCTGGATCTTCTGCTCAATTTTGCTGTGAATCCAAACTTCTCTGAAATGTAGTCTTTTTTTCAAAAAATATTATACACCATGACCAAGTGGGATGTATTCCTGGAATGAATGCAAGAATGGTTCGATATGTACAATTTAATTAATATAATATACTATATTATGAGACTGAAGAAATAAGCCCACATGATATCACAACTGGTACAGAAAAAATGTTTAACAAAATTCAACACACTTTTATGATGAAAAAAACTATAAAAACTAGAAATGGAAGAAAACTAACTCAACATAACAAATACTATATATGAAAAGCCCACACTAACATCACACTCACTAGTGAAAGACTGTAATATTTTACTCGAATATCAGGAAGGAGATAAGGTTGCCTGCTATCGCCACTTCTATTTAATATAGTATTGAAAGTTTTAGGCAAGGAAAATAAATAAATGGCATCTAAATGTGAAAGGAAGTACAACTGTTTCTGTTGCAGACTACCTAATTGCATATGTAGAAAACTGTAAATATTCCACAGAAAAATGTTAGAACTAATAAATCAATTTAGCAAAAATGTAGTAGCACAACTTTATATAAAATCAACATACAAAATTCAGTTATGTTTCTATGCACTACCAGTGAACAATCCAAAAGTGAAATTAAGAAAACAATTGCATCCACAATAATATTGAAAATAATAAAATACTTAGGATTAAACACAAGGAGGCAAAGAACTTGTACACTGAAAACAACTAAATGTTGCTGAAAGAAATTAAAGAAGACACAAACAAATGAAAAGACATTCCGTGTTCAAGAATTAGAAGACTCAATATTGTTAAAATGTTAATACTACCCAATCTACAGATTCAATGCAATTCCTATCAAAATTCCAGGGACATCTTTTGCAGAAAAATACTCCCAAGGGGTAGTACTAGTATGAAAACAGACCTATAGATGAATGGAATCGACTAGAGAGCTCAAAAATAAACCCTTGAATGTATGGTCAAATGATTTTTTACGAGGTTGCACAACTATTCAATGGAGAAAGGACAGTCTTTTCAACAAAAATTGCTAAAATAAATGGGATATCCACCTGCAAAGGAAAGAAGTTGGAGCCTTAATTTATGACATACACAAAAGTTAGCTGAAATGGATCAAAGACTTAAATGTAGGAGATGAATCTATAAAACTCTTAGAATGAAAACTTAGGAGAAAATCTTTATGACATTAAATTCAACAATGATTTATTTGGTGTGACACCAAAAGCACAATCAATGAAATAAAAAATTGATAAACTGGACTTCATCAAATGTTAAATATTTCATGCATCAATACACACTATTAACAGAGTAAAAAAGCAGCACACGGAATGGGAGATGTTATTTGTAAATCCTATATCTGTTAAGGTATTAATGTCCAGAATAAATGAAAATACTCTACGTATCAACAACAAAAACAAACAACACAATTTAAAAATTGGCAAAGGAATTAAATAATATTTCTCCAAAGATTATACAGATGATCAATAAGTACATGAAAAGATGGCTACTATCTCTAATCATTAGAGAAATCTAAACTCAAACCACCATGTGAGATCAAAGAATAAAAAGTAATAACCGTTGGTAAGAATGTGAAGATGCTAGAACTTTTATTCATTGCCGGTGTGAATGTAAAATGGTGCAGCCACTGTGGAAACAGTATATTTTACCTTTAAAAATTAAACAGAATTACCATAGTATTCAGCAAGTCCACTTCTAGGTCTATACGTAAAAGAACTGTATACATACAATTACACAATAGAATACACAAAAGCAGGGTCTTGACCACATATCTGTATGCCCATGTTCATAGTAGCATTATTCATAAGAACCCAAAGGTGGAAACAACCTGGATGCCCATTTATGGATGAATGGATAAACTAAATGTGGAATATATGTATAACAGATTATTATACAGCCCCAAAAAGGAATAAATTTCTGATATACGCTGCAAGATGGATGATCTGTAAGGCATTATGCTAAGTGAAGTAAGCCAGACACAAAGACAAATATCGTATTTTTCCACTTATAGGAGGTACTTAGAACAGTCAAACTCATACAGACAGAAAGTAGAATGGTGGTTAGCAGGGGCTCAGGGAGGCAAGAATGGGTTGTTGTTTAATGAGAGCAGAGCTTTGGTTTTGGAAGACTAGAAAGTTTAGTAATAGCAATGGTTACACGCCAATGTGAATGTGCTTAATGCCACTGAGAAGTAATCTTAAAAATGGTTAATCTGAAAAATTTTATGTTACGTATATTTTACCACAATAAAAACATAGATAATAGCATTTTTTTCACAAAACACAGGCAAATTTACTTGTAAACTAAAGATGGTTGAGCAAATGTTAGAGGAGAAGATATTTAAAGTAGATGTCCTCATGGCAAGGTCAGAATATCTTATCCTAACAGGTGGACCACAAGTTCTCACAGGGAAGTGGGAGGATCTCCCCCTTTGAGTGGCCAGCAGAAAGCTATAATTTCAGTAACTCCCAGAAAATTCCTAGGGAAAGTGCTCTACCCTCATAGATCTCTCTTGGTTGAAACCTTTCATAGCCTACAGCAGGATATGGTAACACTCTTAGCTGAGGCCCTGAGTTCCACTTCCTGGAAAGGAAAAAAAGAAAAGAATGGACCATAGGAAGCCTTCTGTGTACCGTTAGTTCTCTCATACTCAGAATGGAATTTAGAAAAGATTCAGAAGCACAGTTACGGGGCTAGCTCTGCCATTCCCTGGACATGCAATCATGCACAAATTACTCTGTGGCTTTGAGCCTCTGTTTTTCCATCTGTAAATGGGAATTATTGTAACATTCATTGCCGAGACTGTTTGAGTTAATAGCCTCGATTCCTCACCCCCTACAATTGCCCAGCTCCTGCTTCTGTGCTCATCCACTTTCTGGCCAATAGGATGCAAAGACTTGATATGTTTCCACATGTTCTGGCGCTTCTCCACTTCTTCATGAGAATATATGTCAGCCGGTTGGAGAACGAGATCCTTTCTCTTCCCCATGAGAACTTGGGGTCCATCGTTAGAGGATAAGATTGTCCACCTTCCCATGAGAATTTGGGACATGGAGCCGGTCATTGCGGTGCAACCATCCTGCATATTAGCTGGCCATACATGTATGAGTCATCCCTTGAGGCCAGAAGTGCCTCATTGAAACCCAACTCTTGGTCAATATCACTGACCCTCAGACTCCTGAGCTCATGGCTGCTCCTTGTTTCAAGCCTCTCAGCTTTGGGGTGGTTTATTCTATGGCTTTGTCTTGACAATAAACACTGACCTCTGTGCCTCCACCCTGTGGGGCTTGTTGGACAATAAGTTCAATTAGGTCATAGATGTGAACACTTCTCAGGCTTCAGTGTGCTTGAGAATTAACTGTGGATCTTATTAAAACACAGATTGCTGGTCCTTTCCTGGAGATTCTAAGTCAGTAGGCTTGGGGATGGGACCTGAGAATTTGCATTTCTGACAGACTCTCAGGGGCTGATGTTGTTATGAGTTTAGAGACCACACTTTGAGGAGCACTTCCCAAATATGATTACCTTTATAAACCCCCATGGGGCACCATAAAGGAGAGGTGAGTTGCCTGGGGACCCTGGCCAGAAGCTCACATCAAAAGCAGGGGGTCTCCCACTTCACATCTGCTTCAGGAATGAAGTTCAGGTTCTGAACGTTCTCTCTGACTTGCTATAAAATTCTGACAAGTATCCTTACTGCCCTCGATTTCAAAGAGTCCCAGATTACTAAACTATCCACGTCCTTCCCATTGTTCCAGGCTGCTAACTCACAGGAGAAATCCAAAGGCACCTGGGATGTCCCTGACCCCAAGGGACAGAAATTCTCAGGAACATCACTGCAGGCAGCACAAACCAGACGTCCCAGCCTGGGCTTCTTCACACAAGAGGCACTTCCTCTGTAAACCTGGACCACTCAGTCACCTCCCAGCCGCTGTCTCCTACCTTGTGAAACAGGGCCATTGTGCTGTCATTGCAGGCCTGAATTGAGCATCAAATGGGAATATTTCTGCAGTGCCTAGGATGATCCCCAGCAGAGTAAGGATGCTCAGAAAATGCTAGTTCCCTTAGTTCTCTTTTCCCAGGGGGCTGGTGACAAGACCTCACAGAGCCAAGCAGAACAGAAGCAGTTCTAAGCCAATGTCGGGAATCTGGCCTTTGAGCATAGGAAGACAGGGAGAGGAGGAGAGGCCCTAGGGCATGCAGGAATTCACTTAAGAACAAAATATGTAAACTTTAACATAGAAGCATACGGGTGAGTGTATGTTATGAAAAAAAGACAAGGAAAAATTATATATATGTAATATATATACTATACTATATATATAATAAAATTATATATATTATATATAATATAAAAAGTATATAATATATATTACATATTAAATATATATTTTATATATATAATATATGGTGTTGTATCTGCAATAAGGAAGAAGAAATAACACCTAATAAGACTAAAATAGCAACACATGGCCTGGGCGCAGTGGCTCACGCCTGTAATCTCAGCACTTTGGGACGGTCAGGCAGGCAGATCACCAGGTCACAAGATTGAAACCGTTCTGGCCAACATAATGAAACCCCATCTCTACTAAAAATACAAAAATTATCTGGGCATGGTGGCATGTGCCTGTAGTCCCAGCTACTTGGGAGGCTGAGGCAGGAGAATCGCCTCCTCGGGAGGCGGAGGTTGCAGTGATTCAAGATCACGCCCCTACTCTCCAGCCTGGCGACAGAGCAAGACTCCGTCTAAAAAAAAAAAAAGCAACACATATAAAACTGTAATTATACTACTTTAAAAATTAAAATTTTCATATTGAATTAAAAAGCAAAATCCAACTATGCATTATCTATTTGAGGAATACTTAAAAATAAGAAATAAACATTGAAAATAATGTTGCAAAAATATACCAGACAATATTGGAGGTCTCATATTACTCTTTTAAAAAGTAGAAGACATGTCATTATATCAAGGCACAATAGAAGTTCATTATCAACTGGGTATAAAGCATGAAGATGCTATAATTATCAGAATGTATTCATTTACAATATATGCTATAAAAACATTTAAAGAAAATAATCATAAGAATTAGGAGTAGACATAAATTACTACCTCCTGTAGATTTTAACAAATCTTCTCAGAAATTATCAGTCAAGCAGACCAAAAAATTAGATAAGTACTAATAACAGTCAGAAGGCACACATACATTTTGGTCTTACATTGTTGAACACAGAAAACTTGCATTCACCAGGCCAACCAACAGGGAATCCACAATGAGGACCCTGCTTTCTGAACTGGCTGTGGGCCTGTGAATGTTAAACAGCTACAGCAGCCTTTCCCATGTGGAGCTCCACAAATGAATAGGGCCCTACAGAAACAATTTGAGTGAACACTGTCTTAATAATACCAAGGAAGGGACATCACCAGGAGCAGCCTAGGCGCAGAGGGGATGCATGAGTATGTTGCCTGCAGTGGATTCCTTAGGACATCGGCTTGGTTCCTCCGTGAAGTCTGGCTGGGTACAGAGTGGGATCATGCAGGTGTAGACAGCAAGTGGACTTTCTTTCGTGGCTGCTTTATTGCTGCTCATAAAAACCCACGAAGCATGGGCTGAAGACCACAAGTGAAATGACGTGGAGGAGGTTGTGTGCTGTGTTCTTAGTGTTGTGAGCCCCCTCCAGTTACTGACGCTGGAATCCAGCCCAGCACGTCCTCACACTATTCATCATTCTTAGACCTAAGTTGGTACATAAAACACTGCTTTATGGTGTATTATGACTCCTGTGAAGAATTTGTTCTCCCAATTAGCAGAGTTAATCCAGAAATATTTATGCGTTTGAGAGAAATGGTGATAAAATACTGTTGTTAATTACAATGATTCTTTCAGAAAAAGTGAATCATATTATGCTTTTGTATCGTTATTAACAATGTGGTCTCTTTGATCACAACCGCTGTCTCATACACAGTTGAATAATCACATGGACTTTAATTCTGTAATTTATCATTCTACAAGTTAACAATAGAACAATTTAAATGCCTGTCTAGCTTATGAACACTAATTGCTTTTAATCACGTGATGTGCTATGACAGCATTCTCCCTTGCAAATGAAGCTCATGGGTTTGAAAATAGCACCCAAAGCATGGCCCTGATGGGAGGCAGCCTCCTGGGGATGGAGAGGCAGGCAGGGCAGCCTTGTGTCTGAGGCTAATCTGGAAGGAACTCGCAGAACGGACTTCAAGTCAACAGTGTTACTTACTTTTTTATTTTTCTCCATCTGCTTCCACATTCACCTACCTTCTCCTCCAGTCTTGTCTGGATTTTAGCTGGAGTTTTTTGTCTGTTAAGGTAGAGTAGTGTTTCACTGACCATTTCATTGTCCAGTGTCTTTCTTCTTATCTCACGTCTCAAAGATCACTCAAGCCTGTGTGCCTCCACGTGAGCAGCTCAGACATCCCCTGGGCAACCAGCCACCCTGGGAGCACTGTCCTGGCATGTGCAGCTGCCGGCTCTGCAGGCCCTCTTCCCTCATTCCATCACGTTCCCATTGGAAACCCCCCGTTGTCAGAGAAAGCAGAAGCAGATGTGAGCCAGGCAGCTCTCCTGTGCTTTGTTAAGTAGCTTCCAGCAATATGAGCCAAGGGCCAAGCGACCTGGGCGGCCACATTGGCCTTTTCCTTCTTTTCTTTGTTTTTTTTGTTTGTTTGTTTGTTCGGTTTGGTTTGGTTTTTAATAGAGACAGGGTTTCACCATGTTGGCCAGGCTGATCTCCAACTCCTAACCTCAAGTGATCCACCAGCCTCAGCCTTCCAAAGTGCTGGGATTACAGGCGTGAGCCACTGCGCCTGGACCCTTTTCCTTTCCAATAGAATTAGTGATGATCTCCTTGCCCAAATTTCAGATTTTAGAATCTGTGGTTCAGATGCACTACAGTGTCCTTAAGCATGTGGTTAAAGAACTTATACTTACATAGTTAATGTTTGACTTTAAAAATGGTTTTATTTTAATAAAAAATAAAGATGTATGTGTGCAAGATGTGAAAGCTGTAAGATTTAAAATAGAGTCACCTGTGCTAAAAAAAAAAAAAAAAAAAAAAAGCAAACTAACAAAAACCACCCTGATACGTAGAGCTGGGGAATGGCATGAAGGAAGAGTTGTCATGCATAAAAGTCCGATAACAGAAACTACCATGAAATACTCCACAAAAAACACAACCTTGCACAGAGACCATTGCAACCTTACACAAAACATTTCTGCAAGGACATCTGCCCAGCAACTGCCTGTCCAGCCTCGAACTGGTGTCACCCTAGTTGTGGATTCTTGTAGCCAAGGACAATTATTTCAAAACAATTATGTAATCCTCCTTTTTTTTCCCTTTATTTGTCTACACTTACCTGGCAGGAGAGACACCAGGATCAGGAAAGTGTTTTCCCAAGGGAGGCTCCTTGTGCTGACTCTCATGATTTCCCCAAGTGTAGGACACTCAACTGCATAATCTGTGTAGTGGGAGATAGTGTTTATGCCCTCCCCTGCAAATAAAATAAATATATTAATAAAATTTAAAAATGAAAAGCTTTTGCCTTTTTATTACCTCCCAAAATACACACACACACACACACACAAACACACACACACACACACACAACACAGTTCGCAGTGCCACACATATTCCCATTGCAATATCCTACTCCAGAATAAATATCATTTTCTTTTAGGGAGGCTCTCTCTGCTTGTTATTTAGGTAGACAAAAATTTTCAAAATATCAAATAAAGCCAAAGTACATACAATGAAATGTAGTCAGACTACCCTAAGGCAAGAAAGTGCCTGGTTTTCTCCCCAGAGTTGCTTGATTCTATCAGCTCTCTTTTCTGTTTTATTTCATTTTTCTTTGTTTGCTTAACTTTTGAGAAATAATGTATGCAAATACAAATACTTTTGCCCATGCAACATTTTTAAGATAGTATTTTGCTATGTAAAAGTAAATTTTCTATGCGAATACAAATATGTTTTTTCCTTTGACACCAATGAAAATATGTATACTATGTTACTACAGTTTTTTTATATTTTACATTTTGGAGATAATTCCATAATATCAAAAATAGAGACTTAATTCTTTTTCTAACAGATGCATGATATTTCTTTCTACGAACAACTCTTAATTATTCATCTGGCTCTCTGTTCATGAACATTTGCTTAGATCCAGACTTACTCTTACAAAGTCATTCTTGTACGTTGGTTTTGCAGGGAAGTGATCATATCTACATGTTAAATTTCCACACTGGGAATGAATGAGACAGACTGTGGTTCATTTTAAATTTAGGACAACATTGCCAATTATCCTTTTGAGAGGTTTTATAAAATTGACATGCCAACTAACCACCTTGTTTTTCTAAGCAGTTGTTTTCTGGACTTTGTCCAATGTATTCTGAAAAATCACATTTTCTAAGTATTTTTAGTTAATTATTTGGATATTTTCAAATATATAATTACATCTTGTAAAATACTGATAATTTTATCTTTTTCATTCCATGTATTGGAGTTCTTTTTTGTGTCTAATCTAAGTGACCAGTGTTTCCAGGGCAATAAAAATGAGAGATAACCATGGATATTCATGGTTTGTTCTTGCCTTTAAGGAGAGGAGACTCAGGGTGTTTACAGACAGCATGGGTTTGAATTGTCTTTAGAGGCATCTATGTGGAGACATGGCTACAGATCAGTATGTTAACAATCAATCCCTTTGTCCTTCTGAGCCTTATTCTTGATGTCTTTTCAGCATTTTTGCATAGTTATACCCTCTTTCTCCTTTGACCTCTATGATGCAGTACTTCATAGCATCTTATAGATTGACTAATATTGAACATTTTTTAGAGTCTTGGGATGAATTCCACATGGTTGCATTGAGTGATTTGCCAATATCTTACTCCAGACAGTTGCAGTGAGAATCTCCCATATTTCTGGACCTGCTTTGTGAAAGTCCAGGGCACAGATAGGCTGGTCCTCTCTCCTTTCCCTGTTATTGCTCTACAGCAGCATGGGTACAGTACTCCAAGCTTCCCGACTCCAGGTCTCCAGTCTGTCCTTTCTCACTTGCATTCTAAGACATTAAATAGTCAGAAGAAACAAGCCAAGGAGTAATCGGATGGGCTTCCTCTAACTGAAGACACCAGTGAGAAGCTACACAGACTTGAGACCACCTGCTGTGGCTCTGCCTGCTCACATGTGCTTTAAAGCTTAGTCCAACCCCTCTGCAGATAGACAGTCTGATGTCTATTTCTGCCACCACTGTAGCCACCAATACTTGACCAATTATCCTCATTTATCTGATACAGAACCTGAGGTCTGGGGAGGTAACTGTTGCCTGCAGTCACCAACTAGTGATCCGCTCATCGTCTCTGAGCGCTGCAAGGAGTCGGGTCCTCCTAGCTTTGAAACCTGGGCTTTCTTCAAGATATCTTATTGCTGTCTTCTTTTATTTTCCTCCAAATGTTTTCCTCCATTCAATATTTAGATTTGTTTCCCTATGTAGGTGTATGTATTCCTAAAATAATCCCCCCTCCCTTATGACCATTTTTGTTACATGTTTGTTTGGGGTAAACTATCCTTTCCACTGGCATCTACCAAGGAGGAATAGCAGCTCAGAGACAAGAGCCCTTTGGAATTAAATATACTCTACAGGAAACAATTCTTTCCTGGGTTCCTCTCTCTTCTGTGCCACATTGTTCACCTCCTCGATATTTCAGAATCCATCCTTCCACTCCCTCACAATCTATTTCTTGTGGCTTTCTTACCAATGTATTGTTTCCACCATCTTTAGGATTCTTGTAACCTCACTAGCAATCCAGTGTATTCATCCCACTATTATCAGGGGCCTCTGGAACCTATAGAATGCAGCGTTCATTCTCCTGGGAAAATAGGTTTTAAAAAACCTAGGATCACATTATCTTCTAACATTTAAACCTTCCAGCAAAATATAATAAAGGTTTCAAAATGGAAGTATGTTGTCATATAACAAAATGTATTGACATAAGCAACCATGGTAGTTTAGGATAACATTGCGGGTGACCTTCTGCTTTATTTGCACAGTGATTAGTAAGATAAACTATGGGAAATCAAATTTGACTTTAGGAATTTAAAATTATTTTGAACTAGATTCTTTCACCATTTGCCCATTCACCTAGAGGCCAACAAACCAACCACAAGACTAAGAATGATCTGAGAGCTACTCAACTATTATTCTACTACCTTACTTTTATCAATCATTATCCATTATATTTTCCAAAACATTTTGATATGGATTATCTACATAAACCTCAATAGATACTAAGGCACTGTTTTCTTGTTTCAGTTTTATCTTCGTCCTGTATATGCAGATCTTTTAAATTTCCCAATGCCTGAATACCCTGCACTCATTTGAGGACAGGGAATAGATCTGAAGACATAGATTATTTTGCAATCTTTAATCCCCTAGAGCAAATACAATTTAAGAAGTTGACACATCTTTTAAGATAATTTGCACACCAATTACCCTGGAGATTTTATTTGTGCAGAGATTTCTCTGCAAACGTGAAACCTATTGACCCTGTTGAGTGGTGCCTTAAAGAAGCTGAGCACTAAAATCACAGCTTCTAAAAGTTTTCTAAAAGTTTTGCCAGAATTAAACTCTACTCACACATCGTCTCAATTATTCCAGCTCTGTAGAAAAAGAGTCGAATGTGCTCTTCTAGTCTCTCGCTGTCGCCAAGGCTGGGGTGCAGTGATGCAATCTCGGCTCACTGCAACCTCCTCCTCTCAGGTTCAATTCTGAAAAATCACATTTTCTAAGTATTTTTAGTTAATTATTTGGATATTTTCAAATATATAATTACATCTTGTAAAATAGTGATAATTTTATCTTTTTCATTCCATGTATTGGAGTTCTTTTTTGTGTCTAATCTAAGTGACCAGTGTTTCCAAGGCAATAAAAATGAGAGATAACCGTGGATATTCATGGTTTGTTCTTGCCTTTAAGGAGAGGAGACCCAGGGTATTTACCTCCCAAGTAGCTGGAATTACAGGCATGCACCACCATACCCAGCTAATTTTTTGTATTTTTAGCAGAGACGCAGTTTTGCCATGTTGCTCAGGCAATCTGCCTGCCTTGGCCTCCCAAAGTGCTAGGATTACAGGTGTGCATCACCACACCTGGCATGACTCGCCATTATTTTTAATATGAAGAACACTTCTGATTATGTTTGGAGAAAAATCATATAGACAGTTAAAGTGAAATCGAGTTAATGACATGGATCAGAGTGTGTTGGTTGTGACAGTGCAAGCAGATTGGATCCCTCAACTAGATCCAAAGCAGGACTAGAAAAAGGACATTTCAAAAGTGAGACTCATTTCTGTCACATTTTGTCACCTAAGTCATGATTCCCTAAGAGATATGAGCTCCCCAGGGTCAGGGGACAGCAGGGATCATAGACACCTAAGGCCAGGAGGAAGCTCATGAGCTCATCTTCGTCACCCCACTGCCTCCGGACAGAGAGGACGCAGTACCTATACCTCCTCCTCGGATACCTTGAAGATGCTCTGTTTGAAAGATTCCTTTTTTTTAACTTTTATTTTAAGTTCAGGGGTACATAAGCAGGTTTGTTCCATAGGTAAACTTGTGTCACGGGCGTCTTTTGTACAGATTATTTCATCACCCAGACATTAAGCCTAGTAATCATCAGCTATTTCTCTGCTCCTGTCCCTCCTCCCACCCCCAACCATCTGCTAGGCCCCAGTGTGTGTTGTTCCCCTCTATATGTCCATGTGTTCTCATCATTTAGCTCCCACTTAGAAATAAGCGCCTGCGGAAGATTCCATCAGGCCCCTCAACCTGCCATCTGCACACTATCCCCGGCTGATACTCAGGAGGTGAGTCTGAACTCAACGTGACTCTCCACATCAATTCCCAAAGTGGCAACACACAGTGAACTTAGCCCTGACTGTCCCCTTTCCAGCCTGCAAGCCCGCATGATTGGATCCTCTCTGTTCAGAGACCACGTTCTGAACATCAGGAAACCAGCCGCCACTCCACTGCACCACCCAGGCCTCTGGTGCCGGGTTATGGACTGTGTGTGACCCTAGCACTCCCCTCTGCTAGCAGCAAAAGAAGAGTAGTCTGAGAACCCGCCTTGGGCCTTTTCCTCCCAGTCAAAATTGAAATTGTAGTCCTCAGCTGTCACTTTCTAACATCAAGAACTTGACCTCAAAGAGAAAGCAGGCTGAGGAGAAGAGCTGGTCATAAACGCCTGGGGCATCCTGGGTTTCCTGAGAAAAGGGTTTTTTGAAGGGGCATGTCCAGCCTCACAATTCCCTGGATTTATTCTGGATTTTTCAGAAATAAATAAAATGTGGAGAGACCCATACATATAGAAATAACCTCTTAAATTATAAGAGATGCAGCCATACAGAGAGACTCCACCCCTCAGGACCCCAGCCCCATCCCACTGTAACCCTGAGAGCCCTGGGAGCCCTGCAGTCCTGTCTTCTCATGAGTTCATTCAAGGAAGTGGCAGCAACATAAGAAAATGCAGCAGAAATGAATGGAACATGCATTCAATCTCTTAAAAAATAATCAAAGCGGGAAAGAAAATTCCTAATTTACAGGAAACTTTAAAATCCTCCCAACATTCTCCCCACTAAAACTTTTTCACATCCTGGATGACCACCACCCTGCAGCTCTATCCTCGTCACTCTCCTCCACACCCCTTCCAACCCAGGCTGTCCCATGGCGAAGCTCCGCTTTCCACCCACTTCTTCACCTCTGTGTCAGAGACTTCCTGCTGGCTTCGGTTTTACCTCCCTTTTCCCATCACTCAGATTAGGTACAAAAGGAGGGCAATGGACCCAACAAGCATGAATCCTTAGCATGACAAACACCTAATACTCCATGTATTTTCTTTCGTTTCCATTCCATTTGTCAGGCAGCATATTCTATTCCCTAGCACCACAGTTCAGTGTCCTGTTTTCTTGCCTGTATCCATTTGTCCCCTCATGCACACACACACACACGTGCACACACACACGCAGACACACACACATGTGCACACATGCACAGACAGATGCACACATGCCTGCATACATGCACATGCACAGGCACACACACACACGTGCACACATGCACACACAAACACAGGCACACATGCACACACACAAAGTGGATGTCTGAGTCACCTGTAGGGATGATTGCAGTGAATTAACTCTGTTGACTTCCAGGCTTGTACATGTAAGGATTGAGGATACTTCTGGATACCATGAATTTCTCATGGATAGAACCCTTAAGGCACAGAATTGCAGCTCCTGTAACTCATTGTCAGCCTGGGTGGAGGTTAAAAAATAACAGCAACAAAGTATTTCCAAATATTATACCTTTTGGAAATCAAATTAAATCTCTACCCAGCTCTCTCTTACTCCAACAAATGATCCTTCTCAAACATTCATTCTTCCCCAATCAACTCCTGCCATCCAAAATTATTTGCCTGATGTCTATCCCTGATGAGACAATTACTTTAAATGCTCAAATCATTCTGTGAATGAAAGATCCTGAGGGAAATAATTTTTAAAAATATAATCAGATCTGGAGTTTTAGGGAGTTTTTATGTAGCTCTGTATAATTCAGTCCTTCTTCAGAGGAGGGATTCTCAAGACAATCCATGTGGCCTCCTCACGTCCAGCCTGGCCAAGTCTGATACACACCACTCCGTCTCCCATGCATGAATGTGTTCCCTCAGCACACATGGGAACTCAGGTTCTACAGAGTATTTCAGCCTTTATCCACCAGCTTCTGCTTTCCCTACTTACAGAGGATATTAAATAAAATAAACAGTGGAAACATGCCATGGAAATGCCCAGAGAATGTGGGGCTGGACATCGTGTCAGTGTCACCAATATGCACTGGTGACATGAAAATCAGATCTCTGAGAAAACTCAATATTTTTAACTAGTCTGAGTTGGGGGATAATCCTGCTTACAAACACATATTCAAAGATGACCAAGAAATAGTTAACTGATTTCATCTTCAGTTTTTCTGCTTAATTTTTGGACAACAATATACCCTCACCTTAGAGAAGGCAGAAGGTATCAACATTTACATTTCCCATATGATTCAACCCCAAAACAATTCTGGCTGGATTTCAGGATCTTCATGAAACTATCTGTTCACGGCTGTGTAGTAAATAATTAATCTTACTAAGGTGAGGTCTGATCTTAGTACCCACTCCTGGGCTCCCGAGAAGTAATCTCTAAAGCCTTGGAATATTCTGGTAGTAGTCTTTGCTATTCATAGTGGGCCCCCTGGGACCACACCTGATAGTTTATGCTATGAGTGGATTCTGTATGGAGGCTAGCTAATCCAGGAAGACCACTTGAGTGATTAGATGGTTGGGGCTTTGAGCTATGCAAGATTAGCTTGAGCTCCTGGAAGGGAGAGGGGCTGAAAAATTAGTTCAGTTATGTTGTTAATGATTTAATTAATCATACACATAATGCATTATTATAAAAACTCTGGAGACTGAAGCTCAGGTGAGCCTCCTGGTTAACCACACTTTATGTGTATTGCTGCACGTTGATGATGGGAGGGTAACGCACACCTGAGGATGACAGAAGCTTTATGTTTGGAACCCTCCCAGACTTCTCCCTGTGTCTGTTTTGTTAGCTTGTTCTATTTTGTATCTTTATGCTATAATAAAATTTTAATGCAAGTATACTTTTCTGAGATCTGTGAGTCATTCTAGTGAATTATCCAGCCCGAGGGAGTTTGTGGTGACCCCTAAATTCGAGCCAGCTGATATGAAGTGATGCTGTCCCTGGGGACCCTAAAATTGCAGCTGGTGTCTGAAGGGAAGACAAATTTGTGGGGAGTAGTGCCTTAGACTTCGCAGTTTGAATAAACTCCTTTATAATGGATACAACCAATACTTCCTAGAGCTGTAAATCTTCTGATTCTTCCAGGCAAGGTGCTATTAACACCTCCAGGCTTTATGTTCTATAGTGGATCCCAGGTCACTGAGGTAATGTGGTCTTGTCAAACCTGAGTTTCCAAGGGATATGATTGAACTGTTTTGGAACAAGAACTTTTAGTGAGATCACGGGACAACCTTCTCCCCTTTTCTTTCCTAACTGTTCCTTGGCTTATAGATTGTTGATAAAAGAAGAGTACTTTGATACCTACTGGGGTTCAGAGGAGAACAGCAGTGCCACAGTTTCAGGAATATCACTGAGCAGGTTTATTTCCCAGCGTTACCAGCCTTCCTTGTTCCTAAGGAGACAGATATCAGGCTCTGGTTGGCTAGTATCCATCCTAGGAGAACTCTGGACTCCCCCTGAGTTTACACCTTCACCATCTCTTTTCCCCTAGCTTCAGTCTTTATATCTGCAAAGTGTGGGAAATGCCAGCACATGGTGGTGATGACATTCATTGTAATGCTAATGGCCCAGACTTCTTAAAGGGACAAAAGTAGTATATATCAAGGTTTTGCAACAATTGAAGATGCTGAATCAGTGATGCAGGCTCCAGTTCAGGGGTGGTCAAATGAGAGGAAAAGTGGTAATGTAAACACAGGTCTCAGAGGAAAAAGCACAGAAATAGATTACATATCGTCAAGTGGAAGACAGGAAAAGAAAATTCTGCATGCATACGCAGCAAAGTTCCTCACAAATAGGCTTATTCCTACAGCGTATTTCGTGATAACCCTTCAGTTTCCATTTCATTTCTTAACTTGTGATATTTACCCACAGCATGTCGGGGGCAACCCACAGCATGGTGGGGGCAATTTTACCCACAGCATGTCAGGGGCAATTCAGTGTGTGATACATGGTATGTCGGTGTGGGTAGCATGTTTCAGAGTCACCAGAAGATGAGAGTAGACTTGGCACAAGGGATTCAGGGTATTAGGAAGTGAAAGCTTCAAATATTGCAGATATTGAAAAGTTATGGATTTAAAGCAGATTATTCCATTGGCATTCCTCTGCATGAGGACAGCAGGTGTCCTGAAGTGAATTAAGTGTGAATGCAACAGGCTTAACTAGTTTGAAACCCTTTTGGATCTTGGGTCATAGTCAAACCCCTAGGGCTGATTAAACCGTTTGAGGGTGAGAAATACAAATAAAATTCCAAGCCCCTCCAACCAATTGAAAAGTCCTCCTCTTGACCAAGGGGACCTCCTCTTGACCAGAGAAGCCTTAAAAACTCAACTCCCAGCTATGACAGGACAGAAAGTGGGACATGCCTCATTACACCCCCTCCCTCACTAACTACATTAGACTTCATTTCTTAAGAGTTAAACAGAATCCAGTGTTTTTGAAAGAAAGACTTGCTCCATCACTTATTTCAACAAACCTCCTGATGCTGCAGCCAGACCCCCTCCGCTTTTTGCAGTTTCAGAACAACAGCCCATCAGCATTTCCTCCTCATAAGAGATCACGAATCACAACCTGGCTCTGGCTGGTCTATGGAGGCTGCAGACAGGGCACCTCTGTGTCCTCCATGTCACCATTTCATGTGTAGAGCCTAACTGTAATGCATTTAAGTGTTAAGTCTCCACTCCAAAGTGAACACAGGATTTATATAACATGTATGTTTGCTTACTACATATGTGCATGTGAATATCCATAGTTCTTCCCATAACCTGTTCAATGTGTCTTCTTAGCCAGCCTGTTGAGCATAACTTCCTGTCTCACCCATCCGTCTTCGAAGTGCCTGCTTTTGTTTCTGCTGGAGGATGTGCTTCCCAATCTGTAGGGTGGCCAGCCTGCAGGCTGCAACTCTTTATGAGAAATAAAGCTCTCCTTTCCAAATCTATAGGTCTTGTGATTTTAAGTGGACAAAGGTGAGGAGCAGATCTGGGCAAGCCAGGGTCTTAAGCAGGGAGCTGGTCAGTGCCAAGACCACAGGGCTAGGAGGCTGCCCCTGGTTATCCTCAGCCAGAACATCCTAGGACCAGAACTCAGTTCCAAGTGAGATCAATGCAGGAACCAGTACAGAGAAATCCAGAGGGAAGATATAGCAGAAAAAGGCATGTAGGCTCAAAGGATGTGGCCTGGAGATGGAGTGAGTCTTGGGGCCACCTCCAGATATACAAAGAGAAGTTGATACGAGGACCCCCAGAAGCAACAGAAGGACTGGGACTGAAAGGTCTTACCCGAGATCAGGGCACTTGTCCTCCTGCCCCCTAGCTCCCATTCCTCCACTAGAGTTCTTGCCTCCCTTAGCACTTCTTCTCAACCTCATAGATATTCCCAAATCATTTTATGGGTGACAACATGAGACCCATTTTATGGTCAAGTCCTATGCTCAAGATACACACTAAGAAATGATAAAATGTGCAAGTTTCTGACAGCAAAGCCAAGGTTTCTTGCACATTTCCAGTCTGTCTCTCTGTGCATCAGTGCTCCAGCCCTGGGACTGTCAAGTCACCAAGCACTGCTCCCAATATCTAAACTTGAACATCTGAGAATGTGGGAGAAGCACTCAGTTGCTAATTTAAAAAAAAAATGACTGCTCCTGTTTGCTGTAACAAAAGCTATACTTGAAAGAACACAAGGATACCAAGTGGGCATGGGATGGCAGAATATGACAGTGTGACAGCCGGGACACGGTGTCTCTTTCACTAATCACTGAAAACAACTGAATCTTGTTATCGGGACCTAACCTCAAGAATGTGATACCCAGACAGACACTTCACAATGGGTCTCATTGTCTTGTCCTGGCTCATCTTCATGGCTTTGCACCCCACCAAGTCTGCTCCTGTGATCTGCTGTTTCCCTCTTTCCCTCTCCCTCTCTGATATAGTTTGACTGTGTCCCCACACAAATCTTACCTTGAATTGTAATAATCCCCATGTGTCAAGGGCGGGGCCAAGTGGAGGAAATTGAATCATGGGTTTGTTTCCCCATACTGTTCTCATGGTAGTGAATAAGTCTCACGAGATCTGATGGTCTTATACATGGCAGTTCCCTTGCACAAGCCCTCTCTTGCCTGCCACCATCCATGTAAGACATGACTTTGCTCCTCCTTGCCTTCTGCCATGATTGTGAGGCCTCCCCAGACAGGTGGAACTGTGAGTCCATTAAACCTCTTTCCTTCATAAATTACCCAGTCTCAGAAGTGTCTCTGTCAACAGCATGAGAACAGATTAATACACTCTCCCTCCTTCCCCTGCCCTCCTTTCCCCCACTACTTGTTCTCACTTTCACTCTTACTCTCACTCTCACTCTATCTCTGGAAAGTATATAAAAACAGGAGCAAATATACAAATCAAAAAAGTTCATAAAGATTTCCTCAACCTGAACAAACCATTGGAAAACTGCTCCTATTTGAGGTGAAAGCTGCACCTGATGGCCCTTGGGTGTGACTCAGAGTAGTTCACAGGAACATAATCCCAGAGGAAGGTGCGGAGAGGCTTCATGGGCATCTGGGTGGATTATAGTCATGAGATGGGGTTGCTTACATCTCTCTACACCGAGAGTATAGACAAGGGTGATACAGCTGCTGAGAAATGTGGTTGTTCTACTCCTTTAAAATAATCAGAATGGTTCTGTTTCCAGGAATGTGGAAAATACATACTTTTCCCTGATCTTCCCCCTCTGTACAATTAAAGACCCTGGAAATTATAAATAAAGACTATAAGCAGACTACAAAAGATAAGGAGAAGAAAGAAGACTGGCTAGGAACATTAGGACCCAAAGAATGACATGAAGGTCAGCTTCCTGGGTTTTCCTTTTTCCTCCTGTATCCCAGATGTGAAGCTGAAAAGTTGCAACCCAAAAATGCCACCAGGTAAAGACAACAAAGTCACAGCAAAAACCTATTCCCTCTGGCCAAAAGACTAGTGAATGGGCAGCCCAGCAAGACAGAACACCTGTAGGCAATAGCTGCTTCACTCCACTCATCACCACAGAAAGCAGGGCCAGGTTGGGGGCCTAGACCTCCACCTTTACTGTGCTGTCACCAGGCACATGTCCCTCTCCCTGCTGGGGTGGCGGCTGAGCAGGCCTAGTGCAGAGCCAGCTTTCACCAATGTGCAGTAGTAAGGAGGCTCTTCTCCCGGCAGTGTCACTGGAGGCTGTGTGGGGAGCATAATGAGGCCTTCCAGCCTGCCCCACCAAGGGAGGCATCAGGGACATCAGTGGAGGTGGGGATGGGTGGGGTGGAGCATGGGGAGAAGCCAACTGCTGCCCAGCCCAGCAGGAACAGATGCCCCCATCTCCAGAGTTCAACTGAGCCCACGTGGGCAATCTGGATTCTCCGACCCAGCACTGAGGAGGCAGCCCCTTCATTTCCCCTGCAGAAAAGGTGCCAGAAGAGGTCAGCTAAGACAGAAAACTTAAATAAGATCCAGAGTCATACAATATAATACTCAAAAGGTATAGGTTTCAGTCAAAATCCACTCATCACACAAAGAACCAGGCTGACATCAAACTAAATGAAAAATTGGAATCAATAGATGCCAATGCCAAGATGACAGCTGT
Source organism: Homo sapiens (assembly GCF_000001405.40). NCBI lineage: Eukaryota > Metazoa > Chordata > Mammalia > Primates > Hominidae > Homo > Homo sapiens. Next base: position 24,249,364 of record NC_000020.11, read on the forward strand.
TTGAACCAACTTACAGAGATTTTAAAACAGCCACAGTGAAAATGCTTTCATAAGCTATTGTGAACGTGCTCACAACAAATTTTAAAAAATAGAAAATTTTAGCAGTCTCACTAAAGAAAAAGAAGCTATGAAAAAGAATCATGTAAAAATTTTAGAACGGAAAAACATAATAAACGAAATTTAAAAACTCAGCGGATGGTAACAACAGAGTAATGGATGTGGCAGAGGTAAGCATCAGTGATCTGGAAGATAGAAAAATAGAAATTACCCAATGTGAACAATAGAGAGGGAATAGACTAAAAGCAAAAATTAAACAGAGCCTCATAGACCTGTGGGCTAAAGCAAAAGTTCTAACATTCAAGTCATCAGAGTCCTAGAATGAGAGGAGAAAGAGAGGGTGGGCCTAAAAAAAACTACCTAAAGAAATAATGGCTGAAAACTTCTCACATTTGGTAAAACACATAAACCTACAGATTGAAGAAGCTGAGCAAACCTGAAACAGGAAAGCCTCCCCAAATCCACATCAGGGTAATGTCATCAAAGTAGTCAAAATTCTGAAAACTGTAGGCCAAGGAGAAATCTTGAAAGTAAATAAGAGGAAAATGACACAATGAAAGTAGGGAAAAAGTAATTCAAATGACAGTGGAATTCTCATTAAAACCATGAAGACCAGAAGAAAGTAGAACTTTTTTTTTCAAGTGTTGAAATAAAACAACTGTCATCCCAATATCCTATAGCTGACAACAATATCCTTCAGAAGATATAAAGACATTCCCAGATGAAAGAAGACTTAAGAGAATTTGTCACCAACAGATCTACCCTAAAAGAATGATTCACAGGAGTTCACTAAACGGAACAAAAATGAAAAAAGGAGGAATCTTAGAACATCAAGAAGAAAGAAATAACATGGGAAGCAAAAATATGGGTAGATACAAGAGTCTTTCCTACCCTTCTTGTGTCTTCTAAATTATGTTTGATGCCTAAATTAAAAATTATAACTTTGTCTAATGTGGCTCTATGTAGGGTAAATATTTAAAACAATTATATTATAAACTGGGAAAGGTAAAGGAATATACAGGATGGTTACTTTTATAGGAATTGATAAAATGATGACATTAGAATATATACATACATATATACACATATACATATATATATAGTGTCATACCTACAGCAAACACTAAACAATGTTCAAAAAGCTACACAAAGAGCTACACTGAAAATCACTCTAAATAAATAAAAATGGGATTCTAAAAAACGTTCAACTGACCAGAAATCAGGAATAAATGTTTAAACAAAAAACTACAATAGCTACAAATAAAATAAAATACCTAGAAATTAACTTAACCAAAGAAGTGAAAGATCTCTACAATAAAAACTATAAAACATTGATTAAAGGATTTGAAGAGGACACCAAAAAATGGAAAAATATTTCATATTCATGGATTGGAAGAAAGTAGAGTTAAAATATCCATAGTATCTAAAATTCAATGCAATACCTATCAAAATGACATTCTTCACAGAAATAGAACCACAAAAGACTCAGAATAGCCAAAGCTATCCTGAACAAAAATAATAATAAAACTGGAGGAATAACATTACCGGGCTTCAAATTATACTACAGGGCTATGGTAACCAAAACAGCATGATACTGGCATAAAAACAGACACATAAACCAATGGAACATAATAGATAACCCAGAAATAAATCCATACATCTATGGTGAACTCATTTTTGACAAAGGTGACAAGAACATACATTGGGGGAAGGACAGTCTTTCAATAAATGGTGCAGGGAAAACTGGATATTTTTATGAAGAATGAAACTAGACTCCTAACCCTCACCATATACAAAAATCAAATAAAAAATCAAAAGACTTAAATCTAAAACCTCAAAGTATGATACTACTACTAATAGAACAAAAAAAAATCAGCAAGGGTACAGAAGAATTCAACAACACCATCAATCAGCAGGTTCAAGTCAATATTATGGACCACTCCACCCGACAGCAGAGTATCCATCTTTTCAAGTATTCAAACAACATATGCCAAGATAGACCATGTCCTAGGCCACAAAACAAACTTTACTAAACGTCATTGATTGAAAAGATCAACAAAACTGACAAACCTATAGCAAAACTGTCAAAGACATAAGAGAGAAGACTCAGATTACCAACCTCAGGAATGAAATAGGAGATACTATTGCAGACTTTTGAGGTAGCAAGAGGAGAATACGGCAGTACTAAAAGCAACTCTGTATTCATAATTTGACAACTCAGATGAACAGTTCCTCAAAACACATAAACTACCACAGCCAAACCATAGATAATTTACATAGCCCCATAACGATAAGAAAAGATAGCATAGTTCTCTTTTCATCTTATGAAGCTAGAATGAACCAAATAGCAAAACCAGACAAAAACAGTAAAGAGAAAGAAAACCAAGACCAATATCTCTTGTGAAAATAGAAACATCTTTAACAAGATAATAGCAAATATATAAAAAGAAGTAAACACCATGACAAAATGAGCTGTATTCCAGGGATATAATCTGGTTTAAGTATTAAAAAAACAATTAATGTAAACCACCAAATCAACAGGCTAAACAAGAAACCATACGTGATCACATCATTCAATGTAGAAAAAGCATTTGACAAAATTGAACAGCCATCTATGATAAAAATTTTCCTAAAATATTAAGAATAGAGGAGAACATTCTCAACTTGATGACAGCATCAATTATACAAGTTGAAAGTAGCAGGATGGAAAACGATATATCATGCAAACAGTAATCAAAGAAAAGCAGGAGTGACTGTATTAAAACCAAACATAATAGACTTCAGAGCAACTGTATTAAAATCAGAATTTAATGAATTAGAAAAAAAGACAGTAGACCCAACATGTAAGTTTAAAAGATATTGCTTTGATTCTGTTTCTCATAATACAGAGAATACATTCACTAACTTGGGGGAAAGCACAAGTACACCTTAGAAGAAATGATGATTGGAAAATAACTGTTAAAAGAGAGAAAAAATACAACAATCAAAGGATACTAATTTACTTAGCTCTACACACACAGAAAAAAATGGAAACCTGATGAAATAAGTAATTTCCTACTGGTAAATATTATTTACCAACTGATCACAGTAATGATATGAAATCTAAAAGAGAAAAACTTCTCTTCATGGATAAAATAGAGAAGACCTTCAGTGAGCTTGTACCCTGCATCCCCCCCAAAAACACTCACAAAGCCTCAGCCCAAATGGTTAATATGGGTAAATAATGGTAGATAACAAAACTTCAAGAACAAGATAATTTTATGTTACTTGAATTGTTCTGGAGCATAGACAAAGAAGAAAATATTCCAAATTATTTTGTATGGATCAAATGTAATTTTGTATGAAAAAGGAAGATACAAACAAATATCACCTATGGATATGGATACAAACATTCTAAACATGTTAGCAAACAAAATCTAGCAGCCCTGAGGCGCCATTTCTTACCCATCACATTACAAGATAAATTACAACAAATCTTGCAGTGACTTATGGGGAAAAGGCAGAACAATATAACACTGTGGAGGAGAATTTGAAAATATCTGACATTGATACCTTTGACTCAGCAAACCCATGTCTAAGACTTTAAAGGTGCACCTGCTCAAATGTGAAACAACATGCTACTTATTCAGTGTGGTATCATTTATATCACGAAAATATTGGAAACAATGCAATCCGAATGCCCATCTGTAGAAGAGTACCTAAATAAACTACAGTGTAGCAAACACTGGATCACCATGAAGCTCTTTTTAAAAATGGAGGCAGACAGCTTCCATGCACAGCATGTGGAATAAGGGTGACTTTCAGGTTTTATTGTAAAGTGGAAAAACAAAGAAAACCAGGTGCAGGGCAGGGCATGTAGGATGCCACAATTTGTTTAAAATTTAAAAGAACACCGTAAATACATAGGTTTCTATGTGTAGATGTATAATTTTGTTTTGTTTTGTTTTACTTCAGAAATAAACACTGAAAGGGTAAATCAAATGCTATCAAAAATCGTCATCCGTAGGCAAAGGGGCCGAGTAAAGGGAAGAGAGATAAAGCTGGGCTTCCCAGGGCAAGTTAAGTTTAAGTTAAGACTTTATGTTTATAAAGTTTAAGTTTAAGTTAAGTTTAAGTTAAGACTTTATGTTTATAAAGTCTTAACACTTGAGCCATGCAAAATCTTACATAGTAAAAACAATAAAAACAAAATAGAAAAGAAAAAATAAATTCTAAAAGTGAAAACAAATAAGCCTAAGCATGTATCAAACGCGAAGCATCACCACACAGAGAAAACATTTACTTCAAACGAATTTAAACATAGCCCTCTATGTATCTTTAGGGAATACGTTCTATTGACAAGAAGAACTGCAATGAAAAAATTATCTTTAATCACTAATTTTCATTAGTAGCAATACTGATATAGAAATGTTCAAGCTATTTTATGTATATTGTATGGAAACAAATAAACTAATGTTATTAATCCAGTTCTTAGATGAAAGAGAAATCATGCACAACTATAAAAGTTCAAAAACTCCTATAATATAAGGTTTTAATTGGAAAAATTAAAAGGCCCTACAGCACTGTCACTGGTGGCAGCGGGTACCCAGTGCAGAACCAGCAGATTGTGATGAGTGCTTGGTACCACTCTGGATATGGCTGACTCCAAGTCTGGGGCAGGGAACATGCAAGGGGAACCCAGATGTTCTATGTAGGTGCCAGAGGATGAACAAAAGACAAACCAACACACACCAAAAACACACAGGCCAGAATCCAAAGAGGTTCCCACCAGGCACATGTGGGACAATTTAGACATCAAGAAAAATCACTGTAATTGATTTCAAAATATTGAATGAATAAGACTGTACGTGCCCTTAGTGGAAATAGGAGGGAACTGAGAGACAGAGGACTACGCCTTTACCCTCAGTGGAGGTGACTGACCAATTTCTTTTCCTAAACATTGATTATTAAAGGAAATAATTAATCTTTTGTCATGCCTGTTTATAAATAATTTAGTCACCCTCAGTTGACAAAGACAAACTCTTCTTCCTAGAAAAACGCCCGCTGAAAGAAATGACAGAATTGGAAAATGACCTTTCTGTAGCCCTCGGTGATGGATTGATTCCAGCAAGGATCACCAATGGACACTAAATCTGTTAGGCTACAGGTCATGGGAAAGCCCCACAGATTACTTGTTAATTTCAAGAGAAAAGTTAATTTTACAGTGGAGAGATCAGGCTGGCCCTCCATGAGCCAATCGGTGAAACCTGATGTCAGCAATTATGGGATGCAGAATTAAAGAGATAGTGTTACCCATGAATTGTTCTTGCCAAAAACATTCAGACTGAGTCCGATCAAGCCATTAGACCAACTTCTAGTATACAGGAAATACAGGGTCAGGGGAATAAGTTAAATGACACCACAGGAAATAATAAGATAAATCTGATGTCAGATACTCTACATGACATCAAGCTCTGTCTATCTAAAAAGCTTGCACTATCACAGAAAAGAAGAAATGGCAGTAAGTCAGTCCTAGATTAAAGGAACTATAGTAACAACAACCCAAGGTACTGTAGCCACTGGTCAAGATTAATTGGACCAGAGGTCTGCAATCGGGCCAAAGATGGCCAGTAGGAATGCCCTAAAACGACAATGGCCAACTGCTACATCCACCTTATCAGCCATGGGAAAGGAACCAAAATAGGGAGTAAGAGAGAAAACAAGATAGGCAAGCCTCACAGGAGAGTTTTCACATTTCTGAAGATTCTACTGAGTCTTTGGAATAACCCCATTGCATAAGGGAGCCTGATTGTTTCTCGTCTTTGAAACTTAAAATAACAAGACCTCAAACCCGGGTCACTCCAGTATATTCTAAGAAGCTTCTTTTTGATAGTGACACCTGAGCCCAGATGCAGGGCTGAAGGACTCTTCATGTCAGAGAAATCACGTGTCATTCTGAATAAAAGGTTGGATTTGGGCCAGGCGCAGAGGCTCATGCCTGTAACCCCAGCACTTTGGGAGGCCGAGGCGGGCAGATCACCTGAGGTTAGGAGTTCGAGACCAGCCTGGCCAACATGGCGAAACTCTTTCTTTATTGAAAATACAAAAATTAGCTGGGCATGGTGATGGGCACCTGTAATCTCAGGTACTCGGGAGGCTGAAACAGGAGAATCGCTTGAACCCAGGAGGTAAAGTTTGCAGTGAGCCGAGATTGTACCACTGCACTAGCCTGGGTGACAGAGCAAGACTCCATCTCCAAAAAACAAAAAACAAACAGAAACAAAATTAGGATTTGGAGCCCTCTAGTTTTTTGCTGTTCATAGTGTGGTCCATGGGCCAGCAACATTGGCATCGCCTGAAAGCTCATTAGAAATTAGAAATTTTTATTTTAACGCAGTTTCCAAGTATGCATTAAAATGTGATAAGGCCTAGCCTGCATTGAAATCTCAGCCTTTCATGACCAAACATTAGCTCTGAGAATCAGAGGCGATGCAGTTGTTGCCACTGGGAAGTTTAGGCTGGTCATTATCATGAGTTCATTTTCTTTAACTGGGTCTTCGTTTGGGTTTCCCCAAAAGCAGACCCTTAGATAAAAATGTGGGTACAAGTATTTTATTTGGGAGGTGATTCCAGAAAACATCTTTGGCAGAGTGAGGAAATGAGACTGGAGGGGCAGGCGGCTGTAGAAGGCTATATTCCTGGGTGAGTCACCACTGTGGGCAGCTCAGTGTCCCTGCAGACCCTCTAAGAGCCTGTGCAGAACAAGCCTCCGATTCATCTCTGAGGAGCGAGGATGCTGGAGTGTGCATTCTCCATCCCCTGGCCAATGATCATTGAGGGCTGCTTCCAGAACATTCTCTCCCAGAATCTCAGGCTGACACCGTGTGTGAATTAAACCCTTTCTTGAGGCCAGGGCCCACCTTCAGGTAGAAAGACGCAGGAGGCCTCAGCCTGTAGGGAGCTGTGCGGCGGTGGTCACTGGGGGTGACTGCCCAAGAGACACAGCAGGGCATGGGCAGCACTTGCCAAATGCTGCTTGTGGAGCACATCAAGTTAGGGAATTGTGACGGAGCGCTGGGCAGCATGCTGGGCCTGTGGCTTAGTGTGGAGACATGTGGCACGAGATGTGTGGTGCCAGCTAGCAGCACCCCTGGGTTCGTCTGGCCCACAGCTGCACTACTGGCCCTGCAGGAGCTTAAGTGACTGAGAGAAGTTGGCTCATTTTCATCAGAACTTTCTGGCAATGGCTGGCGTGCTACTCTGTCTTCAGAATAATTAGCTCGCTCATGGGGAAATGTGCCCTGAAAATTATCTAAGATAATTAATTGGCACATTTTAGTTTGAACCAGAACTTGTCCCTGAGCATATCAGCAGTCGCATGACTATGAAACCAGGCATTCCTTTCATCTTTTTCTCCATCATTTTGATGATATATTCACAGCCATCAAACAAGAGGAGATGCTGGCGTATATTCATGAAAGAAGGAAAAAGGAAAGTGGAAAGAACAGAAGGAAATACTGTTATTCCCACAATCTCAAAAAAAAAAAAAAAGGTTAGCTCAAAGCATATAATGGGGGAAAATGACAGCATCTTTTTCTAAAGGTATTGTTTTTGATCCATTTTCAAGCACGTTTGGCTCCTTCTCTCATCAACCAACATTTTCAACAGGATGGAAGCATCCTTTTAATCTACACCAAGTCTCCTGTCAGAGCAGAAAGGAGTGTTGAGAATAAAATCATATGAGATAAAATAAGAATGGCCCCTTGTAGTTTAAAGTTTATAGCAGATTTTCCAAATGCAGTGGTGAAGAAATAACCACCAGAGAATGTTCTGGTCTTATAGACCAAGTGCTAGTGAGTCTATTGTATGGTAGATAATGACAGAATAGCCTTGACTCACAGCTCTTCTTACAGTGTGTAGGCCTGGCCACTAAGAAAGCAGGCATGAGTATGTGCACTGCAGAAAATATATTTGCGGTAGGTTCCCACAGTGATCATCGTTGCGGTTTTGCTCTTAAATACCATTACCCTCTGTGGGGCTTATTCTCACCACATGGAAAGCTAAGGGAATTTACCATCTAAGACCTCCTCTTTTGCTAACTATCTCAGACTTTTGCTTCTGTTATTTACTGTTATTGATGTGACAGAATCAATAGTTATTTATAAAATAGGATCCAGCTTCCTCGGCTTTCATTCAGTTCATTGACGAGAACGAGAGTGGTGTGAAGACAGAGGAGGGAGAATAGGTCAGGTCACTGTGGCCTTGAACCACCTAAAGAAACAAAGAAAATCAGATGACAAAACCAGGACTCCTTGACCTCCATAGAGGGACATGAAAAGCTACATACAGTCTTAGATAGACAGCACAGAGGGGGCATGAGAAATGGCAGGAGGCAGAAATCAAGTCTGTATAAATCCAAAGACAAGAACATTGTCACTTTATATTGATCTTTACTTATTTGAGAAACTGGGTTTTTTCCAAGTCTCTGCTAGTCATTGTGATTATTCAGGAGCCTCAGGAACTACAGAGGAGAAATGTGGATGGAATTAGGCAAGGAGGGGCCTGAGCGATGGGGCTCACAGGCTGGAGGACAGTGGACCCTGTGAGGTGCTGAGGGGTCTGGGGTGCTCAGACCAGACCCAGCCCAGATGCAAGGGACAGATGGCAGTGAACAGTGCCTAAGAGAAGATGATTACTAGAAGCAGGGCTTTTCTTGCTCTTGTTTGACAAGAAACTAGTAAGCCAGTCAAAGCAGAGATTTATTAACTCATAACCAGTCCCCAGGAAGGACGCAGAGTGCCTGGTCTTAAGCCTGGATTCCACAAACCCCAAAACCCGGATTCCACAGGGGGCCCCTCACCCTTTACCTCTGACCTCCACTTCTCACTGCATCTCTGCTTTCCTTCCTCATTGCCTGGATCCCTCTCAGGGCAGACACAGTGCCACCTGGAATTCCCAGGACAGACCTCCTGCCACCTTGCTGCCTGAGCAAATGAGCTTCACTGTCAACAAGCTATAGGGCTTTCCTTCTGAAGTTGAATCCAAATCGACATCTTTCATCTACCTAATATACCACAGATTCCTGGCTTTGTATTAGAGATAGATAATGGGCTACCTTGAAGCTCACGGTGAGCAGCTTTAGGTCCTACAAAGAGCAGCAGTTGGGGCTCTCTCCCCACTTGGCTTTGAACAACTAGGCAATGAAAACAGCATTCTACATATTCTGGTAAGCCCTGGGATCATGTGTCCAGCAGAGCCTGGCATTTGTTCTCTGTGTCCCTTTATAGAATGAGCTGCTGACCCCTGGTCAAAAGCACAGCTGAGGCTGTTAGCTCAAATTTAGACCTCACTGGAGATGTCAACTACATATGACTGAAAGTAGAAATGAAGGACTAATCGAGTCCAATGCCACACAGGGAAAAAAGACTGTGAGGTTTTGTGAGGTCAGGAAACCAAGAGAGGTTTAGCAGAGTCTCCCAGTCTAGCCCACCAATCAGCTGAGTGGGGAATGAGTTAAGAATGGTGTGAAGTACTGGTGCTTCTAGAGGCTTCTCATGCTGTGCAATCTAGGGGCAGGCTTGCTTCCCAAAATGGGAAAAGATTTGATCCTGTAATCTGATGGAAGGGCACAATCATCCTAGTTTATTTGGGACTCTGGGGCTTCCTGGGATGCAGGGCTTGCAGTGCTAAAACTGGAAAAATCCTGGCCAGACCAGGACTCCTACATTTGAGCTCCAAAGGCCAGCAATATGAGCAGAAATATTACCACAGCAGGGCCCTGAGAAACCTGTCTGGTGACTGTCTCAGGAGGGGGGTCATTGGAGCTTCAGTGCAGTTTGATTCCAAGATTCCTGCAGGCATGAAGCCTGCCCTCAGATCAGCTAATTTGCTTAGCCTTAAATAAATAAGACCCTAGGATTATTTTAGAACAGGTTACTTTGGAAAGCAGCTACTCTAATCCCTACTTTTTAAGTACTTTTTAATCCCATATTTTGAAGCCAAAGATTAAGTGTTTTATTCTGTGTGAACAAGGCTAGATAGTGGTAAAGACAGATCTGGAAATGGAATAGTTTTGTTTCACCTCCTGTGCTCTCCTCCCTGTAACCCATCATCTTATAATGTAAGCCCAGCATCAGGCTTATGGAAATGCTCGGGCCTGCATGTCCAGGGCACAAACAGGAACCTGCTCATCTCTTCCTGGTCCATTCTACCTTCCAGCGATATTTACTTAGCAAAACCAGGCAGTTCTGAAGAAACCAGGGTATATTCTTGGGTTTACATGAAGACTAAATAATACGTAATTTATCTAATAGTATCTTTAATTTAAAAAAATACATATGGGAAAAAGAAAACAATAGCAGAGATGTACTTAGATTTAGTGCTCCTGAAGCTTGAGATGGAGCATTATATTATAGTCCATACAGTGGGCACCACACTAGGACCTGAGTTCTGTGTGAGGGGATCAGGAGGAAAACACAGAGAGGTCCAGAAGAGTGTAGTGTAGGAAAGGTTTAGCAGGGTTTCATGTTGAAAAGTGGATGTAGTTATGAAGAGTCAGAGGTGTGGAAATTGTCTTGCAGTGCAGTATGCATCCCCAGTCTTCTATCTATAGATCCTCACTGCTTACTGACTGAAAACTTGTACTCAGAATCCTCTATTTAAGGGCTGGCCTCTCCCTTCTGTTGCTACCATGTAATTGAATAAATATATAGTAATCTTCTACTGCATGCCAGTCATTGTACTTGGTGCCCTAGGTATGAAGATGAACAAATCAGAGTGTGTGTTGCAGATTCTGGAGAAGGACATATATCAGGGGTCCATAGATCATTGCAGGTGGCATCAGAGCACACACAAGTTACAGGGGCCCACACTTCTTGGTGGAATGGAGGCTTTTCACAGAAATGAGGTCTTCGAGCTGAGTTCTGACTAAATAAGTGTCCCCCGGGGGAAGAGACAAAGTTAAGACTGATGAATGTGTAAAGCCAGCTATGTCTGTATTTCTGGGGCCTGAGGGACCATCTTTCTTCTCCCCATACTGATCAGGAATTCTTAGGGCCGCTCTTATAGTCAGCATGGAGAGGGCCTCATTCACAGGCAGAAACTCAGAGGTGCTACAAAACCTTCTTGACTGATTGCTCCTGCACCCCTTACCCAGTTCCTATTTGCAGATTCCAAGGGTCTCTGGGTATGGCCTGGAAAAGAGAGCTTTATCCCCTCTATCTCCATTAACTCCCTTCTGCATGAGTTTACATCCACCCATCATCACACAGAAAACACATGTGCTCTGCAAGCAGCAGCTGCGGGCAATTCTCAAACCCCGTTCTCTTTTTCACCCATGTAGCCTCACCCAGGGCCCTCAGTGGAAATTCTGGGCTGCCACCATTTCCACTTTGAAAGCGCTCAGTAGTATATGCTCTTCGGCCAAACTCATGGAGTGTTTATGCACCTGCCCTTCCTGGAGCAAAGGGTGGAGGCATGTTTCCTGCAAGAGTTCTGGAATATACCTAAATATTTAGATTCTCTTGGCCCAAAACCCAGTTAATCTTCTGGTGTGTTCCTATTTTGATCTAGAGATGCTGTAAACTTGAGTTAATTTTTCCCAGACATGCCTGAGATACTAGCAGTAATTCCTTGTGTTTGTGATATAAAAATGCCCCTCAGAGGCAGTGAAAGAAAAGTCAGCCATGAATTTGGAGGAGTTAATGGAAATATCCATCCTCTAACTGCATCTTTCACTTTCTGTCCAGAAAGTCACTTTGTCACTGTGTGGATATGTGCATAACTTTCAATGGCTTAGCAAGGACCTTCCTGGGAGGTAAACCAGCATCCCCTGTGGGGAGCTTATCTACTCAGAGTCACCGCTGTCCAACGTCAGACCTAAGGTGCTGTTAATTTCTAGGGCTGCACCTTTACATTTTCAGCAGTCTTCCTCCGAGAGGCACATGCACATCTCTGGAGGGCTCTCCCTCAGCAACAGCGAATTAGAAAACCTAGCTGAGAGTTGCTGCAATTATTTTCTTTTACTGACTTTATAAAGCACTTATTTTTTTCTTTATATCAGGAGCTCCCTTAAACACAATCCTTTCTAAGGGGAAAAAAACATGCTGAAGCAGCAGAGATTCCACAGCACTTAATTTTAAGCAAGTCCTGTCAAGTTTACAAAACCCAGCTCCACAGGGTAATGTAGTGCTGGTGTGCTTCGCATCTGCCTCCCCTTAGCCTGAGCAGCTCCTCTCAGCCACAGGAAGACCTATCCTTTTTTCCCTCTTTGCAGAAATTGTGGTAAAGACCTAGGACATCGTGTTGAATTACAGTATAATCTGGTTTGAGAAACAGTCTTTTGGATCTGAAATGTTCTCCCATCTGAGCCAGGGCCTGGCATCCCTTGGGAGAAACTCCCTGAGCTGATGGTGTGGACGTGCGGTACCTGGGTGTCTTTGCGCCAGCTCTCACGAAAGCATAGCTAACAGGCTTCAAACTCAACTTCTCTCCGGAACTTCTGTGGCACAGCCCATCTTTTACAAATGGGTTGAAGTAAGTGTTTTTCCTTCTCTGTGATTTTGTTTATTTGTAAATCCAAGAAGCTTCACAAATCAGTTGGTCTTTCTCGCTGTTTTATTCTAGAATTTTACATGGACTCTTCTTTTTCAACAGCACTAGTTCAGGGGTTTGACAGCCACAGACAGCAGTAACTTTACATGCATGAGATTGTGCAGTTACTCATACTGCCTACTGCATATGTTCCCCTCTTCCGAATTTCTCAGAACTTCTGAGTTTGTCCTCCTGGGGACAGCCCCAAATAATTCCTGACAAAGTTAGTGCATACATACCCCAGCCCCTTCATCCCTCAGGAGGGCAAATGCTGAGAACGATGTTCTGCTCTGGCTTCCAGAGTTCCCCAGTGAGGGGAAACCCAGCACTTTCCACCCCCACCCCCAGTGTGGCTGCATCATAATTCCTCCTCCACTGCCTTTTTCCTGTCCCTTTCTCTCCTCCCCACTTCCCACCCAGTGCTTCTATCACCTCCCAAATAAACTATTTGAATTTGCCTCCTCATCTCAGGGTCTTCTTTAGAAAGAATCTAAACTGAAACTGATGGGATAGTGAAATCCTGCACTGCTTTGAGAGCTATAATTTTTTAAAGATAAACTTTCTTCTGTGGCCTGAAATTTCTTCAACTGAGATACCAGATACAACTTGAGTGCATACAACAGACTGAAGCAATGCTGCTCTAGAGCAAGCATCACAAGAGAAGAGCATCATTTATTCTTTCTTTGCTAATGGTAAGATTAAGGAGACAACTCAAAAGAGTCTTGTTCAAAAAATTAATTTAAAAATCTGACAAAGTTGTTGGAGACAATAATTTATACAGAAATGTTTAGTTTTGCTCTATGCCAGCAACAAGTAATTAGAAATAAAATCAAAAAAGTATTTCACTACAATGGAGACCAATGCATGAAATAATTAGAAATATGTGTAATGAGAACTAGAGCCTATATCACTGAATAAGCTGTAGAATCTATAAACAAACTCTTATTATAGGAGGTGGACAAGAACAAAGCTGATGGAGAGACGTAAAAGAAGATCTAATATCACAGTAGTCATACCACATGTTCTCCAAAATAGTGTGCAAACCATGTCATTCTAATTGGTATCTCAATGAGGTATTTGTTTTATTTATCTATAAAGATGTTAATAGTCCATTTTAATGTTTTAATATATATATCTTTATAATTCCAACTTTTATTTTAGATTCAGAGGGTACATGTGCAGGTTTGTTACATGGGTGTATTGGGTGATGCTGAGGTTGGGGTACAAATCCCATCACGCAGGTACTGAGCATAGTACCCAATGGGTACTTTTTAAACCCTGGCTCCCTTTCTCCCTCTCCTCTCTAGTAGACCCCAGTGTCTATTTTTGACATCTTTCTGTCCATGAGTACCCAATGTTTAGCTCCTACTTATAAGTGAGAACATGTGGTATTTGGTTTTCTGTTCCTGTGTTAATTTGCTTAGGATAATGGCCTCCAGCTGCATCCACGTTGTTGCAAAGGACATAATTTCATGTCCTTTGTAGTATTCCATGGTGTAGTATTCCATGGTATATATGTACCACATTTTTTGTAATCCAGTTCACCATTGATGAGCATCTAGGTTGATTCCATGTCTTTGCTATTGTGAATTGTGCTGCAATTAACATGAGTGTATGAGTCTTTTTGGTAGAACAATTTGTTTTCCTTTGGGTACATACCCAGTAATGGGATTGCTGGGTTGAATGGTAGTTCTAAGTTCTTTGAGAAATTTCAATGAGGTATTTTATTTGAATTGGATAAAATGACTACTAAGTTTATATGGGAAAATGTATGCATGAGGATAGTTAAGAAGATTGTATAAATACACATGTATCAGTGAAAGCAGTTATATTTTACTAATTACCAGTTACAATTACAGAGCTGTTGTAACTAATCAGCATGTTACTGGTGGATTGGAACCCTGTGAGGAATCCAGACATCAGTGCTGTAGATAAAGATGATTAAGTGACAAAATGCAACTCAGTGGGAAAACAGGAGATCACAAGAAACAGCACTGGCACGACAGGTGTTCTTCTGGAAGAAGGTGAAATTGGACACCTACTGACATCTCATACAAAACTAGAATTCAGTTTGATAAAAGGCCTGGGTGATGTATTAGTGAAGGTTCTCTAGAGGGACAGGACTAATAGGATAGATGTATATATGAAAGAGAGTTTATTAAGGAGTATTCACTTTTAGAGTCCTGTGTGTAGAGTGTGTAGATCTACTGGCAAAACAAGTAAGTGGAAATGAGTACTCCTCATAATATTTTGTCCTCTGACCTCTCCCTGCTCTTTAATGGTTTAATTTAACCAAAAAGGAAAAGACAGAAGAATCCATATAGACATGATAAGAGGGTAGACCTCTTTTGAATGTAGAAAGCTCAATACATTAGATTTTTGGGAAAACAACCCATGTGTTGGGGAAAATCCCGATTTTCTGTTCATCTCTCCACAATCCACATAGTTCCAGAAGCCAGAGATCAAGTCAAAATATGTTACACATTTTTAAAAATCTGCTAGCACCCTGGTGACCTTGGATATGTGATAGGGCACAAGCATGAGCAAGAGGAGGATCAGAAGTGAGCCGCTTTCTCTGTGGGATGATGCCAAGGCCCTTGGATTATTCTCTGCCATGCCCCAGAGCCCCTCCTCTAAAATTTACCATGACTGGGTTTTTCACAAGAGTCAGATATTGAAAGGTAAATACTATCCAGGGCAAGAAGAAATGGCCAAGAGAGTAAAATATTGCACACTTTCCCAGGCTCACTTAGTAACTTTTAACTAGAGACAACAGACCACAAACATCTTCCTTTTCTCTGACAACGCCAATAGCTCCTTCTTAAGAGGGTAACAAATGCTTCAATTACACCTGCTGCCCCAGCCTTGTTAGTAATTGCATTCCTTTTGCTAGGAAACGTGTACAGTTTTGGACAATAATTATATAGTGACTCTAGAAATTGGGGACTCAGTGTTCAAGAGGTAAATCTGAACTTTGGAAGCTAAGAGTTCTGCCTAAGTTCCCTAAAATCCAGGGAGCAGCTCAGAGAAAACAATGGGGATAAATAGCACGTGGTTCCCGAGGTGAGTCCTCAGAGCCCAGTGCTGACTCTAGAGGCACATCAGTGTCTCCAAGATGGAATATGAGTAGTTCAGGGAAAACTGTCTGTTATAATACAGAAGCACTCTTACTTACAAAGACTATATCTATATCTGAAAATAGTAAGCAATAACACCTTGCTTTGAAAATTGCAGCACAATTCTCAAATATCATTTTGTTTAATGTTTACAACAACCCTATGGGTGGAAAATAAGAACCCATGAGGCTTAAGATCACGCAGCTGTAAGTGGCTGAATATCAGGCTCAAGCAGAAATCCCTGGGTCCACATTCTGTGTCCTTTCTGCAGCCCACAGCTGCTGGACTGGAACTTGGAAGACAAAGGAGGTGCAATGAGATTCACGTCAGCTCTTCTCCTTTCTTGTTGCTAATGTCCAACATCCAATTAATCGTCCAGTGTTTCGTCCAGGAGAAGGAGTGCACATCCAGAAGCCACAGATAACCATAATGACATGTTATTAAGAGCTTAATTTCTGAAAATGCTTGGCTTCTGCCTTTGTCTCAGGTGAGGCAATTCATCCCTGGGGTGTTTATAGAAGTGCAAAAGACAAATATTAAAAAGTAAAGCCGGCTTTGGGATACAAATGGCTGGTAAGTGATTCTGTAGTCTTAATTAGTGGGCCTCAGTGCAGGGAAGCAAGACTTATCTCCCCTCCTCAGCCCTGCAGGCTTTCTTGGTTAAGAAACGGTATTTGGCACAAATCAGCTTTCTCTTGTTTAAAAAATAAAGCATGAAGACACCTTTTCACGCACCTGAGTGTGGTGTAATAAAGGTGCCAGTGGTTAATGATGTGGTTCATCTACTTGGGTAGGTGTGACTGCAAGCAAATGGTTTCCATTATGGAAAATGATCCCTGTAGGCTGTGGAGTAATTTGAAAGTAAAACAAATAATTCAAATAACCCCCAGTGACCTCCAAAAGCTTGCATAATACAAGGTGATATTTTGGAAAAATGTCAACAAATGAATTCTATGGTTTTTTTGGCTTCATAGAAAAATTCCTTCCATGGCTGACTTTTTGGAAATGGTAAGGATGGTTACATTTACAGATTATCCATCAGTCCATCAGCCAGTATGCATATGATGTACCAACAGCCGTTCTGTGCTGGCCATTGTGTAGACAGAAAAATATGGAAGTCTCAATTGCTTAAATATAGTGCTCAGAGAAGTCAGGTGAAATCACATGAGGTCGCTATGTGAAATAATTCCTCTAGGATGGTGTGATTGAGGCTCAAAGGCTGCAGGGGTCCAGGGTCTAAGAGATCATTGAAGGCTGTGAGGAAGTCATGGGAAAGACCTGGAGACATTCTGCAGCCCCATCAATCCAATAATTTGAAAGATAAAAGCAACATCTTAATGTACGGAGTGGGGTGTCTTCCACATTACACTCAGGGGAAGTTGCCTGACCTTTACTTCCTTATCAGCCCCCACACAAGGAGTAGGGTGGGGTTCAGGGGCAGACTGTGGACAGGCATCTTGGGTTCCATTCTCAGCCCTGGCACTTCACAGAGATTATCGATCCCCTCCGTGCTGACTTCCTCATTGTTGGAGTGGAAAGTAATATTTTCTATCTTACAGAGTTGTGATAGAGATGAATAGATGCATGCAAAATTTTTCAAACAGTGTCTGGTACCCAGAAACCACTCAAAAATGCAATCTATAATTTAGACAAAGAAGATTCAATTGAACAAGCTACAGACAAATAAAAGAATTGAGAGAACAAACAACAACAATAATAAAAGTTGTCAGAGCCCTTGCAGCCCCGACCCTGAGAAGACAGAGCTGGTGTATAAGACAGCAGTCCCTGGAGAAGTCTTCCCTTTTCTAATGACCGAGTATTCAGTGGAGGTTTTCCCAAACCCAAGTTAGTTCCCTGGTTATGCTCACCAAGCAGCAAGGTCTCTGACCAGAGTTTTTGAGATGACAGCATTATGATCCCTAGAAAAGAATAAGCTCTCTTTGGGCTCACCAAATTTGCATTCATATATATATAAAATATGAATATATATATATACACACACATATATACACACACACACACACACATATATATACACACATATATTTATATATATATGAGTTTCCATATTGTAAATCTGCACAAAAATGCCAAGTATTCCTGGTTTAATTCACATAAACTGACTTTCTGCAGCCGGGAAGCAAATGGCCAAACCCTGAAGATAATGACTCAACCAAGGTGTTACCACAGAGACCCTTCCTCAGCCCCCTCCACACTGCTAGTCCAAGGTCTTCAGAGTGGGAAAGGTGTGTGTGTGTTTCTCAGGATTATCCCTGTGGTTATGAAGAAAATACTAGAACTTCATTTTAGTCTACTTTATTAAAAGTAATGAGATTTTAATATTAAGTACATGAAAATACCATATAGAGAAAGAATTTCCAGTGGTGCTGGCCACCTTTGTTTCCAGCCCTTTGCGAGGTACTACAGTTCGTGGTTTTCAAGGCAATGGATTTTGAGGATTTCGTTTGCCATTCTGGGTGTTTTGCTTGCATATAAACTTTGGAATCAGTTTGTTGGTATTTATGAAATAGTTTGTACTGTTTTGATTGGGCTTGTGTTGTCTATAAATCAAGTTGGGAACAATTGATATCTTAACAATACCGTGTTTTCCAATCCATGAGCATAGAATATCCCTCCATCTATTGAGACTTCTTTGATATTTTTCATTAGAAATTTTTGGTTTTTCATATGTACAGCACATATTTGTTTTGGCAGATTTTTACCTAAGCAAAGTGATTAATATTAAAAAGTCTAAAAATAACAGATGTTGGCAGGCTGTGGGGAAAAGGGAACACTTATACACTTCTGGTGGGGATGCAAATTAGTCCAACCACTATGGAAAGTAGTTTGGCAACTTCTCAAATAACTTAAAACAGAATTACAATTCGATGCAGCAATCCCATTATTGGGTATATATCCAAAGGTATATAAATTGTTCTACCATAAAGACACACGCACACATATGTTCATTTCAGCACTGCTCACAATAGCAAAGACATGGAACCAACCTAAATGCCCATCAACGGTAGACTGGATAAAGAAACTGTGGTACATATACACCATGGAATACTATACAGCCACAAAAAAGAATGAGATCATGTCCTTTGCAGCAATATGGATAAAGCTGGAGGCCATAATCCTAAGCAAACTAACACAGAAACAGAAAACTAAACACCACATGTTCTCACTTATAAGTGGGAGCTAAACATTGAGTGCACACGAACACAAAGATGGGAACAATAGACACTAGGGCCTACTAAAGGTGAGAGGTGAATGAGGATTGAAAAACTACTTACTGAATACTCTGAGTGTTACCTGGGTGACAAAATAACATGTACACCAAAGCACTGTGACACAACTTATCTATAGGACCAACCTACACATGTACTCTAGAAACTAAAATAACAGTTTAAAAAAAGAATTTTTTTTGCTTCTATTTTCTAGAAGAGAATGTAGAGAATTGGTATCAATTATTCCTTGTTTGCTAGAATTCTCACAAGAGAAATCATCTGGACCTGCTTTGGATTTTTTTTTTTTCCTTTACTGAAAGGTATTGATACTTGATTCATTTATTTAAGAGATATTAGACCATTCCGCTTATTTCTTTTTTTTTTTTTCTTTTCTCTTTTTTTAGACTGAGTCTTGCTCTGTCACCCAGGCTGGAGTGTAGTGGTGTGATCTCAGCTCACTGCAACTGTCGCCTCCTGGGTTCAAGCAATTCTCCTGACTCAGCCTCCTGAGTAGCTGGGATTATAGGCGTGTGCCACCACGCCCGGCTAATTTTTCTATTTTTAGTAGAGGCAGGGTTTCACCATGTTGGCCAGGCTGGTCTCGAACTTCTGGCCTCAAGTGATCCACCCGCCTCGGCCTCCTGAAGTGCTGGGATTACAGGCGTGAGCCACTGCGCCTGGCCCCGGTTATTGATTTTTCCTTGTGTGAGTTTTAGTTGTTTGGGTCTTTCAAGGATATGAGCTATTTTATCTGTTATCAAGCTTGTGGACATATAGTTATTCATACTATTTTTTTATTGTCCTTTAAATGTCCATGATATCACTAGTGTTAACTTTCCTTCATTTCTGAATTAGTGCCTTCTCTCTAGCCTGGACAAAATTTTATTAATTTTACTGATCTTTTCAAAGAAGAAACTTTTGTTTTTATTGATTTTCTTTATTGATTTCATCTTTTCAATTGTCCTGATTTCTGTTCAATTTTTACATTACTACTTCTTTTCTGTTTGCTCTACACTCAAATGGCTTTTGTTTCTCTAGTTTCCTAAAGAAGAAGTTTTTATTTTTTTATTTTAAATCTTTTTTCTAATATATTCACTTAATGCTCTAAGTTTCCCTCTGTATACTGCTTTCACTGCACCCTATAATTTTATGTTTTATTTTTGTTTTTATTAGTTCAAAGAATCCTTTAAATTTCTCTTGAGACTCCTCTTTTTTTTTTTTTTTTTTTTTTTTTTGAGATGGAGTCTCGCTCTGTCCCCCAGGCTGGAGTGCAATGGCACAATCTTGGCTCACTGCAACCTCCGTCTCCTGGGTTCAAACAATTCTTCTGCCTCAGCCTCCCGAGTAGCTGGGATTACAGGTGCCTGCCACCACACCCAGCTAATTTTTATATTTTTAGTAGCGATGGGGTTTCGCCATGTCGGCCAGGCTGGTCTCGAACTCCTGACCTCGTGATCCGCCTGCCTCGGCCTCCCAAAGTACTGGAATTACAGGCATGAGCCACCGCTCCCAGCCGAGACTTCTTTAATCAATGTGTTATTCAGAAGTATGTTTTTTAATCTTCAAGTATCTGGGTTTTTTTCCCCAGCTCTCTTTCTGTTATTGGTTTTAGTTTGATTTCAAAGTGGTCTGAGAACATTCTTTTTTATGATTATCCTTTAAAATTTATTAGGATATGTTTTATGATCCTGAATATGGTCTATCTTGGGAATCTTCTATGTGAGCTTAGAAAAATGTGTATTGTGCTGTTGTTGGATGGAGTACTCTTTAAATGTCAATTAGGTCAAGTTGATTGCTAGTATTCTTCAGGTCACCTATATCTTAATTGATTTTCTGTCTACTTGATATATCAATTACTGATCTTGTCTGTGTTTCTCTGTATTTTCCTGTCTCTCCACTATTCAGGATGGCATTTTGCCCTGCAATCTCAGTGCTCTGATTGGTCTGAAAAAGTCCTTAATTTTCAGTTTTTCAAGTATTTTCTAGTTGTAAGGATGGTAATGATAACTTCCAAGCTCTTTAAATGTCAGGGCTGAACAGAAAGTCTGTAAATCTTAGATTTTTAACCTAAGCCCACCTTCAAATAACAGTGTACAACTTCCTGTATTGTGCAAATGTCTTGTATCAGAGTATTCCCACTTTCTTCCTTCCATACCTCTGACATTGTTGTCATTAATTACACTGATCCACTAGCTATAATTATCCAGTACATTATTACTATTACAAGCACACTTTTGAGATAGTGTAGGTTCCACTTTACATTATCTACTACAATAAAATGAATATGGCAATAAAGTGCATCACACAAATTTTTTAGATTCTCAGTGCATATAAAAGTTATTTTTACACTGTACTGTAATCTATTAAATGTGCAACAGCACTATTCTTTAAAAAGTACATATTTTAAGTAAAAAGTATTTTACTGCTAAAAAAAAAATGCTAACGATTGCTGAGTCTTCAGGGCTGGTGAAGGGTCTTACCTTGATGTTGATGGCTGTTGAGTGATGAGGGTGGTGGTTGCTGAAGGCTCAGGTGGCTGTGGCAGTTTCTTAAAAGAAGACAAAATGAAGTTTGCCTCATTGATTGACACTTCCTTTCATGAAAATTTCTCTATAGTATGTGATGCTGTTTCACAGCAATTTACTCATAGTAAAACTTCTTTCAAGATTGGAGTTGATCCTTTCAAACTCTACTGCTGCTTTATCAATTAGCTTTATTTAATATTTTCTATTCTTTGTTGTCATTTCAACAATGTACACGGTATCTTCACCAGGAGTCAATTCCATCTCAAGAAATCACTTTCTTTGCTCTTTCTTTAAAAGCAACTCCTCACTCCTTCAAGTTTTATCATGAGATTGCAGAAATTCAGTTACATCTTAAGGATCCAATTATAGTTCTAGCTATTTTGCTATTACCATACATGCAGTTACTTCCTCCACTAAAGTCTTGAACCCATCAAATTTATTCATGAGGATTGGAATCAACTTCTTCCAAACTTCTGTAGCTGTTGATATTTTGCCCTTCTCCCATGAATCATGAAATTCTTAATCGCATCTAGAATGGGGAATCCTTCCTAGAAGGTTTTCAATCTACTTTGTCCAGATCTATCAGAAGAATCACTCTCTATAGAAACTATAGCCTTACAAAATATATTTCTTAAATTATAAAACTTGAAAATCAAAATCAGTTCTTGATCCACGGACTGCAGAATGAATGTTGTGTTAGCAGGCCTGAAAACAACATTAATCTCTGTACATATCTCCATCAGAGCTCTCAGGTGATCAGGTGCACTATCAATGAGCAATAATACTTTGAATTTTTTTTTTCTGAGCAATAGGTCTCAACAGTGGGCTTAAAATTTTCAGTAAACAATGCTGTAAACAGATGTGCTGTCATCCAGGCTTTGTTGTTCCATTTATAGATCACAGGCAGAGTGGACTTAGCATAACTATTAAGAGCCCTAGAATTTTTGGAATGGTGAATGAACATTGGCTTCAACTTAAAGTCACCAGCTGCATTAGCCCCTAACAAAAGAGACAGCCTGTCCTTTGAGGCTTTGAAGCCAGATATTGACGGCTGCTCATTAGCTGTAAAAGTCCTAGATGGCATCCCCTTCCAATAGAAAACTGTCTTTCCTACATTGAAAACCTGTTGCTTAGTGTAGCCACTCTTGTCAATTATTTTAGCTAGATCTTCTGGATAACTTGCTGAAGCTTCTACATCACTTTTGCTATCATCTTATACTTTTATGTTATGGAGACAGCTTCTTTTTTAAGTTCTATGAACCAGCTTCTGCTAGCTTCCAACTTTTTTTCTGAAACTCCCTCACCTCTCTTAGCATCTATAGAATTGAAGAGAGTTAGGCCCTTGTTGTGGATTAGGCTTTGGCTTAAGGAAAAGTTGTGGCTGGTAGGATCTTTCAGCCAGACCACTCAAACTTTCTCCATATCAGAAATAAAACTGTTTTGTTTGCTTATCATTTGTGTGTTCACTGGAGTAGTGTTTTAATTTTCTTCAAGAACTCTCCCTTGGCATTCACAACTGGGCTGTGTGGCACAAGAGGCTTAGCTTTCAACCTATCTTGGCTTTCAGTATACCCTAATTAACTAAGCCTTAATTAACTAATCTTAATTATTTCTAGTTTCTGATTTGAAGCAAAAGACATGTGACTCTTCCTTTCACTTGAACACTTAGAGACCAGTGCAGGGTTATGAACTGGTCTAATTTCAATATTGTTGTTTCTCAGAGAATAGGGAGGTCTCAGGAGAGGACAAGTGATCACGTAACAGCTGGTGGTTGGAGCAGTTGGTTGGTGGAGCACTCAGAATACACACATTTATTGATTAAGTTTGCCACCTTATACAGGCATGTTTTTTGGCACCCCAAAACAGTTACAATAGCAAAGACCTCTGATCACAGATCACCATAACAGATATAATCATAATAATAAAGCTTAAAGTATTGTGAGAATTACCAAAATGTGACACAGAGACACAATTTGAACACATGATGTTAGATAAAATGGTGCTGATAGACTTGCTCAATGAAGGGTTGCCACAAACCTTCAATTTGTAAAAAATGCAATATCTGTGAAGCACAATAAAGCAAAATGCAATAAAACAAGGTTTGCCTGTATTGCTCTGAATAGTTATCTTTTAGATCCATTAAAATGATAAACTTTTAGTTTGCCTTGTTTTCTGCCTTTCTTTTCTTCATGTAGATCCACATTTCTGACCTGTTTCATTTTCATCTGATGAAAAATTCTTTTAATATTTCTTGCAGTGAAAATATGCCTGTGATAAATTTCCTCAGGTTTCATTTGTCTAAGGAAGCTTTCTTTCTCTTTTACTTTTGAACATAATTTTGCTGGATATAGAATTCTAGGTTTGTGGTGTTTTTCTTCTATACTTTAAACATCTCACTCCACTGTCTTCTTGCTTTTATGGTCTCAGTGACAAGCCCACTGTAGAACTTTTCCTGATTTCTCTGTAGATAAGCATATTAAAGAGTCTGACCCCATTTTTGGTGGGGGAGGTATTTGACTATTCATAGCTTTTTATGTTTCTCCATTTCCTCTTTCACATTTACCCCAGATTTGGGGAAGCTGATAAGAAGGTCTGGGTGCTCCCCTATTTGGCACTGGTGGAGATTCAAACCACACAAACCATGGCCTGCCTGTAGAAACCCTCACTTCAACCCTATGCCCTAACTACTATAAACACCCCTCACTTCAACCCTATGACCTAACTACAATAAACACCTCAAGCCAGTCTCCTTACACCATTCTCTCAAGCCATGTTTGGACCTGCTTGGGAACCACTCTTTTCTCATTTCTCTCATCAGAAAACCTCATAATGTGACTAATAAACCTTTTCATGCCCTCCTGGTATATGGGTGGCATCACCAGTCTCAACATTCAAACTAAATTTTAGATGAGAGTCCATCCTGATTCTGAAAAGTTATCACAACAGTTAGGTGTCCTTGCTCAACCACAGCTTGGTTTTCTACAGTTGGAAAATTATCTGCTTAGATACACCCACATGCACACACACACACATCCCTATGTTAGGAAGATCTATATCTATGTACACACACACTAATATAGGAAGTAAATATCAAACATAATTACTTTTGCACCAACCTGATATATACACACATACATACACATACACACTGCTTGGTGTTCTTTGAGTTTTCTGAATCCTGGATCTGTGCTTTGGTGTCTGCCATTAATTTTGTAATGTTCTTGACCATTATTACTTCAAACATTTTATTTACTCTGTCCTTTCTTTTTTCTCCTTCTGATGTTATAGTTACATATACGTTGCACCCTTCGAAATTGCCCCACAGTTCTTGGATGTTCTGTTCTGTTTCTTCATTGTTTTTTCCCTTTGCATTTTATCTTGGAAGGTTTCAGTGGACATATCTTTAAGCTCACTCACTCTTTTCTTGGTTATGTGATGTCTACTGGTCAACCTATCAAAGGTATTCTTCATGTTACCATGTGTTTTATTTCTAGCATTTTCGTTAGCCTGGGCAACATGGCAAAACATGGTGAAACCCCGTCTCTACAAAAAATGTAAAAAATTAGCTGGATGTAATGGTGTGCATCTATAGTTTCGGCTACTTAGGAGGCTGTGGTGGGAGGATTGCTTAAGTCCAGGAGGTCAAGGCTGCAGTCAGCAGTGATCGTGCCACGGCACTCCAGTCTGGGTGACAGAACAAAATCCTGTCTAAAAAATAAATAAATAAATAAATAATTTAAAAAAGAAATGCAGACTCTCAAGGTAATTTGTATACACGCTAAACTGTTACAAGTACTTATGTTGAGCCCTGGGTTTCAAACTTACCTGTGTGCTAGAATTACCAAAGAGCTTTGGAAAAAAAAAAAAAGGAGCCTAGGTCCCAAACCCAAAGATTCTGGTGTAACTGATGTGGGTGTGTCTTGGGTATCAGGAATTTTCAGAAGTTCCCCTAAGTGACAACAGTGAGCAGCCAAGTTTGAGAACTACCAGTTTACAGGCATCCACAGAGAATAGGGAGGGAATTGGGGACAGTGCACATAAATGAATGTCCCAACCTGTGAGACAGTATAGCATATGTGAGAACCATAAGCAAACCCATCTTCAAGAGCAAGGTATAAGGAGAGAGATGGGGAATATGGACAAAAAGGCAGGGAACATTCTGCTTTTAAGGACTCACAGGACATACTACCAGACTTGGGTCTTTGGTATGTAGGTGAAGAGCTTTGGAAAGGAAGTAACAGGCTTGTAATTCAGAGCTTTTATAGCACCAAACCTAGAGGCTGGGAAAGCAGATAGGAGCCCAGCGCAACATTAAAGATTGACACCTGAATGCAGGTATTGGTAGAAAGTACTGACAGAAAATAAATATAAGAATGATCAGGAGGTAAAATCATTAGGTCTTGATCATTGATTGATTAGAAGGGTGTAAAGACAAAAGATAGGAAGGGAATCTCAGATGTGCCCAGTGGATTTTCTGGGTTGGCATGCAAGTCTGTGATTAATTATATTTGGGACACATTCAGTGTTGGATACTTGTGAAGTATGCACATGCCAATGTTCATCAGATGTCTGAACAGCAAAAACCTGCAGTTCCGACGGGAAGTCCAGGTGCAGGTCGTAGATCTGGGATTCATCCTCAAGTAAATGGAAGAGGATGCCATTCAGTTGCATGAGGTAGCTTAATGGGAAATCAAATATTGAACTTCAGAAAATACCCAGGAGAATACCATGTAGGAGAGTAGTAGGGAATGATTAGAAA
Source organism: Homo sapiens (assembly GCF_000001405.40). Classification (NCBI taxonomy): domain Eukaryota; kingdom Metazoa; phylum Chordata; class Mammalia; order Primates; family Hominidae; genus Homo; species Homo sapiens. The sequence continues at coordinate 24,275,621 of NC_000020.11, forward strand.
GGAAGAGAAGGATGAGGAAATAAGATCACAGAGACAAAGGGGTGCTCAAGACACCTAAGACATCAGAAAGCCTGCCACAGAGAGGGGCAGATGCTGCCTGGGTTTAGCAATGGTGAGCTTATTTGCAATCAGTGTCTCAGTGAAGTGGATGGAAGAAAACCAGATTTCCCTAGGTTAAGAAATCAAGGCGTCAAGGAGGGTGGACCTCATTTTCTGCCACACTGAGTGTCCTAAGATAGTATCCATGTAAATAAATGATTGAATAAATGCAACAGCACGGCTGAAACAGGAAGAAAAAATGTGATAGCTCTGCGTGTGAATGGTGGAAATAAAGGTGTCTTTTTGATATGAGAGACCTTGACAAGTTTCTAAACTGATGAGAAAGTGCCAGTAGAGAAGAGAAGGTTAAAGACACAGGACATGAGGGATACAAACATAAACATCTGACTTGTGCAGGCTCGCAACATCCAGGCTGCTTCTGTGTCTCTCACAAGCTCCCATCAGTTTTTTACTATAAGTTAGGGTTTGGGGGAAATTAACTAGAAAAACCACATCTGGAGCATTTTGGCAGTTTCCTGGTGAAGGGCAGACTCCCTGCCAGATGTCCTGAGCATGGAGGGGTATGGCAGGAAAATAGGTGAGTGCCATGGGGACAGGCACAGGTCTCTGAGTGAGGGTAAAGGATGGAGGGTCCACACCTGGCGTCTTACTGAGAGAGGTCACTCTGGGGCATGAGTAGAGTAGATGTGGACACTGACCACAGGAAGAGGCCATGAGACCAATCTCTCAACCCGTCTGGGCCCTTGGAGGCACAGGGGAAGCTCCCTGCAGTGGGTGGTGCAGGGTCTGCCATGTGGGGAGTGATAGCCACTGAAATCCCTGTCACACAGCTATGAGAGTCCAGAGGTGAGAAAAAGAGCTTCCAGAGCAGATAAGAAAAGGAGTTTTCTAGAGCATAGTGGCAGGAAAGGCAGAGAGCACAGTTCTCTCTCTGGGGCAAAAAGTAAGAAGGCAGTGTGGGTGCAGGACAGCAGGTGTGCTTAGAGGCAAGAGGGAAGGTCATTGAATGACAGTTTTAGTGTCAGTGGGGGCAGGGATGGTGGAGAAAGGAAAGGATTCTGGACATGTATTGCAACAGCATTTGCTGATGAATTGAATGTGGGGTGTAAATTTTAAAAAGAAGCAAGGATGTTTGCATTGTTTTTGACCTGAGCAACTGGAAGTAAAGAGACTCCATTAAAAATTTTGGGAAGGAATGCAGGTGCAGCAGATTTGAGGGAGAAGCAGGAGCTGTTTTGAGCATATTCAATGTTACAATGATTTATCTCCACGGAGGACTAAGACCTTTTGAATAATGCTGAAATATCGTCTACTCATTTTAATAACAGTCTAAACTTCTTGCCTTAGTTTTTTTACATAGCTCAATGTTATGCCACTAACAGTAACTCTTAAAAGGTAGCTTTCATTTCCTGAAGCAATTTAGGATTCTGTTTTTCTCCTCTAAAATGATGGCAATAAAACTGGTTCTTCTCCGTGTTCATAACTGTGAAAAATAGATCCCAGTGTTTGGGATCAAGCACCATGCAGGTGGAGAACGAGGGTTTGTCAGGGGAAATGTATGTCCTGAGTTGAGGGATTTGTCCGCTCCGCCTTGTCTCCTAATTTTACTCCATAAGAAACCTGTCACTGGCTGAATAAAGCCTTGGCTTGGCATCTCTGTGATAAGGCTCAGCATGGCGTGGAGGAGTGGGAGCCTGGAGGGTTTAGGTTAGCTCACTTGGTACCCCGCCCCCGCAGAGCTCCTTAGAGGGATTCCTCTCCAGGGTGGTGGCTCCGGCCATCTGTCTGTTCAGAACTGGCTACAATTTTCCACTTTTTTGATCAGATTCGGTCTCCGAAATGGACTCTAAGAAAGCAGGCTGGCTTCACTTTAAGAGACCCTTGGCATCCTCTACCCTCCCACTACTGGTTTTGTTCAAGACACTGTCAGCCCCAACCCAAGATCATAGATCGAAGACTCTTAGGAAGCATGAACAGAATTCAGAGATTCCACAAACTCGAATGAAAAACTTGTACCTTTTTTTCACGTAAATCTAACAAAAAATTAAAATTTATTTCTATAATAATGCCAGCCAAAAAGAAAAAAAAACTGAAATATTAGTACCTGTGCCTTGGTCACTGATAAAAATTACAGGTATTCATCTTATTAACATAGTCATTTAATACATTAATTAAAAATTACACATATAACAATATCACAACTTTTCAGATAATTAAATACCAATATCTCATGGTAACTCATTTATTTTTTAATCTTATGTATTTTATTTTATGTATCTAAAAATATTATCCTAAGAAAGACTCCACAGGCTTCTAAGCTGCTGGAAAACAGAAATGAACTTTTGTCATTATCATAACCCCAGTCCCAGGGCAGTATACAACATGGCTGATGCTTAGCTAATATTTGTGGAATGAATAAATGAGGGTATCTTTCATCTTAATTTTCCAAGCCTCTAAATTAATCTAAAAGTTTAAAATTGCTGGAAACATGGCATGCCTAGAGTGAGTTTTAAAAGATAAAGACATTGTTGCAGGACAGGATGATTAACACCAAAGAATAGATCCTCTTCCCTAACGTTAAGGGGGCTGCAGAAGGGCAGCAGTCCATCTTCTGCAACTGCTTCTTGGCTTCTTGCTGATTTTATGGCTGTAGTCCCTGACTAACACTGGAGGAGTAAAATCTCCAGATACTTGATCTAAGGGGCCCAAAGGCAGGATGCTCTCATTTTCTGGGTTAGAAGACAGGATAGGTTGGAAGGCTGGTGCTAGCATTGTCTTTATGTGGAATCTAGAAAATATAAACTTTACTAGGAGTCTAAACAAGAAAATTATAATTAGAAGGAAGGAGAAAAATGTAATGCTCCTATGCCCACCCACAGCATCATGTTATTTATTTATGCATTTGTAAAACAACAACCTTAAGTTTTCTAGGGTTTACAAATCATAGGTCATGGTGTCCTGCTCTTGTGCCTGTGGGAACTCATAAGAAACAGGTTTAATCCTAGACAAATGTTCCCAACCAGTACTTCCCTAAAGTTTAAGAGCGGTGAGGGTACTTAACTATACCCAATAAGAGCTCTTTCATATTATTGTATCTAATCCTCAGGGGATCCCTTTTTTTTTTTAAGTTTTTAGTAAGGCTGAATCTTTTTATTTTTTTCCTTTGCTTTGGTTTTATAATTTTGGAAAGGTATTTTGAACCTAGCCTAAATTTTAAGGGGCCATAGTGAGGTGTGACTGATGTCCTGTTTCCTGTTTCATGTTTTATGTCATGTGCTGAGTTAGGTTTTCTTGATTTCTTTGGGATTTTCTTTGGCCAAGAGACTTAGAGTCAAAAGACTTATAAGCCAATTAAACATTCTAGGTCAGGTAGGCATGGAAGTGACCAGGTACTCATTAGCCCTTAAAATCCTTTGAAGCAATACAAGAGTCAAAAATTAAAAGCCAAAAAAAAAGTTACACATCAAGAAAAACCAAAAGCATAGGATCAAGCTATAGTGGGGGAAAATACCACTCCCATAGACCTCTAAGGCAAAGCACTTTACCATCAGGACACAACAGTCAGAATCACAGGAGCTGATGGAAGAGCTGAAGGAGAGAGCCATCATCTCAGGCCTTTTTAAAGGGAGAAACAGCTGAAAGCAGTAAGACAGCAATAGTTGAATCCGAGAGATATAAATACAAGAAGTTTTAAAAGAAGCTGGTTATAGCATTAAAAGCAAAGTTTTCCATAATTTAGCAAATCAATACCTTATGAAAACTTAGTTTCAATATGTAGGTCATTTTATAATTTTCTTTACATCCCCTTTTTTTACTCACTGGTTCCTTTATATTTTGAGCCTCTCTTTCAAGAACTTTTGAATTAGACAAAAATCATTTTTCCCAACAAAGAATACATTTTTGGTACATTTTATACAAATCTAGGAAGCAAGAAAGGAGAACCACTTTACAATTTCAAGATTTATTTATTTATTTATTTATTTACTTACTTATTTATTTTGAGACGTATTCTCACTCTGTTGCCCAGGCTGGAGGTGCAATGGCACGATCTTGGCTCACTGCAACCTCTGCCTCCCGAGTTCAAGCAATTCTCCTGCCTCACCCTCCCTAGTAGCTGGAATTACAGGTGCATGCCACCATGCCAGGCTAATTTTTTTGTATTTTTAGTAGAGACAGGGTTTCGCCATGATCGCCAGGCTAGTCTCGAACTCCCGACCTCAGGTGATCCGCCTGCCTCGGCCTCCCAAAGTGCTGGGATTACAGGCATAAGCCACCCTGCCAGGCCCAATTTTAAGATTTCAAACCACACAGAAAGCTCACTATTTAGGGAACTATTCTAGTCACATGTATTTAACTTTTCTATTTTTAACAGTTTTACCTAGACTACCTCCAAGAACCAAGCTATCATGCAAAGCTAGTTACCATTTAAAGCCATTTCAACCATTTTAAAGCCTACAAACATCAGTTATTTACCTGGGTAAATATCTTAAAGTTAAATTTTAGAAGATATAACATTTTCTTTAAAGTAACAAGTTTAGATTAGTCTTATTTGTTTAATTTATTCAACATTCTTTTTTATAAGCCAATTGGATAGCATGTCAGACATAACATACATCACAGTACTTGTATATATACATAAACAAACATAACAAAGTGACCTGCATAAGACAACTGGATCCAAGCCATTTACAAAATCCTGACCTATCTGGCTAAACTTTGTTTACCCCAACAGGTATGGAAGAGGCAGGGAACAGGATTCTGTAGCATCAAATAAGGAAGAGAGAGGGCAAACCACACGGCTCAAAGGGAGACCTGGGCATCCCGGAGCTGCCTGAGAGCTCCCCCAGCTGTGGAGACTCCAAAGAAAAATGTTCAGGTGGCTGCTTGTCTTCCACTGTGGGAAGCTGTCTGCTTCATCAAGGATTCAAGACCCCCAGTAAACTTATTTGAGCAAGGCAGCTTGTTGGGGCTAGTGGAAGAAGGTTAGCTTTAGTGTTGACAGGAAGCCTTTTCCTCTGCCACCGGGCACGATTAGGACATTCTCACTGCCAATGGTCCTTTTGTATATAGTAGGCACACTGATTCTGGCCCAAGGACCAGCGAGTTGGTGGCTCTCATCTGGGCATCCCAGACACCGATTTTACAACACTGCCTCAGGATAGGTAATTCTGAGGTGGCAGAGGGCTTAAAGCAGCTATTGCTAATTGCACTTTTTGCCTATTTCTTTTGTGTTTTTTCACGTCTTCTGCCTTTTCCCTATTGTTGTAAACTTTAAAGGCCCTGTTGGCTTACAGGGATCTGAAGTCCCATTGCTGCTTTTTGTAGCCTCTTCCTAATGTCAGGCACAGCAGATTGAGTAATGAAATGTGTAACCAGGAAAGCTTGCCCTTCCAGGGAGTCTAGGTCCGAATTAGTCTATTCCCTGAGTGCCTCAACCAAATGGCCCAGAAACTAGTGGGATTTTTGTCTTTTCCCTGAGTTAAAATATCTCTAACCTTGTCATAAATGACTGGCTTAACCACACTATTTTTCTCCTGCTTTTTTCCTGTGGCACAGCAAGCAGACACCAATACTTGCAAGTCATGACAATTTAAATTAAAGAACGTGGACAGCTTAGTCAACTCCTCTGCAAACTTTTCTGGATCCTCTGAAAACTGGCTGAATTTTTCCTTGTATAAATGAAAAGTCTTGTACACACAGAAAATAGCACGTGTACTCTAAGTGTCCCCGCATTTCCATCAACTACTTCCCACAATGGACACAGGTTTGACTGTAGGGCTGATATGGGACCCCACTTCTGGTGGTACTGGTTGGACTTACTTTCTCATGCAGCAGGGGGTATAGGCTAGTTCGATAAGGGGGAGGGGTACCTTATGACCTTGCAGTGAAATTCTGTATTAGAGGACTGGCAGGACCTCAGAACTGGGGGTCTGAGGAGACTCCAAGGAGGGCAGAGGTATTCTAGGGGGAGCAGCTGGGAGGGAGCCCATAGGTGCTCCTTCCTGGTGCCTGGAAGTAACATGAGCCAGTAAAGGGCCAATAAAAGCCTGTACATAAGGGACCTCTTCCCATTTTAATAGGATATGTCTAATTGTAAAATAGCATTATAATGTGTATAACCATGTTTAGGCCAAATCTCTTGGTTTTCTAATTTATTTTGGACCCAAATGGCATTACAATAGAAAAATTAAGTCAAATTTGAATTTGCTCCAATAGACTAAAAGGTACAATAGTGGCAAATCCCCTGGAGGCTTGTCACTGTCTTCATGTCCAACAAGGATTTCTACTGGGCACATGAGTTTGTCTAAGTCTAGCAAGAGGGTAGGAAATTGGCCCTTTGTTATTTTTCTGTCTTAGATTCTCACTTCCTGCAAAGAAAGCATAAATATAGGGCATAAGAAAGTGGGTTATAATCATTTTTCAGTGAATGAACTATGACAAAGTGTTTTTTTAAGTAAAGTGAAGAAAGAAACGTGTGAAAGTGACAATAAAAAAAGAAAATGCTGTTATGGAAAATAATAACTTTAGGTCAGAAAACAGAAAAGGCAAGACCAAGATTCCCCTAGGGTGGACTTTCAACCCACAGTCCTAGAGGGAATGCCAATGCAAAAATCCTCAGAGTATCCAGGGGGTGGCCCAAAATAACAAACAAGGAAAACATGGAGTTCCTGTGTATGGGCCTTTGAGGGTCTCCACACCAAATGTCAAGAAACCTGGAGCATCTGGGGGCTACCAACAGTGAAACCCAAAAGCCTGGCTGGGGCCACAGAACAACATGACTGGCATCCCAGAGTCAACACAACAGGGAATCTCCCACAGCTAAGTGTCCTGCCTTAAACAATTGCCCAAATGCAGTTAGTGGGGAGCCAAAGGAAAAACTGTAAACAAAACATAAATTTCAGGGTGGAAAAAAAAATAAAATAGCAGCAGACAAAAACATAAAATGGCATTAGAGAGGAAAGGACTGAGATAAGGGGTGACAAGGATGTAGTTGGTTAGGACTTTGAATTGCTATCTAGGCAAAGCCTGGTTCACCCGATATTGGCAGGGAGGGCAGAGGGGACATTCTCCTGCCCACAGGAGCCAAAATGGCACCAACCAGTCTCCAACTTAGGGCTGGGGTGAAAGTCTGCTCCCCAGGTTTCCCCAGCTTGGGTGGACTCAGCTGCTATGGAGGGAAGGGGAGGTGTCAGTGCAGATCAGCGACCCACCAGCTGCAGTGGCAGGTCCTATGTGAGGCTGGGGTGCTGTGGCTGCTCACCCATCCACTGGGCTCCACCACCTGCCAGGAAAGATGATGGTTCTTAAAAGAGCCCTTGGCTAGTGTTACAGCTCTGCAGCTTTGATCACCACAGCACTGATCACCATCTTACCATCTCTCTGTCTCGCTGATCACCATCCCCCCATACTACCATTCCACTGACCGCCAATTGCTGCCTCTCACTGTCTCACTGTCCCAACAACTGTCAATCGCCAATCATTGCCTTTCCATCTCTCTCTAGTTATTGCCTCTCACTGTCTCACTGACTGCCAATTGCTGTTTCTTGCCACGTCGCTGGTCACCATCTTGCCATCTCTCACTGTTTCTCATCATCTTGCCTTTCCACTGATTCCAGGGTGAGCTAGTGGTGGCAGACAGCTACACTTTATTGAACGGGTACTGTTCCTTGTGGAGCAGGGCTGACTTATAGGCAGTGTGCCCAGAGTCAGCAACATATGGGCTCTTGGCAACAATACTTATATTCACATAAACCTACTTTCAACTACATGCAAATTAGGGGGCAGGTCAATACAAATTAAGGGGCAGGCTATTTAGAACTTTCTAGGAAAGGGGCAGTAACTTCCGGGTCATTGCCTTGGCATTTGTAAACTGTTATGGCGCTTGTGGGAGTGTCTTATGCCAATGAGCTATAAGGTCAGCTGGGGATGACTTTAATCATCATCTGCTGGTTCCTGCTGACTTTTTTTTTTTATTTTATCCTATCTGGACCAGATCCTGTTTTGGTCAGCAGGACTGTGACCAAAAAACAAGTCCTTCCAGTCTCCTACCTCAACATTAATTAGATCATAGTTTTCTAATTAATTAATCATGACTTGTCAGCATTCTTCTTACATATTTAGCTATAATTTCAATTTAGGGGGAATTTGCCTGCACCACCCACTCCTCAGCTGAGAATCGATATCTAAAAATCACTGCATGAATTTGTTTCATCATCTTCTCTGGTGGGGGTGGGACAGTATGTTAGTCCACCCTCACACTGCTATAAAGACATACCTGAGACTAGGTAATTTATAAAGAAAGGAGGTTTAATTGACTCACAGTTTTGCATGGCTGGGGAGGCTTCAGGAAACTTACAATCATGGCGAAGGGCAAAAGAGAAGCAAGCACCTTCTTACAAGACAGCAGAAGAGAGAGTGAGCGAGGAGAAGTGCCACACTCTCAAACCGTTAGATCTCCTAAGAACTCACTATCATGAAAACAGCATGGGGGAAACCACCCCTGCGATCCAATCACCTCCCACCTAGACCCTCCCTCAACACATGGGGATTACAATTCGAGATGAGATTTGGGTGGGGACACAGAGCCAAACAATATCAGATGAAGGAAGGAAGGAAGGGAAGGAGGGAGGCAGTGAGGAAGGGAGGGAGGAAGGGAGGATTAGGTATCTTTTATAACAAGAAAATTGTCACAATTTTTTCAGGAATACAGGTTCCATTGGTGAATATCAGGTCATCTCTCCTGTACCCCTGATTTTATTTGATTCCCTAAATGCCCCTCAGTAAGAAGGAAATGTGCACTAATTGGTTGAGGCTCAAAGTGATTATTCATTATGAAAGTAATCCTACATATCAATTCCCTTTGAAGGATGTTTAGGAGAACTGCTATTATTTTTCTTTCACCTTGGAAAAGAAAAAGCAAAACCAAGCCAGCCAGGTTTATTCTGCTTCATTACAGCTTGAAAATGCATTTACTGTACAGTCGTTTTTCAATATAGTAAATCTCTCTGGGAGCAGTTTATTCTGCGAGATGCAGAGTTATCTTAGTTGGATAATTCATGCTCTTTGGTTTACCTGGGATGTGCAATTGAGGCCAGTTGCTGAAATGGTACCAAGAGCAACAACGACATCAAGAGGCAATGACAAGTTCCAAGGGTTATGGCACTAAGAGTGTGGGGCTACAGCTGTGGCTGTGTTTCAGATCCCCAAGTGCCCATGTGAGTTCCTGGCTCAACACCATGAATACGCCAGGAGAGAGCCCTTGCCTGGTCAGTGACACAGACCGTAGGACAAGGGAAGTGTCAATGGGATCTGGCCAAGAATTCCTATTAGAATACCTGGTGAATTATGGCTTTTGAGAAGCAGTAATAATCTTCACATAAAGGGATTCCTATGTTGATTGTAATAAAAACGAATCCAGGCCCCACCAGCCTCCCTCATTTGGATTCCTAAGTTTCTCCCAAGTGGCTTCCCAGCCCTCAGCTCCACTCTCTCTGATTTCATTCTTCACCTTCTATCCAGAGATATTTTCTCAAAAGAAAGTCTAGTCAAGTTGTTTTCCTATCTATATTCAGCCAGTGCTTACCCAATCTCATAAAATGAAGTGTGAATATTTACTGATTACAGAGATTATAAGGCTTTCACTCTTCAAGTTTTCCTCTTGCTAGTTCACTTTCTAGTTGCTCTGATTTTTTTTCTGTTTCACACTCTCCCCAAGCTTTTATTAGCCTTGTGACTTCTGCACATGTTGTTCTCTTTACCTGAAATACTTTCCCTCATTCTGCACTCTCCTTGGGTCCAAAATTCAACATCTTTCCTTTGGGCTGGGAGTGAAGAAGTCACCACCTTCAACAGAAGACTCGGCGGTGCTCTTACATATCATAACTCCTCATAGCACACCTTAAACAACAGTCTTCACACTTTAGGGTTATCACATGTTTAATATCTGTCTTGTTCACAGCACTACAAGATCTCTGAAGGCAGGTGTCTTATTCTCTACACTACAAGACCTGTTAAGGCAGGGACCACACTTGTCTCATTTATTACTGTGTTACATTACCTTGGACTGTTTCTAAAACATAGGCTCAATTAAGATTTGTTGAATGCACAGATCACCAAATGAGGTGCTCACTGGTCTCCCATCTGCCTCTGACAAGGGGGCATTACCAGTGAACCCATTTTCACAGTGAAACCCCTTTCTCTCTCTCTTATTTCATTCCTTTAAAAACAGAAAGTAATGATAGGACTTGTTGCTGATTCTTGAGTATGAGCTTATTCAGTTAATGCCAAGTTCCTTGCACAGTCCGTCTTTGGCTGGTTTAGAGCAATGGTTTGGGGATTGGAGAACTTCCCCCTGGAGGGCTTAAAACACAGTGTTCTGGACCCTACTCCAGAGTTTCTGGTGCAGGGATCTGTAGTGAAGCCTGAGTGTCTTCATTTTTAACAAGTTCCCAGGTGCTACTGACACTGCTGGTCTGGAGACCACAGTTTGTGAGCCACTGGTCTGAACATCCTATTTAAAGTCACTTCATTTCTACAGTCTCACTGTCCTATCTTATCTCAGTATGTGGACCCCCCATCTAATTAACCTACGGTTCATCTACTTTTCATGAGATTAACACTTGGCCAGATCCTGCTGTGGCGGATACTCAGTGCAACATGTTATGTTTTGACCTTGCATAGAGTCATTAAGCAAGTTTGATTAAGCAGGGCCTTTCTATGCCTAGTAAGGCCCAAAAATAAGCAAAAAATATATGGGACATGACCACATAAAGAAAACCTGCTAGCGATTTTTGCACATTGATTTTATATCCTGAGGCTTTGCTGAAGTTGTTTATCAGTTTAAGAAGCCTTTGCACTGAGGCAATGGGGTTTTCTAGATATAGGATCATGTCATCTGCAAACAGGGAAATTTGACTTCCTATCTCCAGTTTGAATATTCTTTATTTCTTTCTCTTGCCTGATTGCCCTGGCCAGAACTTCCACTACTCTGTTGAATAGAAATGGTGAGAGAGGGCATCCTTCTCTTGTGCTGGTTTTCAAGGGGAATGCTTCCAGCTTTTGCCCATTTAGGATGATATTGGTTGTGGGTTTGTAATAGATGACTCTTGTTATTTTGAGGTATGTCTCTTCAATACCTAATTTATTGAGAGTTGGTCAACATGAAGAGATGTTGAATTTTATCAAAGGCCTTTTCTGCATCTATTGCGATAATCTTGGGTTTTGCCTTTAGTTCTGTTTACGTGATGAATTGCATTTATTGATTTGTGTATGTTGAACCAACCTTGCATCCTGGGGATGAAGCCAACTTGATAGTGGTGGGTAAGCTTTTTGATGCATTCCTGTATTCCAACAACAGGCAAGCAGAGAGCCAAATCATGAATGAACTCCCATTCACAATTGCTACAAAAATATTAAAAGACCTAGGAAAACAGCTAACAAAGGAAGTGAAGGCACTCTTCAAGGAAATCTAAAAACCAATGCTCAAATAAATCAGAAAGTACACAAACAAATGGAGAAACATTCCATGCTCACAGATAGGAAGAATTAATATCATGAAAATGGCCATACTGCCCAAAGTAATTTATAGATTCAATGCTATTCCCATTAAACTACCATTGATATTTTTCACAGAATTAGAAAAGGCTATTTAAAATTCGTGTGGAATATAAAAAGAGCCCAAATAGCCAAGACAATCCTAAGCAAAAAGAACAAAGTCGTAGGCATCATGCTACTCAACTTCAAACTATACCACAAGGCTACGTTAACCAAAACAGCATGATAATGGTACAAGAACAGACACATAGACCAATGGAACAGAATAGAGAATTCAGAAATAAGACTGCACACCTACAACCATCTGATCTTTAACAAACCTGACAAAAACAACAATGGGAGAAGGACTTCCTAATTAATAAATGGTACTGGGAAAACTGGCTAGCCATATGCAGAAAATTGAAACTGGACCACTTCCTTATACCTTATACAAAAATTAACTCAAGATGGATTAAAGACTTAAATGCAAAACCCAAGACTATAAAAACCCTTGAAGAAAATCTAAGCAATGCCATTCAGGACATAGGCACGGGCAAAGATTTCATGACAAAAAATGCCAAAAGCAATTGTAACAAAAGCAAAAATTGAAATATGATTAATTAAACTGAAGAACTTCTGCACAGCAAAAGAAACTATCATCAGAGTGAATAGACAAAATACAGAATGGGAGAAAATTTTTGCAATTTATTCATCTGACAAAGGTCTAATATCCAGAGTCTACAAGGAATTTAAATTTACAAGAAAAACAACAACCCCATTAAAAAGTGGAAAGAGGACATGAACAGATACTTCTTAAAAGATGGTACACATGCAGCCAACAACCATATGAAAAAAAGGTCAACATCACTGATCATTAGAGAAATGCAAATCAAAACCACAATGAGATACCATCTCACACCAGTCAGAATGGCCATTATTAAAAGTCAAAAAACAACAGATGCTGGCAAGATTGTGGAGAAAAAGGAAACAATTGTACACTGTTTGTGGGAGTGTAATTTAGTTCAACCATTGTAGAAGACAGTGTGGTGATTCTTCAAAGTTCTAGAGGCAGAAACACCACTTGACCCAGCAATCCCATTACTGGGCATATACCCAAAGGAACAAAAACCATCCTGTTATAAAGACATATGCATATGTATGTTCGTTGCAGCACTATTCACAATAGCAAACACATGGAATCAACCTAAATACCCATAAATGATAGACTGGATAAAGAAAATTTGGTACATATGCACCATGGAATACTATGTAGCCATAAAAAGGAATGAGATCATGTCCTTTGCAGGGACATGGATGGAGTTGGAAGTCATTATCCTCAGTAAACTGATGCAGGAACAGAAAACCAAACACCACGTGTTTTCACTTATAGGTAGGAGCTGAATGATGAGAACGCATGGACACAGTGTGGGGAACAACACACACTGAGGCCTGTTGTGTGAAGAGCGAGGGAGAGCATCAAGAAGAATAGCTAATGGCTGCTATGCTTAATATTTAGTTGATGGGATGATCTGTGCAGCAAACCACCACGGCACACATTTACCTATGAACAAGCCTGCACATACTGCACATATACCCCTGAACTTAAAATAAAAGTTGAAAAAAAAACAAAAAAAAAAAACAAAGAAAAACTGCAGTTATTGACTCTGTTTCACAGCATTAGAGAGAGTTGATGATAGTTTAGATTGGAATTAAATCTTTTCTGGATGAATAATTGTGAATGACATTTTTATCCTGTATTTTCTTTTTTTTTTTTTTTTTTTTGAGACGGAGTCTCGCTCTGTCGCCCAGGCTGGAGTGCAGTGGCGGGATCTCGGCTCACTGCAAGCTCCGCCTCCCGGGTTCACGCCATTCTCCTGCCTCAGCCTTCCGAGTAGCTGGGACTACAGGCGCCCGCCACTACGCCCGGCTAATTTTTTGTATTTTTAGTAGAGACGGGGTTTCACCGTTTTAGCCGGGATGGTATCCTGTATTTTCATAGTCATCTTTTTCTCTAAGGCCAAAGTACCCAGTAAACAAGGTTTTAGTTTTGTTTATTTATTTATTTATTTGGAGTGCTCTCCACATCTCTTACAGTATTTACTTTCTAAACTTACCTTATAGGCATGATTCAGTATGCTCAGATACAAAGAATCAGTCACTTTATTTGGTTCAGGTTTTCACTTTCATTTAGATCATAGGCCCCTAAATTTTGACTACGGTTTATGAAATAAACACAAAGCATGAAATTTTAGGAAACCCAACATCTCATGACTGACTTCCTTGGCTATGGTTTTTAGCTATGATTACCTTCTTGCTTAGTAAGTCACTCGTTTACTTCTCAGGGCTAGCTGGATGCCTGGAATGTCTTTTAAAGGAACTTAAAATTGTCCTTTATTTCCATGCTTAAGGGGCCCAGCAGGCACCTAAGACAGGTCCCAGCTCTGTCTCACTATAACATGTTGAGGGGCTCCAAAGTGTTGAGAACCTGCATGCTGACTTACCAATTGGATGTTGATTAGAATTGGTTCACCATCCATCCATCCAATCACTCAATAAAGCACAAAAACAACAAAACTCATTGTATAAGGTGCTGCGGGAATCAAAGACTTATAAACCAGGGATGTCTTACCTTGAGGATCTTATCATGTGACAGGAAAAGATACACAGACAAGTGATTGCATAGCACCACAAAGAGATATAATGAGAAAGTTAAGTCTACCCAGAAGAGGAAGTACGGTAAAAGAGCTTAGACTTTAAAGGAAGGAAGATTTAAATACCAAATCCAGTCCTTGTTAGGCAGGCGGGCACATACCCACTGTAAACTTTTGGTTTTTTCATCTGTAAAAATGAATAGTATGTAGAATTATATTTTTAAGAGTTTGCAATATTGTATGATACTATTTAGTAAGGGTTGTACTCTCAAAAAAAAATGCCGTGGTTAATGTTAAGCATGGTATTCAGATTAAAACTGAGTGTTTCTTTCACAACCATTTTCCTGTCTCCTGGGGTCAGACCACATCCCTTTCCAAACTGCCCTCAAACCGTCTGCCTCCGAACTAGTGCTTGTTCTACTTTTCTGCCCTCTGCAGGCTTTGCTGCCTGTAGCCTTAGCAGTCCATTTATGTGCAGAAGACCGTGAGGAGGGGCACCAGGCAGCCACTCCAGAGGCAAGGTCAGGAACCCAGGTGCCCTGGAGCTCACTCTGGACTCTGTGCTGCTTCTGGTCTGAATTTAGAGACAGGATCAAAGTACATAAGAGTGGATTAAGCCACCACATGAACTACAGACACACACACACACACACACTCACTCACACATGTGTGCATTCCATGAAGAATGGAATTGAGTGCAGCCTGGCAGCTTTCCCTGCTGGAAGCAAATCTGGGCTTGTTAGATGCTGTCTGTTTCAGGCTAACATAGATGTGTGAAGGCCTCTGTCAAGTGCACCCAGTTGAGCCGACAGACCGTCCAGTCCTATCCTGAGCTGTCTTTTGACTTCATCTAAGAAAGGCACAAAGCACAACTGGAAATAAATGCAGTACAGGAGGCAGAACTAACTGGGCAGCCGCCTTCTCCTAGGCATCTTCGTTTTGTAGCAGGGACAGAGGCGATCCGGATCCTCCTCTCCCAGTCTTCCTTCATGCAAAAGCACATATGCTCATTGCTGTCCCAAAAGACATGAACATTCAGGAAACACACCATCGACTTCTAAGGGAAAAACACATTTTGATGGATTTGAGGTACAGTAGGAGGTACACAAATGAGTAACAGCACCTATGTACTTTCCATCTCCATAACTGTGCGCATCCACAGAAATATCCAATTTCATATTCCTCATCTCATTATGAAGTGACAAGAGTTTCATTTACAATGCCAAAGAAATCTATTGCTGTCTTCAATCACAGCCGGTCATGTGGTGGTGTGACTGCTGTACTCCAGCATGGTGCTGGACAGTTTATGCATACAGCATGATGATAAATTAATCCACCAAGAAATACAAATTGGTACAGTTATGTGTAACATACTCATGTGGTGCCTGTCATACATTAGGGAGAGGAGTAGACTCTGATGACCTCACTGTTTTCAGCCAACAGAGGGTGAACAAGAGCTTAGTGCAAAGCACTCAGCAAACGGAGGAAGGTGGAGACCCCCTTTCCAGGACAGTAGTACTCAGGGGCAGCCATCCCTGAATCCAACCCTGTCATCTGTCATGCCACAGGGTCTGTAGCTCTATGACTGGGTTTGTCTCTTCTCTTTCCTCTGTAGTTATGTGGGGCTTGGTTGTTTTTTTTTTTAATTTTTTAAGATCATTTTAGATTTGGGGGTACTTATGCAGGCCTGTTACATGGAAACATTGCATAATGCTGAGGTTTGGGCTTCTACTGAACCCATCACCCACATAGTGAATGCAGTACCCAATAGGCATTTTTCTGACCTTTGTCTACCTCCCTTCCTGCCTCCTTTAGGAGTCCGCAGTATCTATTGTTTCTATCTCCATGTTCATGAGTACCCAGTGTGCCAGTCTCACTTATACGTGAGAAAATGCGGTATTTGATTTTCCGTTTCCCCATTAATTCATTTAGGATAATGGCCTCCAGTTGCATCCATGTTTCTGCAAAGAACATGATTTTGTTGTTTTTTATGGCTTCATTGTAGCCCATAGTGTATATGCACCACATTTTCTTTATCCAATACACCAATCACAGTCACCTAGGTTGGTTCCATGTCTTTGCTATCGTGAATAGTGCTGTGAATAACATATAAGTGCACATATCTTTTCAGTGGAAAAATTTATATTCCTTTGGGTATATAGTCAATAATGGGATTATTGGGTTGGATGATAGTTCTATTTCAGGTTCTTGGACAAATCTCCCAACTGCTTTCCACAGTGGCTGAACTGATTTACATTCCCATTGACAGTGTGTGTTCTCTTTTCTCCAAAAACTCACCAGCATCTGTTTCTTGACATTTTTTTTAAAGGGACTTGCTCTCACTCTATCACCCCAGCTGGAGTGCAGTGGTGTGATCATGGCATTTCTAGACTTTTTAATATTAGCCATTCTGACTAGCATGAGGTGGTATATCATTGTGGTTTTGATTTGCATTTATCTGATGACTGGTGATGTGGAGCCTTTTTCCATGTTTGTTGGCCATGTGTATGTCTTCATTTGAGAAGTGTCTCTTGCTTTAATCAGCATTTATTTTAAATGTGTATTGATTTCATTAAACTATGTGAAGAAATTTAATAGAATGAATTCAAACTGAAGATTTTTCAGAGAATTCTAGAGGCCCCTGCCCGTGCCACTTTATACAGACATGCGCAGGTCCAAAGTTTTTCATTCAGCTTTCATCACTAGCATCCTAACTGGACCCGTATTCTTAGAGAAGATTTACCAGGTGCACCAACAAATAGATGATACTTCCCACTTGCATGGCAGAGTGTGTAATTTACCATCTCATGGTCCAAGCATTCTGCTCCTTAAGTTTTAGTGTTCTGGCTTATAGGTAAATAAAATGCTCTCAGAGACTTTGAAAATAGTGGTGCTTATTAAAATGATGATGCACTGTTTTTCTTCCCCTGCCTGTGTAAATCACACCCAATACGTGATTCCTCCTCTTGAAAATACCAGCCTTTCAATGTGCCCACCTGGGAGTGGGCACTAATGAGCTATTCTCATGATGTGAACTCTGTGTTCTTGGTACACATCTCATTCCAACCAACCCGCAGGGGAAGAAACACAAGCTTATCATTCACTATGTTCAAAGTGAACTAGACGAGAAGTTGGAATTGATGCAGGAGAAAACCATCTAGGTGGCTCAGGGGGCAAAGTCATGAGATTCACAAGTTCAGAAATTATTTCTTTGACTTTCCCAAGAAGAGCTCAGCCATTCAAAGCACTACAACTGCTTGCCCACAAGTGCCTTCTGCAGGGGACTCCAGGGTCTTAAGAGAGTTCACTTCATTACTTCACAGTGTTTCTGAATCATTTTCATGTGCAACAGTTGGAGTGTAAGGCGGTGGGTGGGGGGATGCCTAATAAGTGCTAAGAACCTTTAAAATGGTTAAAGCCTGCATGAGAAAACATAGGATTCTATGGCTGCTCCCCTAGGTTGCCAGTGACTTCCTTAGTCCCCAAAGGTAAATGACAGCTAATTATTGGGTGGGAATCACCACTGCACAGAGAGAGAAGTCAGGAGAGGTGTAGCGGAACTAGCATCGACATGAAGAGAGCAAACCTGGGCTTGTATCTTTTGGCTGAGATCTGAGCAGCTTTGGGGAAGCTATCTGATCATCAAAGATCTCCAGTATGTCAGCTATAGAATCACTTATAGAGACTTCCATGGAACCACCGAGTGCCATGTGCTCCCCTATGTATCTCATTTAATCTTCACTAAACCTTGGGACACATATATTAATATCTCAGTGTTTACAGTCCTTGAAAGCCATTAAATCTATTCAGTGAGTTCATTAGTCAATATTATATAGATGTATTATATATGTATGTATGTGTTTTAATATAGGCAACATCAGCTGCCTAGTGGCTAATGCTAGGACTGAAAGAGCAGATGGAGGCTTTAGTAATAAGATAAGAAATTGGAAGCTTGGAAAATATTATAATTTTGAGAACAGCACTGTATTTACTTTGGAAAATGGGATTCATAATTCATCAATAGAGGAATTACAAATTAAAGCCATTAAAGTATAAAATAAACATCATTACTAGTTGATTCTTCACTAAAAAAGAGTTGAAGGAGGTGGTATGACAAATGCTTGTTTCTAGTGTAAACATATGGAAGTCAATACAATTAATAAATCTGAGCCCTACGCATAAAACAGAAATGATCAAAGCCTTCCTCGTATTTCAATTGAAACATTAAGCTCCACTGTGAAGCCTGAAAACAGTTCCTATGGCTGTTTTCTTGAAAATGATGGCAATGTGAATACAAATGCAAACGCACTAAACAGTCAAGGATTAATGTCACTGTCTACTTCAGGTCCCATGGCATATATCCACATACATCAATTTCTGGGTGAATGTCAAATGTATGCAAAGAAGCTTTTATTAAAAATGGGGGATTGCAGAGATTATACATTCCTCCTGCTTTCCACCCCAATCCCCTGATCCTTGAGTCTGCTCCTTACACCTATACCTCCACCAAAAGGTACCATAGCACAACAAAAGAAATATAAACTCCTTCTTGCTAGGAGCTCAGGCAAATGGACCAACAAAAGAGGATGCCCACACCGTGTGAGCTAAAACCCACGATCTGCTTATGTGTGGGATTCACTTACCTTTGCCTTCCCAGTCCCTATATACAATCACAATGTGACTCTGGTATCAGGACTTACTCACTGTCGCTCTGAATATGTGATTCCAGAAATTTACTGGACACACATACATTGTATTTACAAATCCAGGAAAGGTTGGTGTAACTGAAAAACTGAGCGAGGATCGCATTTGAAAAGATAGACCACATCTTCATCAGACTTTGAAGGTCCCTTAGAAGAGCAGCTGAAGTCAGTGAGGCCAGAACCAGCCCTGGCACTGAGTGTCAGCATGGGCTAGGCTGGACTGGCCAGTGCCAGACCTGGGCCCTAAGCATCATTTTCCAGCTGAAGGAAACCAGTCACAAGGGGTCAAGACAGCCAGTTGGCTCAGGTGTCACCAGGACAAAGAGATTCTGCTCCACAATATCTTTACTGTACTGATTCACCACAGCAGAATCTCAGGCCTAATGACACTGCCTCTCCTCCATTGCTCTTCACCGTCTTATTTTGTAACTCCCCCACTCTCACTCCCAGATCCATGAGACGTCAATATTTTTCTGTTACCCAGATAGATCATCTCTGTCCTTTCACTTAACTTCTTTTCAGAGTAACCACTATGGTTAAGGTTGCAAATTGTTAAAGAAAGGAAAAAAGGTGGCCATTTTTAGACACTATTATGACACTTTTAATAGACTCTTTCCCAGATCTTTACAGGCTGAACAGTTTCCTACAACTTCCCAGATTGTCATTTTGAAAACTGCCTTTTTATTGAATATCTTCCACTTTCATAAACTATGACTCATTTCACCAATCACAAACAACACTTACCCCTGAAAATTGGCAAAAGTCTAAATCAATCTCAGGAAAAGAAGTCACATAACATCAGCAATTAGTAGAATATAGTGATTATGCACTTCCTTGGTCTCATTTTAAAGCCATTTTATTGAGTCTTTTAAAAATATATTACAACATCTATCACAATCTGTAAGGGAGGGTCTTGGTTCTGTTCATCAAACTGAAACGTTCATGGTTCTAGGAGGATGGTGCAGAGTCATAGGGCCAAAGATCGGACCCCTGGTCTTGATAAGTGCAAGAAACGTACCCACTTGAGGATGCCTGCCATGACCCTCTCCACAGTGAGCAAGCCCCTTGGGCCAACACTAGCATCATCCATAATCTTTCACATTTGAACTTGCAGAAAACCCATAAGCATATTAATTTCTAGACTTTGACATGGCTCCATTCCACCTCATCCTGGAAATACTTATCTAAGTATTTCCCAGTCTGCATTTGTCAAACGTAGTGACTATGACTTCGTCTAGTACTTTTTTAAGATTGACATTCGAGAAGGATTTGAGAGCTGATGACTGCCATGACTGTGTATTTGTTAATAATCTTCATGGGGGCACTTTCCTAAAACAGCAATTTGCCTCATCGTTCTATGAAGACCTAAGTCCATCTGTCCAGGATGAAATACTCCGCTTACATCCCTAACTTGATGTTGTCCATTCTAGCCACTGTGTTAAGCTGCTGGGAACTGGAAGGGCTCTGTGTAGCTATGGCATGGGAGCATTTTGTTTTGTTTCTCTTGTACACAGGAAAATGTGGGGTCAATATCCTTAGTAAAGCACACCTAGGCACCAGCAATAATACCGGCCAATAAAAATGCAACTCTCGGAGAGGAGCACTGCAGCACTCTACAATGTTGGGGTTACTCACTGTCATCAAATCGTTCTTAATTCAGTAGCTAAAACACCCATGTAGATCATGTGAAGTTGCCATTTCACAAAACTAGTTGATAGTGCTACAAACACTAACTTAGAATCCCCCATGATTGCAATAAATTAAACACACTTTCCCAACTCAATCATGCCCTCTTCATCACCTCTTTACTCTACTGAGGCTAACATTTGACCACCCCTTTGGAGGTGCTGCTGTGCATGTCCCAGAATCTCACGGAATTTTATGGAGAAGGACATGTCAGGCACAGAAGAATTGTCATCATGGTAGAACAGTGGCCCCAGCATCCTCCTCCATGCCTGAGCACCCTGGACATGTTGGGGGTGCACACTTGCTAATCGTATATGCCACCTGCCCCCTGGGCTTCCCATGGGTCCATGTGAAACATCTTCAGAGAGCATTTCCTCACATGCTCCAATGAAGCAGAAGTCTCTATGCTCACAGACCTTTGTATGAAACCAGCAAGAGAGGCTGCTGCAATTTCTGTCACGTAGTTGTCACGTAGATAACTATCACAACAAAAAGCAATCAGGCCCTTAAATCTGAGCCTCTTCCAGCCAGACAGTGCCTTTTCCTTGAATGGAACATTGGTTTACCTAATCATATGAACTCTGTGCTTCCAGTTTTCTCCACTCTGCCTCCTGCTGCCCAGTGTTTCTAGAAGTCTTGGTCCATGCCACGGTTGTTTGGTCTCTTTGCTCTTTTCCAACAGATACTGGTTGCCATGGAAATATGGAGGGCATTCAGTTTGGACAAGACTCACCGAAGCTCTTTATGAAATGAAATTACCATTAGTCATTTCTCTTGGATCTCTGCAGCAGTGGCTGACATACATCCCGCAGCTAAATAAATGGCTCTGGATAATTAACCTAAGAGTCTCTGTGCTGATGTGGCATAAACATAAGGAGATAAACCTGTGGTTTTAGACAGGCTTATCCTGTTCCTGCAAACCCTTAAACCTTGTGGATAAAAAGACCCTAGGCAGAGTCTGTTGGAAGCATGTGAGGACTTTGGCTCCTGAAGGTGATCTGCAAACTCCAAGAGGAAATTGCATTCAATTGAGGAAATTTCAGTAGGGTGGAATGCAGTCCATCTGCAATTGCTCCTGACCTAGACTGACAAAGTGCAGCCTAGCACATGATAGGGCCAGGGTGAATCAGGGAAGAAACCTGGGAACCCCTTATGTCCCAGCAAAAGCTACTCCCCTTTATCCTGCAAAAGCTACTGACCTGTGAGCAGTGTGAGGAAATAGTCTCTTTGGAAATGTCCACGTGTGTGTGTGTGTGTGTGTGTCTATGTGTGTGTCTATGTATTTGATGAAACAATACTTTCATATACACATAAATGCTAATAACCATAATATTTTAAATAATAACATACCCATTTAATTTTCTTTTCCAAGAACTGCAGGTGAGTTCAGGTCTAGAAACAAGTCTGTAGCAAGTCAATTTTATATTTCTAAGGTGTGTTGCGGGGGGACTTACTGGCTTGAGGTGTTTTACTTAGCTCCCAGCACCCCTGCATAAAGTCAGGGTCCCAAGAGCCTGAAGGAGACAGACAAGAGACCTGCTGTAGCCCATGCCCACCCAAGCCAGGGCAGCATTGTGAGGGGTGGGAATGAGGGCCAAGAGGGGTGTCTGGTGCTCACTCTGCTACTGGCCAGCTTTGCAGCATGAATTATGAAGCCTCATGTCTGTTGGCTTCAGTGCAGAGAAGTGAGAGCTCCGGATTAAATGAGCATCAAGGCTGTTTCAGACCTGAAACTCTAATCTGAGGCCTATGTGGAGACCCTTGATTGGGCAGGTCTGTTCAAATTGTGCTATGCGGGTGTGCTGTTCTCACCAGCGCTGATGCTGGTAGACAGGAAGAGACGTCTGGGGAGTCCAGCAGAGTTTCCTAACCTGCCACAGTCTGCTGCCACTTTGCAGCATTCATCTGTCAGCCTCATTTGGGGGAAAGAATGGCAGTGCATGGGACAATCAAACCATAATTAATTGCTGAACCCCATTATGCTGACTTCAAATACCATGGCCTGACTAGACAAATTACCATGACAAATGGATGTGACATTCTTTTTTTCTTTCAGATTCAGATGCTGTCACTGGGAAGAGGCAGCAGATGGCTCAGCACAGTTCAGCTTTTTCTGTAGCCCCTCTGTCCTGGTGAATGGGGGTGATGGTGACTGACATCTCCCACTGCCATGAAAAGTTGTTATAATTATGATAGGGACCTCTTAATAAAACAGATATATATTGAACTTAAGACATTAAAGCTAGTATTGTTATGTTACTATCTCCTTTCTTTTTCCAATACTTTTTTGTTGAAATATAATTCAAATACTATACATCACCCATTTAAAGTGCATATGGAAACATTTTTATTATACTTATAGAGTTGTGCAACTACCACCAGATTCAAGTTTAGAACATGTTCATCACTGCAAAAAGAACCCCATACCCGTTAGCAATCCCTCCCAATTATTCCCAATTCTCCCACAACCTAGACATCATCACTCTTCTTTCTACTTCTACAGATTTGCCTATGCTGCACATTTCATTTATATGGAATCATATGGTATGTTTTCTTTTGTGACTGGATACTGGCTTCTATCATTTAGCATAATGTTTTCAAGTTACTCAGGTGTAGCATGTGTCAGGACTTCATTTCATTGAGTTGCTGAATAATATTTGATTGTATGCATATACTACATTTCATGGATTGATTATCAGTTGATAGACACTTAGGTATTTTTCACTTTTTCACTATTATGAATAATGTTGCTATGAACACTCATGTACACGATTTTGTGTTGGCAAATATTTTTATTTCTCTTGGGCATATAACTAAAAGTAGGTCATAGGATGGGTCATAGAAGACTTCTACATTTAACCTTTTACAGAATGACTGGACTTTTTGCAAAGCAGCTGCACCATTTTACATTCCCACTGGCAGCCTATGAAGGCTCCAGGGTATCTACATCCTCACCAACACTTGCGTGTTCATTTTTGTAAAGCCACCATGATAGTTATGCAGTGAGATCTCACTGCGGTTTTGATTCACATTGCCTCGATGGAGACTGCCATCCATCTTTCTATGTCCTTTTTGGCCGTCTGTATATTCTTTGCAGACTGTTCAAATCTTTGCCAATTTTTAATTTAGTTATTTGTCTTTTTATCATTGAGTTGGAAGAGTTCTTTATATATTCTTGATACAAGTCTCATATATATATTATTTTAAAATAGGTTTTTTTAAAGTTTTGTCTATTGTCTTTTTAATTTCTTGGATGTAGAAAAGTTTTTTTTAATTTTGATAATATTTAATTTGTTGTATTTCTTTTGCTGTTTGTGATTTTTGTGTCATATCCAAGAAGACCTTGCCTATCTCAAGATAACAAAGATTTACACCTACATTTTCTTCTACGAGTGTTAGAATTTTAGCTCTTAAATTTCAGTTTGTAATTCTGAGTTAATTTTTATAATAACTGCTTTAAATTCTTTGTTTTCTAAATATTATATCTGTGCCCTCTCAAAGGCAGCTTTGATTCTCTGTTTTGTTTTTTCCATGTATAGGTCACACTTTCTTCTTTTTTGTGTTTTGCACTTTTTTGTAGAAAAATTATGAATTTAAAATGATATATTGTAACAGCCATGAATACTGACTCCTCCCCACTCTCCAGGGTTTGTTGTTGTTGTTTGTTTATTGACATGTTTGATAACATGGTTGAACTATTTTAGTGAAGTCTATTTCTACCATACATAGCCTCTAATGTCAGTCTTCAAAGGGCACAGCCATGGGCATGCGTAAAGCCACCATGAAATTTTGGTGGTTTTCTTTCATGGTCCTTTTCTGTCTTTTTCTTGTCTTTCTGCTAAGCTAATTTCTTCTCTGGGTATCACACCCTGTTGTAAGACTCCTCTAATTGCCAACTGATTGCTGTATTGTTTTCAACAGTGACCAGGCACATAAATTGCTCTACAGACTCTTTCGTTCAAATTTGGGCTCCTTTGCAAAAGTGGTTTTTGAGGCTAGTCTTTTGAGGTTTGTTCCCAACCCTAGAAAATTCTGTTGTCTCTTTCCCTGGTTCTCTTTGGGAAACTTCTAGCTGGTCTATGCTTTAATATGTTTCCATCCTCAATCTATTAGAGTCTTCTTAATAGCTTACCATGAAATCTCTAGTGTTTTTTACAGTGCCCTTAGACTTGAACTTCCCCTACACACTCTTCCAAATAAAGCCAGTTACCTTCAGAACATTCTAATGGCTTGCCTTCCCCCGACTAATAAAAGCCTATGAGCCACTTTTCCACAACTGAGAAGAGAGACAGTGGGCCCTTTCTCTCAGAGAGATACCTCTGCTTTATGAACAGGGTACTAGGTCGGGGTCAGAAGCCTCAGGTCTTCTTGGCTTGCCTCTCCTGGTGGGGAACCTCTACCCTACAAGTGAGTTGAGGCAATTGCAACTATACTAATTCTGGCCTGCTATCAGTGGGGGCTAGGTGGAGGAAAAGAGGCCCCAGCTTCTCAGCCATTCTTGCCTAGGATAGAGATTCTGTAAACAGATCTGGAGTGATGAGAAATGCTGGTGTCCTGGTTGTCCCGGGAAGATACCATAGCCCTAGCCTGGGAGCTAGTGGGAGAGGGACTCCTGTATTCTTAGCTGCACCCACCTCGAGTAGAACTTCCGTCAATACTGAGCTGGAAGAAGGAGGAGGGGCATAGTTAATGGCTTAAATGCAGAGACTCTTGTTATTCTGACTGTGATTTAATAGAATTTTCTTGAATAAACATTTCTTTCTTTGCCGTATCACTAATAACAGCTTCCATCACTTTAAATGTTTTTGTACACACAATTTTCATCAGTTATGATTATTTTACTTAAGAAAGGGCCCATGGAACTTCTCATACACCAGTCTAAAGGTCATCTCTCTCATTTCTTTTCAAAAAAGATAATTATAGTTTTAGGCAGTTGAATCTTAAATTCATTTGGAGTTGAATTGATTTGGAGCTAAGTTATAATTAAGGCCTCTGTCACTTTTTCTCCAATAATGATAATATTGAGCAATACAGTGAATACACCTGAGTACAATGTCTAGGTCTACTTGTAACTAGCTCTGTAAATCTCCACAGGGTGTTTGTCTTTTTATTACTAGCCACCAATATATTGAATTGGAATATCACTATGTTTTCTAGGAATCTATGAAAAGTGATTCCATTATGTTTCAGTGATTTTATGATTTGAAGAAGATCCTTCTCAAATGTTGTGTCATTCATTCGTGATACACACCAAGGCCCCGTGGCCTGGTGCCATGTCTACTTATTTTCTGATGTTTGGCCTATGGGGTACAACATGCTTTACTTCATGCTGAGCTGTCTGGTGTTTGCTCAGTTCACAAAGTCTTGATAAGCCTGTGATAGACATGTTGCAAATATGATTCAGGCTGACCCATTGCAAATGAGGCATCCTCGGGTCCTGGTGTCTGATGTTAGTACACCTGCACATCCTGATGCCCCCACAGTGCCCGCCAGACGATCTGCCTGACCTGCATGTGTTCAGGAGAGCTGGGCTCCCGCTGCTCAACAGAGAGGGCATTGAGCTGGGAAGAAGAAGCAACTAATTCTGCCGTTTAAGTTCGTGGTTTTCTTTCAATCATTTCATGGCTCTGGGCCTCAGTTTCTCAATTGGAAAATGGCAACATTTGTCAATATAAATGTCACCTGTGTTTAAAGATGGATTATTTACTTTCACTGGATGAATGAGGGTTTGTGGTGGTGAGGTGGCTAAGGCAGTTGTTTAGGCTAGGAATGCCCAGTTGTCAATTCGAAGTTGATTACTTTTCTGAAATAGAAACTCTTTGATTGCTCCTATTCTCACTGGGACATTGAGTGTAAGTGTGTGCATGTTAGAAATCAGTTTTGGTTGGTTTTGTCCTTTTCTCTTTGTTTTTGTGGCAAACCCGGAAGGCACTGAGCATCAATTCTGGCTAGATGGTAGGGAACAAAAAAGTGTGTTGTGAGTGGGAGCCTCAAAACAGAAATAATGACTGTGCTCCTCATCCCAAAATCCCGAAACACTTGAAGAGGGCTTTGAAGTTCTTCAGAGAATGAAATAGGACCCCAAGGCTTTTCAAGAAGAGTCAGAGGGCACCAAGGCCACAGCTCCATGCCTGTTTCCACGCAGGAGAGGCCAGTCATCATTTCATTTAGAAGTGCTATATCACCAGAGACTAAGAAAACTTCCAGATAACCACAGAACCTCCAAAATATAGTTTTAAATAAATGAATATGTATCCTTAACAGAGTTTCCTTCTTCTGCATATAGAGTGAATAATTTAATAAAGTTGCTGACAGTGTGTGTAACCTCAGCCCTAGCTCCCAGGAGTGGCACTTCCATCCTTTTCCCATGCTGGCAGTGCAGTGAACTGAGCTGAATGGGGGAGATCATTAACAGGAAACTGGTAGCAGTTCAGGTGGTGAAGAGTCCCTTGGGCAAGGGGAGAAGAGATTGATGAAGAAGCTCCATGTCCAAACAAAATCATAAGAGAAGCCAGCCCAGTGTCAACAGGGCTGGAGAAGAGGGGTGCCCCCACGAGGGGTGTCCCCAGGCGGTAGGATAAAGTAGGAAAGCAAGGAGGGCAAGGAATGGCTTTGCATGAGAATGACACCTGGCAACTAGAGAGGCTGTTCTGACAATGACATCTGAACATAAGGAAAGGTGTTGCTGCATCCACTGCAGACCCTACTCCTCCCCAGCAGGAGGGGAAGCGGGGAGTTAATGGTACCTCTACCCATCACGGCATAAAATTACTCATGAACCCTCCTTTAGTAAAGGCAGCCATTTTAAAAATATATATAGATGCATAATAGACATGTTTATAAGGTCCATGTGATATTTTGATACAAGCATACAATGTGTAATGATCAAATCTGGGTAATTGGAAAATCCATCACCTCAAGCACCAAGCACTTCATATGAAACACACCTTTTAATACTCTTCAGAGCCACAGGAAGGTGGCATTCTTATCCCCATTTTAAAGACAAAAAATATTGAGGCTTCAAAGAGACGTAACTTGGCCAAGCGCTGAGCAGCAGTGGAATCTGAACCCGTGTCTTTCTAAGCAGAGCTCATGCTCTAATTCACGTGCCTTCCTGCCTTCTCCAGATCATTGAGGCAAAAGTTACCTGCTGGCCATCAGCTCACCGCTGCAGGCAGTGGGCGCAGAGTGGGCACTCCATGTGGCGTGGGGGCTCCACCTTTAGAGCAGGCAGTCACCTGCTACGTGGCTGCGTGCCTTTGAAGACGCTACTTAACTTTCAGGAGCATTGGCTACTTCTGTCCAAGGAGGATGACACTAAGACATCCAGCCTCACGGTGTCACTGTGGGGATTTGCAGAGATAATTACATGAAGGAAAGTGTGCTGTCTGCACAAAGCAAAAGCTCCATAAATGTCAATGTTATTATTTGCAGTATTATTGACAGTGTTGTTAATATTACATTTGCAAATCATCACTAGGGCTGGGCATGAGCTGAGGTGAGGGCTGATTTTGTGTCTGTGTGCTGAGATCTATAGACTCACTATATTAAATATGCTTTACTACTGCTTGGAGGGAAGAGTTGGTTTTCACAGAGGATGAGATTCCTTTCTCTAGATACTCAAGAAGAGGAGTGTGTGGCCAGGAGTGAGTGGAACCTGTCTCCATGTTCTGCAAATGCACTGTGCTTCGGAGCGGGTGTCTTCCTGTCCTCACCAAGGGAGTGGTGAATTCTGCCTCCTTCCTCCGGTCCGTAAGGGGTCGTGCCTTCAGCGAACTTCATGTCATCTAAATTCCTTTGACCTTTAATAAGGTCGGAGCATCCTCTATGACCTTCTTCTTCCTGAGTGTCTAGTTGCTCAACTTGTTAGGACAAGAACTGAATTTCTCCCAGAAATTTGGTATAGAGTGAACACTACATCTATGGAAGAGAAGTAAAAGGAGGAAGAGGACAAGAAGAATTCTGAGTGCGGCTGGGAGAGATGCCGGGTACCAGCTGCATAGGCATAGTGCTTTGAATTATCTTTTTCATTCCATGCTAAAATTCAATTTCCGTGATTTTACAATAAAGGAGCTTGGCTGCATGAACAACCAGCTTTACATATCAATATAGGGTCATAAATTTAGGGACCAAAATTGAGGTGAAGAGACAGACAGAGAGAAAGAGAGAGAGAGAGAAACAGTTGATCCTGACAGCACCCTGCAGCTCACCATCTTCATGATTGATGTCTCCATGGAAGTGAGCGTAGGAACCCAGTGAGGCAATGAGTGGGCTGGATTTCTGGAGCCTTTGTTGACTTAGGATGAATGTGCTTGTCAGATGCATTGCCAGCATGGGGTCAGTACCTGGGACTCAGGCCACCATGCAGGACAAAAGGCAAATCATGCCAGGAGCCCACACTCAACCAGAGCCCATCCTACCCTGGAAAGGATCTGGAGAATGTTGCCGTTCTCAGCCATAGGACCAACAACACCTACATGAACATCATGTTCAAATCTATCTAGGACCTGCCTGGTTCCAGGTAAGACATGCAAATCTGAGATTAGGGTTAATTAATGTTTTTAAAATGATTTTACCCTATATTTTCAATGAGCATTGTGAATTGTTAATGATCCTGGTCTTTATTTGAAGAAAGCCAAAGCCTAAATTTAATTTTGATTTGGAAAACTTGACTCTTGAACCCCTACTTCCAGTAGCTTCTCATCACTGGTGGAATAAAGTCCAATACCACACCATGCCTGGAATATGCTTTGTGAGCCCGACTCTGGCTACTTGGCCAACTCCACTCCTTCCCTCCCTCTCCTCTCTGCTAGTGTGTTCTGGCTGTGTGGAGAGACTGGGGATTCTGTCTTCCAGCCTTGCCTTAAATACAAATATTTCATCTCACTTCAGGGGGTTTGCAGTGGTTATCCCCTCTGCTTTGGGAGGCTTCTTGGAGAGCCTCAGCTGTGTATACTTCACTTAGGTATCTCCTCAGACATTCTTTGCAGATGGGCCCCTCGACCACTCCACCAAAATCCCACCATGTAGCCCTTGCCTCAGTTCTCCCTGGCTCTAGATTTTATTATCTGGTGGTATTGCCTGTCTCCTTGTTTGGCCCTTGTGTTGCATGAGCTGGACCCAATAAGGTCCAGATACCAAATACATTAACTGAGCTCTCCATTAGCCCCCAATCCCATCAAGGCCCTCGGTTTCAGGCTTTCTTCTGCTCCCAGTCTGGCCCTGACAGTGAATGCCCGGAGTAGAGAGGCTGGCATTGTCAGCTTCTCTGATTTCTTAGCTCCACCTCCTGTGCTAGCAGATATTCACAGCTTCAGGGTTGAAGGAGGAGGAGGAAGGAAAACCCCAATGTGACTGGTAGAGCGGTTGGCTTCCTCCCTCAAGGACGGCATTGCGGATCCCTCTGAGGCCTTCACACGGGGACCTACAACTAGATTTCCAATCATATCAGCTGTGCCTCATACAAGCCACTTATCTTTCCCTCCCTTCCTTCCTTCCTTATTCCTCTTCCTCCTCCTTCTCCTCCTTCCTTCCTTCCCTTCTTCCTTCCTTTCTTTTTTCTTTCTTGTATTATATCATTTTGTCATCTTCTGCATTCCATCCTGGGATTCCCCCAAACTTCTAAAGAATATTGTTTTGCTATTGTTGTTGTTTTAATTTGCATATATTAAGTTTCACTCTTTGTGCTATAATGATCAATGGATTTTGACAAATACATATATCATGTATCCACCATGATACCATCATACAGAATAGTTCCAGCACCCTAAAATTCCCCTGTGCTTCACCTGTTTAACCCTCTCTTCCTCCCTCTGAATCCATGGAAATCACTGATCTTTCCACTGTCTCTATAGTTTTGCCTTTCCAAAAAGTCATATACTTAGAATCATAGAGTGTATACTCTTTTCAAACTGGCTTCCTTCATTTAGCAATATCTGGTTAAGGTTCTCATATGTCTTTTCATGGCTTAATAGCTCATTTATTTGTATTACTAAATAATATTTCATTGTATGACTATATCACTTTGTTTATTCATTAATTTATCTTTGGAAGAACATCTTGGTTACTTCTCCCTTTTGGTGACTATGAATAAAGTTGCTAGAAACATTCACATTCAGATTTTTGCGTGGACATGATTTTCAAATAATCTGGGTAAATACCTAAAACTGCAATTGCTGAATCATATGGTAAGACAATCTAGCTTTGTAAGAAACTGACAAGCTTACTGCATTCCCATCAGAATGAGTGAGAGTTCTTGTTGCTCTACATTCTTATCATCAGTTGGTTTTATTGGTTTTTTAGATCTTAGCATTCCAGTAATAATAGGTATATTAGTGTCTCACTGTTGTTTTAATTTGTAATTCCCCAGTGACAAATAATGCTGGGCATCTTTCTGTGTGTTTGTCATCTGTATATCATATTTGATAAGGTACTCCATCAGGTCTTTTGCCCATTTTTAAAAATCGGGGTCTTATTGATGAATTTTACAAGCTCTTTTTATATTTGGATATAAATTCTTTATCAGATGTGTTTTTTGCAAATATTTTCTCCCAGTCTGTGGTTTGTATTTTCATTCTTTTAATTGTTTCTTTCACAGAGCAGAGACTTTTAAATTTTAATCAAGTCCAATTTATCAATTTTTCTTTCATGCATTATGTTTTCGTTTTGTATCTAAAAATTCATCACCCAATATATCACATAGACTTTCTGCTATGGTTTCTTCTGGAAGTTTTATATCTTTGCACTTTACATTTAGGTCTACAGTTGATTTTGAGTTAATGTTTGTGAAAAGTGTAAGGTCTGTGTCTAGGCTCAATTATTTTTTAATATGGATATTCAAATTTTCCAGCACTATTTTTTTAAAAAAATTCTTCTTTCTTCATTGAATTGCCTTTGCTCTTTTGCTAACGATCAGTTGAAAGTATTTGTGTGGATCTATTTCTGGGTTGTCTACTCTGTTCCATTGATCTACATGTCTATACTTTCACCAACACCATGCTATCTTGAGTACTGTAGCTCTATAGTGAGTCTTGGAATTAGGTAATGGTAATGGGAATTGGCCCTGATTTTGTTATTCTTCTTCAGTATGGCCATTCGGAGTCTTTTCACTTTCCACATACATTTTAGAATCAATTTGTCAATATCTATACAATAGCTTTCTGAGATTTTGATTGGGGTTATGTTGAATCTATAGATCAAGTTGGAAAGAATTTGCATCTTGACAATTTCAAGTCTTCCAACCTATTAATGTTGAATACCTCTCCATATATTTAGACCTTCTTTAATTTCTACCACTGGAATTTTGCAGCTTTTCCCATATAGATACTGTGACTGGGCCACTTTTGACTCCTTTCCCAGTCCTCAGGCTTCTGAAGGTCATCTCTCTTTCCTTAGTCATCTCTCTTTCCTCTTTCCCTGCAGTCCTACACCATCTCTCTTAATTCTTAGGAAATAGTTCCCTTCCCCTGCCATGGTGGAAGTCCAGTTGTCTCCCAGAGAGCCACACTTCTTGATTCAAAAGTAGGGCCATCTCCATACCCTTTCAATTTAGATTCCTCCTATGACAGTTAGAACCCATCTCTGTGCCCTGTACACTCTGGAGGATACCTATCAGATTTCTGGGTGGTCCAGTTGGTAACACAGATGGGAAACTAACTCACCTTCTCCTTCCCTTCCTGGAGTGAAGGTGAACATGCAACACATAGGATGACTCTCTCCAAAGTCATCCTATTCTTCTGCTTCTACTTCATAGCCTACATCTGGATGATGGGCTTAAACTGACAAAACAAGTTCACAATCTCTTAGGAGGTCCGCAATACACATTGCTTTAAGACACAGCATCCTTAACATCTCTTGTACTGAAGAGCAAGGATGTGGAGCCTTCAGATGAGACTAAAACAGAGTTTCAACATCCTGTTAACCTTGTCTAGTGCCTCTGTCACTGAAGGATGAGTGATCTTTCACTAAAGAATGGATACTTGAGGAAAATAACATGAAGAATGTAAATTATTGTCATAATATGACACAGAGAAGAGGCAAGTCAACTTGAAAAATTAGGGAGTAGCATAGGAAACAAACTTTAATCACAATCTTTTTGACAAGACAAATAGTAATATATAATGAAATAATAATGACATGTTCTGTTAGCTTCTAAAAGGGAGGTCCACGTAGAATTGTGGATTTCAGTCAGCATAATGCTTGAGAATGCCTGGCGGGGGAAATGGGTCATGGAAAACTTGCTTGAGAAAGTGACACCTGAACTGTGTCTTAAAGAATAAGTAGAATTTCAACAGAGGAAGGAGTAACTGACTTGGAAGCAGAAAAGAGGCAAAGGAAATAGCAAGAAGAAAAGGAAATAAAAGAGAATTAAAAATAGTGGTTCTGTCAGAGGCATTTGAACCAGAGAAACTCCATCTTGAATAGGGGCTAGGTAAAATAAGGCTGAGACCTACTGGGCTGTATTCTTAGGAGGTTAAGGCATTCTGAGTCACAGGATGAGATAGGAAGTTGGCACAAGATACAGGTCACAAAGCGCTTGCTGATAAAACAGGTTGCAGTAAACAAGCCCGGCTAAAACCCACCAAAACCAAGATGGTGAAAAAGGTGACCTTTGGTCGATCTCACTATTCATTATATATTAATCATAATGCATTAGCATGCTAAGAAACACTCCCACCAGTTACAATTTACAGATGCCATGGCAACATAAAGAAGTTACCCTGTATGGTCTAAAAAGAGGAGGAATCCTCAGTTCCTGGAATTGCTCACCCCCTTTCCCAGAAAGCTCATCAATAGTCCACCCCTTGTTTAGCATATAATCAAGAAATAACCATAAAAATGGGCAACTGGCAGCCCTTGGGGCTGCTCTGCCTATGAAGTAGCCATTCTTTATTCCTTTACTTTCTTAATAAACCTGCTTTCACTTTACTCTATGGATTCACCTTGAATTCTTTCTTGTGCGAGATCCAAGAAACCTCTCTTGGGGTCTAGATCAAGACTCCTTTCTGGTAACAGTTCTCTCCTTCGGTTTAGGGAAGAACAAGAAATTATCAGTATTTGGAATGGAGAATTTATGTATAAGAGTGATAGAAGATGAAAATTAATATTACAATGTAAAGTTAATCCATGGCCAAATGAATGAAAGTCTTGTATATCCATGTTTGGTAGTGTGGGCTTTAGTCTATAGGTGATGGGGAGTCATTAACGATGTGGAACAGAGCAGTGAGGGTATGAACCCAGAAAAAGGAAGACTTATAACTCAGTCAAATTATACACCTGGAGCAGTCACTCTGTTCCAAGCAGTGGGATGAAAACCAGAGATATATCAGAGGTGAGACAGACGGTATTTCTGGCTTGCAGAACTCTCAGGGTCAAGTTAGGATCTTTTGCTGTCAAGGGAGTAAGTGATCATGAGACTCTAGCAAAAGTATGGAGAAAAAGGGACATAGCCTGGGAATGGTTGGGGAAGAGGGTGAGTGACAGGACGTGGAACGAATCACAGACCAAGGATGACTGAAGTTTCTAGCATGAGCCAGACAGATGTCAAGATACAAGCTGCAGGAAAAATGATGGAAAGAATTAAGTAGGAAAAAGGAGCAGGTGGTGGATCTGTGATAACTAGATAAGAAGTCAACCTCAGAGTGGTGAGTCAGCCAGGGAAGAATTCATGATATATTGAACTATAGAGAGAAGGAACAAACATTATTTATATCTAAAGTGTATCTAAGGAGCAACAGAAATAAATTTAAAGAAACTTAGGGCGAAAGGCAATGAGGGATTGTCACAAAGCTCAGACTTGCACAAATGTTCCCCAGAAGCCACAGCTCACCTGCCAAATTGCCTGCTGAAATTTCCTCCACTCATCCTCACCAGCCCATCCCCCAGCCAGTCAAAATATGACCTGCAGTTTTTTAGTTTAGCCTGCAAATTCAAGGAAGGAAACAAATGATTCCAAAATCCATTTTCCACGTAAGCTAAATACAAAGTACAAGAGGCAAATATGAGTTAAGGACTTAGCCCTGAAGCTGTAATGTCTGCCTCTGCTGGGCCAACCATCTGCAGTGCCTTGAGAGTGAATGATGGCTGAGCATACCACCTCTCAAGCCAGAAAAGTCCCAAGTCTGCACAGTTGAAGTCCTCATTTCTAAAGCTCTTGAAATTTCTCTTCTGATTTGGGCTTCCGTGTCCTTGTCCCACCTCATCTCATCTAATCAGGTAGGTGGTTGGATCCACTGAGGTACAGAGGTCAGACGTCTGGCTAAAGCTGGGTTGAGAAGGGAAAAGGAAAATTGCAGAGGAAGCAGCAGGAGTGTGGGGGCCATCTCCTCTCCCCCTTTCCTCAGTTTCCCCTGGGGTAGGGTGTTCCGTGGAACAAGGAACAAGAAGAAGTTTCTACATTACCACAAAATCAGAATGAATATTGAATACAAGAAGATGGAGTAGACAGGGTCCAGATTCCAAAGCCACTATACCTTGGCATCTAGCCAGATGGCTTGGCCATTTCATTCGTCAACCATTTATGCTATAACTATGCATTACAAGCTCAATAAAAGTCTCAAGAGATGCTAAAATTTATTAATTCCTTAAACATTTACTTACTGAGCTTCCACTATAGGCCAGATGTTGTGCTAATTTTGGGGATAACATAGTAAGGAACGACTCAAACCAACAAACACCACCAATACAAGACTGCGGCCCTCTTGAGTCTACAGAAAGTCAAGGAAGCAAAACACATGCACAGGTAAGTGTAAAAACGCACAGCTGTAGTTTAAGTGCCACAAAGTAGAGGTACATGAACATTTATTCTAAGAGCAATGGGGAGCCCTATCTGTGTCCAATGCATGGGGACACAAGAAGGTATAGTATATGGGGACATTGCAGGAATGTCTCTATGGCTGGAAGTCAGAGAGTGCTGGGGGCAGAGAGATGCTGACCATGGAAGACTTCTAAGCTAAGCTAATGTATTTTTGCTTTATACCCAGGAAATTAAGAGGCATTTACTTTAAACAAGGAGTGAATATAACCATATTTGTACAACATAAAATTCATCTTGGTTGCTGAATGAAGGAGGGATTATGATCCCATAAGAAAAGAAGCAGGAGCCCAGTTGGGAGAAAATGCAATAGCTGAAGTTGTGAATGAGGATCCTGCTAAAGTCACATCAATGGGGATAGAGAAGTGGATATGCTAGAAAGACAGTGAGGAAGAGGATGGGAGGAGAGGGAAGGGGAAGGGAAGGGAGCGGAGCGGAGGGGACGGGAGAGGAGGGGAGGAGGAGCAGGTTATGGAGGGGAAGTGGGGCAGTGAGATTAGAGAGGAGGTGGTGATGGGTGAGGACATCCCTGCTTCTGGCATGGTGTCTTATGGGATGGTGAGCTTCTCTTTTAGCAAGAGAGGTGATTATGACAGAGAGAGAGAGACAGAGAATGAAGCAAAGCTGGGGGCTTCTCAAGTGTTAAAAATACCCTACATCCCACACACCTCCATTAACTCATCAGAAAACTCAAAACCCAAGACAAACTTCTGCTCCTCTCTGTAATTTGGCTGTGAGCTCCCTTTTCTGGGTCATGTATGAGTCCATGGGTATTTTAAACATGAGAAGGACAAAGGGATAAACCTTTATTTCTTTTTCCAGTCGTACTATATTGATTTCAGGTAAGTGAAATGCGGTGTCATTTTCTTGTATGTGTCTTGCAGGATGCCCATGGGTGATGGTTAGAGGAGATGATGGGTGTTGGTTGGTAATCGTGAAAGCTACACTGTGCAGGGATAGGGATGAGGACAGGAACCAAGGGTGGCATATACTGGTGCTTTTAGCTTCTTGGGACATTTGTCCGTATTTAGACAGGCTGAAAAATTTGAAATTTCCCTTGGTTAATTTTTTCAGGAAAACAAAAACAAAACAAGCTCCAATGCCACATTCAACTCTCAAATGCCATAGTCAGGTTGGACTTGTTTGGAGTCATCTCTTTTCTAGCACTCTGACATCTTTGGGATGAACTCAGCTTAGAAAACACCTTAGAAAATTCCTTTCCTCTTCTCTGGTGATTAATCAAGGGTTTTCCTTTCCAGACACTGTGTGGCTTCAGTCTCCTCCTTCCAAGTGCATAGGAATCCCCAATGTCCTCTGAGGCTTAATGCATCTTAATCAGTAAAAAGAACGATCATTAGGAATCATACCCATAAAATTGAAGCCACTTAATCAGCACCCTGATACAGTGTGCACACTTAATTACGATGATTGCCAAGACTGGATTCATTGTCATGCATGTTAACGACTTGCCTTGGTAGCTAACTGATGTCTGAGATGACTCTAGCGTAAAATGGAGAGCCAGCCAACCAGTTTCCATGGAAGGCTCCAGGTGCCAATGGACGATCCCCTTCCTCAAGAGGACCCTTGGGCATTTCTCAAAGATACTCAGGCAGCCCTGCTGAGGAAGAACAAGGATGGCCATCAGACTTTCAGAGGAGAAATTCATACCCCACGCCGTACGAGCTGTCAGACTGGAATATAGATTTCTTATTTAGAGACCGCTTTCCTCCTCTGCAAGGTGACTTCACAAGGACAACTTTCTCTGCACTTTGTGGAGTTTTCCACTAGGATTGATCTACAGCCATCGAAAACCAGAAATGTGAACTCTAAACTAAGATACCAAGCCTCTGCGGTAAACTTTACTCATAGCAAAAGGCAAGATGGGTCCAAGGCTTCAGAACAAAAAGAGAAGAGTTCCAGAGTTCCAGGCAGGAGGCTTTGTTTGGCTTCTGTCAAGACTCATACTTTGAATTTTGATTAGTAGAAAATTACAAAGTCTTGCTCAAGTCTTGTCTTCATTATATGGTAAGAGCTCTTCTCATAGAATTTTCTCCTGGATTTCTATATCAAATCTGCAAAGCTTCAAGGCAGGGAAGAATATGTTACAGGTATTGTCGCTATCTTTACACAAAGTTATGAACGAACATATTTGTTGGTTTGACATTTTACGTTTCAATCCCCCGGGTGTTTTTGAGGCAGATGTTGGAGGTCTGGACTTCAATAAACCTGGTGGTAATGCACTGGGCTGTGACTCCAGAAAGGAATTTTCTGAAGGCCAGAAGTAAACAGTGTGGGACAGCAGGCTGCTCTGCCCTCATGAAGGAGCATTGCAGGAGGCTAGCTTCTGAGTCAGCCCTCACTGCAAAACCTGGGAGCTGCCCTTCTCGTCCTGTCCATCTCAGACAAATGTAGGACATGGACTTGCCTAATTAAGCTCTGGTAGCAGACAGGCACCCCTGGCCTCTCCACTGCCATTTTCTTCTCTTCTTCTTTGATGTGGCTTGATAATTCCCACTCCTTTCTTCTCCCTACCTCTTCCCAAAATCTGCAGTTTCCAAAAATCAGTGTGGGCTGTGCTCACAGGGAAGCCACAACACACATACTCCGGTGTGTTCAGAAGAAATTCCTTTTCTGGCTCTGTTTCTAGAAGGTTTCTTTGTCAATATTGCAGGGATCTTTAGGGTTTGCTCTCCAGATACTAGACTTAGAGTTCATCCCAGTTGTGTGTGTCCAAATCATAAGTGGCAGATTAACTCAGGTACAAACCTCAAAGACTGGACTAAATGGATAGTTGAAACCAAACCTGGAGGCACAAACAAGACATTTCTGCTGAACTTATGAAATGTAGCCTCGGGTGTGTAACTTTTAGGTTATTTCAGTTTCTCACTTGAAAATTAGACACAGTCCCTAAGTGAGTACTGCTTCTAGCATCTGAGCTTGATGGTGCTAAAATCACCTTGATCTGGGTTGAGATGTTATAGGTACTTGCTGTCATTAAGAGAAACTTGATTTCTTCCCTTAATCCAGCACCAAGTCCCCTGGCACAGTTTCCTTGGGTGCTTGCTTCAGTGAGACAGAGGGAATCCATTAGAGCAAGCACCTCCAGCATGCCACAGGAGCCAGCAAGGCCCAGAGGGGAGAGTGCTGACGAACTCTGGAGAGAGTTCACCCAAGGGCACGCCATGTCCTGCTCTAAAGCCAGGTGGGGCAGGGATTACCAGGGGATTTATTAGGCAGGAATCAGCCAGACTAATAACACAAATGTATAGGTCTGCAAGCCCAGAGAGCAGTCTGTCAAAAAGCAAAGATGCCAGTGCACTGAGACATTGCTTCTGACCTGCGATCCTCAGGCTGTGAGTGGACAGCTGTAAAATGCAACAATCCCGACATCACAGTATTGAGTAGGGAGCCCACTAAATGCAGCAAAGAACACCTACTAAACATTCAGAAGATCTAGCCTCGAATCCTGTTTCTCCCACTGCTGACTCTTGTCCTGGGCAAGTCTGTCATTTTTTGCCACCCCCAGTTCCTTTATCAATGCCATGAAGAAAGTCCCCATCTGGGGGTTCACATACTCTATTTACATGACGTTCAGGAAGGCTTACCTTGTTCGAGGCACAGTTCTGAGAACTTTACAAGTGTTTCCTCGTTTAGCCTTCATAACAGCCCAGCTAGGTAGGTCCTATTATCCCCACTGTGCAGAGGAGAAAATAGAGGTACAGAGAGGTTAGGTAACTTTCTGTATAATACTCACAAATATAATAGCATTTATTTTAGGCTAAACCAGTAGTTTGTACACTTTTGTTTAAGTGCAAGACACACAGTAAAGAATACTTTTACAGCCAGGCATGGTGGCCTACACCTGGAATCCTAGCACTTTGGGAGGTGATAGTGGGAGTATCACTTAAGACCAGGAGTTCAAGACTACCCTGGCAACATAGCAAGACCCCATCTCTACAAAAAAATAAATAAAAGAATTTTACTTTGTAACTCAATATGCATACTGAAATAAAAATCCTACTAGCTTGTGTCACATCATAAATGATACCAGCTTGGTTGTTATTGTGTAAAAAGCTACCCCAAAATGTAGACTTACAATAGCTATTAGCATTTTATACTAATGAATTCTTCAGGTGAGGATTCAGGCAGCATTTAGCTAAGCAATCATTTTGCTCCTTGTGGAATCAACTGAGGCCATTCAATGGTAATCTGCTGGTGGACGGGTTAATCTGGAAGGTTTGTGGATGGCTTCACTCACATGTCCAGTGCCTGGGCTGGGCTGGCTCAATGCCTCGGCCAAACTGGATCACCAATATGTGGTGTCTCCTTGTGGCCTGGGCTTCCTCACAGCATGACTGCCTCAGAGTAGTCTCACTTGTAACATGGCTGTTCAGGGATCCAAGCCCAGGCTCTTGTTGACAAGGCAGATGCTGCATTGTTTTTATAACCCAGCCTCAGGAATCATTGCATCACTTCTGGCATATTCTATTGCTCAAAGTAATCACAGGTCTGCCCAGATTCAAGGAGAGGGAAATAGACCTTACATCTTGATGGCAGAACAGGGAGGTACCATTCTAGAATAGCACATGGACTGTAAGAGATTATTGCGGCTATTTTCAAAAATAGAGCACGCTACAAATACTTAGCCTCATTATATTCAAAACACAGATGCTTCTTGACTTATGATGGGGTAAATCCCAATAAACCCATCATAAATTGAACACATCATAAGCCAAAAGTGCATTTAATATACTTAACCTACCAAACATCAGAGCTTAGCCTAGCCTACCTTAAATGTGCTGAGAACACTTACATTAGCCTACATTTGGGCAAAATCATCTAACATAAAGTTTATTTCTCATGTAGTTTATTGAATACTCTACATTATATCCAAATTGTAATGGTTTCACACCATAATAAAATCAAAAATTTGCAAGTCGAAACATCATAAGTTGCAGACCATATATGTACTCTGATATATTTTATTTTATTCTGTCACTTTTTGAAAATGTTTGCCACAATACACTTAATTAATTTTGTCACCCACTCATGTGTTATGTCCCGTATAAAAGTGAACAAGGCAGTATGCTAAGCTCTTCCTCAATTTTTAATTTTAAAATATTTAATTCACAAATATAGTGTATATTCAAGGTGTGCAATGTGATTTGATGTACATATATATTGTGTAATGATTATCACAATCACCACCCATGTTGTATATTAAATCCTCAGAACTTGTTCCTCTTATAGCTGAAAGTTTGTGCTCTTTGATAAACATCTCTTTATTTCCAGCCCAGGCAATGTAAGTACTTAGATACTCCAAATTATATAGCAAATCCAGTGTGACTTAAAGGGGCCACATAACATGACAGATCCAATATTGATCTTAGCTCAGGCTAATTCCAAAGCAGATGTTCTCTGCAACCCTTCCTTCATACTCCCATGTGCAACATGTGATGGTTGCTAACTTCCACCAACGACCCAGGTGTCACCATGTGGCCCCACCGTGGACTGCAGGAAGGGCATGATGATGTTGCCCATGAGGTTGTGCATGCTGTGTTGAGTGCATGTGAGTGAGGGTGTGTGTCTGAGCTCCAGGACGTGTGGATGTGCTCCTCCTGGTGTGCACCCTGAGCTCTGACTGCTGGGTGACACAGACGTGTGTTTACAGCTGATCAGGCATCAGGGCTTTCCTGCGGCAGGGGTT
The DNA here is from genome assembly GCF_000001405.40 of Homo sapiens. NCBI lineage: Eukaryota > Metazoa > Chordata > Mammalia > Primates > Hominidae > Homo > Homo sapiens. Next base: position 24,316,772 of record NC_000020.11, read on the forward strand.
GTGGGCATCCTACTCCTCACTAAAGTTCACCAAAACGCTGCAGGTCCCTGAGAGGCCCTCACAGCCAAGTGGACTGACCCCTGGCAGGTGACCAAGGTGTCCATCACAGGCAGAGCTCTGCATGGAAAATGCAATGACTGGTTGTTTATCCACCTGAGTCACTCATGAGCATTTTCAATAAAGGCTAAGAGAAACCACCAACCACATAAATTATATCAGATGCAAACTGACATTTCCTAATGGCTGAGTTTGGGCAAATATCAGCTATTAAGACATCAGTGTATTATTAGATTGGAGACATAATGGTGAGGCCAGCAGCTGTTTCAGGAGGGAAAGCATCTGTGATCCAGTAAATGTGAGAGCCCACCTGACCACCCATGTTTCATTCTCACCCTGCAGAGCTTCCACTCTCCTGAGGAAGGTCACTGTGTGTCACCTGGAGAGATATAAAAACCACACTAATTATCATGGAGAACAAATATGATTTCTAGCCTGTGAGGGTGGACAGGGGCTGCTGCTGCTTCTCCTTCTTCTTCAATATAATAAAGGCTTGAGCACCCTCTAGGTCCCCAGTGGTTTTCAAGCATTTGTGCAGTGAGGCCTGTCCTCGAGTCACCCAGGGCTGGAGCAGGTGTCAATGGTCTGGACCTCAGGACAGTGCCAGATCTCCTGTGCCTTTCTGCCTTTTGCACCTCCTTCCTCTCTCGCTTTCAGTTTGCTTTTGTTCCAAGTGTGCAAGCGTCTCTGATCATCTCCTTCCTCCTCTGCCTTGCTCCCTGCCCTTTGCCCTGGTTGGGCTGCTTGTATTTATGTGAGGAAAGGAGCTGCTTTTCTTGGCTCCGTGCGTTCTTCTCAAGGGTCATATGTTGCTGTGGGACATCACTTCTTCAGGTTCTACCTGAGCTCCTCTTCCTTCCCCCTCACAGGCAGGTGCTTCAGTGCCTCTGCTCAGAATTCACTCCATCTCCTTCAAAATGCCCCTTCAGATGGTAACAGGTGGTTGTGGGACAGTCACCTGCTGTGCTTTCTAACTCCACCCCACCCACTTCCTCCAGGACCAGGAAAACACACTTCAGTGTGGTGTTGTCAGATACTGCCCTTTCTTGCAACAGGCAGAGGTGCCTTCACTTAAAAGCTCTGGACCATCCAGCCCCTAACACCATCAAGCCCCCAGGCACCAGCAAAGGGAAAGCTCGCACCCAGCAGGGGTGGCTGGATTCCATCCTGAGGCCCAGCACCTGGCTATCTGTGTCCCTGGACATCCCATTGCGCCACAAGTTTTCCTCTTCTACAAGACCCCCTCAAGTGGCCCCAGTTCAGACTCCCATTGTAGATTGGGTTTTGGGTCCCCTTCCCCAGGTTCTAGAACACTATGCTAATCTCAGCCCATTGGCCAAGCCAACAGCCAGCCTGCCCTTGACAACAGCTCAGCCCTGCTCCCCATCCCGGCTCTGCCTGGAGAACCACTTCAACAAGAAAGCATTCTGGAGTCTGGGCATGGTGGCTCACATCTGTAATCTCAGCCCTTTGGGAGATCACAGCTGCAATCTCAGCAGGAAGATTGTTTGAACCCAGAAGTTCAAAACCAACCTGTGCAACAGAGTGAGACCCCCATCTCTACAGAAAAAAAAAATAGAAAAAAAATTTAGCTGGGCTTGGTGGCACATTCCTGTGTTCCCAGCTACTCTGAGGCTGAAGTGGAAGGATGCTTGAGCCCAGGAGGTCGAGGCTCCAGTGAGCCATGAACGTGCCAGTGTCCCACAGCCTGGCCAACATAGTAAGACCCTGTCTCAAAAAAAAAAAGACAACCCCCCGCCCCCGGAAACCCGGTGTCATCACTCCAACCTGGCCCTGTTGGCCACCATGCCTGACACTAGAGAAACGCTGCCTTCATTAGCGTTCCCCAGAAACAGAAACAGACTCGAGACAAGGAGCACACACAGGTTATTTCAGAGGTGCTCCCAGGAAACTGCAGCAGGAGTGTGAGGAAGTGAGACAGGGCAGGGCAGGCAGTCGGTGACGGACATGTGATCAAGTGGCTTCCTGTTGCCGGCAGCTGCAGCAGCGCTGGGATTCTTCAGGAAACCCTCTGCCTCCTGGTTTTCCCACCTGAGGGATGGGGGCTGGATATTGGCTCCCAGGTTCCTGCCAGTCATTGTTTGAGGGTTGCCCCTGGAGGGTCTTGGCTCCCTGGCACTTACAACTGCCATCCTGAGAGACCCCCAGGCAAAGACATGCAGATGCGAGCAACTGGGGGCCCGGTCCAGGATCCAGGGTGGGGGTAGGCAGGATGCTGCCTGGGCAGATGAGGCAGGTCCAGGATGGCTGATGCTGGATCAGCCTGGGACCCCGCGGGCCTCTGACTCAGGCCTCCCTGATGGGCTTGTTCACCCTGGGGCACTCCTGCAGCATCATCTTTCCTCAGCCACATTCCCCTCGACAGCCTCCAATTTTCACACTCTCTTCACAGTTAAGTCCTTTGGAAAACTGATGAAAATAGTTCATCTGTGGAAACAGTTTTAGTGGCTAGGCTTTCTTTTGTTTAACTGCTTTGAATTCTCTAGGGCAGATGTTATTAATGTGAGGATTTACAGAGTCCATGGATAGACTCCAGGCAGATCAGAAACCCTGAAATTACACTGTTGATCCATTTTTTCTAACCATGTGCACTTTTCTGGGGAGAATTTGTCTAAAATTATAAAAGGAAAGCCTGAGTCAGAAAGAAAATTAAGAAAAATGTAAGACCCACTGTTTTAAACTAAAACTAAATCAAAGCACACTAAACAGATTCTCTGAATGCACACTGACAAAACGCAGGAAGAACAGACTGAACCATGGGCCAAAGGGTGATTCTCTAACTCCAACAGGCAGCACAGTGCCCAGCACTGTGCATGCTCCTATGTGCTGATTAAATGGATGATCTGGGCCTGATCTCACATCATGAAGACATTTACCTTTTCCATTACTTATCTGCAAACTCCTAATGCCAGAGAGCCAACAAAAAGTAATATGTGCTGGTCAGAGAGGTTCATAGTACATCAGGAGGATTATGATCAAGGCTGGAATATCCAGAGTTGAGAGTAGACAGTCAGTGTCTGCATTGGTCAGCTTTTGCTGCATAACAAACCATCCAAACTGTAGTGACTCAAAACAAAAGCCATCTATTTTACACATTATTATTTAAGGTGGCAAGCTGGGTTGGGTAGCCAGTGGTTCTGTTAGGCTGGGGTGAGCTCAGTAGATCTCTGCCGGGCTTGCCTATGCATCTGGAGTCAGCAGGGCAGTTGGCTAGAGCTCATGATTTAGGATGACCTGGGCTGGGGTGGCAGGGATCACTGATGCTTCTGTCCATGGGATCGCTCATTCTCTAGCAGGTGAGCTCAGATGTGTTCAGATATTGATAAGATTCTAAGAGCACAACGTAGAAACTGCAAGTGCCCTTAGGCCTAAGCTTGAAACTTGTTCCGTCATATCCTGTTGACCAAAGCAAGTCACAACGCTAGCCCAAATTCAAGTGTAGCAATAAAGAACATTCTACTTGTTAATAGGAGGAGCTGCAAAGTAGCATGGTCATTTTACAGTCCACTGCAGTCTTCCCACTAAGCTCAGCACAAATCACCACACTGCAGAATCATGAGCTCAGTAAATGGTGGTTGTTTTGAGCCACTATGTTTTGGGGTAGTTTGTTATGTGGCAAAAAATAATTGATACTTTGTCTTAGGTTGGATTCTCTTGGAATGGATGTTGAGATAAAATGAGAAGCTGATCAATTAGGAAGAGTTCCCAGGGAAAGCCAGTAGTGAGTGGGGAATGGAAGGAAGTCTAACATGAGCAAGATGTCAAGCAAAGCCCAGAAAGAGAGAATGAGTTGGCTTAACCTTGCAGGAAACCTCTAGGGACAATGTAGGTTACACCTCAGAGTTGTCCCAGTCAGGAGTGAGGGAACTGTAGCGTTGATGTCCCTACACCCATCGGTCATTGTTTAAGTTCTAGGAGTGTGCATTTCCAGGCACTTCTGGCTGGCTGTGGCACAAACAAAGTGGGTCTTCCTCAGAACATGGTGCAGCCTCTGACTAGGAGACCAAGTGCTGGCTGTTGGGAGTTCAGTGTGCCTGGAGGGGATGTGCACAAAGTGGCAAAGGCTTCCAGAAGCTGCGGACTGAGGATGCACATTTTTTGCTCCAGGATCTGGAATGGGTTCTTTCCTCTCCAAGTTTTGCAGCCTTCTCTGTGAGGCCCGTTGAATGATCAAAGTGCTTTTACTGTCAATAAGTTCATTCTCATTTTTCTAACTGAACATTTCTGGTGTGATTGTGACAATGCTAGTCCATTTCTCCCTATCTATTCCTCTAGGGAGGAAGCAAATCACTGTGAAGTGTCCTCATCATAACCTTTCGTACCCTTAAAGACCGTTACTCATCTGCCTCCTCGGCACTTTCTGCTGGAGATGTGGCCTCAACTCCATTAACCTTTCCCCATAAGTACCAGACTCTCCTTTCAATCAGTCAGTCTGTTCCTCCCTTAATCCCCTCTCCTCTCTTCTCCATCCCAATTTCTTTTAAAAAGGCAAAGACCCAAACCAGACACTGACCACTCACAATCGTTTTCTCAGCAATAGGAGTTGGACAAAGCCTTGCATCCCAGCTGTGGTGTTCCTTACTCTAGACATAACCTCAGCTTGTTGAAGGTTTGTTTTGATTTAACAACAGACTCTTTCTTCTACATGCAATAGTAACAGGTATTATCGTGTTCTATGAGAAACATTCTGAGAGAAAAAGTCAAAATGTAAAATAAATATTGGGTCAATAGCTCCTTCCTATCAGGAGGAGACTTCACTTGCCTGTTCTGGGAAATGTCTCTCTTGTAACCATATTGAGGAGTTTAGGGATTTCCCAGGTGTTGTGGCATCATGGGCATCTTGCCATGCACCCCTTTATGTTATCTCTAAACTGTAATTCCAAATACCTCATGCACGGGAGTAAATCATGGGCCTTCCCTAGAAAGAAAGTACATCTAAGCTTCTTCTAAAGTGTGGCATTTCCAGCCTTGAGGACTGGTGTCTCTAGCCTTCAGAAGATGACATTTGGCAGTAGGAAGAACCGACGAACCACCTTGAAATAACTGAAGGTCTGTCATATGGAATTAACATACTCCCTTGATCCAAGGATTGATCTAGGATCAGTCAATGAGGTTTTTAGAGGGGCACAAGGCAATGGGAAATGTGGAATGATATTCTTGCATTCAGAGATATTCACAGGCAGAGAAGAACACATCATCAAAAAGGCCAGTGAATTCAGTAAGAAGGTCTCAATCTCTTGAGGAGTTTATTACAAATACATATTCTGGAAAAACCCAGGATGTGCTGCAGATATGACATCATCAGCTGACCCTGGGTGGGTGTGGCTGCTTCCCCTTCAGGCACAGTGAGCACAGCAGTGAGAGGTGAGTTACAGGAGGAGGTCCAGACCCTGACCTTGGATCTCTTTGTAATTAACTTAATGACCATGAGCCCTCACCCTTCGTCCAGCCTCCAGCTTCCTCATCTATAGAGTGATGGAAGTGGACACGCTCAGCTCTTGCCTCTCTTCGTTCTGCCAAGGCAGCTATGCAGTTGGTTCCTCAGTTCCGAAGTGCAGGTGTCTGAATAAGGGACAGATTTTTCGTTGCACACAAAATGTGATAGAGGTCCCAATCAGATGAGCCAGTTACTTAATTTGCAGAGGATATTTGTGAATTATCATTCAAACAACAAAACATCTGACAAATGAAGTCTGTTCATTTCTACTACTGTTACCTTAATTTGTATTGTTTGATAATAATACTGGTAAGTTTGTCTAATAAACAAGGCAGCATTAAGCCAAGAGTGATACCTAGTCAGGCTGCATTTTTCACAGGATACACTCAACTGCGTGATTCTTTTTGCTAGAGTCCCTTTTGCAGGCAGTTCTTTCACAGACTTATCAGAAGCCTCTCTCTCCAGGGCCATTAACCAAGTGGCTGTTACTGCAAAAATCTAAGGAGAACAAAGATCTGTGAAGCGGGTCCAGATGTGAGGTGTGGGGTGGAGGAGAGAGACATGGGCCAGGGTTCAGGGAACCTGCACATCAGCCCCAGCAACTCTGTTAACAGCATGTGTGGTTCAGGGGGATGATTTCACACCTTGCACTTTAGTTTTACCCAGTGTAGGAAAAACAATGATCTGCCTGACAACCGGGACAGGGGCATAAATGTAATTCATTTATTTCCTCCCATCCTTGGGGCCCCACTGCCCTCAGGAAGGTCAAGTTCTTCATGTCTTTCCTTCCAACACTTCACCTTGCACCCACTTTCAGCATAAGTGGAGAGAGTGTTATCATTTTCCTTTGAAACAGTGATGGAGAGTCTCCAATTACAAAGCTTTGAAAAAGCAGACTTACCCACATTTCTCAGCAGTCAAAGCCAACATAAATTAAAAGTTGCTGGAAGAATTAGGGTAGAAGTATTGACCTGGCTGAGATTAGAACAGATTTCAATTTTTCCAATATCTACAGTGAATTATGTCTTTAATTTATTTATTTATTTATTTATTTATTTATTTAAGACAGGTTCTCTTTCTGTGGCCCAGGCTGCAGTGCAGAGATGTGATGATAGCTCACTTAAGCCTCAACCTCTTAAGCTCAAGTGATCTTCCTGTCTCAGCCTCCCAAGTAGCTAGGACTACAGGTCCTAATTTTTAAATTTTTTGTGGCAAAGGTTTTTTCTATGTTGCCCAGGCTGGTCTCAAAATCGTGGCCTCAAGTTATCTTCCTGCCTTGGCCTCCAAAGTTCTGGGATTACAGGTGTGAGCCACTCCACTCAGCTATGAATTACATCTTTGAGAAACAACCTTACAGGCAAATTTGGGAGGGAGTATAATACAGGCATAATGTAAGTTCTCAATGGTGTCTTGAGATACAGATACGGATTCTGCCATGCTCCTGTTCCTACCTTAAGAACATTCTCAGAAGCTATAATTTAGACTGTGGACTCAGAGCTTCTGGAAGCCTGACCCGATCTTCATAGTTCAAGTCCAAGAGTCAGAAAGGGATGGACCCAGTAGCAGAGAATGATGAAGATGTGGATGAAGAAGCCCCACAAATTTCACCAAATCTTCTTCCCACTGGGCATTTGTGCCTCAACCCAGTTCCAAGAGAAACTGCAGGAAATCCTTTAGGAAAACAGGGACCAGCTCCCCAGACATGTCCACATGATTGATCCTCTTCTGCCCTGTTTTCCTCCCTTCTTCCACACTGGGTTCCCTGAAACTCTGTTGCATTCTGCTGAGTTCCTTCTCGTTCTGAAGCCATTGGGTGGATGTGACAGCATCTCCTCCTACACAGTGGAACCAGTATGAATCCCAGCAAAGATCAGACAGGATGTTCCAGCCCAGAAAAGCCAAGATCCTGAGCGCCTGCTGAGGTCACACACAGTAAGAGACACCCCAAGACAATTCTAAGAGGGCAGCATCTGGCCTCTCCACCACAGTGTGGTACATCGCAGCCCTTGGGCCAGTTGGCAAACATCGCAGCCCTGACTGTGTGTCCTCTAACAGGAAGAGAAAAACTTTCTCTCTTCTGGACACTTGCAAAGACTCCAGCAAGCCCAGTGATCTGTGAGGTGGGTCCAGATGCTTGGAGACCAGTGTGGCGAGCAGGAAGGAGCAGCGGACAGGGAGCCTGGGCTGCCGTCCGTGACTTCGCCTGCATCGACAACCCGTTTGGCTTCAGGGGAATCGCTTCACACTGTGTGCTTGAAAAAACGCCCTCTGCCCAGAACAGTAAGCCCAGCGCCAGACATAACTGAATCTAAGTTTGCTTCCTGTTCCCGCACACATTCTTTCCCTCAACGGTTTTCTGCCTCACTACACCATCTCTGAGGAATAACCTCTGAGTTTCTATTGAAGAATGGAGACTATATTAAGTATATATTTATGTATTCATCATAGAAAACCTATAAAAGACCAAATAGTAGGTAAAAGTTACTGAAAATCTCAGGGGCCGAGGGATTCCTGCCTTCCCTTTTATCAATACTGTACATACTCACATTGGTATGACTGGGTTTTTTTTGCAACCTATTTTTTTTCCAGTCAGCATGAGATGTTTATTTCCCCTTATCATTTATTGTTTTATATGATATTATTTTAATACTTATTTAATATTCTCCTGCTGAATTTAGCATAGTGTATTTATCCAATCACTAAATATACAGCATTTGGGTTGTGTCCGCTTTTACCCATTATAAATTATGTTATAATTATTATCTTTGTGGATGGAGCTTTCTGCATATGACACCCACCATCAGTCATGGCTTTCAGGTCAGGAGCGAGCTCACCAAGCATCAGAACAGCGAGCATTCATGTGTCTGCACCGTCTCTCTGGGTCTGTGAAATGGGCTTTATTTTGTTCCCCAATGTGTCCCTGTCTGTCTGACACTAAGGCCTGACCACTTCCTGTTATCCCAGACTGGGCTAGTCAGGGGAGACTTCAAGAAGGAGGAAGGAATTCTACACAATCATTTGCATCTGAATCTCACTCCATCTATATAGCTTTTTAGCTAAGAACTTTAGTTTTTAACCTCTCTCAGAGGTGGTTTCCCAGACAGTGAAGATTGCACTAAAATACTCACACCACTGCATTGTCATGGGGATTTAGGGTAGCAAGGCCTGATGGGCAGTAACCTCATAACAGTGCTATTATTATTACTGTCAGGGCTATTTTTATAATCAGGTGGGGCAGCAATGCAGGGACTGAGTGTGGCCACATCCCTGCTCTGTGGACCCCAGGCCCTCTTCATGACTGTAATAAACACAAGAATCCTCCCCACTTACCTGGCCATGGCTGCCTGTCATCAGGCAGGTTCTTCTGGAAGCAAGCAGTTTATTCAAGAGTTAGAGGAAACACCAACAATGGAAACACAAGGTGGGAAAGGGAGATAGGGAAGAGAAGAAGCTGAGAAAGAGTTTGTGGCTAAGCCACCAGTGTTGCTACACTGTGATGACGGTGGGTAACAGGGGGTCGATCTTGCTGGGTACCCTGAGGACCAGTGTACAACACACATCTCAGAGCTCCCACCCAAGGGGCTAGGGAGCTGGGGTATTTATCTGCCAGCTGCCCTTGGCCATTGGTTGTGGGTTGCTATAGGGAAGAGATTCCCTGCACTTCAGAGACTGCCACTAGCACAGGGATGGGGAATCAAAGCTAGGCCAGTGCTCCAGGAAATGGGGCGAGCCAGTGAGGAGCTCTGGTTGGCTCTGACTCCAGGTGCTACACTGCCAGTGCACACCCTGGTCAGCTTCCTGTGGCTCGTCCCACTTCCTGGGCAGCTTGTCTATGCTGTGAGACCAGAGAGAGCATCAAGTGTTGATGTGGGAGGCAGGCCCAGGAGGAGCCCTCAGCAGCCTCCCATGGAGTTTGTTCACTGATGGCAGACCACCCTGGCAGCTTGGCCCATCAGCAAGCATGACACAGCAGGTAAGGGTTCCTTCCAGTAGCACAGGCTTCCAGTCCATGATGAGCCAACCTAGTGTGCCCCTTGCACTGATGAAATGTGAGACCAGTCTTGCCTAGGTATTTCTGCTCCTTTCTCTGGGTGAGCCAGAGACACTTTGAGATGATCTCTCCCTTGCTGAGGGAGATACCAGAAAGGGCTCAAGTGAGCTAAAATGGGAGGGAGATAGACAGACAGTCATCAAGAGATTTATGGTAAAGAAGTGGCTCACACAGTTATGGAACCTAAGATGTCCTAAGATCTGTAATCAGTTAGCCAGAGACCCGGGAGACGGGGAGTGTAACACATCTGAGCCTGAGTCTGAGAGCAGGAGAAGACCCATGTCCCAGCTCAAAGACAGTCAGGGAGAAAAAGAGAGCCCATCTTTGTGCAAACTTTGTTTTACTCAGGATTTCAACAGACTGGATGAGGCCCACCCTCACTGGGAGGGGAACTGCTTTACTCAGTCTACTGACGTTAATCTCATCCAGAAACCCAGAAACACACTTGCAGACACACCCAAAATAATGCTCAACCAAATATTTGGGCATCCTGTGGCCCAGTCAAGTTGACACAAAAAATTACCATCAATAGCCAATTCTTTGTCAACTTCGCACTCATATGCACCTCTTTAAACTGTACTTAGTGTGCAAGTAAAGACAATAACAAGATCAAAATTCTGTCTAACGTGATACAACTTTCCTGTATACAACCACAAATGCACTAACCCCTTCCCCAGAAGAGGAGGTAACATCCTTCCTTGAGGGATCCTTACACTCGCCCTTGTAATTCCTTAATATTAATGTTTACATAGTAGATGTAAAGTTAGCAATTTTAAAATACTATGATATAAAGTCAATACAAGCCAAGTGCAGTGGCTCCCACCTGTAATCCCAGCACTCCATGAGGCTAAGGCGGATAGATTGTTTGAGCCCAGAAGTTCGAGACCAGCTGAGCAATATGAAAAAACCCCATCTCTACAAAAAAATACAAATATCAGCTGGGCATGGTGGTTCATACCTGTAATCCCAGCTACTTGGGAAGCTGAGGTGGGAGGATCTCCTGAGCCTGGTGATCCGGTCAAGGCTGCAGTGAGTCGTGATTGTGCCACTGTACTCCAGCCTGGGCAACAGAGCGAGACCCTCCCTGTCTCAGAAAAATTAATTAATTAAGTCAATACATGTTATGTACATGATAAAGGTATAAGAGAAGAAAGAAAACCAGACATTTACTTAACAGGTGTATATATATATATATTTGTTGATAAACATATGTATGTACACACAGACATAGTCATAAAAATCAGGAGTTATATTCACAGTGATGACAGCTCTCACTTGTGTAACTGGCCACATGGTCCCAGCTGGTGTTTTGCTCACCTCTTGCATCTCTTCCTCTGCATTCCCTGCAACTTCAGCAAGCACTTCAGCTGGTCATGGCTTTTTACCTGGTGGTGTGACCCAAACCTTCATTCCTGAAGACTCTGGACCATTACCAGTCCTGCCTGAATGAGACTGTAGTTTTCCATTGACTTTAACAGGACATGATAATACTAAGAGATGCACTTTGGGACCTCTTGTATTCCAGACATACTCCTCCTTACCCCCATTGTTGAGGAGCAGTCCAATTTCCCCTCGGTAGTCAGGGTCAACCACCCAGCCAGCATAGTAACACCTTTCTTTGCCTGTGGATTCAGAGATATGAGAAGTTCTAAGTGGCCAGGTGATTGTCTTAACAATTGTTGTTGGGTTTCCTGATGAAAGCATTCATCTTTGTGGAATCATTTTTGGGTTTCCTGATGAAAGCATTCTTCTTTGTGGAACTAAGAACTCTAGGCCAGTAAAGTATCAGATTCTGGAAACAGGAAGCAAAAATTTTGCTAGTGGGTCATTAGAGGTAATAGTGAGAGGTGCCACTCTCACTTCACCTTTAATTTCTAGACTCATGAATCCTGGCTATGGAAGAAACAACTCCATACATTGGATGCTGATTCAGAGCATATGCAGCCTCCTGGATGACACTGTCCCAACCCTGGAAGGTATGGCCACCCAACTGGTACTGAAACCGAGTCTTCAAACGGGCATTCTGCTTTTCTATCAAACCAGCTTCTTCACAAAGGTGCAAACATGGTAAGGCCAGCTAATTCCATGAGCATGGGCCAATTGCTGCACTTATTTTGCTGTAAAATGAGTTCCTTAGTCAGAAGCCATCCTGTGTGGACTATCGTGATGGTGGAGAAGACATTCTGTAAGTCCACAGATGGTAATGTTGGTAGAAGCACTGCATACAAGGTAGAAAAATCCATATCCAGAGTAAATGTCTATTCCACTAAGGCTAAACACCACCCTTTGTATGATGGAAGCTGTTCACTGTAATCAACCTGCCACATGTAGCTGGCTGATCACCCCAGGGCATAGTATCATATTGAGGGCTCAATGTAAGTCTCTGATGCTGGCACATTAGGCACTCAGCAGTGGCTGTAGCCAGCCTGGCCTTGGTGAGTAGAAGTCCATGTTGCTGAGCCCATGCATAACCTCCATCCCTGCCACCATGGCCACCTTGTTTATAAGCCCATTTGGCAATTACAGGGGTGGCTGGGGGAAGAGGCTGACCAATAGCTACAGATTGGGTCATTCTAGCCACTTGATTATTAGATTTCTGCTCTGCTGAGGTCACCTATTGGAAATCATTCACACAGATTACAAATATCTTCACATGCTTTTTTACCTCCAAATAGATCTATCCACATGCCTCTTCCCAACTTCCTTATCACTAATTTCCCAATCGTTCCTTCTAAGTTCCTGACCATCAGCCAAACCAGTGACCACAGCCCATGAATCAGTTTGTTTCCCATGCCTGGCCATTTCTCCTTCTAAGCAAAGTGCACAACCAAGTATACTGCACAAAGTTCTACCCACTGGGAGGGTTTCCTTTCACCGCTGTCCTTCAGGGATGTCCCAGAAAGGAACTGTAGTGCTGCAACCTCCACTTTCTGGCAGTGCCTTAATATTGTGCAGAACCATCTGTAAACCAGGCCTGAGTCTTCTCTTCATCTATTAACTGATCCTAGGGAACTCTTTATGAGGCCACAGGTGCAGGCTGGGAGAGAGAAGGCAGCATAACAAGAGTGGGGACCATGGACATTTGGGGGACTTCTTCATGTAACTTGCTTGTGCCTTCAGAGCCTGCTTGGGCCCAGTCGCATATATACCACTTCCAATTGGTGATGGAGTACTGCTGTGCACACCCAACTTTATGGCTTTTTGGGTCAGATAACAATCAGCTCATGATGGACAACCCAGGTTGCATGGTAACTTTGTGACCCATGGCTACTTAGCCATGGGTTAAGTCTATACTAAACCCCAGTGTTCAGTCTATACTAAAGCCCAATGACAGGCCAAAAGCTGTTTCTCAAAAGGGGAGTAGTTATTCACAGAGTACATCAGGGCTTTCATCCAAAATCCTAAGGGCCTGCACTGTGATTCCCCTATAGGAGCAAGCAAAAGACTCCTTGCAGCATCCCCATCTGCCACTGACACTTTGAGCACCATTGGATCTTCTGGGTCACATGCACAGCAGCCTGGACCTGCTGCAAAGTGTTCGCTTCTTCTGCTCTTGTTCACTCAAAACTTGCAGCTTTTAGGGTCACAAGACAAATGGGATGAATAACCCAGATGAGGAATATGTTGCCTCCAAACTACAAAGAGGCCCACAAGGCAATGTGCCCCTTTTTTTTGTTGTAGGAGGAACCAGATGCAACAACTTGCCCTTCACTTTAGAAGGGATATTTTAACAGGCTCTACACTACAGGAAACCTAGAAATTTCACTGAGGTAGAAGGCCTCTGAATTTTTGTTGAATTTATTTCCCACCTTCTGATACACAAATATCTTACCAGTAAGTCTGGAGTCATTACTGCTCCTTGCTCACTAGGTCCAGTAAAGCATAGTGTCATTAATGACGTTGATTAATGTGGTCTCCTGTGGAAGGGAAAGGCAATTAAGATCCCTGCAAACAAGTGTGCGGTAGGGCTGGAGAGTTGATAGGCCCTGAGGCAGCACAGTGAAGGTGTGTTGCTGACCTTGACAACTGAAAGCAAACTGCTCCTCCTGGGCTTGACAAACAGGTAAGAAGAAAGAGGAATTGGCCAGATCAATAACTGCATGCCAGGACCCAGGGGATGTGTTACTTTGCTTAAACAATTCAGCTACATCTGATGCAGCAGCTCAACTGGAGTCATTGCCTGGTTAATCTTATGATAAGCCACGGTCAGTCTCCAAGATGTGTCTGTCTTCAGCACAGGCCACATCGGCCAGTGAATACATGTGGCAGGAATCACTACCCCTGCATCCTTGAAGTCCTTGATGGTGGCACTAATTTCTGCCATCCGTCTAAGAATACAGCATTCCTTTTGGTTTATTATTTTCCCAGATAGAGGCAGTTCTAGTGTCTTTTACTTGGCTTTTCCTACTCCTCACTCCACAGGTTAGGGAACCAGTGTGGGAGAGGATTCTGAAAGCTACTGAGTATGCCTGTTCAAATTATGCATTCCAGAACCTGGAAAATAAACACAGGATGGGCTGTGGGACCCACTGGGTCCACTGTGAGATGGACCTAAGCTAAAACTCCATTATCATCTGAATCCCTCCCCACTCCTAGCCCCATCAAAAAAAAACCCACATCTGATTCGTGGGCCACAGTGAAATTTTGGGTCTCCTGGAATTAATGTTTGCTCAGAGTCAGTGTCTAGCAGTCTCTGAAAGGTTTACTTCCTTTTCCTCAATGCAGTTATACTGATATATACATACATGCCTCCATTTTGGGAAGACTAGGAGCAAGATTAACAGCACAGACTTTTGGGAGTGCCAGGATCCTTCCTCAAGGTGACCTGTCCTCCCCTTCATTCAAGGAGTTCTGGGTCTATAAACTGGCTTAGGTCTGGGAATTGATTGAGGGACCGTGATTCTCAGTTTTTATGTTTCAGGTTAGATTTTTATTCAGTTGACCTAAAACTTTTCTGTTTATAAAATCATGTAGGAATTTAGTAGGCTTACTGTCTATTTCACTTCTAGGAACACCATGATCACCTAGCTGATGCCACAGGTGCTTTGGAGTCAGTCTACTTGATTGCTGCTTTGGCCCTGCCCTCCATTAGAGTAACCATGCCTATCTCGTCTTTGGTGGCTGAGTGCTGCCTCTTGGCCCCTGGCACCCCAGGATCTAATTACTCCCATTGCATTTAGGTTTCTTAATTGAGTGGCTGTCATTGCCAATGTAAGGTTCAGCCATCAGAGAAGAGTGACCATAGAGCTCTTCAAGGATGCTGGGGCTCCCCTCACAGACTTGTTTCTCACAGTAGTGATGAAAAGTATGGTTTCTGGGCCCTCCTACTGTGGGTGAGTAGTTCCTAAATGACAAATGCAGTATAACACTTCCTTTGCTGAAGAGTACACATTTGCAGATTAGCGCATTACCGGCTCAAACATAATCTCTCACCAGTTGAGAAACTGGGCCTTGGTAAATACTCTAATTCCTATGTTCAAAAATTCATGTGGTTTGCTGCCAAGGCATCATATTAAATTAGAATGACATCCATCAAATTTTATGAAACTCAAATTTAGAAGAGTACACACTTAAGACTAATGCTTAGGATAAATTTTTTTAAATGAAAATCTCATCTCAGATCCCAGTTGGGACTTAGATGATGCTTTTTAGACTCTCAGCTTATCTTTCAAAAAATCAAGCAATGTTTTGCATAGCAGACATCATTTGCCCCTCACAAGGCAGCCCCTTGGCCCTATCAATGTCAGTGCAACTGTGCAAGGTAGCTCCATGCACGTCGCCAGCTCCCACCACAAGGGCACACAGCGGGGTAGCTGCGTCTACCTCAAGGCTCTCTCCAAAGGTGCAGCCTGGGAATGTGGGAGGGGAATGGTGATGGGATAGTGCTGGTGTGTGTCCCAGGCACAATTACTGCCAATGAGAACCAGCAGCCAGTGCATAAATGTCCCATTTTTAAAGGGATAGCTTTTAGGTGAATTCTACAGGGCTTCTCAGAGGATCATTAGTTAGACAAAGATGCCATTGCCCACAGCAATAACCAGCTCAATTATGTTCCTTCTATTGATTTCCTGTCTGTTCCTGTCTCCTTCCCCTCATTTATCCTTCTTGGGATCACCTCTCAAATAAAATACCTGCACCCAGAACGACGTGTTGGGCTCTGCTTTTGGCAGAGCCCAGGTAAAGGCACTGGCTTGCCTACAACCTATGAAAATGTGGAAACCCATGTGTTTGGTTTTCCATGTTGGGAAGTGGTGAATATGTGTTACTGTTGTGTTGGATAAGGCCAGAAGGTAGGTATTCTTAGGATAACAGCACTCATTTGATGGGGAATTGATTTCAATAGGTATCTTTCCATTCTCAATCCTCATAAATTTACTGGTCACTTACTACATAGAAAATTTCATGACATGCACTGTGAAAGCTAGAGAGGAGAATAAATTGAATTAATCTCTTGTAGTTATCATAATTTAGGAGGTATAAGCATATGGAAATGTGACCAGCATGGTGGCATGGTATTTAAGACCCAAGTGTCAAGCACAAAAAGGCAGCTCATTCAGAGTTCAGAGATTGAAAGTATTAGTAGAAACTAGAGTAGTGACGAAACACATCACAAGATACATAAACCTTGAAATTGGCTCTGAAAAATAACTATGTTCCTGACCAGTACTAAGAGACACTAATATCATAATTCTGAAAAATAGTTCCCCACCTTTACCCAACATAAATGGCTTGGCAATTCTATCTAGCAGTCATTGCCCCAGGGTGTATAATGGGATAGATCACTCACCACTAACATGTAGGAACCAGGAGTAACCCTACAAATGGTGAAGTATGAGGCAGAGAATGAGGATGTGGCAGACCTACAGCTGGAAGAGCAGTCATTCTTTGATGTGTTATATTAGAGCACACTTTTCTTTATCACTACCTTTTGAAGACCTGTGGTCTTCATATACTAAAAAGAAAGAACATGTCCTTGGGCTATGCTTGTGGTAACAGGACAGATAGGTATGTGAACACATTCTGTGAAGATTTACAAGACAGGCATGCTTGAAGCACTAAGGGGAAACAGTGGGATTCACTTACGAAGAGCAGCAATGAATGCACAGGTGTCTATTTACCCCAGACTTAAAAATGAAGCAGTCTCATTCTTAGGACAGCATGAGTTCATTTAGTTTGGAAATGAAAAGAAGACAAGACATTCAGGGAAAGGATTACATTCACAGCAGGTTTTAAAAGATGACTAGTAGTTCAATGGACAGTCAAGATGATGCTGGGCGATCTGGGAAGGTATACTGCCTGGGCTGTTGGGTTATTTTTACAAATAACATGTCCCTACTCTCAGGGACCCTTGGACTCTGATTTATCATCCTACCCTTCTGTTTCAGTTCTTTCTATTCAAAGGGACTGAAAATCCCAGAATTCAAATTATGACCCCCCAAAAAAGTGTTATTACAAATGTATGAAATAATCTCACTGAAAGGTATAGAGGTGCAAGGTATTGACCTAAGTAATTTTAGAGAAGAATAGAATGTAGAAGGCAAAGGAACTGCCCATCAGCACTGTGTTCTAGTTAATAAAATTGTCTCCAATGGGGCACATGGGTAAATGGTTCTGAAACCAGTGTACAGGTAAACTTCAATGGAACAAATGAGTAAACTGATGGCAGAAGGTGGAGCTAGGTTTCTCACTGCTGGAGTGGAATGTTGTAGAAAATCAACGGCTAGAACTCATGTGATGCTGGATTAGAGTTGGAGACATCAGCATAAATTTATATTTAGCTTAATATAAAGATAGAAAAATAGATGTTAGTAAACACACATATATTTCCTTGCTCTATCTGCTGAGAGGGTCTAGAAACAATGATACCCCAGCAGCAATAAATATATCTAACACCCAGGTTTTGGGTTTTGTGGTAGGCAGATTAATTTTTTTCCTCATCTTAATCTCAACTCTCCTCATCTTAATCTCAGAAACCTGTGAATATGATAGGTTACTGGCTAAGGGAAATTAAAGTTGCTGAAGAAATTAAATTTGCTAATTAGATGACCTTAAAATGAAGAAATTATTCTAGATTATCTGGCTGGGCCCAAATTAATGACAAGGGTCCTTGTAAGTAGCAGAGAGAGGCAGAAGATGAGTCCATTTCAGAGTGACGGTATGTGAGGAAGTCTCTATCAGCCACTGGGAGCTTTGAAGGTAAAAGGGGACCACAAGTCACAGAGTACAGGCAGCCTCTAGAAAATGAAGCAGACAAGAAAAATAGATTCTCTGTTATGACATGTACCCTTGACATGATGTAATCAGAATGACACTTCAGCCCTGTTGTTTTTCTTTCCAAAACTCATAACTCCATGACTTCTCTAATGATGAGAAAAACATATAAACCCCAATAGAAAGCATGCTAAAAAAAATAGTAGTTTCAACAGAAAGCAAGAAAACTGACATTGTCATCAAAAACAAGCAAATTATAAGAAACTGTTACAGCCAGGATTTGCCTAAATGTACATGATTACAAAATGCAATATAATATCCTGGATGGGATTCTGGAGCACACACACACACAAACACACACAAACACACACATACACACACATACACCACACACACACACAAATACACACATACACACACATACACATACACCACACACACATACACCACACACACGCACACACCACACACACAAAAATACACACATACACACACATACACATACAAACACACCACACATATACACAGACACACAAACACATACACACACACCACACGTACACAAACATACACACAAAGACACACACATACACAAACACAAACACACCTCACATACACACACACCACACACACACATATATGCACACACACATACACACATAGGTAAAAACTAAGGTAATCTCAATAAAGTAAGGACTTTAACTATAATTAAATTAAGTTAATTATAATTATAATTACAATAAGGACGTTAATAATAACTTATCAATACTATTTCATTAATTGCAATAAATATATTATACTAATGTAAGTTGTTAATAATTGAGGAAACGGGGTGAGGGGTAAATGGGAACTCTGTACTATCTTTGAAACTTTCGCAAATCTGAAACTAGTCTAAAATAAAAAAATGTATTCTACTCTTTACTTGTAAGAGATCAACTTTTTTAGATTTCACATATGAGTGAGATGAGGCAGTATTTGTCTTTCTGTGCTGGGCTTATTTCACTTAACGTAATGTCTTCTAGGCTCATCCGTATCATCACGCATGATTGGATTTCACCCTTTTGAATGTCTGAATAGTATTCCATTGTGTATCTATACCACTTCTAAAATCCATCCATCTGTTGATGGACACTTACATTGAGTCTATATCTTGGCTATTATGAATAGCACTGCAATAAACATGGGGTACGATATCTCTTACACACTACTTTTATTTTTATATACATTCCAAGTAGTAGGATTGTTGGGTCATATGGTAGTTCCATTTTTAATCTTTTCAGGAACCTCCACACTGTTGTCCAGATGGCTGTACTAATTTACATTCCCACTAACAGTATATGAGCTCCCATTTCTCCACATTCTCACCAGCATTTGTTAATTTGTGTCTTTTTAATAATAGCATTCTAACTCTGGCGAGGTGAAAACTCATTGTGTTTTTTAAATGTATGCATAATAGATGTACATATTTTTGGTGTACATTTGATATTTTGGTACAATCCTATAAAGTGTAAAGATCAAATCAGGGTAACTGGGATATCCATCGCCTTACACATTTATCTTTTCTTTATGCCAGAAACATTCAAATTCTTCTCTTCTAGCTATTTTGAATTGTACAATGGATCATTGTTAACTATAGTCGCCTACTGATCTCTTGAACACTAGGTCTTATTTCTTCTACCTAACCTAATCTTTGTACCCATTAATGATCTTGAGCATTTTGTCATACACCTGTTGGCCATTTGTATGTCTTCTTTCGAGAAATGTCCATTGAGGTGTTTAAAATCAGATTATTTTAAAATCCGTTTAATATCAGAATTTTTTTTGCTGTTGTTTGAGTTCCTTATATATTCCAGATATTAACTCCAGATATTGTCAGGTGTGTAATGTCAGTTTGCAAATATTTTCTCCCCTTTGTTGTTTGCTTCCCTAGAGGCTGGGGAGAGTGATGGGGAGGGGGGGGACGCAGTGAGGCTGCTCCATGGTTACCAAGTTACAGTTAGATGAGGAGAATTCGATCTTGTATTCCATTGCACACTAGGGTGACTAGAGTTAAAAATAATGTATTGTATATTTCAAAACAGCTAGAAGAGAGAATTTTGAATGCTCTCACTACAAAAAGTGATGAGTGTTTGAGATGATAGATACACTCATTACCCTGATTTGATCATTACACAATGTATACATGTGTCAAAACATAACGCTTCACCCCATAAATATGTACAATTATTACGTGTCAATTAAAAACAAAATAAAACTTTAAGAAGTGTACTAATTCAAACGGGAGCTGAGATAGCAGGGCTACACAGAGCAGGGGCTAATGGAACTTTACAGAGATAAGGTGCCAAATCTTGCAAGGAGGAAAAAACCCAAATGTGAGAAGATTTTTGTAAGGTTAACTTAAAAGATCAGTAAATTATCATTTAAGTGAAAGCTCTGAGTAGCAGTCATGTAGCTGGTTTCTTTTTTCCCTCTAAAGCAGTTTAGAAAATGTGCTTCCAAGGGCACTCATGGGAGGGTTCTGAGTTCATTCTGTGGCCTGTTGTAAATAGTTTTAGTGCCAAGCCCCTGGTTTCAAAGGGGTGATGAGATTGTTTCTGACCAGCATTTATTCTCTTAGTTGAAAGGAAGTGGTCCCTTCTGTTCAGTTTGTGTCTTGCAGGGAAAAGGAAGGTACGTGAGAAGGATGAAATGTTTTCAGCACGCCTCCCGGGCAGCCCTGTGACCCGGCAGGTTCCAGGAGACTTGAGTCAGCTTCAGCAGGAACTGAGGCTAAAGGATGTGGTTGAATAGGATGGCCACAGGCTAGGGCTGCAGGAAGCCTCATTTCCCTGAGCTGGATAGTCTTGAGACAGTTGGATGTCACAAAACACAGAAGAGGACTAATAGGAAAAAATAGCACCTGAAGAGAAAGTTTTAATGCACAGGGGGATGCATTTAAAAAATAAAGCTACTGTTTCTGCTGGTGAACACTGAAAGAAAGTGCAAAAATAGAGTCTTACTATTTCTACACCGGTGAAGCAAAACCCCACTCCTCTCCCAGCAATGAAGAACTCTGTCCCACAATGACACTGACTCTTTTCTTCCATTCCAAGATCATGTAGTGCAGACCAGTAGCACAAAAATCTTTCATGGATGGAACCAAAATGCTGGGTGATAGACTCCTGCCCACTGAGGACAGCTTGGCCCGGCAGCCCCGCCGCCCCTCCATGGCCCTGGCAGCCCCTCAGTGAGGTCAGAGGGGAGCAGGAGTGTGAAGACAGACAGCCAATTCAGGCCCTGGCTGGTGCTTCACTCAGGCAAGGCCCCTGCCCACACTACTGACGGTCTCTCAGATGCAGATCCCTAGTCAGATAAACAACATTGATGATGTCCTTGAAGACCTTCATGAGGGTGAATTATCAGATGCTTTAGTATGAATCTTGGCCCAGAGAAGCTGCTCAAAAATGCTTCTTCACACCTCCCTGCTCCACTGTATCTGTTAGTTGAGCATTTGAGGGCTTGATCATGTGTAAATTTCGTGATGTTTTCTCAGTATATTGTCCCAAATGATACAACTTTCCCCATTTTATCTCTTTGGATTTCATTCTCCTGCTGTTTTAGAGAGTGCTATGGATAGTTGATGCCACAGAGGTATTTTTGCTAATTTATAATTGTCAACTGAGACCTAAAAGCTGGCTTTATTAACAAACAAAATCCCCAAAATATCGCAAACCTACACACCCAGAAGCATCACGAGAAGTCACATAATGAAACACTTTCCCAGTTTATGAAATTAGAGGAAGTGCTCTCAGAAAAAAACGCATTCTATTAAAATAATAATAATAATAATCACCCCAAACCTGGAGGAGTGGCTCACACCTGTAATCCCAGCACTTTGGGATGGCAAAGCCTGAAGAGTGCTTGAGGCCAGGAGTTCAAGACCTGGCCTGAGCAATACAGTGAGACCCCGTCTTTACAAGAAATATTAAAACTTAGCCAGGCATGGTGGCAGCACTTGGGAGGCTGAGGTAGGAAGATCACCTGAGCCCAGGAAGTCGAGGCTGCAGTGAGCTGTGACCACATCACTGCACTCCAGCCTGGGCCACAGTGAGACTGTCTCTTAAAATAAAAAAGAACTCCTCCAATTCCCATCTACGAACCACTTGCTAAGTGGCAGACTCCGCTGTGCTCAAGAAACATCTCGCCCATTCCTCAAACAGTGCTGTGAGCTAAGGGTCACCACTATTCCCAATTTAAAGTGAGGACATGGTGGTGGCAAGGTGGCCAGTGACATCCTCAAGGTAAGACATTCTAAACGAGTGAAGGGGATACAAAAACAGATTAGCCTGCCACAGTGACATCCAGCCCTGGCTAACCAGTGGCTCCTCCAACCCGCACCTGGGAGGCTGTAACCAGGTGGAGGCCACAGGGCCAAACATACTTCAGGTGTGCATCTTCGCTGATTAAATTGAAGGGGCTCCACTTAATTTCCAGAATACTGCAGTTGTTTGATGGACCCACTAGCCTGCTCCACCGTCTGGAGCCAGCCCCAGTTCTGCCCATTGTGCTAGTGCCACAGCAGGGGACAGGCTCCCAATCGTCCAGAGCTGGACAGCCCAGAGCCGGGGTTCAACTGAACCTTTCTTTCTCAGCCTCTGTTTCAACCCTGAATAGGGAAGAGCAACGTCTTTCTCTCTGACTCATCTAGTTATATATTCAATGTCTGCTTAAAATGGCTCCATTCTGCAGGTCCAAACATGCATGTCTGAGCTCCCCAGGAAGCAGTTCCACATGCTGCCTCCCTCATCCAAAGTGAGGTCAACTCCATCCGTCCTGTTACGCCACAAAGCTTGGAGTCATCTTGATATATTTCCTTCTCTCACACCCAACAGCTAATCCATTAGGAAAGCCTATGTGCTCCACCTTCAAAGAAAATCCACATCTCCCCGTCACCATGCTGTTCTCAGCCCCCACCCACTCTCTCCTTTATTACCCTGGTAGGCTGCTAACTAGTGCCTCTGCTTCTCTAAGCTCCCCAACACACATTCCTCATTGAATACTTACAAGCCGGAGTCACCTTCCAAAATGTAAATCAAGCCATACCATTCTTCACTCAAATCAGTCATCTGATCAACCATCCTTTATTCAGAGTGAAGGCCAAAGTCCTTGAAGCCCACAGGCGCTAGTGCATTGGGCCCCGTTCCTCTCAGAAGCTTTCTCCCCCACCCTCCCTTTTCCTCCCACATCTGAGCCATGCTGGCCTTATTGCTTGTTTTCCAACAAGCTAATCTGGCTCAGGCCATGGCCAGACCCAGCTCATTCCTGTGCTGGAGTGTTCTTGGCCCAGATATCTACATGGCCAAGTCCCTCACCTATGGAATAATAGACACAGACCTGGAGCCCATTCTCAGATTCTCTGCATTACTAGCAAGGATCCCAGCCACAGCCACAGGCCCACATAACCTCATGTCCAACTTCTTGCTCAACCACCAGTCTGCTTCTGCACTCAAATGAGAGGCACATGCTGGCTGTGGGTCTGGACTCCTGCGTCATTACCAAGGAAGACACAGGTTTTGAGTGCCAGGCCAGTAGCTATCCTTAAGGTAAACACGGGCCACTGGGAGAGGAAAGACAATGGGAGTCAGGCAGCACCCCCTCCCCTCTCTATGGCGGCTCCCAAATGCAGTTGGTCCAGAGAACATGGGATTCCTGAGGGAGCACGTTGCCATGCCATCTGCCCTTCTCTGTGGCCATTGATAAAGTGGCTCCTTTTGGTAACCCACCATTTCACATTGCTTTGCTCACGTCCTGAGCTCGTTTGCCCTGTTCTCCACCCAAGTCCTGGGCTTCCACCTCCAAGTTGTTCTCCCTTTATCCTTGCCTCAGGTTCTGCTCTCTAGAAGGCTTGGGCTCAGTCATGCCCTAGTGCCTTTGCTCATGTATCTTGAAGGCACATTCTGACCACCTGTGTGATTCTGAGATGTCCATGGGACTCCTGGTCCCCTTGGCCTGCTGCATTACTTATATTTTTGTATTGCATTCAACACCTTCTAAGCTGCTATGCCTTAACTTACACATGATATTTTTTGTTCCTCTGCTGCAGTGGAAGCTCAGCAAGTGTGAGGATCTTTTCTTCATTGATGCATCCCAGGCATCTACAATCATGCCTGGCATATGGTGGGGACTCAATAAATATTTAGGCAACAATGAATCAGGTCATTGTTAGGTTAAATGGGAAAACAGGAAAAATGCCAGGCATGTAGCAATTAGGACTGATTTCTGCACCTAGCTGCTTTCAGGAGTAGCCTCTCTCTTAGCAACTACCTCTCAGGTAAGAGTATGACAGTCAAGGTTTATAGCAGTTTGTGAAATATCAAGTGCTCTAGTTAGTACAGCTTTGTAACGACCCAAACTTGTGTCATAAAATAGCCACTGTATTATCCTTCTGTATTGTGTATCAAGGGCAGACCAGGCAAGGTGGGGTTGGCTTGTTTCTCTGTGATGTCTGGAGCCTCAGCTGAAGACTTGTTTCTGGGATGACTCAATGATTAGAGGCTGAAATTGATGGAAAACATGTTAAGACTCATGTCTGGGAATTGCTGTGGGATATTGACCAGAACCACAGCTGAGTTGTCAGCAGAAATATCTACACATGGTTTCTCCATGTGGTGTCTCCAAGTGAGCTAGCTCAAGCTTCCTCACAGCATGACTGAGTTCCAAGCGCCAGTAAACTAAAGGAACAGGTAGAAGCCCTATACTTTTTCTGACCTGGTATCAGGAGTCGCATGGCATCACATGTGATGTAGTCATCAGCCTGACAGAGTTGGGGCAGAAAACAGGCCCCATCTCTCAATGAGAGAAGGGCCAAAGGGCATATGGAACATCTCAGCCCAGAGGAGCTAAGAAATCATGACAACAATGCAGGATCTTGGATGGGCTCCTGGAACAGAAAAGGGGCATGCGATAAAAAGTAAGGAAATCTGAATGAAGTTGGGACTTTAGTTAATATCAATGCATCAGTATTAGTTAATTAACTGTGCCAAATATACCATACTAATTTCGGATGTTAATGATAAGGGAAATGGTTGTAGAGTACATGGAAACCCTCTCTACTAGCGCCACAGTTTTCCTATCAATAGTCTAAAGCTGTTTTCAAAAATAAAGCTTATTTTAAAAAGGAAAAAAAAGAGCATATGGGTCAGCATATATTATTGAAACCCTTTTAGAAAAATATAATCTGCCACAACAAAGAAGAGGTGCTGATACCAACCTTGAAGGGAAAAGCAAGAGCACACAGGTTTAGTATGAAATGGCTATAAAGTCTCTAGATAAAAGCCATGTTTATTATCCAGAGGTATGAAGAAAGGAAGCAACGTCACTCAATAAAAAGAACAAATGGCCCAACAATGCTTTTAGCGTTTGACTTTAAATGCATCATGGTCATATTTTGCAGCCAGCTCATCACTACGTGTGCTATCTACATACAGATGCTCCCTCAAGGTCAACTGGACAGAGTTTCCATCTAATTATTTAATCACAGATTGCACAAGCATCCAGTGATTCTATAAAAGCCAATCATATTAAACTTCAAATGGGATGAATATGCAGTGACTTTTTATCCAAACTACATATATTTCTGAGAATGTATTTTCATCTTAAAATTAAGCTTAATATTTTTAAAACATCATTGAATTAAAACAGTTCTAGTGCATTAAAAGGTATGTAAGAAGCAGTGTGGTAAATACGGCCACTAATTTCTTTCTCTTCCCAATGAGAGGTGGGGTCTAATCCCCTTCCCCTGGTTATGGCCTTGGTGGCTCACTTGATCAGTAGAAAACAGCAGGAGTGACTTCCTGAGTTTTCCAAGGGCTACAGTATAAGATGTGAAGCTTCTGCTCTTAGAACCTGTGAGAAGCCCGAGCCACCAGGAAGGGTGCTGGGCAGTGAATGTGTGAACAGCCCCTGCTGCATTCCCAGCTGACAGCCAGCATTCCCAACCTGCCAGCTGCCTTAGATGTCCAGCCCAGGTGAGGTGACTGCGGCCCTGGCACCATCTGACTGTTACCAAATGAGAGATCCCATGCAACAATCACCCAGCCGAACCCAGGCAACTCACAGATTTCTGAAATTTAACACATTTTTTAAGCCATTAAGTGTTGGAATGATTATGCAGCAATAGGTAACCTGTACAAAGATTTATAGATATTTAATAGGTAAAGTTTTAAAATATTCAAGAAGTTTAAAATTGACTAAATGATGTATAAAAATTGTGGGAAATTGTAAAAGAAATTCTAGGGGAAACTATTTGAGTGAGAAGAAAAGCATCCAGGTATTGGTTGAACAAATCAAATAGAAGGATAAGATGCAAACCGTCAGTAAGTTGTCATCAATGTGGAAAAGCACAACAAAATATATGTGTCTTAATTGAGTACATTGCAAGGAATTTGAATACAGGATTTTTGTTTTGTTGTTTATTTTTGAGATGGAGTCTCACTCTGTCACCCAGGATGGAGTGCAGTGGCGCCATCTTGTCTCACTGCAAACTTCGCCTCCAAGATTCAAGAGATTCTCCTGCCTCAGCCTCCCTAGTAGCTGGGATTACAGGCATGTGCCACCACACCCGGCTAATTTTTGAATTTTTAGTAGAGACGGGACTTCACCATGTTGGCCAGGATTATCTCGAACTCCTGACCTCATGTGATCCACCCAACTCGGTCTCCCAAAGTGCTAGGTTCTTTTTATATTTCTTCTTTTATATTATTTATTCAATAATCTGTTTGTTAGTTATTTTGGGTAATGTCAACCCTGTGAACCTATTACTCAATATAAAAACTAGAATCTTAATAATTTCTTGTATTAGCTCTATGGTCCATCGTATTCCATTTCCTTGACTCTCATATTCAAAATAAAATGGTCTTCATATGCATCTTATCTTTCCTTCTTTCCTCTTCTTCTTTATTATTATTTTTTTTTCTAAGACAGGGTCTCTGTCTGTCTCCCAGGATGAAGTGCAGTGGTGTGATCATGGCTCACTGCAGCCTCAACCTCTCAGGCTCAATCGATCCTCCCACCTCAGCCTCCCAAATAGCTGAGACTGCAGGCATGCGTCCCCATGCCCAGCTAATTTTTTTTTTTATTTTTTTTTTGTAGAGATAGGGTTTCACCATGTTGCCCAGGCTGGTTTCTAACTCCTAGGCTCAAACAATCTGCCCACCTCGGCCTCGCAAAGTGCTGGGATTACAGGAGTGAGCCACTGTGCCCAGCCCTCTTCTTTCTTGACAGAATCTGCTTACCCTTTTTGAAAGCTGCATTTAGTTTCAGACAAATTCATGTTGCTTCCTAGTTACCTGATCACTGAGCTCATTAGCAGGCATACGCACAAAGATTGAGAAGGACACTAAATTTAAAAATAAAGGTATATTAAATTCAACACTCCCTCATGTTAAAAACTCTCAATAAACTAAGTATTGAAGGAACATGCCTCAAAATAATAAGAGCTACCTATGACAAACCCACAGTCAGCATTATACTGAATGGGCAAAAACTGGAAGCATTCCTCTTGAAAACTGACAGAAGAAAAGGATGCCCTCTCTTACCACTCCTATTCATTACAGTATTGAAAGTCCTGACCAGGGCAATCAGGCAAGAGAAAGAAATAAAGGCATTCAAATAGAAAGAGAGGAAGTCGAACTATCTGTTGGCAAACAATAAGATTCTACATCAAGAAAACCCCATAGTCTCAGTCCAAAAGCTCCTTAAGCTGATAAACAACTTCAGCAAAGTCTCAGGATACAAAATCAATGTGCAAAAATTACTAACATTCCTATATACCAACAACAGCCAAACCAACCCAAATCAAGAATGCAATTCCATCTACAATTGCCACAAAAATAAAATAAAATACCTAGGACTACAGCTAACCAGGGAGGCCAAAGATCTCTACCAGAAGAACTACAAAACACTGCTTAAAGAAATCAGAGATAACACAAACAAATAGAAAAACATTCCATGCTCGTGGATGGGGTGAATCAATACCATTAAAATGGCCATACTGCCCAAAGCAAATTATGGATTCAATGTTATTCTTATCAAACTACCAATGACATTTTTCACAGAACTAAAAAAAACACACTTTCAAAATTCATGTGGAACAAACAAACAAACAAAAAAGCCCAAATAGCTAAGGCAATCCTAAGCAAAAAGAACAAAGCTGGAATCATGCTACCTGACTTTAAACTATACTACAGGGCTGCAGTAACCAAATCAGCAATGGTACTAGTTTAAAAACAGACAAATAGACAAATGGAACAGAATACAGAAACCAGCAATAAGGCCACACACCTATGACTATTTGATCTTCAACAAACCTGACAAAAACAAGCAATGGGGAACTTCCTATTCAAAAACAAGCAATGGGGACTTCCTATTTAATAAATGGTGCTGGGATAATTAGCTAGCCATATGTGAAAGGTTGAAACTGGAGTACTTTCTTACATCATATACAAAAATTAACTTAAGCTGGATTAGAGGCTTAAATGTAAAACCCAAAACTATAAAAACCCTAGAAGACAACCTTGACAGTACTATTCTGGACATAGGAATCAGCAAAGATTTCATGATGAAGACACTAAAAGCAAGTGCAACAAAAGCAAAAATTGACTAATGGGACCTAATTAAACTAAAGAGCTTCTGCACAGCAAAGGAAACTATCAACAGAGCAAACAGACAACCTACAGGATGGGAGAAAATTTTTGCAAACTATGCATCTAACAAGGGTCTAATATCCAGCATCTATAACTTAAACAAATTTACAAGAAAAAAAAACAAACAACCCCATTAAAAAGTGGGCAAACTACAAGAAAAAACACTTTGCAAAAGAAGGCATACATGTGGCCAATAATCATATGAAAAAAAGCTCAACATCACTGGTCATTAGAGAAATGCAAATCAAAACCATAATGAGACACCATCTCATACACGTCAGAGTGGCTATTATTAAAAAGTAAAAAAAAAAATACATATTGGCAAGGTTGCAGAGAAAAAGGAACACTTAAACACTGTCGGTGGGAGTGTAATTAGTTCAACAATTGTGGAAGACAGTGTGGTAGCTCCTCAAGGGCCTAAAAACAGAAATACCATTTGACTGGCAATCCTATTACTGGGTATATACCCAAAGGAATATGCATTTTTCTATTAGAAAGACACAGGCACCCATATTTTCACTGCAGCACTATTCACAATAGCAAAGACATGGAATCAACCTAAATGCCCATCAATGGTAGACTGGATAAAGAAAATGTGGTACATGCACACCATGGAATACTATGCAGCTATAAGAAAGAATGAGATTATGTCCTTTGCAGGAACATGGATGAAGCTAGAGACCATTATCCTTAACAAACTAATGCAGGAACAGAAAATCAAGTATCACATGTTCTTATTATAAGTGTGAGCTAAATGATGAGAATACGTGGACACATACAGCAGAACAAGACACACTGGTGCCTACTGGCGGGTGGAGGGTGGATGAGGGAGAGGATCAGGAAAAATCACTAATAGGTACTGGCTTAATACCTGGGTGATGAAATAATCTGTACAACAACCCCCCATGACACAAGTTTACCTATAACAAACCTCACATATGCTGTACATAAAATACAAGTTAAAAGTTAAATTTTGTAAAAGGTAATATTAATATTTACTATTAATTATTAAGATTTATTAGTATGGTTCTGTTACATTGCGCGAAACCAATATCTGATTTGGCCTTTCCAGCATTCTTTGTAAATAGACTACATAAGAAGCAACGGGCAGCCCATAGAAACATCCTTAGGCCTGACTTTAAAATTAAGATCTAGAGCCATTTATTTATTATAGCACATACGGTATGTTAGCATTTATATTCATTGTGGTAATAAGCATGATATACACAGTTCATGTCTCCAAGATACTCACGATAGGGAAAAAGACATGAAAACAAATAAATATAAATGATAAAATAAGTCAAGGGTACAAATAGAACATCAAATTAATTGTGTCTGGAAGCTAGGGTATAAAACTCTTCCCCAGGCTGTTGACACGTGGTTGAGATTCTGAAGGAAGAACAAGGATTTGTCAGAGACAAGAGGTGGGGAGAGGGTGGTGGGCAGAATGATTCAGAAATATGGAGCAGAAGTGCGAAGTCATGGAGACCTGCAGCATCTTCAGATCTGGAAGAGCCACTGGGAACACTCAACAAACTGAGAAGTGACGAGGGAAAGGGTCCTGGAGATTCTCTGAATTGTTTCTTATAAGTTGCCACCATCCAACACAGCAGACACGAGCCTCACATGATCACTGAGTTCGTGTAACCTGGAGCGTCCACAGTCAGAGGTGCTGTTGGTGTAAAGTGCACCTTGGATTTTGAAGACTTAATATGAAAGAAGTTTGTATAACAGCTCATAAACCTTTTTATATTGATGATATCAAAATAACAAGGTTTTGGATATTCTACACTTAAATAAAACTTGGTATTAAAATTAATTTCAGAGACAGGCACGGTGGCTCACTTCTGTAATACCAGCCCTTTGGGAGGCCAAAGCAGGCAGATCTCTTGAGTCCAGGAGTTCGAGACCAGACATGGGCAACATGGCAAAACCCCATCTCTACAAAAAATACAAAAATTAGCCAGACCTGGTGGTGAGTGCCTGTAGTCCCAGCTACTTGGGAGGCTGAGCCCAGGAGGCGGGGGTTGCAGTGAGCCCAGATGGCACTACTGTACTCCAGTCTGGGTAACAAAGTGAGACCTTGTGTCAAAAAAAATAATAATAAAAATTCAAGAAATTTAAAATGAAATTAATTTCACTTTTTGAAACTTCGTTTAATGTAATTACTACAAAACTTAAAGTAACTTAAAGTAACATGTGCAGCTTGTGTTCTATTTCTATTGGACAGTACTAATCTATTGGCCTCACCGTGGTATCCTTTACTTCCCCCTTTAATATCAATCTGAAAAACCTGCAGTGGACTTTATAGTTTTTAAAAGCTATCATGTCATTAATCTGCATAAACCACTAAGGAAAGCCAGAGAGTATAAATCAAGTGTGATGTAGCTTATAATTTGCCTTCAAGAACCAAGAAGGATGTCTTATTTTCTAAAATCTTCATGTATCATGCTTGAAGAAAAAATGAAATTATAATTTCTTGTTTCCAAATATTTATTAGCAATGTTCTAAATACATAATCCAGACAGTTAACTGTTTGGGGGAGACTGAATGCCACCTGGTCTCTGGTCTCGACAGCTCAATTACCCTAGTAGTTATCATACATGCATGATGAATAATGTGCAGGTTACACTGCTCGAATGCAGGTTGTGTTTAGCCTGCAGTATCTCTTGCATAGATTTCCACATGAAGCACTTAGGATCAGACACAGAGGGTTATTCTTTTTTTTATTCTTTTTTTTTTTTCTTTTTTATTTTGAGGCAGAGTCTCACTCTGTCACGGAGGCTAAATTGCAGTGGCACGATCTTGGCTCACTGAAACCTCTGTCTCCTGGGTTCAGCAAGATTCTCCTGCCTCAGCGTCCCGAGTAGCTGGAATTACAGGTGCCCACCACCACAGCTGGCTAATTTTTGTATTTTTAGTAGAGACAGTGTGTCTTCATGTTGGCCAGGCTGGTCTCTAACTTCTGACCTCAAATGATTAGCCTGCCTCAGCCTCCCAAAGTGCTGGGATTCAGGTGTGAGCCACCGCGGCTGGCCCACAGAGGGTTATTCTATGGAACATGATGTTTTATTGCTACTAAGACACTCAGGTGCCCACCAATCACATTTCCTCATAGAACAGTTGTGGGAACTTGTCTGCAAGGCTGCACTCCCAATGCCACAGCAGGGACAGGAGACTTGTTGCCCAGAGCACCACTCTGTTCCATAGAGACCACTCATGTGCAAAGACTACAGTTCCTGGGGCCTTTCCATCTCTTAGTGCCAGTAATCACCAAAACTAAGCTCTAAACATCACTTAAATCAAACGACAGGAGAGTAGGAGCTCTAAAAGCCCTCTGATTTTCATAAACTCCTCTTGTGCACTGTCTTTCTGTCTTCCTGAATAAAATTAATATTTCCAATATGTCCATGCTATCCATGCTGATAAAAACGTAGTGAGTGGATTCTCATCACTATGAGTTGAGGTTGCAGTATATAGACAGAAATGGAAATAATGATCTTGATCATAATAAAGAATAATTGGCCAGGCGCAGTGGCTCATGCCTGTAATCCCAACACTTTGGGAGGCCGAGGCGGGCGGATCACGAGGTCAGGAGATCGAGACCATCCTGGCTAACACGGTGAAACCCCGTCTCTACTAAAAATGCAAAAAATTAGCCGGGCGTGGTGGCGGGCGCCTGTAGTTCCAGCTACTCGGGAGGCTGAGGCAGGAGAATGGCGTGAACCTGGGAGGCGGAGCTTGCAGTGAGCCAAGATAGTGCCACTGCACTCCGGCCTGGGTGAAAGAGCAAGACTCTGTCTCAAAAATAAAAAATAAAAAAAAAGAATTGGGCCAGGTGCTATGGCTCACGCTTGTAGCCTGTAATCCCAGCACTTTGGGAGGCCAAGGCGGGTGGATCACCTGAGGTCAGGAGTTCGAGACCAGCCTGGCCAACATGGTAAAACCCAATCTCTACTAAAAACACACAAAAAAATTTAGCTGGGCGTGGTGGTGGGTGCCTGTAATCCCAGCCACTCAGGAGGCTGAGGCAGAAGAATCACCTAAACCTGGGAGGTAGAGGTTGCAGTGAGCCGAGATCATGCCACTTCACTCCAGCTTGGGTGAAAGAGTGAAACTCTGTCTCAAAAATAAATAAATAAATAAATAAATAATTTAGGGAGGTCTCATGCCATGCTGGGCATTTATCCCTATTAGCTCATTTAATCCTGAAAACATAGTTGCTGTTATGTCCCACTTTTTAATGATGATCAGGCAAAGACAAAGAAGGGTTGAAGAGCTTGCCCATAGGCCCACAGTTAAAAAAATCATGATGTCAATCACAAAAGTGAGTTGTCTCCCTTCAGAGTAAGCATGGCCAGTCTTTATAGAATGCTATCTGCAAATAATTAGGCCCTTAGCCTAGGTTTGGCATAAAGAGAAGGAAATTAATGGCAGTAAGCAGAAAATCCAAAAGTCAGTGTCAATGAGAACAAAGGTGAGTGACCATCAGAAGCCCTGTACTCAACTGAGAAGTCAGCTTTTACCGACAATCCTTCTGACAGAAATAACAAAGGGGAATCTCAAGCAGTGGTGAAATTTATCCTTAGTGTCCAAAGAAGAACCTAGCAAAGAGAGAAAAAAGAAACTCAACTATAGAAACTAGACTAAAGGGGTTGTACGTCATCTTGTTTCCAATGGAAACTAATGATTATCTTCTGGATGCTAGAAGAGCAACTCACATCTTTAAAAAAGATAAAAAAGGAACAGAGTCAGAAGGACTCCAAGTGGAAACGCAAGAATTTTCTCATCTTCTGACTTGAACTTCAGGGATCTCCCACCTGGAGGGAAGATAGAGTCTTTTATCCTGCTCCTGCTTATCTATTACATGAGGCCACCAGCATCAGCCCATACTCTCATCGGTTCCCATGAACACAGTGTCTCTGCATGCTAGACAGGATGATCCGGTAAGAAGGGATCATGCATAATTTCGAGAATGAAGTCTGAGAAGACAAGGGGATAGGAGGTGACTACAAAAATGATTGCTGCTTCCTCCTGCACATACGGGGCTTGCACAGGGACAGGCACATGAGTGTATCTCACAGGTAAGCTGTGCTGTGGTTTGAATATTTGTCACCCCAAACTCATGCTGAAGTTTAATGGCCACTGTAACAGTATTAAGAGATGGGAACTTTGAGAGGTGATTAGACCAGATGGACCCTGTCACCACAAATGGATTAATGTCTTTATTGTGGAAAATGGGCTCATTATCATGGTAGTGGGTTTCTTATAAAAGGACAAGTTTGCCCACCCCCCACCCTGCCTTCCCTTTGCCTTTACACCATGTGATGCCTTTTGCCAGGCTATGACATAGCAAGAAGGCCCTTGCCTTCTGACTCCTCAGTCTTAGACTTCTCCACCTCTAAAACTGTAAGAAATAAATTTCTCTTCTTTATAAACTATTTGTTCTCAGGCATTCTTTTACAACAGCACAAAACAAAGATAGAAAATTGGTACCAGGGAAGTGGGGTGTTGCTACAACAAATCCCTTCCCTTGTGTACATTGTAAACATCCATCAAAACGCCACAGTGTCTTCTATACATGTTATTCCTTATGATTTGTCAATTAAACATAATATTAGTTTTTAAAAACAAAATTAATGAGAATGTGCCTACGGTTTCCACAGTCTCCCCTATACAGTTTCTCCTGCCCAGATCCTATTACCCACACCCACCACACATCCTACCAAATGTAAGAGAAACAACGGTGTTTTATTGAGCAATAACAAACCCCAGTTAATCTAGAGTCTGGACTAAGAAAAGTCTGAGTAATCTGAAATTCTGGTCAAAGAACAGACATACTTTTGGGATGAGACCAATTTGAAGACGAGGGCCAAGCAATTTAGATGAGCCAAGATAATCTTTAAACCAAAGACACAGAGAGATCTTTTCAGAACTGCTGTTCCAGGAAGCCAACCCCAAGGCCTCTGTCAGTCAGAACATCTTGGCCTCCCCAGTCACTGAGTGATTTCCAGCCCCGGCCCAGCAGAAGCATCACTCACATCTGAGCTGGCAAGGACAGGAGGTGAAGCCCAGCCGATTTCTCAGGTGGTGCAGGAAGGCGCGGCCCAGTCAATCACGTTCATGCCAGAATAACTGATTAAGGTAGCAGCCCTTGAAACAGCCTTGCCTGTAGGACGTGACCTCCCAGACCCTGTCTGGTGCCCGCCATACTGATGCGGGGATTACTCCAAGGAAGCGGCTCCCTCTGGCTTCCTTATTCCTCCCTCCTCCTTATTCAGCCTCTCAGGTTTTCCGCAGTCAGAACAAAATGCACAGAAGGGATTGTTCACTCATAGTGAAAATTTATTCAGGATAGGTCATTTGTTTTAGTGAAAATAGAATGTTCTTGAAAATGTTGCCATTACTGGAAATTATATTCCTGTTCTGCAAGATAAGAAACAAAGCTGGCCTCCAGCTTTCTCATAAATGAAAAGTAAAAATCAAAACAAAACGAAACAAAAGGCACAGAGAACAACCACAACAGCGAAATGCTTCCAGCCCTGCGGAAGGAGGAAATATTCTGCATACACCATTCTCCATCTATTCAATGTTTCTGGATTTCTGTTTTTGTTTAGTAGAGTCAGTGGTTTAGGTGTTCAGCGGGCTAGCTCAGCTGCCTTTGGGAGGAAAGAGTTCTTGATATGGGAGACCACAGAGAAGTCGAGGGCTTGTTGTGTATCTCCCAGCTGAAGATCACACACCCCTTCATGGGATCCTTTAACTGTGGTTGATGGCTGTCTCAAGAACAAGAAACAGAAAAGTCTCCCCCACCATGGGATTATTCCAGAGGTTTCCACACTTGTCTGCAAACCCCTCAAGACTATGAATTAATTTATCTTAGGTTTAACTTGGTCTTCAGAATTATTTCAAATCTTCAGGTCATGTTAATATGCTAAGTTTGGGAATGACTGGATTCTAGGTTTATTAAGCAAACATAAGTCTTGCATTTCATGCTACTAAATGATGGACATTGAATAAAGGAAACAAATAAAAAACAAAACGACGACAACAAAACAAACCAGGTCCTTGGAGAGCTTGCGCATGACTGAAAGGGATAAAGGATTTGTGCAAATGCTGAAGCCTGCGGTGGTGGCTGGGTCTTTGGAATATGTTCTGGGTTTAACTTCACTCAGTGACTGTCCGATGGTGATGGTCCCACTCACCCAGAGGGAGCACCCAGTCCTTCACCCTTTCCTGCAGCTCCCATACAAGGTCCCTGGATGCAGGCAGGACTTTCCTGGACATAGCACCCGCCTAACCCATCCCCTGGAGCCTTACGCCCCCAACTGTGCCATTTTTGTATCAAATGCTGGTCTTTGTTTGAGAGGAACACTTAACATATTAGGGAAATGAGCTGTTTCAGTGATGTTGGTGGCATATCCTAATCTCCCCCAACTTATTGATTGTCTTTTGATTTCACTGTATGGTTGATACAATGCCAAAATTTTTATTTTATGTAGCTAAATTTATTAATCACCTTTTTCCTTCTTCTTGGCTTTTCTTCATAGTCAGAAAAGCTTCCCATATTCCATATGTACAATTCATATAATTTTTATGCAATATAAAATATTATATGCAATATAAAATATATATATGCCACTGATTTTTGTATATTAATTTTATTTCCAAATACCTGAATTCTGAAGTCCCTTATCATTACCAAAATTTTTTGGTCGGCTATCTTAGTTTTTGATGACAAATGATAAATATTATCTAATATGGCAGCTATTTTATATCTTTCATCCCACAATTGTATATCTTTAATTTTTTAATTTATTTTTCTAAGTTTTGGTGGGTAGTGCAATGTCAGTAATAACAAATAATATTGGAGATAAATAGGGGCTTCAGCTTTGTATTTTCTCAGACGTTAGTGAGAATGCTTCTAGTGTGTCCCTATAAAGCACAGTGTTTGTTTTGGTACAAACATACGCATGATGGCCACAGAGAAGTGTCAGTGCATTCTTTTTAAGAGTATTATTTAACACACACACACACACACACACACACACACACAAGCATGGAAATTGAATTTTATCATGTGCCTCATCAACATCTTTGGAAATAATAAAATGGTTTTTTTTCTGATATAGAACCTCTTTGTATTCCTGAAACAAACCCTTGTATAATGCTTTCTCTTTTCTTTTCTTTGTTTTTGAGATAGTCTTGCTCTGTTGCCTATGCTGCAGAGCAGCACGAACATGGCTCACTGCAGCCTTGACCTCCCAGGCTCCTCCCACCTCAGCCTTCTGAGTAGCTGAGACCACAGGTGTGTGCCCCCACCCCTGGCTATTTAAAAAAAAAAAAAAAGAAAAAAGAAAAAGAAAAAATCTGGAGAGATGAGGTCTCACCATGTTGCCCAGGCTGGTCGCAAACTCCTGGCCTCAAGCTATCCTCCCACCTCAGCCTGCAAAGTGCTGAGATTACAAGTGGGAGCCACTGTGCCTAGCCCCGCCCCCCCGCTGTACAATTCTATTAAAAAGCTTTAATTATTCGGTTTACTGTTAATTATCTTAGGATTTTTGAATGAGCATTTACTTGTAAAATTGGACTGTAATTTAGAATTTCTTATGCAATCATTGTCACATTTTAGTGTAAATAACATGCTTTTTTCTTCAAAATATTATGAAAAAAGCAATTATTTTTCTTTGGTCTGAAATATTTTCGTATCTTAGGAATTATCAACTCTTCAAATAACAGGATTCTTCACTATTTGCTGAAGGTTGAGTAGTCTTTTAATAAATCTCTTAATTTCTTCTATAATCACATTTGTTTTTTATCTCTTCTAGATTTTGTCTTCCTCGAGTCAGTTTTGACAAATTATATTTTGTTACAAAATTAGCATTTCCTCCTAGCTTTCAAATGTATTTGACAAAGTTAAGTTATGAGGTGTTTTCTAATTTTTAATTATCTGATTTTTTTCTCATAATTTCTCATTTTGTATGTTTGTGACTTCTTTCCTATACTAAAAGCTGTGAATTTTTCTCTGAATCCTTCATTAGCTATCTCCCAAATGTTTTGATATGTGAAATTGTTATTGTTATTTTTGTTGTTGTTTACAGTTATTATGACTTTTTTTTGAGACAGGGTTTCACTCTGTTGCACAGAGTGTAGTGGCAGGTGGAATCACAGCTCTCTGCAGCCTCAACTTCCCCAGGTCCAGGTAATCCTCCCACCTCATCCTCCCAAGTAGCCAGACTACAGGCATGTGCCAGCAGGCCTGGCTAATTTTTCGTATTTTTTATGGAGATGGGGCTTCACCATGTTGGCCAGGTTGGTCTTGAATGCCTGCTCTCAGGCTATCCGCCCACCTCAGCCTCCTAAAGTGCTGGAATTACAGGCTTGAGATACCACGCCTGGCTCTGTTCTGACATTTTTATTTGATTTTATTTTTTCAGCCAATAATTGCTTGAGAGCACCTTAAAGTCCAAGTGTTAAGGACTTTTTGTTTTGTCATAGTGCTTTTAAATTCTAGCTTTATTATGTTAGATCAGATAACGGTTGTACTTTTGACTTTTAGCATTTACTGTCATTTTCTTTTTCTGTTTAGACCCCTTGTAAAATCACATTTTGTGACTGTTCCATGGGCATTTGAGGAGGTTTAGACTTTGTTTTCAGGGTGTATTATCTGAATCTGTTGAGTAAACAGCCCTTATTAATTATGATATTTAAGCCTTCCATGTCTGCCTTACATTGTAGAGGTACTTTGAAGACTCCCACTATTGGCGTCTAGTTCTCATTATACGTCTTGTAGTTTTCACGTTATTAATGTGGTTGCTATGTTATTTCACAACTATCAAGCTGTGTTCTTCACCCTTTAGCATTTTAAGCATCTTTCTTTGTTTTGATTAATGATGTTTGGCACGGATTCAATTTAATCTGATGTTAAGATAAATAACCTGTTTTCTGTCTGAAAACAAAGGCTAGTTTATACTTTGCACATACTTCTATGTTCAAATTTTAATCACTAATTTTATTCACATGTCTTGTCACAGAATAAAGCTGGGTTTTCATTTTAATAGATGATTTCATCCCATTTGCTCTTATTGAAATGACAGTTATGTTTAGTTTTAGTTCTGTCATTTTATATTGTTTTCCTTTTTATAGCTTAAAATTATTTCTGTATGCTCTGTTTTTCTTGTACAATTTTCTCTAATTATAAAGAAGATTTGTATTTTTATTTCAGTGGATTGCATTTATAAACATGGCTTTCCACAATACCTTTTATTTTTGGACAGTGTTGCTTAGTTGCCGATTATTAGTAACGACCTAATTAACGTTCTTCTTCAGCCCCCACTGTCATATTTCTGGTCCTCCACCTGAGTTTAATTGATTACCATCTCTTGTCTATTGCTAAATCACTTATATATGTATTCTTTTATATGTATTCTTTTATTTACAGTTTTAAATATCCTTAGGGCACCCCTCTTTTTTCTCCTTCCCCCCTGACTTGTTAATTGTGCCACTGGTTCATTGTTAGACCCAATGACATCTCCATTCTAGTCTGTCACTCTAGTTTCATGGACATGTGGTCCCCCAAGCTCACTGTGGTCTCTGCCTTTGCCTTGTCATTCACTAATTCCACATTCTACAAACAGCACTACGAAATGTTGAACGGAATAGGTCCTGTCATTTAAATAGTATACACCGTGCCTTTATACATACGCTGTTTGGTTTCTTAAAGTGAAAGATGTCTGATAGATGGAAACCACGCTCACATCTCACAGCCCATGCCCAGATGGCTGCTCCCTCCTGGAGACCTACCTGCTGCTGGGGTCCTGCTCCCTAGTTCCTTCTTGCTGGCTTCTCTTCTGCTCACTCTAAGATCCCCTTCCCCACCAGAGGGGATAAATCTTCAGTTAAAATACAAGATGGCCCTAGGAAAGTCCCCTTGACTAATTATGAAGGGCAGTCCTGTTAGGCCCCAGGGACAAACGTCCTCATCAGACCAGGCCCTGGACCTGCCCTGCATAACCAAGGCCCCTAAGGTGGTTTCCAATTGGTAAAATCAAATTTTAAAATTATTTCACCCAAAATTTAATTTTCCACCTTGCCTTGTAATGAAATAAGTCTTTCAAGAAGCTTTTTGTAGAAACATGACATCACTTCTGCTGCAGAAAAGGGAGAGGAGAAAGAGGACAGAGGGGAGGGGGAGGCAGAGTGTGGACGCCAGAGGCTTCCCAGGCTGTGCAGGAGCCACCCCCTCAGACCTGAGGCTCACCACCAGCTCAGCAACCATGCACGGCTTTGAAGGCGGAACCAAGGAAAAAGATGGCCCCCCAAAAAGCACAGATCAGCCTTAAGACCTGTCCTAAAAGTAAAACTCAGAAAAAGAGGATCTTTTGAATTGCGGATACATGCTTTTTCTATCTCTGAAAGTGATGTTTCCGGCAGATGGTGTGGGCTCTGTGATTATTTTGCTCCCATCCCTGTTTCTCAGCAAATAACTTATTTCCTTAGGACAGGAAGCTGACTTTTATTTTATGCTTTTGTATATAATTATTGGGATATCTCATGTTAAAAAGAAGGATGTGGCATTGTTCACATCAGAGGCTGGAATGTCTGACAATCCCCAGCCATCCTGAGGGTGTGCGAGGGAAGGACTGGCAGGGGCTGCAGAGACTGAGCAATAAATGCAGAGCTTCTGTTTCCAAACAAGCATTATGGCATTTATTTGTGATCACTGAGATGGAACCAAACAGTGCGGATATTTGAGGGGAGTTTGTTTTGTTTTGTTTTTGGCAGACCCGTGTGCACCTTGCCTGGGCGGTGAGTCCCCGCATCTCAGGGCTTTGGTGGCTCCCTGCCATGGGATACAGGTGGTCCCCATGCAGTGCAGCCTCACAGACCTTGTCTGAACTCTCCAGTAGGAAGGTGTCCTTTCTCCTCTAAACTGCCATAAATTATTTGAGCTTACTGCCCATTCTTATATTTTCCTGATTTGGTTAGCTCATTCATTCATTCAGCTTATTTCATGCCTGATAGTCCAAGGACTCCCACACAGAGTTCCCTTGCAATGGCCCAGATGTTGAGGAGGAGCCTTTTGCTACAGCTCCCACAGCAGAACCTGCCTGGATTCTGACTACCAGCACAGAGGGCTAGGCTTTGGAGTAAAGCCAATGTCCACAAGGGCAGTTCTCCATAGACGGTGGCTCTTAAGGCACATTTCCTGCAGTATGACTGCAGGGAAGGGCAGCAAAGACACATGCCGATAAGACCCCTCCACTGTCCTTGCTGCACCACCCTGCCTGCCTGATACGGAAAGGCCAAATATCCACTCAGAGGTTTGCAGTGGGACAAGGAAGACATTTATTTGCAGGGCAACAAGAAAGGAGAATCAGGCAGCTCCTGCTTAGGATCTGACCTCACGAATGGCTTACAGCTAAGGGTTTTTAAAGGCAGGGAGGCAGAGGTCACAGGCACAGTCCTAAATCAATACATGGAGACCCTACGTTGTTTTGACCTAAAGACGAAGTGGGGACTCACAGGTCATAGTCATAGGAGGAGTCAGATTTTCTGATTTGTGATTGGTTAAGAGGGCAACGCTTTGTTTAAAATCTGGGGGTCAGCAGAAAAGAACGTTAGCTCTGGCCTGTGACCATGACCTCCTCCAGGCTCCTTGGAAAGAAATTCTGGTCAAAGAACAGCAGAGTTCAGTCCTCAGCTCCCCTTCCCTGAGGCCCAGGTGCCAGCAGACGACATTTTCATTTGATGAGGCCCAGATTTGTGAGAACAACCCAGGGTTGTATGTTAAGATGTTCTCTTTAGTTCCTGTAGGGAACCGAGCATCTCATGACAGGTGACTCTAACTTCCTTCACTGTTGTTTTAAGCTACTATTACATTCTTGCTTATTAAGTTGTTCATTCACTTCTCAAGGCTGGCTGGGTGCCTGGAATGGCCCTTGAAGAAACTCAAGATTTTCCTTTATTTCCATCCCTGGGGGATGGGTGCCCAGCATGCCCCTAAGAGGGGTTCCTACTCCAACTCACCCTCTTTTAGGTATGGTGAAAACAGCTAAATAAAATCAAGGTATTTTGGTTCAGGCAAACTCGGTGTGAATCTTTAACATGCTTCCTATTCAGGTTATGCTGCAGGACAGCTCATTCCTTAGCCTCAGATTCCGCTCCATAAACCACCTCATAAGCCACCTATAAAGGTGAATGATGGCCTACCACCTGCTATGACAATACATTTAGTCCTCCTGTTGTCTTCCCCAAATTCCAACTTCTCCAGAGCCCCATAAAGTCACAGGTAATTCAGCTAAAAGCCTGCAAAACAGCAACCCTGGGGCATTTTTCTTTTGAATTAACTTTATTGAAGTATGATTCATGTACCCTCAAAAGCACTCATGCTAACGGTATAGCTTGGTGACTTCAGATGAGTGGTTGTCTATGTACCCATCCCCACAGTCAAGCTATGGAGCATGTCACTGCCCTAAATGATCTCATGCCACTTTGCAGTCAGTCCTCTCCGGGTAACAAGGGATCCACTTTCCTTCACTGCGGATTAGATTTGAGTTTTCCAGAATATCATGTCATGGAGTCCTGTGGCATGTCTACTTGGTGTTGCTGTGCAATATATCAGTAGCTTGCTCCTTTTACTGCTAAGTAAGATTCCACTGTATGAATCAACAATGTGTTCACCCATTCACCTGTTGGTGGACATTAGAGTTGTCTCCAGTCTGGAGCTATTGTGGAAAACACTGCTATGAACATTTGCATGAGCTTTTTGTGGAACATGCTTTCATTTTCCTTTAGCAAATACCCAGGAGTAGAATGGCTAAGTCATATGGTAGGTAGATGTTTAATTTTATAAGAAATAGCCAAGCAGTTTTCCAAAGGAGCTGCACCATTCCCCATTCTCCAGTCTCCTGGCAGCACAGGAGTGGCGGGGGGAGCTCTGTGGCCTCATCAGCGTTTGGTTTCTTGGGCTGGGGCTTTCTAGTTTTTGCCCTTGTAGTGAGTATGTAATGGATTCTTCTATCTCTTCACCTTTACCTTTTTTTTTGAAATCTTACATCTTGTGTTTTGTTAGGGAAAGTTGGCAAAGGGGCAAATGCAAAGCTGAGAAACATGCTTCTCTCTCTGAGAATCTAAAATCCAAAGAAGAAAACTGACAACACACTGGGAAGGCCACCGCAGCAGAGCAGGAAACACGCTGCAGAGCAGCTCCAATGCCTTTCCTGGAAGGAGACACAGGAGGGAGTTCTTAGTTCCCACAGGAAGCATTAAGAGAGGCTTCGCAGAGGAGAGGGCCTCTGGGCTGGGCCCTGAATGACACAGAGGTCTCAGCAGGCCAGACAGGGGAATGGACTGGGCAGGGCGTCCCATGCTGAGAGAGCCCTGGAAGCAAAGGAGCTGAGGTCAAAGTGTCCTAAGTGTCTGGGGAGCCAAGGTATCCTTGAGCGGCTGGTGTATAGAATGCTAACATTTCCCCAGCCCATCCCTGGTGAATTTTAATATTGTTTGAGGTTATAACAAATGCCTCTTCCTTAAAATCTGCATGCCTTGAAAAGTCACTGCAAATGAAATAGCTGGCACATGTTAAGCACTGAATAAGTGGATGCTGGATGAATGAATGCATGAATTAAAGGACCAGATGCCTGAACATAGAACAATGTAAGCAGAAGGTTTGGAGACAGTGCAGATGAAACGCTCGGGGGAGCGCAGAGGAGAGGAGATACACTCCTGCTAGAAAACTTAGAGACAGCTTTTCAGAGAATGGAGCTCTCTGGGTCTAGTTTTAGATCTAAATGTAAGGAAGGAAAAGCATTTAAGAGACAGAGAACAGCATAAACACAGTTTCATAG
This sequence comes from Homo sapiens, assembly GCF_000001405.40. Taxonomy (NCBI): domain Eukaryota; kingdom Metazoa; phylum Chordata; class Mammalia; order Primates; family Hominidae; genus Homo; species Homo sapiens. Next base: position 24,360,080 of record NC_000020.11, read on the forward strand.
GTAGAAACAGGCCCAGGATAGAGCATTATTTGTTGCAAATGAGGGGAAAATTCTATTTTTAATGTTTTCCTTATCTACATGCCAACCACAGTATATAAGGAACTCTTCTGTGTGTCTTCACTGATACGGTATTTAGTTTTTAATTCAACAGGCATTGAAGTCAGTGGCTGCTATGAGCTGGCACTGGCAATATAATAGTTCACAAGGTATGAGACTTGCCTTCAGGGAACCTCCAGCCCTGGAGAAGCAGTGGAATAAAGAAAGAGTCTTATGAAAAAATATGAAATCATGTCCTTTGCAGCAACATGGACACTGCTGGAAGCCCTTATCCTAAGTGAAATAACACAGGAACAAAACCAAATACCACATGTTCTCACTTATAAGTGAGAGCTGAACATTTGGTACTCATGGACATAAAGATGGAGATAATAGACACTGGGAACTACTAGAGGTGGGAGGGAGAGAAGGAGGCAAGGGTTGCAAAACTATCTGTTGAGTACTATGCTCACTACCTACCTGATTCATTCATACCCAAAACTTCAACGCCACATAGTATACCCAGATAATAAGCCTGCACAGGTGCCTCCTGAAGCTAAAATACAAGCTGAAATTATAAAAAAAGAAAGAAAAAGGAAGGGAAAGGAAAGGAAAGGAAAGGAAAGGAAAGGAAAGGAAAGGAAAGGAAAGGAAAGGAAGAGGCTTAAGCAATCAAACAACTTTGTGCATAGGAGCTGGCGGGGACCTAGGAGCTAAGTTCATGCAGGGCCCTCCTTTAGGATGTGGAAGCGTCAGTGGTAGAGGAGCCAGAACCACCCATCATTGTTGGCTAAAGAGCCATTGGAGGATTGGGCTGCAGAGAGCCAGCACTGGGAAATTTAGCAAATAGAAAACAGTGGCCAAGAACCCACTGAGCACAACCTATTCCCCTTGAAGCTGGGGTAGAGCTAAGCATGAATGAACTGCAAAGGCCAGAGGGACAATGCCTGGGAGGGAGGCCCATCTGCCAGTGCACCAAGGACAAGCTGGAAAAAGTCCAAACCCCAGCGTTAGAAAGAGCAAGTCACACGTGTCATGAAGGACAACACACATCTTATACTTTGCCTATATATTTTGCCAATGCTTCCATTATCTGTGGCTATATAACAATCCATTACAGAACTCGGCTTAGAACAGCAACAATTTACTACTTCTCATGATTCTGTGAGCCAGGAGTTCAGGCAAGGGTGGCTAGGAAGATCTTCCTTTCCATGTGGCACCCACTGAAGCCATTCACTTGGTGGCATTCAGTTGGTGGCTGGGCTGGAAGTTTCCAGAAGGTTTCACTCAAAGTGTTTCATCCTTCAATAGTCTAACCAGAGCATCCTCACAGCAGGGTGTTTGGTTTCCCTACAGATGTGAGAGTGGTCACTGCCGGGCTTCCTAAGGCCTGTGCCTGGAGGAGTCACAACCTCACTGCCACCATGTTCTATTGGCCAAGCAGGTCACAGAGCCAGTGCAGATTGAAGGGCAGATTCCTCCAGGAGAAAGAAGGACCTGAGCCTGCATACATGGGTAGGGAGTAATAGTGGCTGACTTTGATCAAATATATGAAAGGAATTATGAGAATTTGCTGGTAGAATCCACTTATCACTTACATGTTTCACAGCCAACTCCCAGGGGAATAAGTGGGTCTTGTCTATGAAGAAAGAGGATCTGTAAGAGATTTGGGGCTGCAATCCTAGCTTCCTAACGCCCAGGCCCATGCACTTCCAGCTTACATCAGTTTTTTGTTTATTTTTCTGGTCCATGCCCCACTGCAGCCGGCACTGTGTGGAGCAAGATGGAAAGGTCATGATGTTGCTACATAAATGCCTGTGTTTGGTTTATTCTTGTTCTTCATTTTTTTTTCTTGCTAAATACACAAATTAAGCAAATGAAAAAATAGACAAGACCCCCCTCCCATTTACTACCCCTCCTCCAAAAGTAAGTCTGACTTCTATTTACATGGATTAGTATTTATGAACTTTCTCTAAGTTGAGTCATTTACTGTGTACTCCTTTGTGTCCTTTTTTTTTCACTTGAACATATGTCTCTTCACTAATCCAGCTGGTGCACAGGGCAGGAGTTGATTTTGTTTTTGTTGGTTTTGTTGTATGGAATTCCACATAGGAATAAGCCTTTGCCTTCTGAGAGGTGAAGCCCTGGATTCTTCCATTTTATACCCAGCTGTGCTGCCCCTGAGAGTGTCCCCTGGGAGTTTCATTCAGTTTCCTAACTCCAGCAGTTGCAGTGGCAAAACCCATGTCCCCACAGCCTGCACCATCACAGAGCTGGCAGCCAGGCCTCCACACCAAGAGGACTCTGCCTGGCATTGAAAGTCTGCTTTGCTCATGGCAAAAGGTGCCTGAGAATCAACACCTTCCCCCACTTGCCCTCAACTGCTGGCTGACGGGCATGGCCAAGAAGGCCCCAGCTCCCATGTCCCTCAGACTGATAACCCTGAGAAGTCTGTGCCACACCAATAAACTAAATTTTCTGAGGGGTGTTAAGCTGCCATGGCCTATGGCTATACTTTTCTGGATAGCATGCCTTTTATTGGCCAGCTTCTCTTTCCCTTATCACTTCCCCACTGCCCAGGGGAGCTTCCTGGGATCACCTCCCAGATAACCTACAGAAAAATCCTCACCTCAGGTTCTACCTCAGGAGGAAAACAAACTCACAGACTCTTAGACATGGAACGTCACGTGTGTGTGTGTGGACAGAAGCGCTGAAGCAGAAAAGCCGCTTCTGAGTGTGGTCCACCTCCTCCCTCTCCTTTGTGTCACCAAAAAGAACAACAAACTTTAGTAGACCAAGGCGTGGTGTGTGTGTGTGTGTGTGTGTGTGTGTATTTTTTTTTCTTTTGAAAAGCATTTTTTCCACAAGTTCCAGAGCCTCATGTCAGGGATGCATTTGATTTTGAGAAGCGAAACTCAGCTTTTCTAGCATAAGGCATGCTTTAGGTTGACAAGATTTTGGTTGCCTAGAGATTATCTTGGTGATATGCTGACTGTTTTTTCATCTCTAAAGGAACTTATTTCGCTGTCCTTTTTTGTGAAATACTGAGAGCTCCCTACTTCTTTGGTTTTTGAAACTTGCCGGTACAGCTGTGTGTGGTGGCAGGGGTTGCGCTGCCGCTCGCCGTCGGTCTCCAGGTATGCGCAGCCCTCACTGCATAAACATTTCTTTTGATTTCTCTGCATTCTTATATTCCAGATATGTGTACATATTCACAGAAAGAAAAGAAGTACCATGTCCTCAAAACATAACTTTGAAAAATAAGAAGCTCCTAGAATACAATATAGGAGATACCTGTATCAATTTACAGTGAAGAGAGGCTCTCTTAAACATGAACAAAAACATGAACTGTAATAAGGGAAGACTGTTGGATTGGGCTGCATTTGTGTCTGTTCATCAGAGACACCATGAAATAAGTGAAAAAGAAAGCTTCGGGACAGAGAATGAGGATGGCAAAGGCAGCTATTAAAAATTCCAATAATTGCTAGGCACTGTGGCTCACACCTGTAATCCCAGAACTTTGGGAGATGGAGGCGGGCAGATCACTTGAGGTCTGGAGTTCGAGACCAGCCTGGCCAATATGGTGAAACTCCATCTCTACTAAAAATACAAAAAAAAAAAATTAGCCAAGCATGGTGGCACATGCCTGTAGTCCCAGCTACTCAGGAGGCTGAGGCAAGAGAATTGCTTGAACCCAGGAGGCGGAGGTTGCAGTGAGCTGACATCATGCCACTGCAATCCAGCCTGGGCAACAGAGAGAGATTCTGTCAAAAAAAACAAAAAAACAACTTCCAAAAATTAATTTAAAAAGAAAACCTAATGGGAAAATGGGTTTAAAGGCTTGAATAAACACTTGATAAAAGAGGCTATCCAGAGTGTTAACAAACTTATATAAAAGGCTCTTAATGTCATTAGTTTTCAGGGAAATGTAGACTAAAACAAAAATGAGATGTCATTAGACATATACCGGAATAGCCTAAACTAAGCTAAATACAAATCCTGATAATACTAAGCATTCATGAGAATGTGGACAACTCAAACTCTCAATTGGCCTGACATTTAGGAAAAAAGCATTGAGCAGTATTTCTTGAATCCAAACATGCATATGCCTCATGACACAACAACTTATATTCAGGTATTTATGGCGTGTACAAGAATGTTCACAGGAGGACTGTTAGCAAGGAAACTGAATAACCTACATATACATCAATGCCAGAAGAAATTTAAAAGTGTGGCTTACTTATATAGTGAGATGCTTATACAGAAAATGAAAAAAATATTCTACTTCTATAGAACAATTAGATCAATGTCACAGATATAATGAAACCAGATTTAAAAGAACACATATCAAATGATTCCATTTATATGAAGTGTACAAACACCAATCTATGGGACAGGAAGTCAGAATACTGATTAGCTTTGTTGAGGGAGGGAGGGTGGATAGTGAGTGGAATCAGTTTCTTTGTTTGTTTTAATCTAGAGACTTAGCAAACCAACAAGGGATTTAAATCAGGGAGGAAAAGCAAAGACAATAAGCCAAAAAGACAAACGTTTATGTAGCAGCTGCCGTAGATTGTGATGATGAGATCATCAGATAAGAGCAGCTGAGGAAATTCAGTGTCAACATTCACAGTAGGCCTGAAGTCCCAGATGGATTCAAACAGAAAAGATAACCTGGAAGGTTATAGCAAGACAGAACCTATTGCATTTATCCACTTGGGGTGAATCGCTCTCCACCCCGTTTCTCTCTGTGCCACTGTCCTTCTTCATATTCTGAACAGCCCTTATCATGCTCCATGTTTAGATGATTTCTGCATTCGTTTGCACATGTATGTTTATCTCCCAGCCCTTTACAGGTCTTTGGAAGAATAGATGTTCTTAACTTTAATGTAATCTAATTCATCAGTATTTTTCTATCATTTGCTTTTTGCTTTGCTATCCAAAGATAGCAAATACATTTTATTGTATCTCGGAAACATATCACATTTTGATTTTAAGTTAAGTCTTCAATTCACCTTCTTGGCTAAAATGTGTCCTTTTGTACTTGCTAGTAATCTGTGACACAGATATGTCTTCACTGCACTGCCCCACTGTAGTGAATTGAAATAGGATGGTGACACAGAGATAGGGAGCTTAGGCATATCCTTTCCATCTGAAAACCTTTCTGAAGCAACACAGGACTTCAGTGAAACAGAGCCATGTGTGGGGAGACATGAAGGCGTTTTGCCAGTAACATGGGTCGGGCAGAGCTGACTAACTACAGAAGGTGGAGGACAAGTGAGGCTAACCTATTGGGGGGAACTGACCACATCTAGCAGCCTCTGGAGGCAGGAACATCGGGGATTTAAGAACCACTGTTTCCAATGCTCATGACGCTCGCCAGTCCGTATGAAACAGATATATTTGCATCTACTTTTCATAACAAGCACAGGTATTCAAGTGCTAACAAAACTGCTGCATTTTAAATATGTTAGAAACATACTTGGGAATTAAATCCTGATTTTAAAGAATTTTAAAAATAAAAAGTGCACAGCACACTTTGAAGAACTACATTGACTTGTGAAATGAGAAAGTGATAGGAGAATTTGCCATGGGTTCTTCATTGACCCAAATAGTCCAAACTTACAGATGGCAATGCACATATAGGTCACATTTTATCCATGCCTAAACATTTTCACCGACTTCATGGAAGCATGCCATCCAGAGGTCCGCAGTGTTGGTTATAAATGATTAACTGGAAGGGTAACCCAGGCTAGATGGAAAACCAGTGGAAATACATAGACTACTTGCACCTGTAAGCTAGAACCTGGAAGGAGATTGTGGAAACCCCAGCCTCAGGGCCTGGCTTCTCTCTTCACTGAACTTCCACAGATACCACGGGCCAGAGAACAATGGCAGATTGTAGGGTGCACCAGAATCTGAGGAGCTGTACAAAGAAATTATTTTAATTAATAACCATGTACTTTCATGTGTATAAAATTGACACATTGAGGCTTTCTTTGTACACTAATCCTTTAGGGACTATTTAAAATCAAAGATGTAGTTTTTGTAATGCCTGAAAGTCTCACACCTATGCAACTGCCTGTCTTACACTAACTTAAATATAACTTATACACACAAAGCCTCAAAACTTTATTAGCAAAAACATCAACAAACACGTTGAAATTCGTGGATTTTTATAGCCCTTTACAGTTTTCTTTTATTTTACATTTATATGTTTTACTTGATGATGACAGAGTTCAAAACCATGTTAAACGTTTTTGCAATTATATGTATTCCTTATCTATTGCGCCTACTACCAAAACCAACAATTTTGGTAAGTGTTGGATTCCAACCTCTCATAAATGCAACACACTGACATCACTGCATTTTCTAGCCCTTTGTTTCTGACTCCTCATTGGAGAATGTGTTCTAGTCCTCCGGTCAGCTCTGTTCCTGACTCGTACGGAAATATGGACTTCCAGACTAATGCTTTGACAGTGAGCATTCCTCTCAACATCTGAAGCTCTGCTCTTTCTCCTACCATCTCGTTTTTAAACGGCTGCAGCCTTAGTCACTGTTCACGTTCCCTTTTCATTTATAAGACACATTTCTTTCTTTACAGAATGAACACCCTCTGGCAGCCTTTAACAAAGGGCCATTGCCATTCCCAGCGTATATCTCCACCGTACGGTCTCTGCCACGTCATTCTCCCTGTCGGTGCCCGCGACTCTGCATCTCTCAGCAGCTCTGCGGGCTGCTCTGCCACTGCATGGTCCTAACAGAAGATCAGAGCAGGGGAACCCACCTGCTTTCCTTGGTCTCAATAGAAGTATATTTTCCTCTTTCCCAACATGTTTCATGAGCATGAGGCTTTGATTACCTGTGTGCACTTGGATTTTGCCACACATTTTCTCATGATCCCAGTTAATCTCACGGCAAATATTTTGAGCTTGGCCTTCCTATTTTTCCCGGTTTTACACATGCACAGCTAAGGATGAGGCATCTCAGCAGGAGGAGAGACTGCTCCAGGATCCCTCAGTTCTACAGTGATAAAACCAACACGGGAACCCAGGGCTTTGGATGGCACCGCCCATCAGCCTTGTCCAGTTCTCACGCCTCTGCTTAGACACACAGCTCATCCTCTGCTGTTGGGCAGAAGGAATCCTATGAAAACTTCTGCAACCAGTGCTTAGGTGCAAGGACTTCGGGAACACTTTCTATCCATCAGTTGGATTTTACTGTGACAAAGGAGCTGTTCTGTTGCCCACAAAAACACTGATCCCCTTCATTTTTATCAGGTGTCAAAGTCTGGTGGGCTTCCATTTCTGTCTCTCCTTACAGTTCTGAATCCGTTCTGGGAAATGTAACTTTTGTGGTCTCTGTTTTAAGGGCTTATTTTGTTGTTCATTTTTTGTAGAACATATTGTTTTGCTTTATAGTTGTTTAAACCTATCATCACATTTTTTCGGCAAAATTTTCTAAGTTATTCCTATAGTTCTGTTTGTCCTAGTTTTTCCCTCATATTTAACCTGTTTTTACATGATCTTCCATCTCTTTGAGTTTTTGTTACTACTTCATTTTCTGCCACTTTCGTTTTTATGTTAATGCAAAGGATACACTATTAATGAAACTTTTAACACCTGTATATCTCTCATCGGTTTTCTTTTCTAATGCATTGTGTAACCCCCACTACACCATGGAAGAGTTTCATTTCTTCAATATAAAGATAGATACCAGTCAAAACAGTGGAATCATTAATCAGTTTTGGCTGTGAAATTGGATTTTTTGAAGTCTTTGTATATTGAGACCATAGAATTAAAGGCAAAAGTAAGGAGAGAGAAAAGGATTTCTAAAACCCAGAAGCTGTCCTTGTGTATCAGGAGCTAGAGCTTAGATGAGCCATAGGCAGGGAGAGCACGAGACATGATCCAGCAGCCTGAGTCGTAAGTAGAAGCTCCTTCCTGGTGAGTATGGAAAACAAAGTGTGGATTGCAAGAGAGAGGGGAATGGAAACCTGCTGGGATCCCCAGAAGGGCCAACACCCTCTCTATCCACAGGCTGCCCCCAGGAGAGGGAGGGTAAGGCCAATCAGAGGAAGCAAACCAGAGATTGAGAGGGAGCCAAGGATATCTGACAAGGCTCCACTTCCCATCTAACTTTCCTTGCGGTGGTAACACAGCACTTGTAGTCCAAGCATGATGACCGTGCTGCTGGTGGTGCCTCATCCTTCAGTGGATGTGCACTTCATGTGGTTACAAAAAGACAAGAATCTTCCTTGAATGCAGGATGACCCTGTGCTAACACCACCACTTTCCTCTCCCAGAGCTCATCGTCCTTTGGAGACCTTCATCAGGTGCCGGATTCCAGGAGAGCAGAAGCCATGACCAGGTTTGTTTCATCCAAGGGTGGCCCCCAGCACTGCATAGACCACCCAGCCCCTGTCTCACTCTTGGTGAACAGATTTCCTTTCTGAGTCACTGAAGTTTCCTTTTAATCACTGATCATGACCTCCAGGATGCTGGTTTTAGTAATCTCACTTTAATTTTGCATCTTCTCTGCCAGCCCATTGGACAGTTAAGTGGTTGCTCTTTTGCCTCACCGGAAACCTCAATTAAAGGTTAATTAATAGAGCAAATACATCAAAACTCTTGTTTGTATGAGCTATGCATGTTCATGCAAATGCATTTGCATTACTTGGTGTGGGACCACCAGGGCCATGCGTGGAGGAATTCACAAATATGAGTGCATGTAGTACTCACAGCAGGCCTGTGAACGAGGTCCTATTTAATCAAATCCTATATGAGGGCACCTTCATTTACTCTTCGAGCATCTGATATGCTGACGAAATGTAGTGTGATGAAATGCAGATATTTCACTGTGAGCCTTGCTTCTCATCCCTTCACAGTTTTGAAGCAAAAACTTGGTATTCCCACTGAGTATTGACTTTGTTATTCTATGTTATTCTATTCAGTAGAGGTTCCACATTCTTAAATAACTTTTCAATTTCATATTTCATTTGGTAAGGCACAAATCTAATCTCTCGCCCTCAGTTCACATCCCTAATCCTTCATCATTCAGCCCTGATTATAAATCTTTTAAAATCAACCAATTGAAGTGTGTAATATAAAAATACCACCTAGAATATGCTTAAGTTTCCAGAATAATTGAAGTTGTGCTCTTTAATTAGAGCTCAGTTTTATATTATTTACTGAGTGCATGTGTTGAAACGTCACATCTGCAGTATGGAGATAATTCAACATGTCTAGGTTAAAAGCTACACAGATCTGCGAGATTTCTCCAATTATAAAATAGTGACTCTGTGTCACCTTTGGAGCAGGACAGCTGTGGTTGGAATCTCAGCCCCATCACTTGCAGCGAATGACTTTGAGCATTTGTTCTGCTGTCTGTGCCTCAGTTCCCTCTTCTGTTCAATGTTGTAATAGCCATTTCATTGGTAAATAATATACAGAAATAGAAATCAATAATAATACCTCATAACAACTCTACAGATAGGGAAGTGGTTCACAGACAGGCCCAGGTCAGGACACTTTGCACCCTTCAAAATCACTGGGATCCCCCAAGGGCTTTATATTGATCAAAATTCACAATGAAAACTAATACCTGTTGTAAATATGTATTAATCCACCTTGAAACAATAATAACAAACCCACCACCTGCTAACATAAATACCATATTTTTATTAAAAATAACTATTTTCCAAAGTTCAAAAAAGTGAGAAGAGTGATGTTGGCTTTACATTTCTGCAAACCTCTTCACTGAATGTCTACCTTAATAAAAGAAGCTGGAATCTCGTATCCACTTTTTTACTCAATCTGTTGCAACGTGTTGCTTTGAACACAGTCTGTGCACAAAACCCAGCCTCCACTGACATGTGGGTGGGAAAGGGAGGACCTTGTGGACACCTGAAAGGGTTTCAGGGACCCCCTGAGGTCCTCAAAACACCTCGAGAACTGCAAAAATCAGGGTCCATAAAGCTTTCAAGAAATCACAGCTAATCATTACTATTATTGCTATTTTAAATTTATCCATTAAATGTGAATGCCATGACACAGGGCTAGACCCAGTGCATTCCAGAAGATGTTTTGTCCAGTCCACACCCTCTCTTGGTAACTAGGCTCAGCAAGGGCACCCTGCCACCCAGGGGGCACAGTTCTGGATTAATCCGAGAAGTTTGGTGCTTTAGTCACAGCAATTAGAACAACAGAGGCTAAGGCTGTACCTGCCGCTGGGTTGAAACAGGCTGTGGAGAGCAGCCTTGGATGCCAGCTGGTCCAGCCAGGTGGGCAGCACACAGATGTGAACAACACAGCTGTGTCCCAGCATGCTAGAGCACATGTGCAACACGAAGGTCCAAGGGTCATCCCCCGGTGGGTGGAGCACAGCCGCCAGGAGCCCTGGGCCTCCCACAATGGAGGGAATCCCTGGTGGCTGTCCCCATTCTCTCAGAGGAAACCTCCACAAGCAAGATTTCATTGTGAAGTGGACGATGTCTTACCCAATTTGATTATTTTGGGTAAGTATTGGGAACTGCTGAAAGTCAGGCTCACAGCCTTTATTAGTAAGCAGACCTTGGGAGTCTCAGCTTCCAGTTTTTCCAGTGCTCAGAAAATATCCTGGATGAAAAGTTCACCTGAGACAAACACAGCCAGAGCCCAGCAGGAGGGTATGGCACATCATCTACAGGAGACCGGGGGGCCAAGAATCCCCCACCCAGCAGCTGGCCCAGGGCAGTCCGGGATCATCTGTGCAGTTCCAGGTCCCAGGCTTGCAGGCCATGTTCACACAAAGGCAGGTGAGGGTCTCCAGCAGACTGTAGGGCCAGCTGTCTTGAACGACCAAGTTCACCAGTGAGAGCTTCTTCCTACCATCTTTTGTACTAGTAGCAAAGCCCCGGGAGCCTCCTCTGAAGGGAGGATTCTGGTTCTATGCTGGGAGCATCCTCTGGAGCATGGATTCTGGTTCAATGTTGGCCGCTCACTGGGAACAGAGCCCAGGCCAAGCCAAGTTATTGAGTTCAGTTACTCACTCCTTTGGCAGGGGTGGGAACGGGAGCACAGGTCCACTTAGATCTTATTGCCTGACTCAAGTGTTTAAAGTAATCCATGGCCCTCATCTTGGTGCTTGAGGCCCTGCAGGGAGGCTGATGATGAATGAGGCTGTTGGCTAAAGTGAAATGGGGTTAGAGGCAGAGCCCAGTTCCATGCCCTGAGACTCCTGGAGATAAGCAGGGGCCCTCTTTGATCACTGAAGCACCTGCCAGAACAGGAGAGCTGTTGCCCTCTGGGTTAAAATCCCCATGTTGGGCAGCAGCAGAGCCTCACAGTTGGGTCACTCTAACAGGGAGGGACGTGCAGACAGTCCTGAGGAGGGGAGGTGCTCAGGCCTTGTAGGTCTGGCCTTGAGGCCTGTCGGGTGCTGGGTGTGCAGCTGGGAGGCCATGGATAGATCATCTGGATGGCAGGCAGTGATGTCAGGGCCCACCTTCTGCCTCATGGGCAATGGATGCTTGGGGGCCAGGTGGCTTTGGCCAGACGGTGGACACATCATCTCTGTTTCAGGTTCCCCAGAAAAGCAAGGGGGAAACAAGGGCAGCATGTTTGTGCTTTCATACATCTTTTGTTAAGGTGCCCTTTTATCTCAGTAACAACTGTTTTTCCTATTTTCATGTTAAAATATTATTGTTTTATGAACTGAAAATGCAGATAGCTGGTAGGTCACTTTGGTTGAGTCTGATTTAGTTTCTAATGTTATTGCTTAGCAAAATAACAAGCTGAAAACTACAGATAGACCCAGATTTATGGGACTTGAAGTTTCTCCAATATGGGTATCCTCTTAAGAAAAAGACTATCTGTTTAGAGTGAGAAGAGAAATCACAGCTCATACATTTTAAAAGCCAGCAGATGCTACAAACATCACAAATTCTGGGAAAATGCCACATTTCTATGAACCAGCTGCCCGACAGCCATTCTAACGTACTTCCTTAATGCCTGCCCGCTGGGGCCCTCTCCACCGTCAATGACTTCACAGCATCCTTCTCCACAGAGAAAATGGAAAGATGAGTTTGCTGTTTTCTTGACACAGTTGATGAAAAGTTTTTGTCTTATTAATTGGTTTTAAGTGTTTCTTTTAGCTTTATAACTGATAATTGGCAATGTCATATACATTTTAATCTTGTTGCCAAGTTTTAGGAGATGTCTGTCAAATTCCTTATATCTGAGCTGTACAATTTAGGATACTTTTATTTTTCTTATGCAGTAATTAATCTTAAGTAGTTAAGACTCAGCTAAACTTTACCTAATTTAACTAAGTTAAATGTTGTTTACGCTGTTGGCACTCAGCCACTTTGTCATTAGTGACCCTGTGGGTATGGGTTTTTCTTTTACTTTATGGTTTTTCACTCTGAAATTAGTGTTTCTGACAGTTGGAATCCCAGATGATCCTGAGTGGCTGACGCGGACGGAGGTGTTGTCTGGAATATGGAGTCATCTTTCTATGGTGTCCCTCAAGACATGCTGGGATTTAGGGATTTCAACAGCATTCTTCTCTCTAGCCTCAAAGCAGTGGAACATTGTAGGCAAACATGTTTGGAGTTTGTGAATAACTCTCAGAGCTGATATATGTCTTCATTTTCACAATGGAACATAAAGTGATGAATCCTAACTAGAGAACAAAGCCAAAAGATAGACACCACTGAAAACGTTTCTCACGAGTCCGTGGTCCTGCAGCAGTGCTGCTGGGAGTCTGGCTTTCAAGACGCTGCTGTAATCACTACAGGGGAAAGCCTGTAATGATTCAATCACACAGAGTAAAAATACACTTTCAGTTGGTGTAACATTGCATTAGTTCTACTTCTACAGAGTCTCCTTAATCACTTGTATTTAAAACAGAAGTTACCAGAGGCCAACGTATGACAGGCCGCAGAAGGCCACTTGCACATCCCAGCTTCGCTTACACAAACAGATGCCCTTCTAGAAGGATCATCTTGCCCTGCAGGGAAGATGATTGTCACATCTCCACAGCACATCACATTTTCCATGTGGAAAACATTCAGGTGTACTTTGATCTAATGAAAATCAGAGTCGACATTCTGCTTCACAGTGGCAGCTGGGAGAGCCATGCTGGAAACCAACTGCTGTTCTCCAAGGAACATGCTCCACTAACCCCTGGGGCCAAGACCAACTGGCATGGAGTGCCTGTGGCTCTGAAAAGGCTTCTCATCTAAAACTTCTGTAAGTGGAATAGGGCCATTGCCCAATGCACAAGGGAAGTCAATATGCTGAGACACCAGGCTGCAGCAGAGAAAGAGGTTTAATTACAGGGCTGCCGAATGAGGAGATGGGAGGAAACATCAAATCCGTCTCCCTGAAGAGTCTGGGGCTAAGGATTTTAAGGGTTTTAGATGGAGCCAAAGTGTGGAGACGGTTGATTGGTTAAGAGTGCAGGGTTATGGGACAGAGGAAAAAAAACTGTATTCTCATGCTGATCCCATTCCTTTGTAGGGGTCTTCAAACTGCTTGGTGTCAACTGGAATTCAGGATCTGAAAAACATTTCATGCATTTCTTAAACAAAAGCCTCATGATTCTAGCAGCAGAGACTCTACCTACAGGAACAATGGGGATACAGATGGTCAGAGTCTAATGCTGCCTGACTTTTGGTTGCAAGGAATTGGGTCAAAGTACAGCCTGATTAGTGCGTGATTCTAACTCTATTGCTGTCCAGAACTCTTGTTAACCCTGTGCAGACAGTTTCACATCCAATCAGTGTTCTGTATTCAGTTAAGATATGTTGAATAAAATATTAGGACTGAAATCATGAACATACAACAGAATACAACTCAGCAATAAAAAGGAATGAATGGTGAACACACACAACAAACTTCTGAGATAAATCTCAGAAGCCAGAGCTTGGGCTGCACCCCTAGAATGGAGGTCCTCTCCCTCCAGAGGTGAGGGGCTGAATAAGAGGAACCAGTAATATCTCAAGCGCCACAGACTCACTGTTCTTATCTCATTTTAGAAGATTTTCCTGAATAAAGGAGTCTTGGCTGTATGCCCTTGGGACAATCTCCAGAGACTTTGAATAGTAAACTATTAGATGGTCTTTACTAGCTGTGGTTGTTTCACAGGGAAGCAGTTCCATGGGACTGGTTATGCTGCCATTCTGGAAGCATCTCTTCTTTGCTAGCATTTACCTGTTTCTTCCCAAAGACCCATGCATCTGTATCTAGAGCAATGACTATGTTTTCCTCAGTGTTGCATGGTAAGACGTGTCTGTGCTGCTGTGTACCACTGAAGCTCATCCATATTGACATCCCAATGTGTGAACACCCCACAGTCTACTCAACAGCTCTCCTGAGAGTGGGAATTTTCCAGCCTCCTGGCTCCTGCTCCAGTCAACAGTGCTTTTTTGTAATTCTTATACATGGGCATCCTTATCTTGGTCCTAATGTGCAAGTGTATTCCTTTCACATTCCACATTCCCCCATTTAGAATGATAATGTTCACTTTAGTTTTTTCTTCTAATAGATACTTATTAGATTGAAATTTTACATTCTATTTCCACTTTTAAGAGCTTCTTATTGTGAATAAATATTGAAATGATCATTTTAAAAATAACTTTTAGCATGCTAAATTACTTTGTACAAGTTTTCTAACATTAAATCTTCCTTTCATACCTAGGTTAAACTCAATTTCTTCTTCATAAACCGTTAGGCCCGATTTGCTGATATTATGCTTTGAATTTTTGCCTCTGTATTCATGAAAAAAGATCTACATCATAAAGACATGAAAGAATTGAAAGGAAAAGTGAAATTTTACCTAGGTCAGGGACGGTAGGTCAAGGTTGCTAATGCTGTTGTTCACGTTCTATATTCTTGCTAATTAGGTTGTCTGCTTGACCTAGAATTAACGTAAAGAGATTCATCAAAATCTCACAGAATAATGGTGGATTTATCCTTGAAGTTCTACAATGTTTTTATACTTCTTAAGGCTACTTTATTAAGCATATACATATTTACAATTATTAAGCCTTTCTGATGAATTAAATTATTTGTCATTAGGTTTTGGCCCTCTCTACCTTTAAAAGTGTGTTCCATCTGGTTTTGAGGTAGTTATTCCAGTTATTCTTGGTTAGTAATAGCTTGCTATGACTTATCCTATTTTCTTGCTTTCAATTTTCTTTCCAAAATTGTGTTCTGGGTGTGCTACTTGCAAACCAAAATTACACTTTATTGTCTAATTTGAAAATTGTTGTCATTTTCACGGGTGAGTTTGGTCAAATTATATTTATTGTAATTATCGCTTCATTTGTACCCATTTTTCCAATCTTAGAAGGGAAGATCTGACACAGCATAATGCTAGGGGTAAAGCACAGGACAGAGGCATTCTTAAGACACCTTAATTTATTTGGAATATAGATGATAGTTACCATTATTTTTATTTTCCAGTCATCATTGTTTTAAAAATTTCCGAATGCATACAAATTTAATCATTTTTGTTGCCCATGCTAGAGCTGGGTACAGGTGAAGGGAAGTCACAGGTCAGGAACGTTCTGGGTCAACAGTTGAAGCAAAGTGAGATGTATTCAGACTCTGTGCTTGGAAAACAGGGTCTATGATGCAAGCATGATTTTAAAAAGTCTGGAATTGTTTACCCACGTGCCTTAACAGTTTTTTTTTTTTTCACTTAGAATTGAATTAGAAAAGAAAAATGGGATACACTCAGGACTTTTCCACCTGGAGATTCTGGGTGCCCTCAAATGGAGTGAAGATACTGAAAGTTATTTAAATACACAACGCATTCACCACCATCATACATTGTAGACTACCCAAGATGCCTGGTTTTGTAGCTTTTTTGCTAGAATTATGTCAACTCAACTCAGACTTGTAGAAATGGTTATGTCTTTATGATCATAAATTGGTAATATAGATGCTATGATTTTTTAAAATACAGAAACATATTTGAATCTAAATGGGAAAAAATATAATGAGAAACAGGATATTTGCATATTCTCAGTGTATCACTCCAGAAGATGTATATTAATTACAACGGAGAAAATAATATCTTTACAGGGAAAAAACCTGGAAGGCACCTCTGAATCAAGGGATCCAGGTGAACACAGGGCATTAACATGGCGTTGGCATATCTACATCCATCCAGACATGAACTGGGAGGGCCACCACAGCATTTCTGTGGGATTTTTGACAAAAGCACATAACCTAATCAGAATATTTTGCATAAAAGTAAATCCATCAATTCTTTTGTTTTATTTTTAAGTAAACTTTTGCATCACATTGTATCATAAAAAGAGGAAGCAAAATGCACGCAGCTGGATAAAGTTCTAAGTGGTATAATCTTACCCAGATGAAGATGTGGAACATTTCCAACATCCCACAGCCCTCCCCCAATGCCCCTCTGACCAATCACCCCCCTTTCCAAGTGTAGCCACTACCCTGGGTTCTCTCCTCAGAGGTTCATTTTGTACCTCTTTGGCTTCATACAAATGGAATCATACACAACACACTTTTTGTGCCTGCTCCTTTTCATTAATTTTTTCTCTGTCACATTGATTCATATTGTGACATTTGGCAGTAATGTGTTTTGTTAGTGTTATGTAGTATTTCCCTGTAAAAATATGACAGTTGTATCCATTCTCTTATTGATAGCCATTTGAGTTGTTTCCAATTTCTTGTTATTATAAAAATGCCACTATAAACATCCTTGTACATGTCTCTGGTGAAAACATGTACATATTTCTGGAATGGAACTGCTGAGTCATAGACTATGTGTGTGTTCTGTTTCCACAGACATTCTCAAGCATACTTCCAAGTGGTTTCACAAATTTAAATTTACATTAGGAGTGTAGCAGAATTTGCTTCACATCCTTTTCAACAGTTGGTTGAAATAATTACCATCGTGGTCATCAGGAAAATGTAAATGTGTATGCATGTATATATTATATCTACAAATATATTTACATCTCATACATATGTGTGCATATTTGCATTTCCTTGTTGGTCAGTGTGGCAGTGTACCTCTTCACATGCTAATCGGCCACTCGGATGGTCTTTTAGGAAGGACTTCTTCAAGGCTTCTGCCCAATTTTATGTTCAGTGGTCTGTCTATATGTTAATAATTTTTGTCCATAATTTGGACATTAAACATCTGTCAAATACATATATATATTTCACATATATGTTTGTGTATATATATATTTGCATGTATATATTTGCGTGTATATAAAAGTGTGTATAATATATGTGTGTATATTTGTGTATGTATATATTTCTGTGTAAATAAATGTGTGTATATCTGTATATATATTTGTGTGTATATAAATGTGTATATGTGTGTGCATATATTTGAATGTGCATATATGTGTGTGTATATAAATGTGCATATATATGTGTGTATATATATGTTTGTGTATGTATATATGTGTGGGTGTGTGTATATATGTGTGAGTGTATATATATTGTGTGTATACTTGTGTGTGTATATATATGTGTGTGTATAATATATTTCTGAGTATATCTATATTCGTGTGTGATATGGTTTGGCTGTGTCCCCATTAAAATCTCAACTTGAATTGTATCTCCCAGAATTCCCATATGTTGTGGGAGGGATGCAATGGGAGGTAATTGAATCATGGGTGCTGGTCTTTCTTGTGCTATTCTCGTGATAGTGAATAAGTCTCATGAGATCTGATGGGTTTATCAGGGGTTTCTGCTTTTGCTTCTTCCTCATTTTTCTCTTGTTGCTGCCATGTAAGAAATGCCTTTCACCTCCCACCATAATTCTGAGGCCTCCGCAGCCATGTGGAACTATAAGTCTAATTAAACCTCTTTTTCTTCCCAGTCGCAGGTATGTCCTTATCAGCAGTGTGAAAACAGACTAATATATTCTGTGTATATAAATGTGTTATGTGTGTATGTGTGCATATATTTGTGTGTATATATATGTGTGGATGTGTGTATATATATATAGTGTGTATATTTGTGTGGACATATATACTTGTGTGTGTATATAAATGTATTTGTGTGTGTATATGTATGCATATGTATATATGTGTGTGCATATATTTGTGTGTATATATATTTGTGTGTTATATGTGGGGGTATGTGTGTGTATATATAGTGAGTATATTTGTTTGTACATATATATTAGTGTGTGTAAATATGTGTGTGTATATTTGAATATATAACTTGTGTGTATGTAAAGTGTATATATATATTTGTGTGTATATATGTGTGGGTGTGTATATATGAGTGTATATATAGTGTGTGTATATGTATGGGCATATATTTGTGTGTACATATGTGTGGGTGTGTGTATATGTGTGTGTGTATGTATAGTGTGTGTATTTGTGTGTATATTTGTGTATATATATTTGTGTGCATATATGTGGGTGTGTGTATATATACAGTGTTTATATTTGTACATATATATTTGTGTGTGTATATGTGTGTGTATATATGTGTGTATATTTGTGTGTATAGAAATGTGTGTGTATATGTGTGGGTGTGCGTGTATGTATATATATATATATATAGCATGTATATTTGTGGGTATATATATCTATGTGTGTGTAGTATATTTGTGTGTATATGTGTGTGTGTGTATGTGTGTGTGCATGTGCATTTGAACTGACAACTCCCCGGCCCAGCAGCAAGGCCCCTATGCAGACCTCCCCATCGCACAAGCAGTCCTGTGTTTGCAGATTACCCCCAGTTGCCCTGAGCTCTGAGCTCCATGTGCCGCCAGCTGCTCACAGGCAGACAGCTAAATGATGAGACTGGAGTCCCATCCCAACTCTGGTGCCATCTGATCCCACATTATTATTCTAATTCTGGGTTAATTTTGGTGCCTGACTTTTTAAATTATTATTATTGTCCTAATTATTTCCTTGAGAGTTCAACTCTTTACTGCTTGACTTTTATAAAGAAATTATATTCAGCCTCAAATTATAGCATTTGTAAATAAATGAATTTTAACTTAATATATGTGAGCTACAATTAGTCACATTTTCCAGAGGAACCTATGCCAAATATCTGTTTTATAGGAATATTGTGTCACGAATTTCTCTCCTAATTATGGTTCTGTCTCTCTCTTAACCATTTCCCACCCCACTTTCTAGCTGTCTTTCCACCACCTTCCTCCCCTTCTTTTCTTCACAGCGTGTAATCTCACTTCAAGGTCTGTCACTTCTCCTTTCTCAGAAGCCTCTCTGAGTTTTACAGCCTCTCCTTACCTCCCCGCCTCTCCCTGGACCTCTCCCTCTGTCCAACACCATTCTCCTGGACTCAGTTACTTCCCTTCTTGCCTCTTGCCAAACTCTCTGCTATTTTTCTTTTGCCAGCATATTCTTAGCCTATTTTCTGCCCCCAAATTATACATTCTCTCTCATTCCCTCTTGATATCTTGACCTGAGTTTAACTTCCATTTTACGGGTGATGAAAGTGAACTGAATGTTAAGTGCTTTAGAGGTGACTCATTGTTTTGGCTAAAGTAGCTTTTGGTCCAGACATTAACATGTATGATAAAGACTTTCTGGGGATTCATCCCAACATTCCCACTCATCAGAAAAGCTGGGCTGTGGGATGCTGGAGACAAGCCGCAGCTCAGCAGAAGGCAAAGACAAGGCTGCCGGGCTGTGGAATCCATGCCCTGGGAGTGGCTGCTGGGCAGGCTTCCATGCAGCTCTGGTGAAACAACACATAGAGACTGTGTGGCTCCAGCTCCCCTCGGTCCCCTGAGGATGCACTGACCTGCTGCAAATAAAATGACATCCTCCAAGCCCAATTTAAGATTACAGCTTCCAAACCCATCCTGAAATTTCTCCAGATGTCCTTCTTATTCATTTGCCCTCCTGCTCCAGGGAACATCATTTTGGTTCCAGGACTTGAACTATTCATTGAGCACAGGCAACCAAAGCAAACATGGACAAATGGGATCACATCAAGTTACAAAGCTTCTGCACAGCAAAGGAAGCAGTCAACAAAGTGAAGAGACAACCCACAGAATAGGAGAAAAAATTTTGCAGACCACCCATCTGACAAGGTATTAATAACCAGAATATAGAAGGAGCTCAAACAACTCCACAGGAAAAAACCTAATAATCTGATCATAAAATGGCAAAATATCTGAATATATATTTCTCAGGAGAAGACATACAAATGGCAAACAGGCATTTGAGAAGGCACTCAACATCATTGATAAACAGAGAAATGCAAATCAAAACTACAATGAGGTATTATCTCCCTCCAGTTAAAATGGCCTCTATCCAAAAGACAGGCAATAACAAATGCTGATGAGGATGTGAAGAAAAGTGAACCCTTGTACGCTATTGGTGGGAATGTAAATTAGTACAATCACTATGGAGGACAGTTTGGAGACTCCTCAAAAAACTGCAAATAGAGCCACCATATGATCCAGCAATCCCACTGGTAGGTGTATGCCCAAAAGAAATTGAAGGTGTAAGCTTGGACCATGCACCTGACTTAGACCTTGGCATCAGCCTTCATCATTCTTTGTTTTCTGCCCCAGATTCATTCTACAACTTTTTCTGCCACGCTGTGTGCTCGAGGAGGATACATGCAGACCACGAGGCTAACTCCAGACTTGCAGGTTTCTGGTTAGGTCTGACCAATAGGCACCAGAAGAGCACTGGAGAGCAAGAGTAGAGAGAAACCAGGTGTTTCTTCCTGAATACTTCCCCGTCCCAGTACCTTGTCCTGATGGTGACTGTGTCATCTGCACATGCAGCTCCCACTGGATGACCTTTTCCACAGCTCACAGCTCACCAGGCTACAGTAAACTTCTCTCACTTTCTGTTCACGAGGCCTTAAGGACAGTAACATAACCTCCTGTCGCTGCTGGCTGCAGGTGCTTAACCACACCTGATTTTCTTCCATAACGCTGTTCCTTACCTCTAAATGGTCCTTTCACTAAAGTCTCTTCATTTAAACCAACTGGGCGAACTCTGTATTGTTCCCTAAACCTTTCCAGCTTCCTGCTACCATCACACCTAACTTTCTATGGGAAGAAGCCCACTGTGCATTAGGCTGTAGCCCTGGGGGGCCACTCACGTCAGGTCCCTTGCATTAATTCCTCTCCATCTGGCAGTGAAAGAAGTGAGAAAGAGGTGCTCTCTTCTTGACCTAAGAAACATGGAATCTTGGGTACTTCAGGTAAGGGTAGCTCTCTATCTGCAACTTCCAATTCAATTTGGACTTTAGATCCCATCTCACTGATTTAGCTGGAAACACATCTCATTAAGTCTTAGAGTGTTACCAATGGGAATTCATCGTGTTTCCAAGCTCTTGAGCTACAAAGTAGCAGGAAGAGGTGTGTGGGGTGAGAAACTCAGGCATCCTTATCCACCTGCTCAGGCTTCCACGGAAGGCCGCTGCCCCTGCCTTTGGGATAGATTTATGTCCATGGCCACAGCAGAGTGAGAGAATCTGTGAGGTACCTCATGTCCCAGATGCATCTTTCTGGGGCCAAGCTACCTCCTAGCTTGCTACAGAGAATCCAGCAATCTTCTCCACTGCTCTAAGTTGGAGAGACCTCCCTTGACTCCTGGACAGCTCTCACTCCCCTATCAGCCTAGGAAAATCTCCTCTCTGTCTCTAGTATCAGAGAAGTTCCTTGCACCCTTGTTTCTCCCAGGACCCTTGGCTTCTGCCACAAAATTTCTGTCCATCTCCCTCTTTCACATTTCTTGTGAAATCTTCCAGGAGCTCAGGGTGTAGACACGAAAGCCAGGAAATCTCTTAAGCTTTGTTCTTTCTACCCCCACCTTCATCCTCTGATGCACTGCATGTTTGAATGGGTGGAAGGAGGAGCATACGTTTAGGAGGAAATTCTGGAAGTAAAGCACCTCAAAAGATTGCCAAGCCCCATGAGATAGAAACCAAAGCTGCCAGGTGGTTCCCAGTGCCTGGAAAATGAAGAAGCAGAGGCTCCATGCTGGGTCATGACTTCTGTTTCAGCTGTTCCCTGCTTCTGATTTTCACGGGGGCTGATTGCCTGCTTTCCCTAAGCTGTTTCAAACTTCTGCAGATTATCGGGATTTTCTGAGCGTATGGCTTACCAAGACAAGCGTCTGGTTGAGCAAAGAATCACACAGTATGTCATCCTCTGCACCTTCTTTTAAAAATATTTTCAGTCACCTGCCTGAGAGTTTTTCTTAAAAATAATTGGGTCCATCTTTATTCCCAATCTCCCTGTTGTCCACATTGGCTGCCCACTCCATCTCCACTGGAGACAGAACCCACTGACACCCCCCCTAATGAATAAACCTGGTCCCCACTCTGAGATCCTACAAACCCACTGGCTGGGGCTAGAGGAGGCAGTCTGCAGAGCCACAGTGGTGGCCCACGTGCTGGCTCAAGCATCTGGGTGACGCAGTGGCTGTGCGGTGCTGCGATAAATTTGTATCTGACAGCACTGGATGCTGGCAGGCAGTAATAGCTCCACGCTGCCTCCAAAAAAACAATTTATGTTTCCAGTTTCGGTTCTGGTATACTCTACCCTGCCAGGTCTCCGTGTGATTTATAGATGGAGAGCTTCATACTTGTTTTTCTTAACCAAGATTATTTTGTTGTTTGCTTGCAGATGCTGTGGCATTCCAGTAGGCCTGGGACAAGATGGACTGTGTATGTCAGTCTCATTAATGTGCAGGAATGAAGGATCTGCACTCTGTAGGACAAAGCAAAGTGAGAATCATTCGTTGTGGATTTTTGATGATGGCTCCCAGCATTGTTTGAGCATCTGTGAGCAGCCTCTATCCTGACCTGTGATTTGAATGAAAGTGGGGCCAATCTGTTTTTCCCAGCTGGGCAGACTGCCAAAAAGCCTGTCAAATGACATTTCACTGTGCCTGTGTTCAACAGCTTTATAGGCTCAAGGATCTAATCTTATCAACGCTCAGAGTGTAAACCTGCCACTCAGGTACAGATGCACAGTTGCAGAGCTCACAAGATCCAGATGTATAAACAAGGAGGCCATTGAGGAACCTATAGCAAAAACTATAATCCTCAGGTTGACCAGACAGCTCACCCTGACATCTTTAGCAAATGACTTTTGTATGCACAAAAAGGATCAAAATCGTCATTTTGATCACAAAGCCTGCTCTGGAGGGCATGAAATCAGAAGAAAGCGTTGGATCATTCAAGCAGCATCAATAGCTAGAGATCTCCCATCCAGATCCTGGGCAGTTCATAGATGGATGCTTTCAACATTTGCTTCAATGACACTTGATATGATATTTACACACTGTCTTCTGACCAACACTTCTGTCTCTTAACTGATTAACACATCTTATTTAAAGCTATATTAAAACCCTAAGTCAAATTTTTCCTTGACTTGGGGTCAGTCTATATTGTCATCTCTTCAGATGATGTCGCATAAGTCTTTCCGATGTCATGTTTTTTTTTTTTTAATAGAGCTCTCTTTCCACAGCACCAGTCATCATTTCTTCCTTCATAGGGGTCGCATTATGTTGCCCAGGCTGGTCTCACACTTTTGGCCTCAAGCAATCCTCCCACCTTGACCTCCTAAAATGTTAGGATTACAGGAGTGCACCATGGCACCTGACCCAATGCCATCCATTTTGTGCTAGTTTATTCACTGACTCTCAGAGGGCATTCTTCCTTATCTACAGCATGTGGGAAGTTGAATCAATATCACCCCAAGAGACGAGTACTTAGCTGGTGGAATCCAAGGTTAGCATTGTTCTGTCTACTCTACTCTAACTATTGCTCAGGCTCTCCATTTACACTGGTGCATCAACCAGGCCCTCGCTCTCCAGCCCACCAGGCGCCCTCCTCCCCCGCTTTTTAGACAACACTGCTTTGTTCACCCTGCCAAGGAGTATTGATAGGGAGGGTCCTGCAGGGGTTGAGCCCACAAAGACTCAGGGTCACTATATTCAGGAAAACAGAGCAGGGCACTTGTGAATCCACCAGTCACTTCCTTTTTCACCCACAAGACTTGAGGATTATTAGGCAGGTACTTCTACTTCATTCCAGGCATTCTGCTAAATACTTTCACATATTGTTTAACTTCAGCCTTACAACATCCCATGGTAGCAAAAGGTCCCAAAACGAGCCCTGTTACTCGCCACAATTTAAGCCTCAGTGAGACCCACCAACTTGCCCAAATTCAAACAGTATATCAAGTAACAAAATCGGACATGGCTCAGTTGGGTGCAGTGCCCAAACTGTCACTTGGCAGCGATATCTTTGGTTGGGACCTTTCTGTTGATCTTACGACTCTTGCTGTTGCCTCAACTAAATTGGTATAGAACTGGCTTGTTTTTCTCTCAACAGTAACAAGGAAAGCCAGGTCTTCAGACGTAAAAATGTAAATAATGTGGGATCTCCAAAACCCAAAGCAAACATATGAGAAACTCATGCTGAATATTAGACAGCATGTAGTTCACAGAGCAAGTTAGACAGGGGACCTCCCCTCAGGGGACTTTTCTGCTGGGCTGGTGTTAGGGAGAGGAGGAAGGAAGGTGGGGAGTTGGTGACATTGGTGCTGATAGAAGGTCATTTCTGATTTCTGTGAGCTGGTCTTGAGCCAGAGTTCTACTGTTCTGTCTCATCCCCAAGGAAACAATGCCGAATGCAGCCTTATCTTCTATGTCATGGTGTCAGTTGATGTCTCTCCTTTATATTATCTGGGGACTTCAAAGGCCTAAGGCCATTGAGGAATGGGCTGAGGATATGGAAGAGACGTACATGCAGTGACTACCATCACAATATCCAAAATATTGGGGGTAGGATGGAAGTTATTAGGACAGAAATCTTTGTTAATGCTATAGGGATGAACGGGTTCTCCCAGAGAGAGTGTGCCTGGAGGAGAAACCAGGCCCTGTAAGGATCTGCAAACTTTAATAGCACTATAGAAAAGGAGGCTCTGAATAGGACTCTGAGAAAGAAGGCGGCCAGGGCGAGCAATGCCAGAGGCTTCCTTATGGAATGTTAGTAGGAGGAGGTGGTGAGAAGCTGAATGCAGCAGAAGATTGGGCAGAGACTGGAATTATGTCTAATGGATTCAGCAACATTGAAATCGTCAATGGTCTTAAAGCGGTCTCAGAGAAGCCATAATATTGGAGGACTGATTTCAGTGGTTTCAAGGGAGAATGGAAAGGGAGAACATGGAAACAGTATTTGGAGTGGGAGACCCTAGAACTTGTTTGTACGATGATGCAAGTGACAGTCTGGAAATGCAGCATGTGTGATTTACTCCAGAGCACAACAGCATACAGTGTATGTGTGTGTTTTGTGTGTGTGTGTGTGAGTGTGTGTGTGTGCATCTGTTTTAATCTGCACACTGGTGGTCCAAGATCCACTTGTGCAGTCCTTAATCAATTGCACTCTCTGTAGGTAGCTAGTTTGCATCTGAAAGACCCAGAGAAGACGGAGCTCACTTTTCAGTGCTTCCCATCTCAGTCTATGTGCACAGGAAGGATCATTAGTCAATACGAGGGAAGTGAGAAATCATAGTTTATTTGATGAAGCAGGATTGGTTGGAAATGCTGCACAAAGCCTGCTGCCATTGGGCACTGCACCATCTTTGCCTTGGAGGAGTTCATGCAAGGCAGCATGCAGGTCACATGGGCATCTCATGCTTGACCGCCCAAATATGTTTGCCTGTGAGGGAGAATTTCATTTGCAACTTGACTTCATTGTGAGAGGTTGTGGTGGAACTGAGCTCTCATCTTCCAATAATTTTTGAGGTTACTAAAATGTTCTCAGAAGGAACTTGGAAAGTTCCGATGGACACGCTGCACAAGGCTTGTGTGGAAGGGGATGAAGGGGACCCTGCAAAGCAAATCATAGTGAATGGGTCAGAGGGAATAGGGCACAGCATATACAGGCCTGGGGGCTCACAGGCTTTTTCCTACAACCTCATATTTCTGCTCCAGCCACATTCCCAGGAATACTGCCCCAAGGAGAGCTCACACTTCTTCCTGATGATGCACCAGTGCCAGGGCATCCCTGAGCCTTCCTGGTCCACTTTTGAATCTAAGCATTTCTGTCTCTGACCTGCCCTACCTGCTGCAGACATAGGAAAGGCCCTCCGGCCTGTCACACACAACGTTTCTGTTCCTCAGTAAGACACCAATGTGTTTCTAGCCTGCCTTCCATGTTAACTAATTCAATGAGCTTTTGCTCATGTTAGAGTGCAAGCTGGTTTTATGAGACTTCTCCACTGCAAAGAGTAATTTTTTATTAACAATCCACAAATGCTTTTAGGAAATGGAATTGCTCAATTTGTCTGCTATGGTTTGAATGTGTTCCCCAAAAAGTTTGTGTTTGAAACTTAGTCCCCAATGTAGCAGGATTGAGTGGTGGGACTTCTAAGAGGTCATTAGGCCATGAGGACTCTGCCCTCATGAATGTTGTTGTCCTGAGGGTAGGTTCTTTATAACAGAACAAGTTCAGCCTCTCTCTGTCTCTCTCTCTTTCTCTTTGTCCTTCTACCTTCCACCATATGAGGACACAGTGAGAAGGCCCTCAGAAGATGCTAGCGACTTGATCTTGAGCTTTTCAGCCACCGGAACTGTGAGGAAATGAATTTATTTTCTTTGTAAATTACCCAGTCTCAGGTATTCTGTTATATTAGCACAAGATGGATTAAAGACATTGTCCTTTAAACAGGATTCTCTAGACTCTCCTGACATTAGATTTAGCCTCTTGATCTCAAAACCAAAAAGATATTCTTGGTTCAAAGGGAATCCCAGCATGTGAGGGGTGTTTGATGGTGCACATTTTCAAACCACAACTGTTGATGGACAAAAGCCATTGAAGTAGCAACTTCCCTCATTGTCAGGGGCAACTCACTCCTCCACTTCGACGATTGTTGGAAGCAGCTCTGGGCTGCAAAGGTTATAGCAAGCATCTCCTTTCCTGTAGGATCCAGAGAAGACGAGGGCTTTCCCAGACTCATTGAATTTCATAGCAGAGGACACAGGACTGCACTCATGGCTCCTGACTGAATGTTTGAAATTGTATTCATTGAATTCTAAGCAAACATGATTCTTTGAATAGCTCAAAGGATGCATCATTTGGCTTAAGTTCTGAAATAAATCTCATATAATCAATCTCATATAATCAATGACTTCACTGAAGTAAGCTTCAGTGAAGATTTTGCTCACAAATATTCTCTAATCTACTTGCTTCAATGTTCCATGTTTAGGAAAATGTTAGGAGGGGTTACTTGTTAAAAATACAGATTCTTGAACCCCCCAGACTTACTGAATATGAAGACAGATTAGGGCCCTGGAATCCTCATGTTTATGAAATCAACGCTTAAGCTGGTCGATGCGTGCCCAGAGGACACACTTTGGGAAATTCATAATCTGCTGCTCCAGGTCCACAGGCCTTCTGCAGCATTTCGAGTATTGATGTGCAGTGAAGAGGCCCCACAAGCCTGAGAAACATGGCTGCAAATCTGACTCAGACGCTTGTCTGCTAATTTTGTGAGCCTCAGTTTTCTTTTCAATTAAATGGGGACAATTGTACTTAAGTTATGACAGTGTAGTGCCAGTTAAATTAAGCCCTAGATGCTGCTTAGCATGCATGGAGTAGGTGATCAGTAAATGTTAGTTGGTTCCTTCTATTCAGATCCTCTGAACCATGCCCCTGGGAAAAAGCTATGTAGTTTCTGACCAGGGCACCTGAAACCTCTCTAATTCCACTGTGAATTTTAAACAGATTCAAGGGGCTGTGAAACTGTGAAGGGAAACATGCCCACACTGTGGTGAAGGGAAGAGCAGTTAATAAATAAGATAAAATAAAATAAAAGAACAAATCATTACTGCTCAGAGTCAACGCTGCTCAATTAAAGGGCCAAGAATCGAATGTAAACAGCTTAGGCAGCTTCCTATTTCTGTCATGCCAGGTGCTCAGGAAAACAAATGCCAATCCCTGGTTCTTGCTCCAGACACTCTCCAACCCTGACTCCCCAGGACCTCCAACCAACTATGCATAAAGGCTAGAACTGTGTTCCCCTGAGTTGCCTGCATATAGAAGGTGACCTCAGGTTCCTCTGGGCATGAACCATTCACATTCAGGAGGGACTGAGAGCTGAAGACCCAGCAGCTTACCTGGAGATGCCGTTTAGCAGCTCGATGGTGCAGTGGGGCGAGGTGTGGGGTTAATACCAAGTGCAGCAAAGTCAGTGTGAATGATCCTCTTCGCTGCATAGATGGGAGGCAGGACCGCCCTGGACTCCTGAGCTTCACCAGGTGACAGAGACAGTGAATGCTGCAGATGGAGGCAGGTGTGAGATGGGTTCCCTCCATTAGAGGATAAGCACACGGACAGGGAGGAGGGCTCTGCAGAGAGCTCCTGAGCAGGTGTCAGTTTTTCCTGGGACCTCTACAAGCTCACCATGAGGGCTGTGTGAGGCTGAGGCCAGAGCCCTGGAGAGTCAGGCAGCAAGCTCCTCTCCTTCAGGCATTCAGCAGATGTGAAATGAGTGTTTTGTGCATCAATGTGGCTCATTTCTAAATAAACTTTTATTGTGATATGATTTCATTTCTGAAAGCCTCAGGGCCCATGATTTGGGTGTTTACAGCCTGACTGGAAGATGAGACCTGTGTGTAGCCAACCACGATAGAAGAGAAGCACGGATAACAGAGGTACAGGGAATGGCAGTGGTGTTGCCTGTTGACCTAGGGCATACCTAAGCATCACCTGGGAAGCAGTAGGCATACCATGGCCCTGGGCCCCTAGACCAGTTAAATCAGGATCCCCGGAAGTGTGGGGTAAGATTGGAACTGTCTTAAGCTCCCAGAGATGTCACTATGCAACTGAGTACTGTTATGTGGTCAGCGTTCTTACCATCGCTGTACACAAGAACCACCCTGGGGGACTTTGTAGAACCCTTGAGTCAGGCCACACCCCACACCAGCTAAATCTCTGTGGTGAGTCTCAGGAGCAGTGTGCTGGTGCTTGGTGAGAGCCAGCTGTTCAAATTGCCAGAACTCTAAACCCATTGTTAAACTGTTGGTAGCTTACAATTGGCCACGGTGAGAGGGCGGAAATTGCCAAGTGCTACAAGTTGGTCTTTCCACCAGCCACTCCCACTCCTTCTGGAGAGCTGGTTGCCAAACATCTGCCACACACCACTGGTCCTAGACGATAGTACTTTCCATGAGTCAAGAAGAATGGAGTTCGGCTGGAAGAAACAAGGAGTGGCTTTGTCAGTAGGATGTGAACGTGTGAAAGGAAGGAGAGGCATTCTGGAGAGCAGTCACTGAGGGGCCAGAGGCTGAGTGTCAGGACGTGCACAGTGCACAGAGGAAGCTGGGGTTGCCTGATGGGAACTCACACTGGGAAGGGAGGATGGGAGGATGCCCTGAAGTGGCTTCAAGGCCAGGTAAGCTCACTTGGACTTTCTTCTCTGAGCAGTCAGGGCCAATGAGGGTCTTAAACCAAAACAGTCACAGGGACCTGAATAACCTCTAAACTCTAGAAAGACCATGGCTCACTACAATGATGGGTGAAAGTCCTGATGCCTGGCCTCCCAGTGTCTAATTCCAAACTCTCACAAGGGAGCAAGGGGGTTCTCAGAACCTGACTGTGGCAAGGCAGTTCATGCAGAGCAACTTCTGCACCCAGCAGGGTTGCCGGCCCCTGAGTTGGAGTTGTCTGCTCACCCCACCCCCATCTTCTCTTGGTACAGCATTCACTCTGAGCCACTTCCTCCAGCAGGGTTGCCAGCCCCTGAGTTGGAGTTGTCTGCTCACCCCACACCCATCTTCTCTTGTACTGCATTCACTCTGAGCCACTTCCTCCACCAGGCTTGCCAGTCCCTGAAGCGGAGTACTCCCCTCACCCCACCCCTATCTTCTGTTGGTACTGCATTCACGCTGAGCCACTTCCTTAAAAGTTCAAATGGATTTTTCAACTTGAGGCTTTCACAGAGCCTTATTTTGTTCTTAACTAAAATATTACTCATGCATTTTCTGTACTAAGATGGCCAGGGATCAAGGTGATTAAGAGCATTGATTTGGGGTTCTACTGTACCTGAGTTTTAATGTTAATTCCAGCACTCTTTAGCTGTTTGATGCCAGTAAGTTAATTTGTCTAAACCTCAGCTTCCCTCCGTGCAAAATGGGGAAAATACTATCTACTAGATTTTTGTGTTCTGGGAATGATGTAAACAATGTTGAGGAAGTTCCTGGCATGTAACAGGTGCTCCTAATCCCAATGAATGATGTCCCCATTCATCCACAAAGGAAGCCAGAAATTTGGGAGTTATCTGACACCTCCCTCCCTGAACTCATAACAATCATGTCCAGCAATCGCTCTCATGGCTGTTCATCCCCCTAAATGTCTCTCAAGTTCTTTTACTCCTCTCCGCCTTCACTATTGCTCTCACGGTTGAAGCCCTCTTCCTCTCTGTCATCAAGACCAGATCTGCAGCCCTCTGTGCAGAAATCTGCTAGACCTTTGCTATGTGCTTATGCCAAGGGGGCAAGCATGTATCATCTTTTGCCCTTTGGCCCCTAGTTGGGTTTGGCCAATGGGATCTTTCCTACTGGGACCCTGACTTGTTCATCTCCCACCTTCCCTCTGATTCTACCTTTATCCTCTTCCAACAGAACCTTCATGCTAGAGCCAGAGGGATCTTTACAAAATTAAAACCTATCGTGCCACCTCATGCCCCTGTAATAACTTTCAGCATCCACCAGCTAGAGACCCAAGTCCTCTGGAAGAGCTGAGATTTTGACCCAGTCTCATTCTCTTACCATTCCATGCCCCTCAGATGAAATGGAAGTTTCATTTCCTTAAAAGTTACTAATCAAATTGTATTAGTGGTTTTAGGTACACACCAATATCATTGAGTGGGTACTTAAAGCCCAAGGAAGCACAAATTTTAGCCCAAGCACCAATTTTATATATAAAAATTATATATAATATATAACTTTGCACACATTATATGCAATTTTAGAGATTTTTCATGATTTTTAAAGTATATTAGCTTAAAATCAATGAAACCAATTATTGCACCTGAGTAGGATGACATTATTTGCATTATTTAACTAGTCAACAAATATAGAATTTAATCATGGATAATTTGAGTCAAGTTCAAATCCCAAATGAAACTGTTACTCTTTACTTTTATTAAATTAGAAGACACTTTGATGTAACTGCAAATGTCTGATTCTGCCACAAGTACTGATCTTTCAGTAAAAATATAGACCAAAAATTTGGAAAGATTTCTACCAAGTCTACTTTGAGTGCTCAGCTAGACTGGAAGATGAAAAGCATTTCACCATTAAAGTTGGACCCAGCGGTCCACTTTGGAAGAGAGCAACACATGGGGTCTCATCTGCTCTTTGATCCTATTTAACTTGGGAAAGCGTTTCTTCACGTGCCCTTGCAGGGTTTCTGTACTTCATCAATTTATTTCTCCAGTAAATGGAGACATTTCCCAAGTTGGAAAAGAGTTAAAATCTTGGTGATTAAGCCAGGCAATTTTAAGTAATGTTTATCCTTAACACTAAAATTCTGTGTAATTCAGCCCTAAAGCATTAGTTTCCAGCTACTCAGGAATTGAATTTATAGCTAGAGCCACACCACTCAAGCAAGGCACTTGAGATATAAGATCTCCTCTATTGGCATTACCTGGGTTAGGAAGAAAGGTTTTTGACTTTCATCATCTCAAAAATCCATGTGAGTACCTTACCTTGAGAGAACACTGACTTTAGAGTGGAAAGCAGAGACCCGTCGCCATGTCATTCAGGGCACCCATGAAACCAGCAGCTGCCTGGAGGTCAAAGCGGAAGGAATCGTTCACATGCAAGTGGCAGAGCCAAGAAGCAGGTGTCAGATGGAGGAAACTCAGACAGTACCAGCCAAACAGGACGTTGTGAAGGGACTGGCACGGGATTTGCAGCTTTACTCCTGTTTCCTCCTGGAGGGGCTCCGCCCTGGAGGCTGTCCTGCTCCGATGGGAGGATGCTGGATGGAGAGGCGTCTTTGCGACCATGGTTCTGCTCTTGTGATTTCAGAAGTGGGCTTGTGAACATCATAGGAAGTGTTCCATTTTCTCCTGGAGTATGCTCCAGGCACTGTAGGATCTTTCATCCACACGAGGTATTTTCATGTTTTCCAAGCCAGGCACATATGAACCTCTGAGCCACCTCAGCATCTTAGGTCACCTAAACATCCTCTTTGGCATCCCAGCCCTAGCAGTAGTCTTCTCCACAAGGGCAGGCTTCTCCAGACCTGTCCCATCTGAGCCTCATATAAGCTGGGGACTCCAGTTGGTAACTTAATGTCCCTGAGCCATCTTCTACTCATTTTAAAATGGAAATAACTACCTACCTAGTAAAAATCTCTGTTCATGACATTTATTACCATATAGAACAGAATGGCTCCCACTTAGGGACTCTCCACTGGTATCGCAATCCACCCCAGGTCCTCCAAAACTCCCCAGCCTCTCCAGTTCAAAAATGAGCCAACAATTTTACTCATAGAAGGCAAATGGAAAAGCCTTGTTAGAAACAGAGTGCTAGCCTAGAGGCAGAAAGACCTGCTGGCCAAGCACGGCCTGGGTTTGCAGCATAAGACCAGGTTCAGACAGATGATGGAGTGTGATCTGTGGTTCATGAGAGACCTTGTCTGCTTCTGACACCCAGCGTTGGTCCGCATCATTAACTACCACTTCCTCTTTCCAGGACTTGGAATGCATCAAAAGAGATGACCATGGAATCACGCAGACACAATCCTGCTTTATGAATTTTTGTTTTGTTTTATGTTTTAAAAAACCTAGCAGTCATGGGGAAACCAAGGTGTTCTGAAATGCACCTTTCACCTCCCCTCTCTCCTTATGCTGAGCAGGGAGCCTCTGGCCCTGCAGGGCTGTACACACCCCCACTGCTAAATGCCCAGCCATGCCCAGAAAGGACAGGGCACTTGGGTCAGTCCCTAGACGCCTGGATGCTGAGGCAGACCTGGGGGCAGATAGGCATCCCTGCCCTTCCAGAAACTTCACCCTTGTCATCTAGACATTTAGATGGCAAATTCCCAGCACAATGTCAGTGACCATGCTAAGGTCCCTGGATGGCCATCAGGAGCCCAGGAGGACAAGCTCACATGTGGGCAAGGACACCAAGTCCTGTCATTCACTATTTTTCATTGTCTTCTGTTGTCCCTGACTCTTCAGCTGTTGTGTGTATGGTGACATTATGGCTGAGAGACCCTCCGATGCCCCAGTTCCATCCTGAGCACAGTCCCTGACAACATCTCCCGGGAGAGGTAGAGGAGGATGTATGCATGGGGCGATGTCGTATGGAAATGGATGTCTCTTCCTTGTCTGGCTGAGTACATGCCCAGACTTGAAGTCTACCTAGTCTCTTAGATAGGGCCAGGCACTGGGGTCAGGCACACAGACCAGGGGTCTCTGCAAGAGGTCTTCAACACCTGAGTCCAAACTCCACTCACATGCGATCCTGTCCCCTTTTAGCAGCATAAGGCTGAAGACCAAAGCACTCAAAACAGCCACTGGGCATGGTGTGGGGGAGAAGAGAGAGAAGAGGGAAGAACAGGAGGGAGAAGGGGGAAAGGGGAGGGAAGAGAGAGGGCAGATGAGGGAAGAAAGACCAGGAGAGGAGAGGCAAGAGCAGAAGGGAGGGAAGCTGCCAGCCACAGCTTTAAAGAATGGAAAGACAGCACAAAAGAGCCTTTTTTTCCTTTTTAAACTTTCCTTTGAAATTTAATTGTAAAGTTTATTATAATGGGGAATTAAATGTAAAACTTATATGCATGGATTAAAGGATGTAGTGAAAAAGTGCCCTTGTGCCAGCAGCCCTGGGTAACAAATAGGGAGCTTATTTCATAATCGAGACAGGAGGTAAGAAGCAAGCATTCGTTCCACCATGTCATGGTTCGCCTCCTGCAGCCCTCCCTCTGCTGGTTGTGCCCCGCAGCCCGGGTTGCTCCTAGGTAGGGGGCTCTAGCCTAGCCTCATCCTCTCCACGACAACCCTCCAGGCTGCCCGACCCCTGTCCCTCTCTCAGTCCTGCCTTGGGTTTCCAATGTTCATCACATAGGCACCCCAAGGTGAAAAAAAGCCCCGGCAGTCTCCAGGCATGATATGAGAGGAAGAGCCTGACCCCACAGCTCCCTCCTCCCTGGGATCAGGAAGCTGGCGATGCCTGGGCATAGCAGAGTCAGCCAGATCCTGTCTTTAAAAGCTCCAGATTAGCAAGTCCACTCCCCAGAATTCTCTTTTGGTTGTTGGGTATATGATGGAGTCTTGTTTGGGTCCCATTTGACAATTTCAGAGCAGAAAAATGCCCCTTAAGGCGTTACTACAGCGCCCACCCAGCAGGGGTTTTCTAAGAGTAAAATGAGAAAAGATGTGTCAAGCGTTTAGTACAGTTCCTGGGGTCCAGTCCCTTCTCCCGATGGTAGCAGGGGTTGATGCAGCAGCAATAACAGCACATGGCAGACAAGAAGTTGTACTTGGCTCTTCCAATTCCTGAGCAGCACCTGCACTTCTGCTTTGGAGTTCTGTTTGAGATTTCCCTGACACCTTGCTGTCTGTGAAATGTTAGACTGCTAGATCAGGGCATTGCCCCCATGCATGGAAGACAACATCCCCAGTCCTTGTAAAAAGCAATTCTTTATGAACAAAGGCATGTCTCTTTGGGCACATACTACCTACACCCTAGACAGGATTTGCAGCTGTGGAAAGTAGTGCTATCACCTCGAGGAAGGGAAGAAAAATTATCGTTTACTGCCTTTGGCCACTACTTAAGAACACAGAATAGAGAAAGTGGAGTTGCTGTCCATTAAGTCATTCCATAAATATCCACTCTACCCCCAGCCCTTGGGGGCACAAACAAGAATAAGATAAATCGTGTGCATTGCACTGATTTTAGTTTCCCCAAAGCAGAGCCTGAGACAGGACCAGGATGCAGGATGCAGATGATCTACGTGGAGGATGATCCCAGGAAGCAGGAGCGAGACAGAGCATGGATACAAGCTGAAGCAAGGGAGCAGTCCCCATGAGGTGGGCCCCAGGCTTACTGCCTGGACCTCCAGGAAGCATGCAGAGCACACATGAGGACCGCCCTGCCAAGGGACAGGGAGAGCTGAGGCTTTCTTCACGGACACCAACTAGCTGGGTATCACCCCTGGGAATATTCAGTTCGAGGTGAGCAGACTTCCTCACAGACAGAGAAAGCAAGGAGCCTCTGGGGTCTGCGGTGGGAATCTGTTGGGTGCCTGAGATGTCCCTCCCATTTCAGGGGCACTGAGACCAGAGGTGGTGGGGGTCAGGGGGCTGGGCCTCGCCAGCATCTGCTACTGTAAGGCTCGGCCCTGGCTGGACTACAAGCACAGACTCCACATGCAGCTGCCTGGCAGCCTCTCTGGAGACAGACAGCACGTGGAAGGCACAGGGAGACGTGCCCAGGTTTAATTTCTCTTCTTCCCCAGGTTCCCAATGTTTTATTTCAATCATACAGGTGATGCAAGTATATGACAGTGCAAATGACATGGGAGGGGCCATGGAAGGCGATGAAGGCACAAGTTCCTGATTTGGTGGTTTCAAGGTTTGCAACACTAAACAACTCCAAAGTTGTCCGCCTCTCAGGAGTGTATTGACAGCTGGAGGTGATGGTGTGTGGCAAATGCCTGGTAAATTCTGCAGTGCTTTGCGAAGGCAGAGTGACTTCCCTAACTCTGAGACTGTTCCTACTGCTTCTTCTGGTTAATGTCCACATTCAAAAAGTAAATGCCTCACTGAAATCAGGAAGAATTTGTTCATCCAATTTGGGCCAAAGCGAGTGGTTCTTTTCTATGAATGCAGTCAGGAGCCTAGTGATGACTTTATTTCTGGTATCTGAGGAGGTGCTGCATTTGTTACAAGTCAGTGGGTCACACTAGATTTGCTGATTATATTCTCATGGATCCTGGACTTGTGGAAAGAATGAGTTACTCATCAGGAGCTATTCTCTCTGCATGATGTCTATTCCTGGTGGGAGCGTACCTTGTTTCCCTGTGAGGAGAAGCCTCTGCAGCTCCTAAGGAGATGGGCTGGAGCCTCGGGGCTGTGAGGTGAGTGCTGTGGATGCTGCCCCAGCCTGGGAAGGCAATACTTTCATTTCTCACCATCTGAGCCAATTAAACACATGCATCCTCTGAAATGGCTGATTTGATGATCATGGAAATTAATGTTTGAGAAACGTTTTCTTAGAGTAGCTTTTCACAATATTCCCCTGATGAAGACAAAGTGAGTGTGGTGCCTGCTTTTAACAGGTGGGAAAACGGGTATGCGTCACTAATGTTCCTCTCCCTCTCATCAGACCCAGTAACTTGAAAACAGCACTTTTTAAAATTATTATTATACTTTAAGTTCTAGGGTACATGTGCACAACATGCAGGTTTGTTACATATGTATACATGTGCCATGTTGGTTTGCTGCACCCATTAACTCATCATTTACATTAGGTATTTCTCCTAACGCTATCCCTCCTCCATCCCTCCACCCCATGACAGGCCCTGGTGTGTGTGATGTTCCCCACACTGTGTCCAAGAGTTCTCATTGTTCAATTCCCACCTATGAGTGAGAACATGCAGTGTATGGTTTTCTGTCCTTGAGACAGTTTGCTCAGAATGATGGTTTACAGCTTCATCCATGTCCCTAAAAAGGACATGAACTCATCCTTTTATATAGCTGCATAGTATTCCAGGGTGTATATGTGCCACATTTTCTTAATCCAGTCTATCACTGATGGACATTTGGGTTGGTTCCAAGTCTTTGCTATTGTGAATAGTGCCACAATAAACATACGTGTGCATGTGTCTTTATAGTAGCATGATTTATAATCGTTTGGGTATATACCCAGTAATGGGATTGCTGGGTCAAATGGTATTTCTAGTTCTAGATCCCTGAGGAATCGCCACACTGCCTTCCACAATGGTTGAGCTAGTTTACACTCCCACAAACAGTGTAAAAGCGTTCCTGTTTCTCCACATCCTCTCCAACATCTGTTGTTTCCTGACTTTTTAAAGATTGCCATTCTAACTGGTGTGAGATGTTATGGCATTGTGGTTTTGATTTGCATTTCTCTGACGACCAGTGATGATGAACATTTTTTCATGTGTCTGTTGGTTGCATAAATGTCTTCTTTTGAGAAGTGTCTGTTCATAGCCTTTGCCCACGTTTTGATGGGGTTGTTTGATTTTTTCTTATAAATTTAAGTTATTTGTAGATTCTGGATATTAGCTCTTTGTCAGACTGGTAGATTGCAAAAATTTTCTCCCATTTGTAGGTTGCCTGTTCACTCTGATGGTAGTTTCTTTTGCTGTGCAGAAGCTCTTTAGTTTAATTAGATCCCATTTGTCTATTTTGGCTTCCGTTGCCATTGCTTTTGGTGGTTTAGTCATGAAGTCTTTCCCCATGCCTATGTCCTGAACGGTATTGCCTAGGTTTTCTTCCAGGGTTTTTATAGTTTTAGGTCTAACGTTTAAGTCTTTAATCCATCTTGAATTAATTTTTGCATAAGGTGTAATGAAGGGATCCAGTTTCAGCTTTCAGCATATGGCTAGCCAGTTTTCCCAGAACCATGTATTAAATAGGGAATCCTTTCCCCATTTCTTGTTTTTGTCAAGTTTTTCAAAGATCAGATGGTTGTAGATGTGTGGTGTTATTTCTGAGGCCTCTGTTCTGTTCCTTTGGTCTATATATCTGTTTTGGTACCGGTACCATGCTGTTTTGGTTACTGTAGCCTTGTAGTATAGTTTGAAGTCAGGTAGTGTGATGCCTCCAGTTTTGTTTTTTTTTTCTTTTTTTTTTTTTTTTTGCTTAGGATTGTCTTGGCAATGTGGGCTCTTTTTTGGTTCCATATGAACTTTAAAGTAGTTTTTTCCAATTCTGTGAAGAAAGTCATTGGTAGCTTGATGGGGATGGCATTGAATCTATAAATTACCTTGGGCACTATGGCCATTTTCACAATATTGATTCTTCCTATTCATGAGCATGGGATGTTCTTCCATTTGTTTGTATCCTCTTTTATTTCATTGAGCAGTGGTTTGTAGTTCTCCTTAGAGAGGTCTTTCACATCCCTTGTAAGTTGGATTCCTAGGTATTTTATTCACTTTGTAGCAATTGTGAATGGGAGTTCACCCATGATCTGGCTCTCTGTTTGTCTGTTATTTGTGTATAGGAATGCTTGTGATTTTTGCACATTGATTTTGTATCCTGAGACTTTGCTGAAATTGCCTATCAGCTTAAGGAGATTTTGGGCTGAGATGACAGGGTTTTCTAAATATACCAACATGTCATCTGCAAACAGGATCAATTTGACTTCCTCTTTTCCTCATTGAATACCCTTTATTTCTTTCTCTTGCCTGATTGCACTGGCCATAACTTCTAACACCATGTTGAATAGGAGTGGTAAGAGAGGGCATCCCAGTCTTATGACAGTTTTCAAAGGGAATGCTTCCAGTTTTTGCCCATTCAGTATGATATTGGCTGTGGGTTTGTCATAAATGGCCCTTATTATTTTGAGATATGTTCCATCAATACCTACTTTATTGAGAGTTTTTAGCATGAAGGGCTGTTGAATTTTGTCAAAGGCCTTTTTTGCATCTATTGAGATAATCATGTGGTTTTTGTCTTTGGTTCTGTTTATGTGATGGATTTTGTTTGTTGATTTGCGTGTGTTGAACCAGCCTTACATCCTAGGGATGAAGCCAACTTGATCTTGGTGGATAAGCTTTTTGATGTGCTGCTGGATTCAGTTTGCCAGTATTTTATTGAGGATTTTTGCATTGAAATTCATCAGGGATATTGGTCTAAAATTCTCTTTTTTTGTTGTGTCTCTGCCCGGCTTTGGTATCAGGATGATGCTGGCCTCATAAAATGAGTTAGGGAGGATTCTCTCTTTTTCTATTGAGTGGAATAGTTTCAGAAGGGATGGTACCAGCTCCTCCTTGTACCTCTGGTAGAATTCGGCTGTGAATCCGTCTGGTCCTGGACTTTTTTTGTTTGGTAGGCTATTAATTATTGCCTCAATTTCAGAGCCTGTTATTGGTCTATTCAGGGATTCAACTTCTTCCTGGTTTACTCTTGGGAGGGTATGTGTCCAGGAATTTATCCATTTCTTCTAGATTTTCTAGTTTATTTGCATAGAGGTGTTTATAGTATTCTCTGATGGTAGTTTATGTTTCTGTGGGATCGGTGGTGATATCCCCTTTATCATTTTTTATGGTATCTATTTGATTCTTCTCTCTTTTCTTGTTTATTACTCTTGCTAGAGGTCTATCAATTTTGTTGATCTTTTCAGAAAAACAACTCCTGGATTCACTGATTTTTTGAAGGGTTTTTGTGTTTCTATCTCCTTCAGTTCTGCTCTGATCTTAGTTATTTCTTGCCTTCTGCTAGCTTTTGAATGTGTTTGCTCTTGTTTCTCTAGTTATTTTAATTGTGATGTCGATTTTAGATCTTTCCTGCTTTCTCTTGTGGGCATTTAGTGTTATAAATTTCCCTCTACACACTGCTTTAAATGTGTCCCAGAGATTCTGGTAAGTTGTGTCTTTGTTCTCATTGGTTTCAAGAAACATCTTTTTTTCTGCTTTCATTTCGTTATGTACCCAGTAGTCATTCAGGAGCAGGTTGTTCAGTTTCCATGTAGTTGTATGGTTTTGAGTGAGTTTCTTAATCCTGAGTTCTAATTTGATTGCACTGTGGTGTGAGAGAGAGTTTGTTGTGATTTCTGTTCTTTTACATTTGCTGAGGAGTGCTTTACTTCAAACTATGTGGTGAATTTTAGAATAAGTGTGATGTGGTGCTGAGAAGAACGTATATTCTGTTGATTTGGGATGGAGAGTTCTGTAGATGTCTATTAGGTCTGCTTGGTGCAGAGCTGAGTTCAAGTCCTGGATATTCTTGTTAACCTTGTGTCTTGTTGATCTGTCTAATATTGACAGTGGGATGTTAAAGTCTCCCATTATTATTGTGTGGGAGTCTAAGTCTCTTTGTAGGTCTCTGAGGACTTGCTTTCTGAATCTGGGTGCTCCTGTATTGAGTGCATATATATTTAGGATAGTTAGCTCTTCTTGTTGAATTGATCCCTTTACCATTATGTAATGGCCTTCTTTGTCTCTTTTGATCTTTGTTGGTTTAAAGTCTGTTTTATCAGAGACTAGGATTGCAACCCTTGCTTTTTTTGCCTTCCATTTGCTTGGTAGATCTTCCTCAATCCCTTTATTTTGAGCCTATGTGTGTCTCTGCACATGAGATGGGTCTCCTGAATACGGCACACTGATGGGTCTTGACTCTTTATCCAATTTGCCAGTCTGTGTCTTTTAATTCGGGCATTTAGCCCATTTACATTTAAGGTTAATATTGTTATCTGTGAATTTGATCCTGTCATTATGATGTTAGCTGGTTATTTTGCCCATTAGTTGATGCAGTTTCTTCCTAGCATTGATGGTCTTTACAATTTGGCATGTTTTTGCAGTGACTGGTACCAGTTGTTCCTTTCCATGTTTAGTGCTTCCTTCAGGAGCTCTTGTAAGGCAGGCCTGGTAGTGACAAAATCTCTCAGCATTTGCTTATCTGTAAAGGATTTTATTTCTCCTTCACTTATGAAGCTTAGTTTGGCTGGATATGAAATTCTGGGTTGAAAATTCTTTTCTTTAAGAATGTTGAATATTGGCTCACACTCTCTTCTGGCTTGTAGAGTTTCTGCCAAGAGATCGGAACAGCACTGTTTTCAACTTTGTCAAATTATGAAAGGGAAAACCAGGGATTTATTACTGCAACTGATTTGCTGACTATTCTTCTAGACATTTTTCTATACCTTTACACATGTTCTTTTTCTTTTGCTTTCATTTCAGTAATTGGTATCACAAGCAACTTGCTATTTTTCGTTGTGTCTTTTTCATTTAACTTTTAATCTTAGAGATGTTGTCCACATTGATATATAAAGACCTACCACACTCTTTTAAGCAACTGCCTATACCTTCTCGGAATAGCTCTCCAACAGTCTGTATGGACCCTCTCAGCTGACAGATTTGTTGGTTTCCCATTTTTCCTTCTTTGAATTGTTCATTATTATCTGCTCTATGAGATTCTCTTCCTCAAATGAATTTACATGATTTCTTTCTACGTTCTAGCCATTAATACCTTGTAATGTATTTCACAAGGATTTTTCTCCCTGCCTCTCATCTTTTAGGATTATTTCTAATATAGATTTTAGTTCTAGAGAAAACATTAATTTTGATGCAATCAAATTTATTAATTTTCCTTTCATAACAATTGTGTTAAGCATACTTAAAAAAAAAAAAACTTTCTTTAGCCCCAGTGATATAAATGTTCTGTCTCTTTACTGATTTTTATTTGTCTAGAGATGGGGTTAGATTTGTTTCATTTATTTTTACTTTTAGATTTTTAATGCACCTGGTATTTGTTTTTACAAGTCATGTTAAGTAGGACTGTAGCAAAAGAGAAGCCATTTATCCCAACATTATTCTTATAAAGTTTAGTAGGTCAAGTCCACATTCATTGTATATTGTTTGAAAATTGTTTCAAATATTCTTGTGCCTTTTCTTTTCTATGTGAATTCTGGAATTAGCTTGCCAAATTGATAATTACTATTATGATTTTCACTGGGATTACAATGAATTTGAAACTAATTTTGGAAGCCAGTTATGCTCACCATTACACCACCAATGCCACCACTAATTTTGGAATATTTGTGAAAATATTGAGTCTTTTTATCCAAGCACATAGTAAATAACTTCATCTTTTTTCAAGCCTTCTTGAATATTGTCCAGCAAAATTTAGTAGTTCTATACTTACAAGATTTATGCATTCTTTCTAGCTTTAGTACTAACATTTTATAATTCCGTTACTCTTATGAATGCAGTATTTTTTATTATATTGTCCTTTAATTTTTTCAATTAGATCATTTTTAACAAAAAGTAATTCACAGTGCTAAAAAAACAAGTTCAGCTCCTGTAATAAGTCGAGCAAAACAAATACAACCAATGTGCTGGTGTTCAGGCCTCTAGACAAGTCTTCAGGCAGCCAGCATGGGCAGCCTGCCTCTCACATGTGTAGCCTTCAACTCATAGACCCAGGTGCTTTTAGCAATTAGAATCCAGCATGCCAACTAACCGGCCATGTTATGTTCAAATATGTCTACTTGCACCCTGTCAGCCCTGGCACAGGGAGAATCTTGTTTTCACATCTGTTATGACAGCATAAACACAATTGTGTCAGCAGTCTGCATACTTGAAGTCCCAGGACCTGGGGCTCCACATACGGTCCCAGCAGGTTTGCTTTGGCACAGGAACCAAGCCATGGATGGGAGCAGATGCCAGCCACTCACCCTTTGTGGGAACTGTGACAGGAAGAGATGCCCAGGACAGCATTCCTGCCAGGGGTCTTCTGCTAGCTGCTCCCCTCTTTTAATAGTGTATGACAGTGTGTGTAGGTCTGTGTGTGTGTGTGTGTGTGTGTGTGTGTGTCTTTAAACACACACCGTCCCACTGACAGTGAATAAGGGCACCCACTTCTCAGAATCAACTCTCATTCATCTCGTGTTTAGCAATCTCATGATACCTCAGTGCTGCTGTTATTTTCTGATTATTGCAAAGTTGAGGATATTCCCATATGTTTCTCAGCCATTCTATGTGTTTCTCCTGTTGATATCCTTACTGTGTTGATTGTCTTTCTTGTGCCAATTTTTAGGTATTTATATTTTAGGAATAATATTGTCTGCTGTATGCACTGCAAGTATTTTTTTACAGATACCACTTTGTCTTCATTTTTAACACTTTTTGAGTTACAATTTACATACCATAAAATTCACCCCTAGTAAAAGTGCAACTCAATGATTTTTAATAAATTTTCAGAGTTTTGCAGTCTTCACCACAATCCAGTTTTTAGAACATTTCCTCACCACCATCCATGAAAAGAATAGTCATGACCATTTTCAGTCAACCCCCAGCACCAAGCAGTCACTAATCTGCCCTTTCTGGACATTTCAGGTAAATGAAATCCTACCATATGTAGTCATTAAGTTTGACTTCTTTCACTTAGCGTAATGTTTTCAAGGTGCATCCATATGGAGCATATATCAGTATTTCATTCCTTTTTATTGCCCAGTAATATTCCATTGCATGGATAGACCACACTGTTGTTCATCCATTCACCAGTTAATGGACATTTGGATCATTTCCAATGTTTGTCTATTATGAATAATGCAGCTTAAACATTTGCATACATATCTTTGTGCAGATATATGTTTTCACTTCTCTTGAGTAGACACTTAGCAGTAGAATCACTGGGCCATATGGTAAATATATGTTTAACTTCTTAAGAAACTGCCAAACTGCTTTCCATATTCTTACCGGCAATGGATGAGGCTTCTAGTGCTCTAACATCTCTGTCAGGACTTGTTACTGTCAGTCTTTTTCATTATAGCCAACCAACCACAGTTTCAATATGCATTTCTGCAGTGACTAATGATGGTAGGAATCTTTCCTTGTGCTTCTTGGCCATTCCTGCATCTTCTCTGGTGAAGTCTGTTGAAACATTTTGTCCATTTTTATTGGGTTGTTTGTTCTCTTAGAAATGAGTTGTAAGAGTTCCTTATATATACTGGATATAAAATCCTTCATAAGATATATGATTTGCCAAAAAGACAGTCTGGTCTTGTCTTTTCATTTCCCTAATGGTGTCTTTTGAAGGAAAATAGTTCTTAATTTTGCAGAAGTCCAATTCATCAAACTTCTATTTCTGGATCAGTCTTTTGGCATCATAGGTAAAAACTTTTTGCCAAACAAACTGTCATGAAGATTTTCTCGTCTGTTTTCTTCTAAAAGTTTTATACTTTTAACTCTTACATTTTGTCTATGACTCATTTTGGGTTGTTTTATGAATCCATATTGTGATGTAAGGATCTAAACTCATTTTTTAACATGTGGATTTTTAATTTTCCCAACACAGTTTGTTAACAAGACTATTCTTTTCTCCATTGTCAAAAATCCGTAGACCATGAATGTAGGGATTTAGTTTTGGATTCTCAAATATGTTCCATTGATCTATATGTCTATCCTTATACCAGCTTCACACTGTCTTGATTATTTTAGCTTTATAATAAGTTTTGAAATAGAGAAATTTAAGTCCTCCAATTTTATTTATCTTTTAAAATTGTTTTGGCTATGTTGGGTCCTCTGCATTTCTTTATACATTTTAGGATCATCTTGTCAATTTCTGCAAAAACCTGCCAGGATTTTTAAAGTAATTGCATTCAATCTATAGCTCAGTTAGATAAAAATTGTCATCTTAACAATATTGAGTCACCCCACACACAAACTTGGAATGTATCTCAATTTATTTAGAGCTTTTTAATTTTTTCTTAATAATATTTTATAGTTTCCTATACAAATCCTGTACTTTTTTGTTAA
Organism: Homo sapiens; assembly: GCF_000001405.40. NCBI lineage: Eukaryota > Metazoa > Chordata > Mammalia > Primates > Hominidae > Homo > Homo sapiens. Next base: position 24,404,581 of record NC_000020.11, read on the forward strand.
ATATATTTCTACCTATTTTATTACCTTGTTGCAATTGTGAATAGAGTTGTTTACACAATTTCATTTTGGATTGTTCATGGGTAGTATATAGAAACACAATTGAATTTTGTATATTTATCTTGTATCCTGAAAACTTGCTAAACTCACTTATTGGTTCTAGTTGGGTTTTTTAACGTGTGTGGATTCCTTAGAATTTTCTATATGCATGTGATGATCTTAACTGCAAATAAAGACAGTTTTACCTCTTTTCATTCTGTATCCCCTTTGTTTCTTTTTCTATTTTTTATTTCTCTTGATTTTTCTTCCCTGGTTGCACTGTCTTGGACCTCCAGTATAATGTTGAAAAGGGTGCTGAGAGTGGAGAGTGGACATCTTTGTCTTGTCCCTGATCATAAGAGGAAAGTTAACATGATTAAGTATCATGTTAATTGCAGGGTTTTTATAGATGTCCTCTATCCAATTGAGAAAATTCCTTTCTGTGTTTTGCTTGTTCATTTTAATCACAAAATTATTGTTTGCTTTTTTATCTCTTTTTTATAACAAAATTTATATCAAGTGTACCAAAAAATTGCAGTGTCTATGATTTTTTTGTTTTGTTTTTCTTTTTTTTTTTTCTTTTTTTGAGACAGAGTCTTACTCTGTTGACCAGGCGATCTCGGCTCACTGCAATCTCCACCTCCCAGGTTCAAGTGATTCTCGTGTTTCAGCCATCTGAGTAGCTGGGATTACAGATGCGCACCACCACACCTGGTTAATATTTTTGTATTTTTAGTAGAGATGGCATTTCACTATGTTGGCCAGGCTGGTCTCAAACTCCTAGCCTCAAGTTATCAGCCTGCCTCGGCCTCCCAGAGTGCTGGGATTACAGGCATGAGCCACTGCTCTTGTCCATGACTATGTGCTTATTCTTGTTCCTATGTCCCTTTCTAAGTATTGAGTTTGATTTTTCTCTTTCTAGAGATCTTTTAGTGATTTTTTTTAAATTTTGTTTTAAAGAGGACTTTTAGAGCAGTCTTTCAAAGGGATGGTAAATTTTCTGAATTTTTTATTTTAAAAAAATGTATTTAACCCCTCTATTAGAAAAAAAAGCTTTATCTGGCTATAGAATTTCAGGTTAACAGTCTTCTCTTTTTAAAAAAAAGCTTTATCTGGCTATAGAATTTCAGGTTAACAGTCTTCTCTTTTTTTCTATGACAGACATCATTTGAATATATGTTTCCATTGTTTCCTTGTCAATGAGAAGGATCCTGCTGTCAATTGGATTCTCATTCATTCATCTCCTTCTTACCACCAGCCCACCTGGAAGCTCTGAGGATGTCACTCTCTTCTTAGTTTTCTAAAGTCTCCTCCACTGGATCTCATTTCATATCCCACCACAGCAGTCAGTGGGCCTTTCTGATCTAATGAGTCATACTTTGCTTAGCTCTGCAAGTGTGTATTTACTTTTTGAACTTTCCCCTTTCTCTCTTTGTCCTCTCCCTGTGGTCTCCTATGTGATTAATGTTCGTTTGCTGCATGGTGACAGCATGAAGAAACTTCCAGAACCCTCAGCCACAAGAATGGGCAAGAGGACTCCAAATCTCCATCAATTCAATCCAGTCGGAGTCAACTCAATTTTCACAGAAGAAAGTCACACGATAATTACATTTTCCATTGTAAATTGGCATGAAGATGATTAAACCTTGAGGAACAGCATGAAATTAATAAATAATCATCCATGAGAAATATGAGATTTTTTTTTCCTGATTTTTATCAACCCCACCACGCCTCCCTGGGCTGCCTTGCAAGGAGCCAGCAACAAGGTGTGTGTGAGGTGCCTCCCAAGTCTTGCAAACATCTGACACTAGTGCCTCTTTCTTAGTTCATAGGCCTCTTTCTGTTTGTGGTGAGTTTGCTTTCTTTTCCTTTGTATGATATGTACACTGATGTGCGGAAATATATTATGAATATAATTCAATGACTAAGCTTTGGTGACAAAAACCATTCATTCATTTTATGGGACATTTGAAGTTTCACACAAGAGGCAGCTGCAGGTTTATTAAGCACATCAATTATTAATTCATCACAGCTATGAGCCTGATTTGCTTATTTTCCATATTATCTCTGTCTAGTAGTTGAACTGAGTTGCTTTTTATTACATTGCTTTTCACGGTGATAATGAAATGTAATAACAGTGAGAGTTTTCATTTCCCTCTCATCATTTCTCCCTTCAGATCAGCTGAGGACTGAAACTTGGGTGGGGAAAGAGAGAGGCAGAGAGAAACAGAGACAGGAAGTGAGAGAGAGGAAGAGAGCAAGAGGCTGAGACCTTTGAACTCCTCAGAGGTGAGTCAGGAGTATGTGTGATGGGGTGAGAGCAAGGGACACTGTATCCCTGGATGGAGCCACATCCCTGCCACTTGGCAGGTCAGGTCTCGCCAAGAGCAGACACCTCCCTGCGGTCTGCAGAACACATGATCTCCCTCGGGCGTCTGCCTGCCAGTCCTGTCCAGCCCAGTCTCTCTACCCATCTGGATCTGACTCCTCTTCTAAAGAACCTCAGGTCCCTGTTGGTCAAGAACTCTTCCCTGGAGCTTATTTCTCTGACATTTCTCTTATCTGAACTTGTATTACAGGCTGTAAACAATTTTTAAAGAAGATTTTACAATACACGATATCCTTCCTGTTCACAGATCTCTATCTAGAGATCCTTGCAAAGAGGTAAATAATCTATTGTGTGCCCTCTATGCAAAACATGTTGGACAGCTTCCCCATCCAGCATGTTTATGTTGGAGGGCACACAAAACAAGCTGTCCAACAGCTGATTTTTTGTTTGTTTTTATTGGAAAGAGGTTTGAATCCTTGCTTGTACAGCATGAGTTCCAGTCCTCTTCCACCCCTTACTAGCTAGGGCTTTTCTGAACATCAGTTTTCTCATCAGTTTGATAAGAAAATAATCACAACAACCTCACAGACCAAAGAAGGCAATGCCCATAAGCTTCATGAGTTACAACATGTAATGTAAATATGGTAGCCATGAAATCTTCTAATTACATTGCAAAGAAATGATCAAATCTGGTGGCCTTACAAAACATCTTTAGAACATCTCCTAATCTCATTTGTAGCAGGTTTGCTGAGTGATGAATTTATGTCTTTCTCCACACAGCAGTGGAGAGCCAAGAAGAGGGGAAAAGGAGGGAGCATGGGAGGTAAATGCGTCATGGTAACCACTCAGGGCTGGGGTCACATAGAACATGGTTCATATCCTAAATCTGCCACTTCTCTTTGTATGACCTTGCACAAATCATTTGACTTATCTGACCCTCAGTTTATTCATCTATAAAACAGATGTGGCAGTGGTAGTGCCACAATTCACAGCCCAGTTCCACCTTCCTCACAGGCTCGTGATAAAGCTCCATTTCCTACCCTTCCTCTCAGTTATGTTGGAGCCACAGGAGGTGATATAGGGTGCTTCCAGCCCTGGCCATAGGGTACTTCTGGGAGGTGATATAGGGTATTTCCAGCCTTGGCCATAGGGTACTTCTGGGAGGTGATATAGGGTACTTCCAGCCTTGGCCATAGGGTACTTCTGGGAGGTGATATAGGGTACTTCCAGCCTTGGCCATAGGGTACTTCTGGGAGGTGATATAGGGTACTTCCAGCCCTGGCCATAGGGTACTTCTGGGAGGAGATATAGGGTATTTCCAGCCTTGGCCATAGGGTACTTCTGGGAGGTGATATAGGTTATTTCCAGCCTTGGCCATAGGGTACTTCTGGGAGGTGATATAGGGTATTTCCAGCCTTGGCCATAGGGTACTTCTGGGAGGTGATATAGGGTACTTCCAGCCCTGGCCATAGGGTACTTCTGGGAGGTGATATAGGGTACTTCCAGCCCTGGCCATAGGGTACTTCTGGGAGGAGATATAGGGTATTTCCAGCCTTGGCCATAGGGTACTTCTGGGAGGTGATATAGGGTATTTCCAGCCTTGGCCATAGGGTACTTCTGGGAGGTGATATAGGGTATTTCCAGCCTTGGCCATAGGGTACTTCTGGGAGGTGATATAGGGTATTTCCAGCCTTGGCCATAGGGTACTTCTAGGAGGTGATATAGGGTACTTCCAGCCCTGGCCATAGGGTACTTCTGGGAGGTGATATAGGATACTTCCAGCCCTGGCCATAGGGTACTTCTGGGAGGTGATATAGGATACTTCCAGCCCTGGCCATAGGGTACTTCTGGGAGGTGATATAGGATACTTCCAGCCCTGGCCATAGGGTACTTCTGGGAGGTGATATAGGATACTTCCAGCCCTGGCCATAGGGTACTTCTGGGAGGTGATATAGGATACTTCCAGCCCTGGCCATAGGGTACTTCTGGGAGGTGATATAGGATACTTCCAGCCTTGGCCATCTCCTCTCCTTTAAGATACCTACACTTGTTCTTTCCCACCCACAACTGTATCAGTCAGCTTTTACTGAATAACAAAGCACCCCTAACCTCAGTGCATGATGAAACCCTGTCTCTACTAAAAGCACAAAAATTAGCTGGGCATGGCAGCGCATGCCTGTAGTCCCAGCTACTCAAGAGGCTGAGGCAGGAGAATCGCTTGAACCCGGGAGGTGGAGGTTGCAGTGAGCCAAGATCGCGCCACTGCACTCCAGCCTGGCAACAAAGAGAGATCCCGTTCTCAAAAAAAAAAGCTCCCAACTTCCAGCTCTTGCTCTTTGCCTGGACTTCACTGACTTTTCCTGAGCAGCATCTCTCTTTCTTTCGTTGGTCCATTTCATAATATTAACATTGCTGTTAAAGATCTATAACAAACAGGATCTTAACAACACCATGATGGTCACATGATTCTGGAGTCCTGAAGCCAGCAGTTTACACAGGAAGCACTTTATAAATGCATCTAAGGAGCAGCTCTCTCTCTTTCCTTGGTCTATTTCACAATGTGAGAAAAGTCATCCAAAAGGCCACATTAGGGTGAACCCCCTAGCAGTGTCTGAGATGTGACAGCACCAATGTTCCATACCCAGTGACTGCAGGAGAAGATCAGGTACACTCCTCGGTGGGAGCTTCCTGAAGAATTACAGGCATGAAATACATCCAATTCCTTGGAACCAGTCCTCTAGAACACATGCGCAGGTTTTGGAATAAATCATGAACTGATGTTAAACCTAAAAACTTTTCTTTTTACCAACAAGTGGGGGTCCTGCAGCCCACTCCCCAGCACCGCCTGTGAGAGAGGCAGTGCGTGAGAAGGACTTTGCTGCACTAGCTCTTTCTAGACCACATCATGCCTTGCTTTTTGCCTGTGCAGCCCAGCTCGATTGAGTCTTTCATGAAAACCGAGAATCCCTGATTCATCTTTTAATCAACCACAAGGAGAGAGCAGCTCTTATTTCTTCCCTATTGGTTCTTTACTAGAGATGAGGGGGATTTAACCAATTTTCTCCACTTTCAACAATAAGGCAGTTGGATCATAAATTGCATTCTAAGCGTGGCCTTGAAATATCCAGCTTTCCAATTGGCCCTCACATGACAGGTTGTCCAGTTTTCTCGTGCTTTTCCTCAGTGCCAGGTCAAGCCCGTTCTTAGTTTAAGGCTCCCTTCAAAAGCAGACCCTGCATAGTTTTTTTGGGAAGGGATCCCAGGAAGTCTGACAAGGGGGGAGGCAAAGTGAGGGAGAAGGAAAGTGTGAAAGCAGATGAAGGGGGCTAATACAAGTTACAGTGCAGGCAACTGAGGCTCCATCCTGCCGGGGGCCATGGATAAAATCCTCAGCTGGGGGAAGGGGAACTTGGGGTATTTATGAAATGCCTCTGTCCTTCATTAGTTAGGAGGGCCCCTAGTTTATTAAATCCTTGGCATTTCTAGGATGTCCTACAAGTGGCTGAGGGAGCTGCCACCACTCTGCAGAAATCCCTCAGGCGGAGAGTGCCGAAGACAGAATATGAAGTTAGCTACTCAGCCGTACCTGTGTACATCAGACCATTTAAATTTGGTTTGTTTTGTTTTCTCAGAAAGGTATTATATTCATGAAACTTGGAAACATAATTCCAAGTGAAAGAAGCCAGTCAGAGAAGGTCACATATAGTACAAACCTATTTATATGAAATATCCAGTACTGGCAAATCCATAGGGACAGAAAATAGATGAGAGGTTTTCTGGGTCTGAGGGGAGGGGCAATGGGGGTGACTCCTTAGTAGGTATAGGGTTTCCTTTGGGGATGATGAAAATGTTCTAGAATTAGATGGTGGTGGTGATTGCAAAGTATTGTGAATGTACTTAAAGCCACTGAATCGTGCACCTTAAAAAGGCTAAAATGATATATTATTTTAATAAATTTTAATAAATAAAATGATATATCATTTGTGTGTGTATATATATATATCTATCTACAAAATATATTATACCCCCTCCCTGCAAAAAAGAAATTCCTCAGGCAGGGATGCAGGCAGAGGTGAGGTGCCGTCCGCCCCTGCAGCTGCAGGTGGACTCAGAGATGAGCCAATGGACGTGGGATGGACTCGCTGCGTCTACCACAAGCCTCTCACCTGAATACCACCAGTGCTAACAGGCACACACATTCCCACCCAAAGCACGCACACAGCTTGGAGTGGAAACGCCCATTGATGCTGCTGAAGCCATATGGTGAAGAAAATGCACCCCCGCTCATGCGTCCCACCGCATGGACCAAATTACTCCGGAACAAATACAGCAAGCTGGCACCGTGCTTCCTGAGCCTTTACTCAGCGTGTATGTATTTGATCAGAAAGCATCTGTAGCCCCAGACAGCACCCAAGTCTACTCCTCACTTTAGTTACCAACATTAAATATCACACCAGAAAAAATACCAGCCTGCAACTCTGTGCCAGAGAGCAAGAGCCTTCCTCACGTTTACACGTGACAGGTGACAGAAGAGTTCTGCCCTGAGCTATACTCTCCAAGCTGAAAAATAATTTTTATGCCAAAGAAATTAATTTGAGTCCTTCTGTTGTGCATGCAGTAAGGGATTTTCCTGCTAGTCTTCAAACCAGAATATTCATTATTTTTGGCAGCTCTACTTGGCTGTTCTAATTTTTAAAACTGAAACGTTAACTCTCTATTTTGGGGAATAGGCTCATGTACAAGGAACTCAAGCTCTTTCTGTTGAAATCTACTTCTTCAGACATGATGACCAAAAGTGACCTTTAAGTCAAAAGTGACAGGCAAAACTAAAATTGTATGCAGCAATGGAGGAATAAACAACACTCGGGGACTCCAAGACCCCTGGTCAGGTTCCCAGCCACCAGGATACCTGTGGAGGTTTTGTCTTGGGTCAACAGAGCAGGGAGACCATGGCGGGTCTGGGTGTGAGCTCAACCCCAGGACTCCCTGAAAGGTTAGAGTCTCCATCAGATGAGAGGTCCCAAAGGGGGCGAGCAGGACAGATGGGAGCTACACCCAACAATGCAGCTCGGTTTCTCCCGCTTATGTCAAGGAACTGCCCTTGACTCATCTGGGCTTCAGGATCTGGCCCTAAACCACTACACAAGCTCCCTGGGCCCTGCCCTGAATGCATTGACCTGGACCTACATTCGCCTGTGTGTGTTCCTCTCGCACAACAGTCTCACTTTGGCCAACAATGTCACCCTGCCATGCTTCTTGTCTTTTTGCCTGAATCCTACCTGCCAGTCTAGCTTGGCTGACAGCCTCGTGCCCTGCCAATGCCTAGACAGGATAAAAAGGCCACCCAGAGTCTGCAGTACAGCACCAAATCGGGCATCCATCCCCCGTCACTCTGGCATCATGACATCGAGATGGAATGGAAAGGCGAATCCTGCAAGGGCTGGTGATTTCAGCCCTGGTGGCCGATTGGAACGACCTGGAGAACTTTAAACACTCCTGATACCTGGATCTCACTGCCAGAGATCCTCATGTTACAGTCCTGGGGAGTGGTCTGGGTTTGGGAGTTTAAAAACTCCCCATCTGATTTTAATGAGGTGTCGAGTTTGAGGATCATGGCCCAAGGGAGATGTAAAAGTCAAGATGTGGGGGCATCTCCTTCTTTTTCCTCCTCTCGTTTGAAGCACATCAAGTTCACATTCCAAGATGCAGTGCAATAACCTCATGTGCTTCCAAGGGTACTTCTTACTAACACCAATAGCGCCACAGGCCTAAGGCTGAATCCATGGGGTTCTCTTTTAGGGACTACTTGATGACCTGGGAGGCTCATGGGGTTAGGAGTCAGAAGACCTGAGTTCAAGTCCAGCTCTGCCACTGGACAGCTTGGGTCTTAGGTGTGTTCTCACCACTGTGCCCTCTCTCCACTCACCTCCAAAATGCAAGGATTAGCACAAACCCCTTCTGCCTCTGCCTCTGCCACTGGCCCCCACCCAAAGATGAGCTGCTTGTGACTCCTGGGGAGTAGGGACATATGAACCTATCTCTAGCTGGAACAAAGACTCCTGAGGGACCCCAAAGCTCAGGCTGAGCTCTGCACAAGCATTGCTTCTTGTGGTGAACAGTTCCCAAAATTCTGGCTTTTACCTAATCACAAGTTCTGTGGGGGTTTTGGAGGGTTCTCCACAGCCTGATTCAGGCTGGTTGCCAAGCCTGCGCTGTGGTCATTACTGGTCCAGGTCCACCCCACACCCTGCCCAGAGGACATCATCTCTTCTCACTATTGAATTCCCTCCTGGGGATGGTGATGGGGTTTGATTCTGGGGTTCCTTCATCATCTGTCTCAAGCCAATGCAAGACTCTGGAATTTCTCCAACTCAGAATCTATTCATAGCACAGGAACAGAGTACCCCTGCAAAACCCCTGCTCCATAAATGCCTATTTCACATTCTAGGTATTTAAGCTGAGCATGGTGATTCACATCAGTAGTCCCAGCTACTTGGGAGGCTGAGGCAAGAGGACCACTTGAGCCCAGGAGTTGGAGGCTGTAGCAAGCTCTGATCACTCCACTGCACTCCAACCTGGGCAACAGAGCAAGACTCCATGTCTAAAAAAGTATAACAATTTAAAGTTTTTAATTTAAAAAAATAAGATTTAGGTCTTTGAACGTGTCTAGGTCTAAATCATCCAGAAGCTGGTTTTGAGCCTAGGCTCTGAAGTCAGACTTAAGTTTGAACTTGCCCCTGGCTTGCATGGTCTGTACAACCCTGGGCAGGTGACCTACCCTCCACAAGCTGTGGTGTCTTCATTGGTAAATGGAGAGGACGACAGAATTTATCTGGAGTGGTTATGAGGATTAAATGAGAAGCATCCTGTAATGCCCATGGCAGAGTGTCAGGCACCTCTGAAATGTAATTCTGTGATTCACGGAGCACCTGCCACACTCAGGATCAGCTTCTCATCTTCAACACAGCGTGGAGCTCCCTGCTGGAACACTGCCCACCAACTAACCAATGGGAAAGGGCTGGCTTGCTTCCTTATGTCTTTTAGCTTAAGTCCAGCCCCATTCTAGGTGAGACTGACCTCAGGAGGACAAAGCCAAGTTCAACAGTGTTCTTGGTAGCTCCGACGACCAATTCAGAAGAAGATGGTCCCCATGAAGTCTGGCTTTATGTCCAGCCTTCTAGCACTTCTATCAACACTGAGGATTGAATAGTAGCTGAACGGTGCTCTGATAACTCTAGAGAAATAAAACCAAGTCCTACTGGAACTCAGTGTCCTACTGAGATTGTGCAGGGGTCCCTCCATGTCCCTGTGAAACAAGAGGGGATGCGCTTCTAACAAGGCATCTCTACTTTCATCTTCCCTACATATTTACCTTGCACTTTGAGATTCTATTTGAAGAAAATGCTGTGTGGCCAAATATATTAATCAATAAATAAATTGGAAAACCTCTGACACAGGGCAGAGCTTCTAAAGGTTGATGAGCACATGACTCTCCTAGGGGTCCGGCTCAAGGGCAGGTTGATATGCAGGTCTGGGTGGAGCTGAGATTCTGTTTTCCTGGAGAGCTTCTCGATGTTGCTGATGCTACCAGGCTTAACAGGGAGGATCCAGGGGCCCCAAATCCAATGCTGGTGAGCCCTTATCAGGGATGCAGACCTAATTGGGAGCTTTATGGAAGAAAGGTCCTCAAATGACCATACAAATGGAAGAGCAATTAGGGTGTCTTGAAAATCTTGACTGAATTTGGGCATTGACTAACAAAAAAAGATTGGTTGGAACTGCATCCAGCCCTGACACCTGCATTCCTCAGGATTTACAGCACTTCTGCCAACTCTGATGTCAGGTTCACTCTGGGTCCTGGACACTGGGACTCTCATGGCAAAGATTGTAGGACCAGGCTTGGGAGGGAAGCTTTCATTCCTTGGATTTCTCTATCATATCTCTGGATGGCATTGGTCTGCTTGGCTGAGGATGCAGGGCCAATAAAGACCTGTGACCTTGCATCCACAGTTTATTTTAAAAAGCCAGGCAAGGCAGAGAGTTCATAGCCAAATAGAGTGGACCATTCCAGGTTACAGCTGTGCACGGAGATGTTGTGGGAAGTCAGTGACCCCAAACAGAGGGAACTGCTGAAGCCATGACAGAAGAACATAAATTGTGAAGATTTCGTGGACATTTGTTAGTTCCCCAAATTAATACTTTTATAATTTCTTATGCCTGTCTTTACTACAGTCTCTGAACATAAATTATGAAGATTTCATGGACATTTATCACTTCCCCAATCAATACTCTTGTAATTTCCTATGCCTGTCTTTACTTTAATCTCTTAATCCCGTCATCTTCATAAACTGAGGATGTATGTTGCCTCAGGACCCTGTGATGATTGCGTTAACTGCACAAATTTTTCGTAAAGCATGTGTGTTTGAACAATATGAAATCTGGGCACCTTGAAAAAGAACAGGATAACAGCGATGTTCAGGGAACAAGGGAGATAACCATTAGGTCTGACTGTCTGGGAGCCAGGTGGAACAGAGTCATATTTCTTTTCTTACAAAAGCAAATAGGAGAAATATCGCTGAATTCCTTTTCTCAGCAAGGAACAGCCCTGAGAAAGAGAATGCATTCCTAGGGCACGGTCTCTAAAATGGCCGCTCTGGGAATGTCTGTCTTACATGGTTGTAGATAAGGGATGAAATAAGGCCCGGTTTCCCGTAGCGCCCCCAGGCCTATTAGGATGAGGAAGTTCCTGCCTAGTAAATTTTAGTCAGACCGGTTGTCTGCTCTCAAACCCTGTCTCCTGATAAGATATTATCAATGACAATGCATGCCCAGTGGGACATGAAACTTCATTAGCAATTTTAATTTTGCCCTGGTCCTGTGATCTCACTCTGCCCTCATTTGCCTTGTGATATTTTATTGCATTGTGAAGCATGTGATCTCTGTGATCCACACCCTATTTGTACACTCCCTCCCTTTTGAAATCCATAATAAAAACCTGCTGGCTTTGCGGCTTGGGGGGCATCACGGAACCTGCCGACATGTGATGTCTCCCCCAGACACCCAGCTTTAAAATTTATCCTTTTGTACTCTTTCCCTTTATTTCTCAGACTGGCCGACACTTAGAGAAAATAGAAAAGAACCTCCATTGAAATATTGGGGGCTGGTTCCCCCGATACGGAGACTCAGGCGAGATGGTTAAACTCAGCTGGGGCCACTGGAAAGATCTTATAAGTGAGGCAACAAAAGTCAGGCCTTGAAGGATGGGGAGAATCTGGCCAAGAAGCCAGGAAAGAGGCTCAGGGAATCATAACCCATTCATCTTTCCAGTTTGAGTTCCTTCCCTTCAGCCTTCCTCAGGTGCACATTTCTCAGGAAAAAAAAAAAAGAAAGAAAAGTATGATGTGCTATGCTTTGCTGTCCTAATAAACAAGCTTTAAAAGTACTTCATCAACTTTGAAGCATGACACAAATGCAAGAGGACTATTTTTATTCACCTACAGGTAACTTAAGCTATTTGTATTCATCAGCAGGTCACTCAAATTGAAATGCATTTGGAAAATTTTGCTAATACCGTTCTTGCTAATATCCCTAACTTAGGATCTGCGATCATCTCAGCCTCCTGGGTCAATCATTCCCTGTTGTTGTTGTTCCCATTTTTAATCTCATTGTTATTAAACCCTGCCTTTGTACCACCGACTGTTTTAGCAGATGTCGTTGGGGAGCCTTTATGGGGCTCATGAACCCCTGCCCAGCTGTTGTGGGGTAAGCAAACTTCCCTGCTGGGTTGCCCTTGCTAACCTGAACCCCTTCTAGACATTCAGGAAAGTTATCCTCCCCAGGAGGGGCCCAAAGCCAACAACTGACTGACACAGGGGTTGATAGCTCATCCCCCTTTGCTTCTGGATGGGCAACTGCTGTGAGATCATTCACAGTCCGGAGCACCCATGGACGTGGGATGAAGCTGACATTCCACGTCTCCACTCTGCTGCTCCCCTTCCCTGGCATGTGTCCCTCACTATCCTGTGGCTCTCTCCTGAGAGCTCTGCCTCCATAAATCATGACTCAAGCTCTGCTTCCAGGGAACCTGACCTAGGACGATTCTTAAACACTTCACTGTAATGCCTCATTTTATCATTGCAATGAGATGGATGCATAGACATATGGTGCTAATTATTATCATTATTACAGATTAGGCAATTTGCCCAAATTCTTACAGCTAGGACTTGAATTCAGCTCACCACACCATGCCTTATCTCCCAGTTTGAACTGTTAGGTCTTTGGAAAGAAGCTGGTTATGCATCAGAGTGGGTCGTGTTTTAAAGTCTTCGTTGCTCAAAACTCCTTTTTATATTAACAGAAGGAGAAAAATCACACTTCTGCATATTAAATATTAGAGCAACAAGCTCTCACTAAAATAATTCAAGTGTCCCAGGGGCAGAGAGAGAAATGTTGAGCCTTCTATAACACCCCGGGGGTCAGATGAACAGAGAAGGTGGTCATTCAGCAAGCAAGACTGCAAATGTGGACTCTGAAGACACAGGTGCGGGCGGGAGTTTTTGTCTAAGCGTGAAACTCTGATACGTGGCATGCTCTGAGAATTATCAGGAACCGAGCTCCGAGGGTTTCCGCCCTTTATTGTCTGTCCCAGGCATCAGAGCCCAAGCACATTTATCTCCGGAGCCAGGGACATTCACGTCCAGTGTTTCTGGAATGGCACTCCACGCTGATTTATGTGTGCGGTCAGCAGAGGAGCAGCACACCAGCAGCTTCTAATGGAAACTCACTCCATTCACCATAAATATCTCATCTGCATGCAGGCCCACCACCAACTGGTTTCTGAGATGAGGCCTAGGATACTGCATTGCTACCCAGCTCTTCTGGGGCCCCTTGTCCATCCTAAATTAGAGCATCACTTTCTAGAGGAGAGTTCATTGATACCTAAAATAGGATTGAATTTTTTAAGACCATTGTAAAAAAAATAATATTTTAAGAGCAAGAGAATGAGTGAGAAGAAGAGTAGAATTCATTCCACAAAACTATATAAAGAATAATTTTTGCTGTCTATTTTTGAAAAGCATTTAAGGGTATTGGAAAATGCTTGCTCTAAACCAGATGTTGACAAACTTTATTTAAAGGGCCCGATAGTAAATATTTTAGGCTTTAGAGTGCTACAGTCTCTGCCACAACTACTCAATTCTACCACTGTGGCACAAAACCAGCCATAGACAATATGTAAGTGAATGCACATGACTGTGTTCCAATAAAACTTTATTTACGAACAGTGATTTGAATCTTATGTAATTTTCACATGTCATGAAATGTTATCCTTTTGATTTTTCAACCACTTAAAAATTTAAAATGATTCTTAGCTTGTAGGCAACACAGGCCCACAGGATGTAGGCTGGATTTGCCCACAAGCCATATTTTGCCAACCTCTACTCAATTCTATCTGAAAACCCTTTACTTTATTATAAATACAATGGCAAAGTGTAGATTTAACTTCCCTCTACCAACAATTACTAGGAGGAGTTAAACCAAACTATGAATACTGGTTATCTATTATATGAATAATGAATGGGGTTATAGGTGATTTTTATTTTCTTCATTATATTTTTTCAACATTTATCAAATATTTTACAATAAGCATATTTTCTGATTAATAAATAAATTTTAAAAATATGATAGAAATGGTACCTGTTATAGAGATTAAAATCTTGAAATTTAGCCTTAAAAAATACCATCTGCTCTCCTTCATGTGCAACATGGGGTATTGCTGGAAAATTGTCCAACAGACATAAACAATGTGCACAGAGGCAGGGGCCTGGGCCTTCACGACCTCCTCTTTGACTGTGTTATTTTAGGAAACTCCTTAACCTTCTCGGCCTCCACTGGGCTGTTACTCACATGAATATCATAATGCCTGGCTGGGGGAGAATCAAATCAGATAAAGCACATTCTTTCACAGTTCTGAAACCCTTTGTTTTAGGCTTTGCAAGAGTGAAAAATATTGTTCTATCTGAAAGCACATTCTTTCAAAGTTCTGAAACCCTTTGTTTTAGGCTTTGCAAGAGTGAAAAATATTGTTCTATCTGTCAGGGAATTAGAATTCTGTAATCTCCATTTAAGTGAATTTTTTATGGAGTCACCATTGGCTTTTCTTTGCATTCCTAAACTAGGACCCAATCTGGGATTCAGTTAACAGTTTTCTTCCTTTTTTTCCTGAATTCCTGGGCCAGAGCATCAAGCTTTGCCCTCATTTTTCTTGTCCTCACTCATCAGAGTGTCCCCAGATACTCTGAAAGTGATTCCAGGGGTTGGATGGAGCTGCACTTTGTCAGCAGGAGGGTGGCAGCAGGAGCTGGGCCAGGCTGACATCAAGGCCACGGCCCCAGGGCCCCAGCAACCTCTCCTGTTCCCTCCCACCTGGAGAAACCAGAGCCCCACATGCTGGGGCCTCAATCCAAGTGGTTCTTTTGTGAGTTTAAGGCTGACCTCCAGGCACAGAGCCTAACCGGGCTCGGAAGTTGGTCTGTGCCTGTCATAATGCCATGGAGGGTGGCTGCAAGTGACCATCACAGTGCCCTGGTGATGACTCTGCCCTAAAAGAAGTGAAGCTGGGAACTAGGGTACCCAGTTACATTCAGTCCTTAGAATCCACAGCTCTGTGGATCTTTCATTTGCTATGGGTTAATTAAGCCTCTTCAGTGGGCTGTGGCTCTGCTAGGTACTGGGATGCAGGGTGAAGACAAATATGACCCTGGCCTCATGGAGTTTATAATCCAGTGGGGAAGCTAGACACTAACCAAGAAGCCAGAGAAATTCTGTGATGACTGCCGAGCAGAAATGCATGTGAAGGGTAGGACATATCAGCCAGACCTAGTAGAAGGAGGCAGGGATAGAGACAGAGGAACCTTCCTGTGGGGTCCTATCTGTGACATGGAGCTGAGCAAAAGGTCCCAAGTGAAGTGGGGGAGGGGGAGGCCAGGGATGCAAAGGATCTGAGGCAGGACAGAGAGAGGGACCACCCAGAGTGTGGGCAAAGGCCTGTCTATGACAGCAGGTCTAGGCCCCATTGGCCATTTGGCCCATAACTGATCAACTGCAGGGAGCCCCGACCGATTGCAGATAAGGGAAGGTAGCAGGACCTGCATATAAACCAGGACTCCTGTGACGTTGCCAGCTCTGCTCCAGGGACTCGCAGACGAAGGCTGATGGGCCAGGGAAGAGTGGGACGGGATTTGTGTTCAACAGCAGCTGGACTGTGCTGCCAGTGACAGGATCCTCTGGACTTTTTGGGGTCAGGAGTGGCAGAGAGGGCCAGGCAGTTGTCTGGGCCGCATCTCAGGTATGTTATTGGCCCAGTAATGCCCAGTGGGCTAGGAGCAGGATGTCTCCAAGGGCAATTGGGGGAAGACACTTTCCGGTAGCATCACAGGGCCACACTCCCTCCCCTCACACCCAGTGGTGGATGCAAGCTTTGGCAGAAGAGGTCATGCCTGCAGGCAACCCTCCTGCCCTTCCAGAGTGACTGCGCCCTAGAGTCTCACACTCTGACTTCTCTTCTCAGGTGGGCTCCCAGTAACTAGCCAGACCCACAGAGTCCTGGCTTCCAGCAGCGTTCGATCACACCATGCAGGGTGCTGACAATGGCTTCACAAACGTCATGAAGGGAAGGCCTCCTCGGCACTGGTACTATTCTGAGAGAGCAGAAGTGTTGCCATGCAGGCCCCAGCCCATGCACCTGGGCCATAATGGAGATAACTGCAGAAATGCAGCACAGGCCCAGGCCAGGACTGGCCACAAATTCAAACTGGCCTGTGCCAGGATGTTGGCTCCATGCCCAATCATCCCAGCTCTCCAACTCAATTAGGACAGAACTGAGCAAGAAAGAGCTGTGGGGAAGTCGGGCCATCATCCAGCAAAAGGAGAGGGATCTGAGGGACTGGGTTGAGAGACATGTCTAAGACCCCGGCTGTGCATGTGGGATCTCCACTGATTTTCCTGGAAATGGCTTTTAAACAAGGGGAAATCTTGCTTCCTATTGATGACAGCCTCTCTGGTAATTCTGCGTGTGTTTACTGGAATCACCAATATCAGGTGGGCAGCTCTGCCTGGCTTCCATCGCCAGAGGACAGTCTGCGCATCCTCCATAAACAGGGAACCTCAGTCTCTGCTGAGACCAGACCAAGGAGGCAGTCAAGCTGGTAAATGATCCTGCTTAGGAGGGAAGCTGCGTCTTCATCTAGTATTGCACCTGACCCCACAGAGTGGCAGGTTCTTCGTTGTTTGTCGCTGTGACACATGTGAGGCTGGCTGGGAATGAGCACTCTCGCTCATCACAGGACACTGCCAGGAGCCTGGGCGGTGAGGCGGGGAGCCTCCCCCAGCGCCAGTGGGCGGGGCAGGAGCTGGGCTCTGCTGCCCAAGGTGGGATGGGGTTTCTGCCCCACTGGACCTTTACTTTTCTGCCTCAAAATATAAATTAAATTGTTAAAAATTATATTTCTGGCATAAAGTTTTAAAGTAGATGGGGCGGTAAGTATGAGTAAAAGTGTCGGAATGCAGGCATCACATACATTGAAAATATATTTTCCTCCTTGGGAACTTTGGCTTCCTCCCTGCCTTCCTTCCTTCCTTTCTTCTTTTCTTCCTTCCTTTTTTCCTTTCTTTCATCCCTTTTTCCTCCATTTTGTCTTTCCTTACTCATTTATTTTCTCCCTTTTTTCTTATTTTTTTTTTTTGCAAAATAAAAATTAAGAATTCTTGGCCTCCACCTGCAGAGGATGACAAAAGCATGTCTTCAGTGTGCCTGCTGTGTGCTCTCATCGTGTTGGGCTCTGAAGATGCAGCATTAAAACAAAACTCAGAAGTTCGTCTTCTGTTGTGCTTAGGGAATCCCAGACACAGTGGGAAGAACGGAATCAGGATTAGAAATTGGGGCTCAAAATGGGATTGTCATTGGTGATTCTTCAGGGATCCCCTCAGTTTTTTGCTTGAATTAATTTTTATTGTTATTTTTCATAAACATCACATTTATTGACAGGCTGGGGTGGTGGATGAGGGACTGGGGAGAGGCTACAGGAAGGAAGAGATGGAGAGGAGGGATGTTTATATACTAAGCATTTGCTGTGTGTCTTAAATACACTCTCAGATTTGAAACAAAAGTTCTGATAGAAAGTCAGTGTAGTGAATTCTTAGAGTTGTGTGTTGCCTCAGTATCCATTTTTGAATCTAATTTGGACCCTCTCTTACCAGAAGCAGGGCTTAGTCACCCTTGACATGGTGTCCAGGGCTCCACCCCCTCCTGGTTCCTCAATGTGGCCGACCCAGATATCTGCCTTGTACACCCGCCTCCTGGTGACCACCGCCCTGTGGGACAGCCGCACAGAGCCCACTTGATAGCTGCACTGACTCCGCACCCCACAGGGACTTCCCAGACATGCTGCCATGCCCACCTGTCAGCCACAGGGACCCCACGGAGCCCGTGTCTGGTTGCTCTAAACCCACCAGTGAGAAGTCCCCTTGGGAAACCTGCTTGGGAAACACCCTGGACCCTAATAAAGGCTTAGGCCTCAGGTCCCTCTCTCTCCCTTCACCCCCATCCAGGTGAGCGTTCGCGACCCAGACAGCTCCCCACTTTCTGCTGGCCCCGTGGGGCGCGCTGCCCTCTCCCTGGGATCTGTAAGTGACATGGTGCTTGTGTTGCTGCCTGTGTCTTCTTTTGTTGCCTCCTGCATCTCCCCTGACCCACACCCCAACCCAACTCTCCTCCTGTCTGGGCCGTCCTAGAGAGTGGCTGTCTGGGTAGGAATAAACCGGACACAGGTCAGACGAGAGCCATAAGGTTGTCTGCCAGTTTAAACACATTTCCTTGTGAGAATTGGTGACATGTCCTTTCACTTAGGCGTTAGGCAGCTCACCAGGATAACAAGTACTCCATGCAAGGCAAATGCTGCAAATGTCCACACTCACATCCCTTGGGTTCCCATCAGGGCAGGGTTAGAGTTTATAGACATTCTCCAGAAAGACACCTCAAGACCAAATCGAAGGAAAAGCACAACAGTCAGGAATCAAAACAAATCAATCTAATTGATAAAGATTCTTTTCCACAATATGACATGCATGGGTGGCTGGGCACAGTGGCTTTGGGAGGCCGAGGTGGGAGGATCACTTGAGGTTAGGAGTCCCAGACCAGCCTGGACAACATAGCAAGACCCTGTCCCTACAAACCATTTTTTAAAAAATTTCCTAGAGAATTGTGGCATGCACCTGTAGTCCCAGCTGCTTGGGAGGCTAAGGTGGGAGAATCACTTGAGTTCAAGAGTTGGAGGCGGCAGTGAGCTGTGATCACACCACTGTACTCCAGCCTGGGCAAGAAAAAAGACATACATGATGACTGCAGAATCTCAAAAGCAGACTCTTACCAATGTCATTCGGCAGTTGGAGCCTGAGCTGAGAGGTTGGTGAAGGGACAGGGGAAATCACAGACTTGAGCACCAGTGAGCACTCGGCACTGGGCGTTTCCCTCTGATGCTGGGATTTTAAATACTCCTGCAATGCCTCCACCTCAGGAGCGCTGTGACTGCTCTTGAGGAAATGCGTCCTGATGTTCCTAGAGAAGGAAGCTGTCACTCTGAGGCCCTCCCAGAGGCCCTGCAGACACCGTTCATTATTTAGGCTTTGTCAGCAGGGAAGAAAAGCTGTGCATTTATGAAGCCCTTGAACCAGACCGCACTTTCCTTTGCTTTCCTTTGCAATGCTTTCTCCCACTCCCTCATGTTCACGTCCTTACAGCGCTGTGCACTTGTGCTATGCAAATTTAAATCATGCAACCCTGAAATAATATGGAAATCACTTACGTTTTTGTGCAAAATGTAAAAGAATGTAAATGATGGAAATTAACATTTCATTCAGGATCACCAGATTTCAAGGCTGGCCAATTGCAGGCTGCATTTTCATTGGGAATCCCCCAAAAAGTCCCATTAACTTTCAATCAAAGCCCTGCTGTTCATGTCAGGAATGGTCTTAGGTCAGGTGAGGGCAGAGTCTGCAAGACCCCTCACAGGACAGCCCTAGCATGGAATTTGCATGCAACATGCTCCTTCAGTCTGACCCGAATCTCAGGGTAAGTGGGCAGAGTTGCAAAGGTCCTCTTGACTGAGTCTCTTACTCCCATAGTTAAAATTCAAACTCAAATTCACTGGGTGTGGTGGTGCATGCCTGTAGTTCCAGCTACTCAGGATGCTGAGGTGCTGAGGTGGGAGGATAGTTTGAGCCAGGGAAGTCAAGCCTGTAGTGAATTGTGATTGTGCCACTGCACTCCAATCTGGGCAACAGAGCAAGACCCTGTCTCGAAAAAGAAAAAAAAAACGAAAACAAAAAAACTCACCTTAGTGAATGAATGGAACCATCCTCTGTAAGAGTCTTTGTTATTATCATGAATTTTTAAATTGACAAATAAGAATTGTATATATTTATCGTGTATCCCATGATGTTTTGAAGAGCTTATTAATATACATTTTGGACTGGATAAATTGAGCTAATTAACATATGTATTACCTCACATACTTAGCATGTTTTGTAGTGTGAACACTTAAGATCTACTGCAGCAATTTTCAAGAATACCTTGCTATTAACTATATTCATTGTGCTGTACAATAGATCTCTTGAACTTACTCTATTTAACTGAAATGTTGGAAGATTCCTGAAGGAAGGCTAATAGATAAATTGCACATGCCCTCCTTCCCCACAACAAATGTGTTTTCCAGGCAAGGTCAGGCAAAGCCTATGAAAACTGTCATTACTCTAGGGAGTTATAAAGAGTTATAATCAAAATCACAATGCTTTATGATGAAGTTTTGGTTGCGCTTTGAAATATTTATAGATATTCATGACACTGAGTATCTAGGTAGCAACAACTAATTGTGCTTTCAATGAAAAGTTCCTATGGGACATCTTTTACCTATGCTGTATTAAGTTGGATTTTCCAAATCAAAGGGAATGCCCTCCATGGGAATATAAATTAATATAAATATATTGATTTTATCACTTTATATTTTAACAGTGCTGGACAGTTTCCAAATGGCTTTCAAATGCATTGTTCCTTTTAATTCTCAGAATAACTTATAAGATCGTTAATTAAGGCAGGGTAGGATAGGCTTTACTGTGGGAACCAGTAAACCCCAATCTTTCAATGGTTTAGCCATGTCGCAGTCTGTTGCAGGCTTTGTTGTCATGTCCATCTGGTAGCTACACAATCCGGAGCCTGTGACCCCAAGGACAGCACAGTAAGGGAGGAGCTGCAGGAACACAGTGGAGATGGCTTTAGGGGCCAGTTTTAGAAGGTTTTCATTGCTGTTGCCCACACCCTCTGGGTCAGAAGTCAGTCACATGCCCCCTACCCAAACAACCTGATGATAAAAAGGCACCAAAGCTTAGCATATACCTCACCAAAGAAGATATACAGATGGCACAAAGCATATGAAAAGACGGTCCACATCATATGTCTTCAGGGAAATGTGAAGTAAAACAGAACTGAGATACCACGACATAATGAATAACCAAAATATAGCACACTAACAAACCAAGTTCTGACCAAGAGAAGGCAGCAAGTCAAAGCTTTCCTCTGTGCCCCGAAAGAGAAAATGTGTGCAGGTGAAATAGCA
Organism: Homo sapiens; assembly: GCF_000001405.40. NCBI lineage: Eukaryota > Metazoa > Chordata > Mammalia > Primates > Hominidae > Homo > Homo sapiens. Next base: position 24,425,611 of record NC_000020.11, read on the forward strand.
TTGCTATCATTTGCATATAGTTTGTTTGTCCCCACCAAGTCTCATGTTGAAATTGGATCCCCTATGTGTCAGTGTTGTGGGGGTGGGGCCTGGTGAGGGTGTTTGGGTCATTGGTGGATCCCTCATGAATAGATGAATGCCCTCCTTTGGGGTGAGTGCTCGCTCTATTAGTTCCCTCAATACCTGGTTGTTAGAAAGAGCTTGGCTCTCTGTCTTGCTTCCTCTCTCTTTCCTCTCTCTCGCCATGTGGTCTCTATAAACTAACTTTCCTTCACTCTCTGCCATGAGTGGAAGCAGCCTGAATCCCTAAACAAATGCAGATGCAGATGGAAATCGGGAACTTTTCCAGACATCAGAATCATGAGCCAGATAAATCCCTTTTCTTTATGAATTACCCAGCCTCAGACATTTCTTTAAAATAGACTAAGGCAAGCATTGAGTATGTCTTAATCAATATTTACTTCAGCAAATTTTACTGAGCACCTGCTATATTCCAGGCAACATGCTGGGTCTTAAGGGTACTATTCTTGTTCTTTTTAAACATTTAGAAAAGTGAGGCTTAAAATTGTTAAATGACTTTCCAAAGCTGCACTATTAATAAATTGGAGATTTGTATCTCAAATCAATTTTTTTTGTTCTCCAATTAACCATCCTCTTTTAGTTTCACTTGGTATCTTGACATAGGTAAATAGATTTTCTTAAAAATTATTCTGATCAAAGAGTTTTTAATCCTGTGAAGAAAAGTATTCATGATAAATAGTTCTCTTTGTTTTCATGTCAACTACTGTTGACAGCAAAGGGACTTCTAAATGTGGTGTTGGCCTCTCTAGAAAGCAGGTGACAGAGAGAGTATTAATTTGACTTCTTCATTTGTGATGTGACTCTAATATATAGAATAAATGCCATGCCATTGAATAATTATATTCTGTGGGATTCCTTCTTGTAAAGTGGTGCCTTTTCAGTTCATGATCTTTCTAGCCATCAAGATTCCTCCTTAACATGAACTAGAATGTTCAATTTGATTTCTAGATATTACTCCTTCTAGTACATTGGTAGCATTTGCAGGTTTAATTTTCTGCATTTCTGTTGCTTTCATCTGCAGACTTTAGGGCAAGTATATTGACTTTTCATTTGAAAATATTAATTAATTTCCTACTGGTTGTCTGGCATTGAGTTCCTTCAGATACTTTTTAAGCTAAAACCAAATATTTTATGTTATTTAAAAGAAAACCATTTTCATTTGAAAGCCATCAGGAATTTATGATATTGCATGTAGCATACTTAGTAAAAGAATATAACACATTAAATAGTGTAATTATTGCATAGAATTAACTATGCAATTTTCATGTTTTTAGATTATATTCACATGGTTAAAACATACCCAAAAAAGCAATAAATTAAAAATAACCTCTCAAGCTAGCACCCAGAGCTAGTCCAAATGTTTGCCTTTGGCAAAAATTAATTTAGGTCAAAATCTAAAAAAGACATTCCTTATTAATAAAATCATGCCTGAGATAAGGGTTCATGCTCTAAGTCTGAGAAAAATACTGAACAGAGAGGACAAAAAACACTAAAACCAAGGTCAACAGATTCCATAGGCTCTGTCAATAATTTAACTGCTTATCACAACAAAGCCCAACATCTTTCAAAGTAAGAGCTATAATCCAGATTCCCTGTAATATATAATTCACAATATCTAGAATGTGATTAAAAATTACTAGACATATAAAAAACCAGAAAAATATTACATATAATCTAGAGAAAAGAACATAGGCAAGAAAAAACTAAAAAACACCTGTAAAGTTCACAGTCCAGAGGCACAGGCTCCCGGAAAGGATGATGCCTGATTATGTGGCTGCAGAGTAATTCCCCTCCCGGATGCCCTGCCACTATGGTACTAAAGGCCTAGATACAGCAATTCCTTTTATCCAGCACATCATATCTGTCTTTTAAAAATAACAACAAAAAAATTTACAAGGCATACTGAAAGGCAAAAAAATACAGTTTGAAGTGACAGAACAAGAATCAGACATGGCAGGGATATTGAGATTATCAGACAGGGAATTAAAACAACTATGATCAATATGCTAAGGGCTCTAATAGATAAAAGAGACAGAAGAGAAATGTAAACAGAGATGGAAAGTATAGCAGCTTTATTCAAAATTGCCAAAACTCAGAAGAAATCAAGATGTTCTTCAGTAGATAAGCATATAAATAAGCTGTGATACATCCAGCCAATATTATTCAACACTAAAAGGAAATAAGCTACCAAGCCATTAAAAGATATGAAGGAAACTTAAGTTCATACTACTAAGTGAAAGAAGCCGTTCTGAAAAGGCTACATTCTGTATGTAGCTTTTATTCCAAATATATGACATTCTGGAAAAGGCTAGGGGTTAAGAAGGTGCCATGGGCTAGGGGTCAGGGAGGGATGAATAGGCATAGCACAGAGGATTTTTAGGGCAGTAAAAATACTCTGCATGATACTATAATGGTAGATATATGTCTGCATACATTTGTCCAAATTCAGAATGTACAATATCAAGACTGAACCCTAATACAAACTATGGGCTTTAGGTGGTAATGACATGTCAGTGTAGGCTCATTGATTGTAAAAAATCCACCACTCTGGTGTGGGGTGTTAACAATGGGGGAAGCTGGGCATGTGTGGGTCATGGATTATACAGGTATTCCTGTACCTTTCTCTCAATTTTGCCGTCAACCTAAAACTGCCCTAAAACAATATAGTGGTTTTTTGTTTGTTTATGTTTTTGGTTTTTTTGTTTTTTTAAGTAGTCAATAGAAACATACCCAAAGCTGATTCAGATATAGAAATTAGTATTTATGTAGCACTTATAATTGTGTTCAAAGACTTAAAGGAAAAGTTGAATGTAATGAATATACAGATGGAGAATCTTGGTGGAAAAAAAATGAAAATTACAAAAGAACCAAATAGAAATTCTAGAACTGAAAATTACAATACATAATCAATCACAGACCAATAGAAATTATGCAACCTGAAGGTTAGAAAGAAAAAAATGTTTGGAAAATGTGAAAAGAGCATAAATTACCTATGGCATAATATCATTTGGGTAATTGGAATTTCAGTAGGTAAGGATAATGAGAATTGGGTAGCAAAATATGTGAAGAAATGATGGCTGAATTTTTTTTCATTAATGGAGAAAAACATCAACTTACAGATAAAGGCGTATTAGCAAATCTCAATCAGAATAAATACAATGAAATCACTAGACTCAGACACACTGTGAAAGTATCTAGAGGAAAAAAGATGTGTTGTCTCTGGGGAGCAACCATACAAATAATAGTGTACTTCTCATAAGCAATGGATCAAAAGACAGGCAGATGGCAGCTTCTAGGTGCTAGAAGAAAAAAGGTGTTACTCCATAGCCTATATATTACAAAAATATCCTTATAATATAAGGATGAAATAAAAACATTTACAGAACAATGAAAGCTGAGAAAAGTTGTCACCCACAGACCTCCGCGACAATAAATACTAAAAGAATTCCTTCAGGCTGAAGGGAACTGGTAGCCAGATGGATAAATGAATCTACAGGAAGGAAAAGAAGCACTGGAAATGTCAAGTAAGTGGGTAAAGATAAAAGATTATATTTATTGTTCTTATAGCATCCTTAAAAGATAGCTTAATGTTTAAAAAATATATAATAACATGATGCTGGGAGACATAGCATATTTACAAGAATATATACTGTAAAAGTATGAATTATGTGAGATAAAAGAAATTCTTCTGTAATGTTTGAACATTTTATATGAAGTGATACAATGTTCATTGTATGTAAACTATAGGAAATTAAGCTGCATATCGAAATTCCTAGAACAACCACATAAAAATAAAATGATAGTAGACAACACTAATTGCCTCAAAAGAAGGTGACTAGGAAAAGAGAAAGAGAAATAAAAAAATACAGAAGCCAATAGTAAAATGAACCAATTAGTGTAATTGGTTATGATAGATAAGTATAACATAGTAATATACTTAAAACCATACATACTTACATATTTTTATTTATAAATATAAGTTATAAATTCCTATAAACATTATAGCACATACCATATAGTTATATATGCATATATACTTATATATAATTATAATCTGTATTATACATAATAGAATGTATAAAACATAAGACCTAGTTTCTCAAAGAGAGGAATCAACCTGAAGCAAACAGACCCACTGAAATTATGTTAAATGTAGGAACAGGTCAGCTTAATCCATTTGTTCTGGAGGTTTCAAATTTTTTCTGTGAAAAATCAGACCTTGGAGATGATCTTGAGCAGTAGGATATAAATAACTCCCACAAGCCTAGTGTTCCAATAACGGAACACCAGGCATAAATGGGTTAAAACACATCTCACTGGTAATCAGCAGTGAGAATAATAAAGACATTGCATTCATGAAACAAGAACAGGCTGATAAGGAAAAAAAAGCATCCAGAGAACAAGAAAGAGGATGGGAGAACCTAAAACATCACTGCTGAGGTTATACACATGCATGTGCCCGCAGGCACATGTGTGTGTGGAAAAGCAGAATGCGCAGTGATAGGTACTGAGCCACGCAGACACAAACATGAAGCTCTTCTGGAAAGTGGAGCAAAACGAGAGACGCGTTTCCACAGTCAATAGATGAGTGTGTCTGATTCAGAGCACAGATCTTGCCCCGTATGTATATCCAGGTAGCTCCTGAGAAAGTCTGTCTTACTCCTTCCTCTCCAGGCCATTTGGCTGACTTTTCTTCTCTACAGGTTTGCTGAGTGCAAATATCACAGTGCTAACCACCTGACCTTAAGACACGTAACAGCACCGTGGTTTACATGATGAGATAGAGGGAGGCCACCACATGGGGACATACAGATGAACTTGGAATACATGGGTTCTTGGTATGATATTATAATACACAGTACAATAATGGTCTCCATATTTTTCAGTTACCCGGGAAGAGGGAGGAGAGTACAAAGATGTGGAAAGATAATGAGAGGAGAACCGCATCCTGTGAGGGTGGATATTCCCTAATCCCCCCAAGCTGTGACAGATGTTCAGGCTCCTAAGAAGAGGACGAGGACACCTGGGGAGACAACTGCTGTGGAAAAATCTCCCCACAGAAGGGCTCTTTCCTGGAATGTCCCCTTCAGAGTACCTGAGTAACAGGAGCATCCAATGCCTAGAAGCACCAACACCTGCACAAGCTCACTGTGGGCTTCCAGCCCAAACTCCCCCCACAGCCTTCCAGACAAACTCCCAGACAGCCTTCCAGACAAACTCCCCCACAGCCTTCCAGACAAACTCCCACACAGCCTTCCAGACAAACTCACCCCATAGCCTTCCAGCCCAAATTCCCCCACAGCCTTCCAGCCCAAATTCCCCCAACAGCCTTCCAGACAAACTCCCCCCACAGCCTTCCAAGCCCAAATTCCCCCAACAGCCTTCCAGACAAACTCCCCCAACAGCCTTCCAGCCCAAATTCCCCACAGCCTTCCAGCCCAAATTCCCCCACAGCCTTCCAGCCCAAATTCTCCCAACAGCCTTCCAGACAAACTCTCCCACAGCCTTCCAACCCAAATTCCCCCCACAGCCTTCCAGCCCAAACACCCCCACAGGCTCCCAGCCCAAACTCCCCCAACAGCCTTCCAGACACTCTCCCACAGCCTTCCAGCCCAAATTCCCCCCACAGCCTTCCAGACAAACTCCCCCAACAGCCTTCCAAACTCCCACCACAGCCCAAACTACCCCCACAGCCTCCCAGACAAACTCTCCCAACAGCCTCCCAGACAGAATTCCCCCACAACCTTCCAGCCCAAAGTCCCCCGACAGCCTTCCAGCCCAAAGTCCCCCCACAGCCTTCCAGACAAACTCCCCCTACAGAGTCCCAAATTCCCTCCGCAGCCTTCCAGACAAACTCCCCACACAGCCTTCCAGACAAACTCCTCCCCGCCGACAGCCTCCCAGAAAAACTCCCCCCACAGCCTCCCAAATTCCCTCCACAGCCTTCCAGACACACTCCCCCCACAGCCTTCCAGACAAACTCCCCCCACAGCTTTCCTGACAAACTCCCCCCACAGCCTTCCAAACCACCCCCTACAGCCTCCCAGACAAAACTCCCCTCACAGCCTTCCAGACCGAACTCCCCCAACAGCCATCCAGACAAACTCCCCCACAAACTTCCAGACAGCCTCCCCACACAGCCTTCCAGACAAACTCCCCCCAATAGCCTCCCAAACATAACTGCTCCCACAGCCTTCCAGCAAAAACTCCCCCCACAGCCTTCCAGCCAAAACTCCCCCACAGCTTTCCAGACCAAACTACCCCCACAGCCTCCCAGACAAAACTCCCCCCACAGCCTTCCAGCCCAAACTCCCCCGACAGCCTCCCAGGAGAACTGCCCCCCTAGCCTCCCAGATCAAACTCCCCCACAGCCTCCCAGACTCCCCTCAACAACCATCTAGACCAAACTCCCCCTATAGGCTACCAGGCAAACTCCCCCCACAGCCTTCCAGCCAGAATCCCCCCACAGCCTTCTAGCCCAAACTCCCCCACAGCCTTCTAGTCCAAAGTCCCTTCCCAGCCTGCCAGCTAAAACTCCCCAACAGCCTTCCAGCCAAAACTCCACCTACAACCTTCCAGACCAAACTGCCCCCACAGCCTTCCAGACAAACTACATCCTCCCAGTCCAAAGTCCCCTTCCCAGCCTGCCAGCCAAACTCCGCACCCTTTCTTCTTTCATTTTTTTAATAAATTGGGAACGGAGTAAATCCACAGGCCTTCAAAAAAATTGTTTAACTTTGCTTTTCCAACTCACTGTGAAAGAGCCTTAGGAAAAAACTGTTTAATGGAAAGGAAATGATTAACAACCTTAATTTGTGTTTCGGAAATTGTAACTCCAAATATTTATCTACTTAAAAACTCCAGTAGAATTAACCAACCAAGTACTAGAACTAATAAGGGAATGGAACAGGGCACTTGATAACAACTCAGTCTGTAAGAATCGGTCGTTCTTCTATTCACCAGCAATGATCAGGAAAAAGGAAATCTCAGTAAAAAGAGTAACAATGTGATGAAATGAATACCCAGGAACAAAGAAATTAGGAAACGCACAGCCTGAAGGTTTAGATATCCATACCCACACAGAGCTGTTACACAAACGCCTTTACAGAACGCCCTAGAACAAAGGAAGAGATGCAGAATGTGTCTTGTTCCCAAAAGGGAGGCCCTGTTATTAGAAAAATGTAAATGCTCATGAATTGCTTCATACATGTAAATAACCTGTATCATAATCCTGTGATAATTTGTGATAAACTTCAGCAAGGTATCTATAAAGTTAATATGGGAGATAAAATGTAAAATCATAGCAAGGAGTTTTTTTAAAAATAGTAATACTAATGAGATACTTGCTCTACCAGATATGAAAGCAAACTATGAAGATACAGTAATTAAATCTGTATGGTATCAATATAGAGTGAAGCAGCCTCCTGGGAGAGAACAGACAGTTCAGGAACAGATTCACATGTAAGGACACATGATATTTGGAAACAGTGAGGGAAAGATGCATTATTCAACATGTTTATTCAGAAAATCCCACGCCATTTTGTGGTAGGCACCTTAGTAGACTCCAAATATGTGCACACTCAATCCCTATAATATATTCCTTTAAATGGCAAAAGGTACTTTGCAGGTGCAATTAAGGTTATGAACCTTCGGATAGTGAGATTATTTCAGATGACCAGGTGGGCCCAAACTAATCACAGGAGTCCTTAAAAGCAGAGAGGCTTTCCTGGCCATAGTCAGTGATAGGGACTTTGAGGAAGGGTCAGGGGAAGATGTGTTGTTGGCATTGAGGGTGGACAGCGAGACAGGGAACGCAGGAGGCCTCCAGAAATCAGGAAACACAAAAAAACAGACCCTTGCCTCACAGCCTCCAATGCCTCAAGCTTAGTCCAGTGAGACCTTGTTGGACTTGTGATCCACAGAACTGTGATAGAATAGCTTTGCATTGATTTAAGCTACAAAGTTTTTGGTAATTGGTGACAGCAGCAATAGGAAAGTGATACAACTCTGAAGAAAAAAAAGTAGGATTTTACCTTGTATTATGTATTTTTAAATTTCAGATTAGTCAGCCAAATACAACGAAACACTGGGTTAGATAGTAACACACACACACACACACACACCACTTGTAAGAGGTGTAGAGGAGACAGAAGAAGCTTGAGTAGAATAGATATATACATTTAAAGTGCAGAAAGCCATCTAGGCAACACATACAACCCAGAAACAATGAAAAAAAGATGAATAAATGTGACCTCCAAAATATCAACATTTTCTGAAGAACAATAAAAGCATAAACAAAATTAAAAATAAAAACAGACTGAGGAAGAATATTTTGAACATATGTAATGGACACAATGATACTATTGTTACCATATAAAACAGGTACTAAAACAAGAAAGAAAAATAACAATAACTGGAGAGAAAAAAGTTATACAGCATAAGGCAGGAAATTTCCAGAATAAGCAATTCAAATGGCTGGGAAACACGTGGAAAAAAAAAAGGAATCTGGGCAATGGCAGTGAAGCTAATATGAGGCTTCTCTCATCAGACAGGCAAACCTTTCAAATATTGACAACAGTCATTGACTGAACGTAACATACAGATTTTTCTTTTTTCATACATGGTGTGTAAATTTATGAAAAGCAAATAAAATAAAGCAAAACCTTCTTGTATGTAACTTACACCACGGTCATCTTAACCCTAACTTTTTTTTCTTTTTGTTTTATTACACAAGATAAACATGTACACACACATATATATCAAAACAACTGAGCTGAGGGCTGGAGAAACTAAAACCCCAGAGACAAGAAGTCAGGTGTCCCTTGCCTCATTCTGCTATTTCTGGAAAGCAGTGCCAAACTGCCCACAGTTACAGACTCAAGACCATCTAAGAGGGGAGATCTTCACATTCTCGCCAAAGCCTTCCTGCCTTGGCCTCCATCACTGGTGTATCCTCCTTGCTGCTGGTGTTAACACTCTGCTTTTGCCCTTTTTCTTTCCTTGAGGAGATCTGAAGGGACTTTAAGGGTGGGAGAAAATAATGCCTAAAGTTTATTAATTTGAGGCGTTGCTTATGATATTCTTTTTTTTTTTTTTTTTTTGAGATGGAGTCTCTCTCTGTTGCCCAGGCTGGAGTGCAGTGGTGTGAACTCGGCTCACTGTAAGCTCTGCCTCCAGGGTTCACACCATTCTCTTGCCTCAGCCTCCCGAGTAGCTGGGACTGCAGGCACCCACCACCAAGCCCGGCTAATTTTTTGTATTTTTTTTTAGTAGAGATGGGGTTTCACCGTGTTAGCCAGGGTGGTCTCGATCTCCTGACCTCGTGATCTGCCGGTCTCGCCCTCCCAAAGTGCTCAGATTACAGGCGTGAGCCACCGCGCCCGGCCGCTTATGATATTCTTTTTCCAGGAGTACAGAGTCTTAGTTCTATAAAAGTACTCAGGTAAACGTTGGAGCTGAGCCTGGCTTCTACCATCTACACCCTCAATAAAGAGAAACATTCTCTCAAGCAGTATAAATGGGGCTGACATTTTGGAGGGTGCTTGGGCCCTAGGTACTCCACAAGGAAAGAAAGATATATGCACAAGAATGTTATTGTAGCTTGGTTTATAACAAAAACTCAGAAATTGGAAATGACTAAATGATCACTGACATGGTGCTGGCTGAATACATTATTACTCAGCCCATCTCATTAGATGTGAATGGTGTGTGTGTGTGTGTGTGTGTGTGTGTGTGTGCATGCTTCCTGTGGGCACCATGCATTATTACTCAGCCAATCCCATTAGATATTATGGTGTGTGTGTGTGTGTGTGTGCATGTGTGCGCGTGTGCACGCTTCCTGTGGGCATGATGCATTATTACTTTCAGCCCATCCCATTAGATACTATGCATGTATGTGTGTGTGTGTGTGTGTGTGTGTGTGTGTGTGCATGCTTCCTGTGGGCACCATGAATTACTACCCAGCCCATCCCATTAGATACTGTGGCGTGTATGTGTGTGTGCACATGTGCACGTGCATGCTATCTTTAGGCACCATGCAGGGGCCAATGGAGACTGCCTCCACCATGCCTTGAACCACACTCAGGTGCAAAATTGCAGGTGCTTATAGCAGATGCCAGGTGTGTAGTTCCCTACACCCACTTACAAGTATTCCTTCCTTCGTAACACAAAATAACTCCTCAAACCAAGCAATTGTTTTAGCAGGTATGTGGGAGGAAGAAAAGCATCAAAGTCCACCTTAAAATAAATTATGAAGCATGATAGTTTTTAGGTTTCTGCCCTAAATATTTTATTGGTCGTATTTTATCACTTCTGGGGTTGAGGAGGGAGTGCACGGATTCTCCAAAATGAGCACAAAATGTGCTGTATGTATAGCTTTGGGTTTGAACTGCAGCTCTGGAGTTTGCTAAGCATATAGCCTTGGACAATTTGTTTAACTCCTTGAACCTTGGCTATCTATTTCATGGAGTTGCTGGGAGGACTAAGAGAAATATATGTAAAACTTTCAATGATGCCTAACCCTTGACAAAGGTCTGTTGTCTTCTCTTTCCTAGAATCTATCTCTGGAATTAGCAAACTACTGCCTGAGGGTTAAATTCAGCACACCACCTGTTTTTGTAAATAAAATGTCATTGGAACACAGCCAGACTAACTTGTTTATGTATTGTCTGTGGCTGTTTTTCTCCTCAATAGCGGCAGAGCTGAATATTTGTAACAAAGACCGTCCAGCCCACAAAAGCCTGAAATCTTTTCTCTCTGGTCCTTTACAGAAAAAAATCCTGGACTATGTAGTGGGTTACCACCTCTACTGCCTACTCTCCTGTGAGAGTTGCAAAATGATTAGACATATAAGGAAGGACTATTGTTACTAATTACACATATTCATTTGTGAAGAAGGGCCTTCTTTATACTTCTGTTACTAGTTATACTTTTAACTTCATTTAAATCTTTTTCCATAAGAGCTTATCCATATGTGATAATAAGCTGAATTTCCATATGTTTTATATTTCATGCATCTTTTATTAGAAGAAAGACCCAGATTCTTTTAACATAGTCTTAAAAGGGAAGTTTTAGTTAAGGCATATCCTATCAAATGGGATATGTTGGCTGCAAGGAATAGAATTCATAACTAAACGTGGTTCACACGGCACCCTTATGATTCACCTCACTTCATAAGACATCAGGCAGCTCGGTTGTCTGAAGGTTATATGGTGTCACCAATGATCCTAGTTCTTTTCATCCTTCTGCTAAGCCATCCTCGGGTCTGGGATGTTATTCTAATACCTTTTTGTCTCCTGGTCAGCTCCAGACAGCTATGTCCAGGGACAGGACTTGGATTGGAGGTGTTGGGAGGGGACTGGCAGCAAGAAAAATAAATGCTCCTCATCCTGGCCTCTCTCCATTTACTGGGGAGGATTATTTTTTCCCCAGAAATTCTGCAGCTGACTTTCACATTACCCTTTATTGGCCCAAACTGACTCATGGCGATGCCTCTGAGCTGCCATAGATGCTGGGAAATGAGTCTAGGTTGTTTGTTTGCTTGCTTGCTTGCTTGTTTTCAGTCTCATGGCAGATAAGAAAGCTGAGACGGGGTTTGGGAGGCCAACCAGTGCTCTCCACCAGATTGACCAACCTGGGTCTAGACGTCACCACCCAGGTGGAAACAGGGCCCCAGATAAGGAACCTGGGAATCCTCCTTCTAAGTTGGGTCTTTGATGTCTGCCTCTGTGGTGTCATTGACATGGAAACTCCGTTCAAAGAGTGTTTTCAAGGTGGTTTTCCAGTTGCTGAGGTGTGGATAAATGCAGTGATCATAGGAGGTGGCCAATTACATCCTTGCAGGTGGAGCCCAGGCAGCCTCTTCAGTGTGTTTTGTGTCATCTCTGTCCATTTCCCTGAAAGGACAGGGCTCCTTGCCAGATGATGGGGTCCCAAGCTGAGGCTCTCACCCAACATGGATGCATTGGCCTCTGTCCCATCCTCACCCAAGCCTCACTTATTCCTTTTCATCCAACTTCTTCTAATGATTGTAGTAAAAATAAGGATCCCCTTCCCTCTGAACGTTTGTTACTTTTTTATGTGAGACTTTTATTGCTTTTGGCCAAAGTCCTGCTGCAAGATTTATAAAGCAACTGCTGATTATGTGGGTTATGTATAATCTCTAGAGCTAGAGGGAAATTCAGAGCCTGGAAGTGGCTCTTATTGCAGAGGTGAGCTCATTTCATAAGAAGAGACCATGAGGTCACGAGACAAGCACTTCACCATGGAAGCCTTGTAGAATCATCTCGCACTCCTCCAGTCCTGCCGTTTGAAGTAGTCATTGTTAGACTGAGAGTAACATGTTTTCCAGCAACGAAGAAATGTCTATGACATATCCAGACATCAAGAACTAAGGCAAAACAAGCACAGGCGATTGTGGGATGTAGCCATTCCCCAGTATAAGTTTAAGAGTGTGAGCAGCCTGATGTAACATGAGAGAGATCTGACTTCTGCTCAGATAAGGAAAGCAACAACAAAAATGACAACAGGCAAACAAAGTAAGAAAATAGATTTAGCCACCGGTGTTTCACTATCCAAAACAACCAGTTACATGCTGATCCACTTTCAATCTTCCTGTTACCTTCCTAACCATCTGTTTTTTTCCAGGCATCATTTGCATTTATATTGCATATGTCTTTTGTACTCCTTTTCATTCAACATTTGAACCAAAGGATTTTTCCATCATATATGAGGAGTTTTGACTTAAATTGCTACAGAGGTCATTTGGTGTTGCACATCGTGAGGTGCCAATTCCCAAATCTCTTCTCTATTTGGAATTGAAGCCACTGATTTGGCATAGTCTCAGAGGAGAGTCAGTCCTTGGCATGAATGCACAACTCTCAGTCCGTCAACTGAGGCTTTTAACATTCTGATACAGGATGTACTCACCATCACCACACCTTGAAAACCAACCATCCAAGATTATTCAGTTGGCCATTTTTCCTTTTTGTTTTTTATTTTCAAAACCACTCTTTACTTTGAATACATAATAATGATATTTTGATAAAACAATACCAGCAGAATATATCAACAAGAGACTCTTTACCAATCCCAAGTTAGACGGGAGCAAGCAGGACAGAACTTATAAATAAGTATTGCCTACATGCAGGAAGAAAATGCTGTTTGGGAGCCAGTTAGTGGACAGAAAGATTCTGAGCCACACACATTTGGGATGAAATCACCATAAGAACAGAGAGCCCTGATTTACCCCCATGATCCAACAGAAACAACTTCTGTCAGACAGCAGAAAGCCTCTGGTGCTCCTTGGGCAATGGTATCACAAGAGAACTGCTGAGGCAAAAATGCTGTCTCTATCTGTCCTTACTATCATCAAGAATGTGAGCTACACTCAGTTCTCACTGAAAACACCTATACTTCAAAAAATAGTCTGTACCATTTTCTGAGAAGTTATCTTATGCCAGAGCTATGTTCAAACCTTCACCCACATCCCTCTGTGTTTTATAGAGAAGGTGGCTAGAAGGACAGAGGTGAAGCAGCTGACCACCAGCTTCTGATTTTACTCCTTCTCTAGTTACTCCCAAAACCCACATTTTTTCCCCAAACCTACAAAGTGTGTCTTTAAAAAGCAGTACAGTAATGTCTTCTAAGGTGTCACAATTTTTTTATTAGATAACAATGTGTTTAGTAATAGTCCATCATTATTCTTAATAATATGTTTAGTAATAGTCATCATTATTCTGTAAGCCAACTTACTTGGAATAGCTACTCCCTGTCCTCTCTGAACCACAGCCATTGCTACAAGATGGGAGAAGTCTGGGAGACAGGATGTGATACATATGTGTGTGCATGTGGCTAGAATGGGCAGCTGCCATGCATGAGTTTATTTGTTCATTCATTCAACAAACAGTAAGTGGGCATCTTCTGCATACCTGGCACTGTCCTCCGAAGATCAGTGAAGGCTGATGTCTGTGTGGTTCATAATTGGCAGTACCTTATCAAGGGCAGGTGTCCCAGCCATGTTGCTGAAGAACACGCCTCCTCAAAACTTAGCAGAGGTTAACACATTCATGTTGCTCACCAATCTGCAATGTGCACAGGGTGTGATGAGTCTGTTTGCTTCCACATCATATCAGCCGGGACAGCTCGAAGGCTGGGGATGAAATCACCTGACAGCTGGCCCCCTCACCCCATGGCTGGCCCCCTCACCCGCCTGGTGGTTGAAAAAAGCTGGATACTGGCTGAGGCTGTCTTGAGCACCTGCACGTGACCTCTCCATGTGGCTGCTCGGCCTCCTCACTGCACGGTGGTGGCTCCATGATTGAGTATGCAAGTGTCCAGGCAGATGCTATACCACCTCTTAGGATTTTGCCTTGGAGGTTCCACAGCCTCACTTCCTGGTAGTTGTGGTCCCACCCAGATTCAAAGGGAGGAGTGTGAGCATCATGCCATGCACAGAGCAGGGCGTGGGATAAAAGCTGGTGCAGCCAGCTTAGGAGAATCCAATCTGCCACAGCAGCTCAGAGGCTTTCCTGCAGGCCCCATGGTACAGAGTTGGCTGCTCCTCAGCTGTGCTGTTGAAAGATGTCAGAGTAGTTTAGTAAGAGGAGAGCTGACATGTGGTTCTGGACTTAGCTGGGGAGACAAGAAATGCTGGTGTCACATAACAGTTAGGGCAAATTGTCCTTTGTGCCTGGGGTATGTGTGGCTGTTGGGGACCAGGAGGCTGCACACCCCTTTCTCTCAAGCCTTTACACAGCTCAGATGGGAGGCTAAGACCTCAGACTCTGGAGAAAGACCAGGCCATTTGCTAGTTAGTGGGTGTAGGTCCCTGACCTTAGCCCCAGAAAACATCTGCAGAGGCTGAGCCTCTTCACTAATGCTTTGGACACAATGCCATTTATAATTAAAACTGATTCATGGTGATTTTTGTTTCTCTACTCACTTAACCAAAAAGAGTGTAGTGTGACCATAAAGTCTGAAAAGAGATACTATTATTTATCATCTACTATAATATAGTATCAATAAACCATGCATTGTGTGGTTCCAGGCTTGGTGGCCACCCTGATTATTCTCATAACAACCTTTAAATTAGTGTCCCTGCTTTGTGGATGTAGAAACTAAGAGAGGAAAAGATTAGCCATCGCCCCAGGGTCATGTACAGACCACCAGGATTCAACCTCACTTCCGTTAAGTGTTAAACTTGTGGTCTGTTCAATGAGCTAGCTGACAACAGAAAGAACATTATTATAAAAAAAGAAAATGCATTGTCTCTCCCCATCAGGAAAGGCTCCCATGCCCCCAATGTGGGAACCATCTGGCCGGTGTGGTGCTCACTACTGAGGAGTTGTTTAAATCGCTCAAACTTTCCACACTTCACTGGGGAGGGACTCAGTGAAGTCTTTGATGTCACTTATGCTGTGTGGGGTCCCCAGAGATGAATTTGACTGTGAACCCTATATGATGTCTCACCAATCTCTTCCTATTGCACCTGCTATTGGCATTCTTCTCCCCAGACTGCATAGTATCCCTCACTGGAAACATTCAGGGCTCCTCATCTAAAAGAAGACCCACTATGCCACCCGCCTTTTTCCAAACTGGGACCAAAGTGTCTCCCTGAAAATTCACAGGTGCTAGTAATATGGTCATTGAAAGCTGTTTTCTATGAAAGTTTAGAGACATGCTAAACAGCATTCATTTTGAAGGCAAGGACTCAATAGATGAAAATTCCCATCTGGGTACCAAAAGCTCTGCTTTTAAGGTACCCAATCATGAGTATTCTGAAGCTCATTACCATCCATGAAGGAAGAGGGTATGGAAAATAACTAAGTTCTAAATGTCTATTCTTCCCATTGTCACTCTAGCATTGCAAACACCCTCTCATTGGCTGCCTATCTCCTCCACCCACACCCATATTTTAGGTCAAAGAGTCCCTTCTGTGAATCAGAGCAATGTATTTCTCATCTTTTCTCTTTTTCATGCCAATCTTGAGCAAGTCACAGAGCTGACTTTGTGAAACCAGCTGGCAATTGTTCGCCATGAAAACCAATCATACACTAACGCTGAGTGCCTCAATCGCAGTGAACGTGGCAGGGCACCCTCGTAATCAGGCCCTGCATCAATACGCCTGGTGCCTGTGGGCAGCTCTTGTTCTGTGTGGGAAGGCAGGGGCCTCTTCCATCTGCTAGGAGCTAAAGTAATGACTGTGTGCACTGACACAGCCTCGGCTGCCTCTGTGTCCATATGCTGTGTATTCATGGCACGTTAATGAAGAAATCTTCTGTCTTGCCTGGACTAATGGGGGCTGGTGAGAGGCGTGGAACACAAGGGAAGCTGGGGAAGGTGTTCTATCCAGGAGGTACTGGCTGACCAGAGAAGAGAGCATTAGGGGGTGATGCCAGAGTCCCTACACTTGAGCCCATTTCGCTACCAGAGCAGCTGTGCAATCTTGGGTGAGTGAATTGAGCTGATCCTCCAGTCCACAACTACAAATGCAGCTTTCAATAGTCACTTCCTCTCAAGGAATTTATAAACATGAAAGGGATCACACGTGTGTGGGATGGTTTGGGAAAGCAGTTGTAATTAGAAGTGTGATGCAAACATAATGTCAATAACGGCTGGCTTACCGTTTGCCGACCAGGTACATTTGGGAGCCATTTTAACTGCTGTATGGCAGGTAAACTGCTTCTTTACTTGGAGGAACAAAGCTATACTTGCTCAACATACAGCAATCTTTCTAGAGCATGAGGCCTGGATGTGATAGAACTTCCTAGAAAGTTCCATCTGTTTCCTTTGTCACATACTGAAGTCTATGCTTGTAAGAAGAGCAAGTACAGGAACCTAAATTCCACACTGCAGTATGGGTGCTACACTGGGCAGTTAAGTGCTGTATTAAGCTGCCAAAATGTTCATCAGTAGCCTTGGCTGTTTCCTTTTGATTCCGTTTTCTAAGCACCTAATTCAGTCCTCATGCCCATTGCGCTGTCTCTGTTACAGCAATTTCCACAAAACCTTGAAATCATTTTTTGCTGGTCTCTCTTTTCCCGTAGACTTTCCAGGCCTTTCAGGTAGAATGAGCTGTTGATTGCCAGCGGGTCAGAACCCTGTGAGTGACAACTGCAACCGTTTACCCTTGCTGCATAACAAACTACCACAAATCAAGTAGCTCAAAACAACATGCATTTAATAGTTCCCATTTCTGTTGGTCAGAGGTTGGGCAGATGGCTGGATTTTCTGCTTGGGGTCTTGCAAGGTGTCAGCCGGCCTGTCTGGGAGGAATCTGCCTCCAGGGTCATTGAGTTCTCAGCTGAATTCAGCCTTGCAGCTCCAGGACTGAGCTGTTTTCCAGCTGATCCCAGTGACCACTCTTGGCTTCTAGAGACCACGCCCAGCTTCCTGCCATGTGGGCCATCCATCTCCAGTGGAGAACCCCACCCCTGCTGAATTCACTTCAAGCTACAACCTGACCTTCCTGGCTGTGACCTGCAGACAGATTGAAAGGGTTCCTGTGGCCAGGTCAGGCCTGCTGGGTAATCTCCCCATCTTACAACCAACTCACCTGAGACCTTCATTACTTCTGCGGAATTCCTTCATGGCCCAACCTCAATTCATGTTTCATTAAGTGACTGAGGGAAGATGAGCAGGACTCTTGGTGCCAACTTAGAATTCCATCAGCCACAGCACACAAAGTCACTTCAAGAAGTATTTGTAAAGTGAAGAAAAGGCATCAAGTCACATTTTTCCCTATGAGAAACTTAGACTGTAAGGCATGTCTTTGCAGTAGCCCAGGATTTCCAAATGCACCCCAGGCTAAGGCTGCCTCCACTGAAATCACAGTTCCCCTTTCAAATGCAGATTCCTAGACCCAGGGGATTCTAGTGGCAAGCAGGCTATCTGCCTTCTAGCAGGCTACTCCTTGGGGGCGTGTTTCCCTCTACAGCTCATCTGGAAATGACTGGAAGCAGCCTTTGCACCTGGAGACCTTGCTAGATGGGCAATGAAAGGCAGTATTTAGAAAGGAGGCTCCCAGGAGGGATCCTCAAGCCCCCAGCAGGCAGCCTGGGCCTGGGGCTACCACAGATTAAGGATGCCGCCCAAGGAAACAAAGGATCCAGGGAGAGAAATGCAGAAATTAGTAATCATCCAGAAGAGGAGTAACAACAGTTGATACTTACATAATACCTTGCTAATAAGCATGAGCAACTACTCGTAGAAAGGCAGCATGTTCCATCTGTATCATAGCATTGTGAGTTAACTGAAGGGGGTCCTAGAGTTACCAGTGGACACAGCATTTAGCCAGTCAGCAAACATTGCTGAGCCAGGTTTGGAGAGATGCTCCTGCCCTCCACAGCTCACGACTCCCCACAGAGACAGGCGGGTATACAAATGACAGAGGCTAAGGGTCCATATGTACTGTCACCAAACCAAACTCAGGTCCTCTTGCCCTGTGCAGCAAAACCAAACACTGACATCAGGACTGCAGCAACAGAAACCCAGGCATTTATGGCAGAACACCACGCAAGGAGAATCAGGCAGCTCAGGCTTGAGACCAAAGCTGCCCTTGCAGTTAAGTGTTTTTAAAGGAGGGGAGGCAGAGGTCACAGGCCAAGTCATCAATCAATGACCAAAAAAGGCAGAACATCTCCAAGTGGGGGTCCACAGGTTGTAGGTAGAGTTAAAGATTTTCTGATTTGCGATAGGTTAAGGAAGGAACATTTGTCTAGACTGGGGGTCAGCAGAAAAGAGTGTTAGCTCTGGCCTGTGGGCATGACCTCCAGGCTCCTCAAGAAGAAACTGAGAGCAAGGAAAGGCAGGCAGACCTCACTCCTCAGTCCCCCTTATATGGGGTCCACGTACCAGCAGGTCCATTTGTTGGGGGGTGTGGTTTTCTGAAAAACAACTCAGGGTCATATGTTAACATGGTATCCCCTGTGACTTTAACTTCCTTGGCTATTGTTTTAAGCTACTGTTGCCTTCTTGCTTATCAAGTTGCTCATTTACTTGTCAGAGCTAGCTGGGTGTCTGGAATTTCCCTTGAAGGCACTCAAGATTTTCCTTTATTTCCGCACTTAGGAGCTGGGGGATGGCCCCCCCTAAGAGGGGTCCCTGCTGTGTCTCGGCACTGACGGCAATGTGTACAAAGCAACAAGTGGTTCTGCTGCATCCAAAGGAAACCTGGAAAAGTGTAAAGGCCAGGTTACATTTGAGCCCAGGTTTTCCATTTCTTTAGCCATGTTGGCCACATCTTCACTGGGTGGCCAGTGTTTCAACAGCCAAAGTGGACATCACCGCCCACATCTGAGACCCCTGCCCCCAGGGGGGCTGGTCCGTACTCAGCTACCTAATAGGACCGGAGGCTGGGCTTCCTGGGGCTGAGGTCCTGTTAGGTAGGTCATTACTAATAATTCTTGCCCACTCAAAGGACTTAATATACACCTAGTGAGCTGAAATATTACTGACACAAACTCATATCTTACTCTGATTGCTAGTGGCCCCCTTCCCTCTTCCTACCCACTCCCAAGAATGTAGCCAGACTGGGTGTTCCTCATCTGGGCTGGGTGTGAAAGGGGGAGGATTTCTTCTCCTGAGCTGAAGCAGCAGTTTCCAGGCACCCAAAAGACAACCACCCCTTCTTTTTGTTTTCTAGAAGACCACTGCAGTGTAGACCAGACAGGAGGGAAGTTTAGAGCTCCCCAAGACTGGAAAGATGGCTGTAGCATGTGGGGCTCAGATTGGGCACCTGCTCTTCAGGGCTGCCTCCAGCACTGACAAAGTGGACAGTAGAGCTATCAAGGACCCCGGCATAGACTTTAACTACATGGTCTGCATGCTCTAGTGCAGTCCTACCCAAGGCAAGTTCAAGAGCTCCTTCAAGCGGAGGGCAGGAAGCCTGTGATTAAGGACCTGTCTCCATCCTCTATGAGCAGCCCCCCTCCCAACTCCCCATCCCCCGCCTGCGGCATGCAACGGTAATGAGCAGCGGAGACTACTAGAGCTGTCAGTGCCTTAGAGAAGCTGGGCTCCCTTGAATGGTGGAGCCGCAGGGTCAGCGTGTTTGCCACTTCTGTGAAGTCTGTGTTTGTCGTGGGAGTCAGGAATGAGAGCAGAGCTGCCACCAGACTCAGCAACACCTCCTGCACCATGAGCCACTTGTCCTCCCTGCCCTCGAGCAACTTTAGCAATGTTGGCATCATGGAGAGGCTCGGGACGACAGTCTACACCATCCTGCCCTCCAGAAGACTTTGTGGCTAACTGTGGCAAGGTGGACATGGAGCTGCTCAAATGCCAAGGCAGCAGGCAAGGCCCTCCCTGAACTGAGTGGGATGCTCACTGGCACAGCTTTCTGTGCCCCCACTGAGCTGACCTGCCTGTCTGGAGAAATATACCAAACACAGTGACACCAAGAAGGTGGCCCAGTGGGTGTCAGAGACCCCTACTAAGACTCTTGCTTCCCTAAGAACAGGTTGTTTTCTGGGACTTGAATGGTGGCACACACCCACTCCCCCAGCCTTGGTCTTGGGCTGGCACTGCTCTCAATGATCCCTTTATCCAGCCCATTCCCTCGCATGATAATGCATTTGGCCACAGCAGCCTCTTTGTGGACCTCACAGTTCTCATGGCCTCCAGGATGCAAGAGCCCTGGACCACCAGCCCCAGGAGTGGTATGAAAGGAAGAGAGAGGCCTTCAGCCACTGAGAGTCCTGGCCTCTAGCGGCTCCACTTCCCAACAATTGATGGTCTCCCATTCTGCACTAGGCTCTCTCATCAGGCCCCTGAGGCAGTGGTGGGGCTTCCAGAGCCCTGCCGTGCCCTGCACCATCAGTGCTGTCTGTGCTGACCTCTCTAGCCTGCGCAGCGGGAAAGCAGTGAAGCAGCATACTCCGATGTCGAGGAGGGAGTGGGCACGCACTTGAGAGTAACTGCGAGCTGCCCCTGGCGTCACATCACATTGTCAAGTTCATGTTTTCAGCTGCAGTGAAAAAGAAGGAACTTCTTGCAGGGAACTCAACTAAATTGTCTTTAAATGACTAAACCCTAGGGAGGACAACTGCTATTTGGTCATGCATTTTCCATGTGGATTTCCATACACTGTGACTCCCAAGAGGGGATTTTCTGCCACATGTATTGTTGGTCTTTTTATTTTGGGTTTTGCTCTATCTGGAAGGATTAACAAGAACAACATTAAGTCCCACACGAATCCCTTTGCCCCTGTAGCAAGAATGACCTTGAGGAGGCCAGCCCTTCCTAGCTCAGGAAGCGGCTTTGTGGGAGATGAGTCTCAATTGCCAGGACCCCCCAGGGCCAGGTGTCCTCCACTCAGGCAGGCTGCCTCTCCTCCTTGTCCCAGCAGCCCTCACATTCACTTCCTGTCTTTCCATCCAAGCTGCTGCCCTTGACTTCAGCCCTCCTCTCACCTCTTACCCCAAACCTCTCATCTCCACTCTTCTCATTCAAGTCAAATATTACCTAATTAACATCACTCTCTTCTCCAGATAATTGGCTCCTTCTTGCCTGGAAGGTACAGTTTAGGGGACAACTTACCTTGGACCTGTGTGAACACACTCCTTCCCCATTGACCTCAACCTGTGTCTGACACAGCAAAGGTTACACCACTGACCTCTCCACAGGGCTCCTTCCTTTCCTGCAAGGTGAACTCAACAGGAACTTCAGATCTGGAAGTTGCTCCCTAAATAGTGGGCCACCTCCACCTGCCATGAGGTGGGAGACTACAGGCTGGCTTCTGTGGTGAAGCTGGAAGGCGTCATGCACCCTGCACCTGGTAGCAGAGCCCCTCGGGCTGCCTGTTTGCCCTGAGCCCCCTGCCTTCACAGGCACACACTCCGATGCTGATCGCTGTTGCAACGGGGAAAATGAGTTGTTTTCCACCTGGGTGGGTCTGAAGGGAGGAAAGGAGTTGTCCTTGTCTCCAAATTCTCCTGTCACTCATGCTGCTTCAGAAGCCCATTAGGGTCACCATACCTGGAGCAGTGGATTGCAAGGGGCTTGGACTGAAGGCAAGGCCTGCTGCTCACTGCTTACAGAGTCCAGTTAACAAGAGAGAGGTCAGATAGAGAGAAAGTGACCATTCCAGAGCTTGGCTAAGGGGAAGAGGATACAGGCTTCTGCCTTAAGGGAACAGCTTCACCTGTAGAAGCAGAAAGCAGGGGCTTTAAAGGGGAACTTGGCATGAACGGCATGCAGGGGACTGGGGAGGAGATGCGGGGTCTGCATGACTTATTTCAATGTCTTATCCATCGGGTGGTCTGGCTGGTGCTGTCGTGGGCAGAGCTAGATTGTAAGTTGACGATTGTCTCGAGGCAATCTCCTGGTGGGGTGAAACCCAGAGGGTTCCTGGTTTGGTTCAACATTTGGTCCTCTGAATTTCCAAGCAAACATACAGAGAGATAAGCTTGCAGTGCAGGGAGTGCCTGGTGGAGAGAAGGGAACGGTTATAGGTGCATTCCTAAAGAGCTAAGTAAGAAGTGAACACACAGGGAAAAAGAGAAAAGGTAAAGATGACTTTTAGGAAAATGGGGTACTCGGTTACAGTCTGAGGCCTTAGGCTGTGGCATCAGGTCCGATGAGCCGCAAGCTTTAGCAAACATGGAAGAAGTGGGCTCAAAGCAGAGTCAAAGCCTGGGGACAGGGTGACTGCTAGAACTGCTCCGCCTCAAGATGGGGGTAGAGATAAGGCTGTGGGCTGGAGACTGCACCTCAGCTCATAGGGCGGGTGTGGGGGTGCGCAGAGGGTAATAAAACAAAAGTAAAAGCCAGAGGTGTCTCCAGAGCAAGAGGCCACTCCTGGGACAGCTGGCACCCAGAACATGCCTCCAGCCTGTGGCCTCTGACAGTCCTGTGGGGCCGAGGGGCAGTTCCTGTCAGCGACCACTCACAGTCAGCAAGGGAGTCTTCCCCCAGCTTATTCATTTTCATTTTTCTTTGTGCTAATTTAAAACATAACCGCCCCAGGTAAGGGCTGCACATGAAGCCAATCACAATTCAGTGTGGACTGGCAGGTGGGACCCCGAGCACCCGGAAAAGCGGGTGGGGACTGGTTCATCTCCCAGCTGCAAATGCAACTTCAAAAGGGAAAACACATCACTTCACAAGGAAAAAAACCTCACCTACATCACATTTTTTCACACATTTGAAGTTCTGCAACTTCTATGTTATTTTTTATTGTGATGAAATACACATAACATAAACGTTACAATTCTAGTCACTTTTAAGTGCACGGCTGAGTGACATTAAGTACATTCACATTAGTGTTCAACCATCACCAATGTCCATCTCAAGAACATTTTCATATTCCCAAACTGAAGCTTCATACCCATTAAACAGTCACTTCCTATCTCCATGCTCCCCCCAGCTCCTGCACTCACCCTTCTACTTTCTCTCCATGAATTTGAAAACTCCAGGGACCTCACCTAAGTGGAACCACACAGTATTTGACCTTTTTTGTCTCGCTTACTTCACTTAGTATAATGTCTTCCAGGTTCACCATGCGTCATAGCACATCAGTACTTTATTCCTTTGTAAGGCGGAATATATTCTATTTGATGTATTCACCACATTTTGCATATCTGTTCAGCTGCTGATGGGCAATTGGTTTGCGTCTACCTTTTGCTACTATGAATAATGCTGCTGTGATTATGGGTGTGCAAATATCTGTTAAAGTCTCAGATTCCAGTTATTTGGGGTAGATACCCCGGAGTGGAATTGCTGGATCATATGGTGATTCTATTTTTAATTTTTTGAAGGATGGTCATACCATTTACCACAGCGGTTTGACGTTCCCTCCAGCACTGCACAAGGGTTCCAGTTTCAACTTCACATCCTCAATCACATGTGTGATTTTCTGTTTTGTTTTGTTTGTAATAGCCATCCTAGTGACTGTGAATTGGTATCTCATTGTGGTTTTGGTTTGCATTTTCCTGATTATTAATGATGTTGAACACACAAACGTATTGGCCATTTGGTTATCATCAATGAAGAAACGTCTACATTTGCCATATTTAAATCAGGCTGTTCATTGCTGTTGAGTCATAGGAGCCCTTTATATATTTTAAATATACATATATAAAATACATATATTTATATATATTATATATATATATATAAGCCATATCCCTAAATATATATATATATTTAGACAGAGTCTCGCTCTGTTGCCCAGGCTGGAGAGCAGTGGCGCAATCTCAGCTGACTGCAACCTCCACCTCCAGGGTTCAAGAAATTCTCCTGCCTCAGCCTCCTGAGTAGCTGGCATTACAGGCACACACCACCATGCCGGGTTAATTTTTTTATTTTTAGTAGAGATGGGATTTCACCATGTTGGCTAGGCTGGTCTCAAGTGCTTGACCTCAGGTGATCCACCTGCCTCAGCCTCCCAAAGTGCTGGGATTACAGGCATGAACCACCGCGCCAGGCCTATTTTAAATATTAACCCTTTATCAGATATATAATTTGCAAATATTGTCTCCCATTTCATGGCTTGGCTGCCTTGTCACTTTGTCAATAGTGTCCTTTGATGCACAAAAGTATTTAATTCTGGTGAAGTTTCATTTCCCTGGTTTTTCTTTTGTTACCTGCACTTTCAGTGTCCTATTCCCTGTGCTTTTGAGACCTTTGAAACCTAGTACATTTCCATACCTGCTACCGGGCTTAGGAAAGCCCTACCCACTCGCTGTTTCTGCAGCACACACACTTGGGCCTTTGGAATTCCATAATCACCTTGTTTAGTGAACATGTTAGCATTTCCTAGTCATCTGGTATTCCTCTTATTACCCATCTTACTTGCCTTTCCACTGGTGGGGTGTGTCTGATAGGAAGTAGTAAGCTTTCATCTTTCTATGACATTTCCTGGGAGATACCCCAGATCTCAGTATGTTTTTAATTGGATAAATCAGACCTTTTATTTATTTTCATTGTGGTTTGTGATGCTTTTAATGGGAATTAACTAGACAGAAATGTCAGTTACACTGTTATGAGGCTGATATTCCTCAGAGGAAGGTGGGTGGCAGTCCAGCTCATCAGCTGCTGAAAAATGTCCCCCTTGAGCTCCTGATGGTGTTCCAAGGCCATGTAGCTTCTGCTGAAGCAAAAGTAATGAGATCCTTGGCAGAATGCACTTGAACATGCTGTAGAGAGCTTTCTGTATGCATTAAGCACTGCCAACAACATGCATGTCCAACACAAAGGGGCACGGTGGACGTAGCGCATGGCAGGTCCCAGTCTCTGAGTGGAAAGGGCCCAAGTGCAGATGGTAACCCACTCAGCACCAGGGCCACTGCTCTGGCTGCTGAGGGCTGGTCCTGCAGCCTTGCTGGGCACTGGCAGGGCTTCCCCAGGAGCTCTGGGCTCTTCCTGACAGACACCAGCAGTGCCGTTTCCGCCAGAGGCTCCTAGGACTTATCTGCACCCCGAATACTCGCATGTGTGAATGCCTAGTCCTGCTCTCCTTACTGCCCCCGTTTGGCGCTGAACCCTCCAGGTCGTGCCCCCTCCCCACGGTGCACAGCCAGACATCCTTCTTGTGTCCACTGTCCTCTTCACAGGGCCTCTCCTTTTTGTGTCCCTTTCAAAAGAGCAGCCAGGCTTCTCCTGGTCAATTTCTTCTTCTCAATTTGGTGCTGACCCCTGGCTTCTCAAGAGGATTTTTATTTTTGAAGCTTATAGTAAAAATCAGCAATGCATTCTGGTTCCTCCATGCCCAGAATTTGTGCTTGTGCCTAAATATGAGACTCTTGACTCATGTCAGTAAAAATGATGGCCTGGGTAGACCCATGGCAGAGCCTGCAGCCTGGTGCCAAAGAGCGCCTTCCTGCCAGCTCAGCCATTCACCACTGCTGCTGCCTGCACACACAGACACACACACTCACAAAACACACACACACACACACACTCCCACATGCACAGACAGGCACTCACATGCTTGCATGCACTTACATGCATACACTCACACATACACACACACAATGCTTGCATGCACTCACACATACACTCACACACTCACATACTTGCATGCACTCACATGCATACATTCACATATACACACTCACTCCCTCACTCACACACACTCCTGCCCCTCCCGACCGGCACCAGGCACTGCTCTGCAGGCACTCCCTTGGACCCCTCACTCATGTGCTCATTCCCAACTTCCTCTGCTACCTCCCGTTTATCTGCTGATCCAGATCCTCTCCGCCAAGCCTCACTCCCGATTTATCTTGAAAAGAGTCCAGTGCCTAACCCACTTTCCAAGGGCAGTCGAGGTGGGAATCATTGCTTTTATATAGGGCATGGCTCTGGCAACACTCGGGAGATGCCCTCGTTTCATTTCAGAGAGAGGCTGTTCCCTGCTCACTCCCTCCACTTGTCCTCCAGCCATACCCCTGTACAGAACTCCCTTTAGTCCAGGCCCCCAGGCCCCCAGTGACCTCTTCCAAGCCCTCAGGGCGGCTCCGTCACTAGGGAGATATGACCTTGAGGTGTGGGGCAGCTGGTGGGGCTGGGCGAGGCCGGGGCTGGCTGTATCCCTGTAGTGCAGGGCCTCCTCTCTGCCTTAAGGTGTTCAGGTGTCCTACATGTCTGGCCCCTGGTTGTTAGGACGGCACCCCCTCCATATCCTGCTCTATGGCCATTGGCTTTCCGTCTCCTTTGAGGATCTCTACTTCACTGTCTCCCAAGGAACATGTGGCTGTGTTGCAGCACCTGGCCAGGCCGTTTTCTGTTCTCTCTTTACTCCTAAACCAAGCAATGTCATCAAGCTGTACATCTGTCAATGGGTCCAAATGCCAAAGACTCCCAGATCTCCCAGATCCCAATCTCTGGCTCCAACCCCTGCCTCATTCTTCTGCCATGGAACAGCCACTGGAACTCCTGCTCCACCTCCATTGATCTCTGCCCGCCATGCCACAGTTCCCTCTGCCCCAGGGCTGATGGCCAGAGCCACAGGTGGCACCGGGCAGCTTCTGCCACACACCGTGGAGCCACTCTTGGTGGCCCCCTTTCCCTCCAGCCCTCCTTCACCCACCAGAAAGTTCTCCTGGCTCTGCCTCTGACCCGTGCCAGATATGTCCTGTTCTCCCCACCCTCAGTCCATTACCATCACCTCACTCTTGGACTGTGTAGTCATCTCTGGACCGCTTGCCTAGGTCCTGCCCTGCTCCCTGCAGGCCATTCTCTCAGCAGCAGCCCAGCCCAGGGTGGTATTGTTGGATAGGTCAGATCAGCCTGCCCTGCCTGTTGAGGGCCTTCCCTGAGCCCACACCCCAGCCAAGGCTCCCTGTGTGCTCACAGGAGCATTCAAACGCTGACCACGGCCTGCAAAGCTCAGCATCAGCCGCCAGCACTCACTCTCCAGCTTGGTTTGAGGCCACTCTCTTCTAGTCCCAATGCGGTCTGGCTGCACTGACCTGCTTTCTGTTCTTCAAATAATCCCAGGCCACTCGGACTTAGGGTCTGAACTCCTGCCCTTCCTTCTACCTGGTGTGTTCTCTCCTGGATGCTCCCACAGCTACTCCTTCCCATCCTGGGGTTTCAGGTGGCAGGTCCCCCATGCAGTGGGACACTCCCCGACATCCCCAGGAACTGCACCTGCACATCTCCCTGACTTTATGGTCTCACAACACTTGGCGTCATCTTGGGATTCCTTTCTTTCTTCCCCCAGTGGAACATAAGTTCCTTGAGTACAGGGACCAGCCAGTCTTGTACATATTTTACTTCCAGTGCCAAGAAGTGCCTGCCATGGATAAGGCAGTCAAAAAACATTTGTTAAAAGTGAGTGATTACATAATTGAGTGACGAATGTCCACCTTCTCCATCTGTGGTTCTCAACCTTGGAGGCACATAAGATTCACAAATGAGCTTTACAAATACAAATGCCAAGGCCCACCACCACCCCACCCCCCACCCACAAAACCTTGAATTTCTGACTTAATTGTTCTGGGGAAGAGCCTGGGTATCAGGATTTGTTAAAACTACTAATGTGAATCAAATGTGCTTCCAAGGCTGGGAATCAACTGGAATGTAGGTTACAGCCTGGAGAAAAGTTGTCGTCGTCCGGATACTGTCCACTCCACTCCTTGAAAGGACCCCAGAAAAAGACCTACTGCAAAAAGAAAAACCTCCACCTTGATGGTATTAGTAGTTCTCAGAAGGGCAAAGTCAGGGGACCCTATGCATTGGTTTCAGGGCCTGAGCTCAGTGATTGTTAAGGCAAGTCTTGAAAAGTGAGGAATTGATTGGAACTGGCAGAGTCTGACAACAGAGTTTAGGATTAAA
This sequence comes from Homo sapiens, assembly GCF_000001405.40. NCBI lineage: Eukaryota > Metazoa > Chordata > Mammalia > Primates > Hominidae > Homo > Homo sapiens. The sequence continues at coordinate 24,453,970 of NC_000020.11, forward strand.
GGGCACAGCAAAGGGAGGGTCTTAAATGAGGTGTTGGTGAGAAGACTCTTGAGTTGAGCCTTACGTTCCAAGAAGAGGGACTCTGTGGAGCACTCTCCCAACTTCCTGCTCTGTTTGCTTCTTGGGAGGTTTGTTTCTGCTTGGTCCCAATACTGCTTAACACGTGAACAGGAAGTCCTGTTGGTTTCTGCTCTCAGTATTAATCAGAAGGAAAGCTTAGAAGCAAGTTTGAATCCATGCAAACAGAAGTATATTCAGAAAGAGTAAATGAAAATCCATATGGTCAAGAGGAAAGAAAAAATCAAGCACTATGCAGTTGCCTCCACAATCAATGGGGAAGCAGAGTCTGAAAGTTTTCAGGTTTCTCTAAATTAGCTACTAATTTTTATTTTAACATAAAACTATTGCATGATTAATAATATAACCCAATCTATTAAGCACAGTTTAATAAATCAACCTAATATTTTTGCAAGAAGTGAAACATATTAAGAATATGAATGTATTAGTGAAACAAATGATTTATTCTTAAAAAATGCAACATAACGATGCTATATCCAATTAGAAATTAAAATCAGGAACCTAATTAGAGACAATCATAAAAAATATATTGATTTTGTTAAACATGTAGAAGATGGTTGGCTAGGAAAGCACATAACAAGTTGTTTAGATGAGCGCTTCACCAAGATACAAAGAGAGGTGTACTTGAGGAGGGATCATCACCAGCCACCTGTGCTCCATCTACAAAGATCTGGCTGTGACAGCATGGCTCAGGAGCTGATCAGAAAATTTTTCGTAGACGCTCTCTCCACTCCAAGCCACAAAGACAACTAACTAACCACTTCATTGAATCTAGATGCCAAAGCAAGCCATCTTGATTTAAATCCTTAATTTCCCTATTCATGAGGTAATAAAATAGAATTTTATTTCTGGGAAAATGTTTTAAATCATGAAAATATTTAAACTGATCACAAAGCTAAGTGAAATATAATAAAACACAATGTCTGCAGGTATGTACCATTTTAACGTCTTTTTAGACCAAATTCTTCATAATAAGGTTCTTGTGGGGAGACCAGCGGCATGACCCCAGGACCCCACCCCAGTTGGCTGGGCTGGAGGCCCTGGGCTCGCCCCACAGGGTGGGGGCTGTGCCTGGTCCTGACCCTGGGCTCCAGACACAATTTCCTTTCTTTGACCCCCAGTCCCTCATTTTGCATTCCTTCACAGCAGTTTCTCCCTTTGCTTTGGATGTTCTTGGCTTCGTCTCTTCCCCACTGCTAGACTGCAAGCCCTTGCCAGGCAGAAGCTGTGCTTGAATCATCTTCTACTCTAGCATCTAAGACGACATGCTGAAGTTACCGAGTGTTTGCTGAGTGAACTGTGTCTCTTGACTGCCTGCTTATCTGAAGGCGAGCTGTTTCCCATAAACTCAGATCTCCCTTTTCCAGGACGGCTCAGGAGTGTCTGCTCATGAACAGCCCAGGCTCAGCCAGCCCTGGAAAAGTATGGTCTGCCTGCAGGTGAAGAAAGGAGAATATAATAGAAAAATGGCAGTTGTCCTCGGCCCATTGAAATTCAAAAGATTCCCCGGGGATTTATTTTCTAAATGGCTTCTTATTTCCCTAAGTGTTTTGTCCTTTTTCGTCTGATGTGTGGGCATCCAATAAGCAGGCACTGGTGCCATCAACTCCTGACGTTCCTTCCCTGGAAAAATCCTCTAATTATAAAGCATCACTTGCTGCATGAGCCAAAGGGAAGAGTAAATTATTTTATTTTTATTTTTATTTTTTTGTTTTTACCATTGACTCCAGAGACGAATGTCTTCTTGTCCCCTGGGGAGCCGAAGCCATCCGCGTTGACCTTTTGCAGAGGCGGGTGACAGATTCTTGTGCTCACCGCTCTGTGAACCCCACAGCCCATGAATTCGAGTGCCTGCCTCCCTTCTCCTCAGAAGCAGTCTGTGTGTCTTCCAGCTTCTACTGTCCTCTTTTCAGAATGTCAGGGACACTGTCTCCTACTGTTTGAGTCCCTCTGCCTGTTCCCATCCCCAGGGGAACAGGAGAAGGTCCTCTTAAATCCCTGATTGGGATACAATTCTCCTAACAACATTCCCAATTGCCTTTAGGGCTACATTGTACACAGAAAAAGCGCAGACAGCAGAGAGTGTTTAATGCATCGTGACAGTTAATGTATATTGAATGCAAATGTCACCTCCATACCAAGACATTCTATGCATGATGTCATGGAACCCCCCCACAGCTGATCCATGATGAAGAGATGCTGTTGATGACTCCATTTCAGTTTCAGACTAAGTGACCTGCCCAGGGATCATCTCTCTCTCTCTCTCTCTCTCTCTCTCTCTCTCTCTCACACACACACACACACACACACAGAGTCACACCCATGCACACTCTTGTTAATAAGTGTCAGAGCAGCCTTTTGGCCCCAAGCACTCTGACCCCTCAGCAGGATGTCCTGCTGTCTCAGAGCATCTTCCCTTTATGTGTCTTAGCTGTAGTCTCAGGAAGTTAGAACTGGCAGAGGCACTAGCTCAAGTGAGAAACCCCAGCACAGGGATGGGTGAACAACAAGCTCAGGCCACAGGGAGGAGATTATTCAGATAGCCTCTGAGACCTTGAGCAAGTCACAAGATCCAAGTGTCTTAGGCAGGTTCTCCCAGAATCAGACTTCCGATGAGAATCCACAGGCAAGTGACTGATGACGGGAGAGGCGCCAAGGGAGGTCAGGGAGGGAGCAGGAAAGGAGGGTGGGGAAGGGGAAAGTCAAGCCAGGCTCAATCTCAGGAACAATCTTGTAGGGAGATCTTCAGCCTGATCTTGAAGAGGCCTCTGGAGGGCAAGCAAGCCCTCCGAATTTGTCTTGCCTTGAAGCAAGGAAGCTGGACTTTCCCACTCCTGCCTGTCAGTCATGAGTTACTGACCACTAGGAAGGATATGCGCCCACAGGCCCTTGCAGCTCTCTGAACAATGAGGCTAAGCAGCTCCCGTGGCCCAAGCCCCATGAAGAAAGAGCATGGGCTGCAGTTAGAAGAAAAGCATGCAGAAACTGCAGAGTGGGCACACAGATCAGACACAGGCATCACAGGGCATCAGGGTGGAGACCACCAGGATCCAGGATACTCAGCCCCAGTCACTAGTACAATGCCCCACGTGGGGCCAGAGCTGTGTCTCTGTGACTGGAGCCCCATGACCTCATGAGAAGGTCTGGGGATCTGGGAGGTGAAATTGATTAAGGGGATTAGAAAGTAGGTTTTGAAAGAAAGTTGACACAATTAGAGTATTTCACCTCCAGAGAAGACTAAATAGTAAGCTAGTAACAGCCAGTAACCACACAGGTAAATAAAGACTTCTTACCAAAAAATCATGGCTGATTCAAAGACTGCAGGAGTAGAATAATTGACATACTGCACATACAGAAGGGTTCCTACTGCACAAAGGAAACCCCAGCCTGACAAGGAAGGGAAGCCCCAGAAGACTGTAAGGAAGGGTACATGGTCCACATGCCAGGCATCTGTCTTGCAGGATTACACAGGGTCCCCCCTGAAATAATTTGCTCTGAACAGATAAAGCATGACAGCCAGGAACATTTCCTGAGTGGCTCTTATGTGGGAGGGTTTGGAAACAGAAGTTCATAAAGTACATGAAAATGAGGATGAGACCAGGATGAGAAGATCTTCAACACCGCCCTTGACTCTATGTTGGGGGAGTTGAGGCAGGTCAACCCTTAGAAGCCTGAACCTAGCATCAGAATGCTGCAGGGAGGGCTCTCTCCAGCCCAGAAGCTCCATACTGACTCATAGGAGGTATGGAACCTCTTACAGAATCCATCCCTGATGTGAACAATGGCAATGATACTGTCCCTGCCTCAGTGGGCTGTGATGAATGGGTGCAGACACACTCAGAGTTCTTGCTACAGAGCTGGGAAGAAAATAATGAAGTATCAACTAGAATGGCTCTCCACATGTGAAATATATGCCCCATCCTGGTGGAAAGGTGGCATTCACTGCAGCTTCAAGGGATTCAAAACACTCCTCTGCTCAAGCAGAATTTGAGTCAACACAGAACCATCAAGAGACATACAATGTGTCCCAAATATCCAGCTCATATTATTTCTGTTTCTTCCAGTTATTGACACAGCACCTTCTAGCACACACGTACTCTGCAGAAACACAAACTTATTCATTCTCCCCTTGCCCTTCTGTGTTAGGTAAAATCTGGAAATTAGAATCCTCATTTTGCAAATACCAAATAACTGAGAAACAGATCAAGCTGCGACTCACTGAATCTGGAGCAAAAGCAGGTTCTATCTTCTGTCTCCTTCCTTGTGAGCTCGAGTTCCTGCTCCACTAGCCTAGATGTCAAGGTGCTTTATCCTTCTCCCTGCTCTGTTCTTTCTTTCTTTCCTTTTTGTAAAAAATGAATGAATCTTTCTTTGATAGGAGTGACAAAGGAGCATACAGAAGAGGTATGGAAATTTCAGAAGGGATGGGGTTCCTTCCTGCAGAATCTGACACTGGATCCCTGATTTACACAACCCTGGCACTGCCCCAGGAGCAGAGAAGGAAAAGTGCAAAGCAGGCTGTGCACATCCCCATCCATCTGATCGGCTCACCGGGTCCAAGCCTGGGAGATGCCTGCCAGGGAACTGTCATCTGTTCACTTTTACACACAGTCCACAGATGGAGCCCTCCAAGGTCAGTGGATGAGGGACAGGCTGTGACAGGAGGAAAACTGGGAGTCAGGGGGCCTGGATGCAGAGAGCATTTCTTCCAGTTTCCAAATGTGACTTTGGGTGCCTGGCTCTCAGTTCCAAAGGTTGTGGTGAGCCCTGAGTGCTGCCCCCTTCTCCTGCTTATACTTAGCAGGGTTCTATTCTCAACTGAGAGGGGGCTGTTCAAAGCAGGACAGTGAGGATCATGCTCCAGACTGTTGTTGAGAGACACTGAGGTCTGATACAGAAGAATGATGTCAAGTCCAAAGACCAAGGAAGGGGAAGAAGGGAGCTAGATAGCAGCTGGGGAAGTCAATGCCAAAGGAATTAGGGACAACATCAGGTTTCAGACTGTGGTTCAGAGTGAGCCCCCATCTGTGAGTGTGAGCTAGTGCCTCTCTGGAACACCAGCACCACCCCAGGAGCCTTACGGCTTCATCTGCAAAAGGGGTCATTGTACCTGTGGAGGAGGCGTCTCCTTAGGAGTAGAAGAGAATTTATGTGAAGGAGACTCTGGTCAGTGCTGAGCCCAGATCATGGGTGGCTCCGTGATGAACTCAGGTGGGTCCCAAACATCAGACATTCCCCTACCCATCCCACAGTCAGCCGAAGCCTCTTCTTCACCATCAACAGCAAATGGGCACACACTGAAAACCTTGGCTGTGCCACATTTCTTACCTATGTTGATTCTTTTACTCTGCAATGATGCCGCACCTGGGGCCTGAGAGGGAAGGGACCCACCCAGGGTTGTTCCACCGTAGATGGTGCAGCCAAAGGGAGCTGCAGCCTGGCCATACCCTCACTCCTGGTCACCACGCTGCCACCTTTCCACCATGCCAGTCCTGTCCTGATCTAGGAGGAAAGTGAAGGCTGCCAAGGGATCTCCAGCAGAGCCTTCTTTTACAATTATAGTAGAAATTGGATCCTTCTTATTTCACTACTCTGGTTTTGTTAACAGGCTATTTATGTGGCACTAACTGCCCATGGGGGTCAAGTCCCCAATGGGCTAGAATAAAGGGAAGATGTGATATCCTTTCTTCTTCAGCAAAAAAGGATTGCTGGTATTGCTCCTTTAAACTTCTAGCCCACTCACCTGGGAGGTTCAGCCTGCCCTGTCACCTTGGAGCACTCAGGCTGCTGGGCATGTCCTGACTTTTCCCTTTTCACGTTCCCTTTGACTCTGCAGGAGGGAAGCGGGTCCAGTTGATCTGGAGAGGCTGAAAGGAGAGAGAACTGAGGCAGAAGTAATCAGTGGAAATTCCAGAGGGAGACAAATCAGAACCCACTGTCTAAGCACAAAGGGCTGCTGGCTTAGTAAAGTGAGGCTAAGGTGGGGAGGTCAGTGAGCCAGGGAGCCTGCCCACCTGCAGAGTGGCTCTGCAGCTTTGTCCCTGTAGGAGGAGGCCCTGAACTCTGCACCCACCTTGGTGGGCTGCGCATTTTGTGCTGTGAGACCACTGCAGGTGCAGGCTCAAAGCCCTGCCCCTGCAACCCTCTCCACCAACGTGCCTCCTGAGGGGCAGGTAAGGCAGAGGTAGGCCTCAGGGTGCCACCCCCATGAAGTTGCGGGTGCCCTGCTTACTTCTCTGGGCTCTGCCTTTGCCTTGATAACTAGGGGACAGTTAGGTGGTTTGCAGGAAAAAGACATGTTGCTGTTGAAAATTCTGTTTTCAGGCTGGGCATGGTGGCTCACAATTATAATTCCAGCATTTTGAGAGGCTGAGGTAAGAGGATTGCTTGAGGCCAAGATTTTGAAATCAGCCTGGGCAACGTAGCAAGACTTCTCTACAAAAAAGTAAAAAATAAATAAAATTTTCAGTGCAGCAATTGGGTTCTTTTTTTTTTTGAGATGGGATCTTGCTATGTTGTCCAGGCTGGCCTTGAACTCCTGGGCTCAAGTGATTCTCCTGCTTTAGCTGCCTGAGTAGCTGGGACTACAAGTGTGTGCCATGGCATATGGCTAGCAGTTGTTATTTGTTTACACTATGTTATGAACAGAATGTCTGTGTCTCCCCCCAAAATTTATACATTGTAACCCTAAACCCCAATGTGATGGTATTCGGAGTTGGGGCCTGCGGGAGGTCCTTACGGCTGGAGGAGGTCACAAGAATGGGCGCCCATGATGAGATCAGTGTGCTTGTAAGATGAGGAAGATACTGACCTCTTCTTGCTCCGCGTGAGGATGCAGTGATATGGCAGCCATCCTCCACCAGGAGGAGAGTCCTCGCCTGTCAGCATGCTGAGCATGGACTTCCCAGCCTCCAGAATTATGAGAAATAAATGTATACTGTTTTTTAAGAATGTATTTTTCTACTTGTTTGCTTTTGGGGAGTCTAAACAGTTTCTTGACAGGACAAAGTACATTATTATTAGAGATAATGCAAGTTATTAATTACCAAATATATTTGTATAGAAAGAAAAAAGACACAAAATATCTATGAATTGTAAGAAATAAGCACTGTTGCAGTACAAATATCCCAAAACATTCATGTGGTGCCATGTGCAGCTCTCCGAAGCTCTTCAGCTCTAACCTGGAACAGCCGTGCTCAGGGTGATGCTGCTGGGAGTCTGGAGATAGATGAAGACACTCCCCCCACACCCGCCTTCATACTCGCACATGCACCTGCACACTGGGACACACACTTGTGCAACACATGTAGTCCTTACACTGGAAAAGCCTCCAGTCCAGTAAGTGAAGCACAAAAGGTGAATAAATAACAAAGCTCCAGACAGGAGAGGGTGCAGCCCACAGAGAGGGGGGCAGGCCCGCTGTCATGTTCCCAGGAAGTGGGATGTAGTCAATGGATCTTCCTTCCAGGGTGGGCTAGCTTTGCAGCCAGGAAAGGGGGATAGGAAATGGGGATTCAAGGGGCCACCCTAACAGAGAGTCATGGCCCATGCCTTCAGGTGTTTGCATTGCAAAGAGTGTGAGAAACATCAGTGTGACTATTTCAAAGCAAGTGAAGAATCATCAAGGCTCATCACCATTCTCTGCAGTCTGGGGAAGATCACTCACAGCTTACCTATACCAATCCGATTCTATCACTCTATTCACAGGTTGCTTGCAGCCCAGGATGAAGCCCAATCTCCTAAAACCTGGTGTGAGGCCTTTAGTGATGAGACCACTACCCATCTTTCTGGCCTCACCTTACGCATCCTACACTCTGGTGCTCCATGCTTCTTCAAACTCAAAAATCAGAAAGAGCAACACTGCCCCTAGGAGCACCGCCTTCCCCCACCCCCAGGGTCACAAGCACCCACACACAGGCCACCCCTGCTCCTCAGGTCTCAGCAATCTTGATTACTCCCTGTCTTCATGGGGCCCCCTCCCTCTCTGCTCCCCCAGGAGCCCTTCCTCTCCCCTTTGGAGCAGTCATCACTCTGCATAATCACTGCTGTTTACTTGTCCTTTTGGGCAGGGCCATACCTGCCAGGCTCACCTGCTCCTGTGCCCCCAACAGCTGCTCTGTATCTGTCCAGTAGCAGACACCAACAAACACTCGCCAAGCCAACTGACAAACACAGAGGCAAGGAAAGAATACATCTGGGGACTGGGCCTCCCAAAGTGTGACTCTACCACTGTGGATACAACAGCTTCTTCGTTATTGGTTAAATCACTTTGTTTTGCTATTTTTTTCGCCATGGCTGCGGGTGAGAAAAGCTTTATGTACATTTGACAAGGTCTATCTTAGCTGATGAGTCCTCTTTCAATCAATTCTGTATTTTCAGGTGGCTCTTGAACAGAAGGAACTCTTCTTTATGCTGCTGGCCAGGGCAAATGTGTCCTGTACCCCCAAATTGGATAGATGATGTGAGGCCATGCTTAATACATGCTATGGGAGGAGACCCTTGTGGGACCTGGGTGCCTGATAGCAAGCAAACTGCATTAAAGGAATGCCCCTAAGGACCAGCTGCCATGCCAGCTGTGCAGAAGCAAAATAAGGGTTCTTTGTGGGCCAGTGCTGATCTGCATGACAACTGCCCAGGGAACAGAAGCCAGCATGCTGCAGAGAGTTGCCTTTGGTTCAGGCACTCGCCTGAGTAAGTTCCTTTGTTTAAAGGCATTCTTTTCTTAAAATATGAATGATAAACAGAGAATCACAAAAATGAAATTGCTTACCTTTGTGTTTCCTTCCTCCAGTTTCACATGCTGCAGAATTACACAAGTGGTTATTTTTGCAAAAGAATTTTTTTCGCTCGCAGAAAAAAAGCAAATGCAGCAAGAAATATGTCTTCTTGAGCCAAAAAATGGGTTCTTAGGCCTTTTAGAAAGTGCCAGCAACCATGCTAATAATTAATGACGTTTAAATGCTTAGTTCTGCACCAGCAATATTTTCAAGAATCCCAACCTCTTAGTTTTTCTTGATGCTAGAGCTACACTTGTACAGCAAAAAAAAAAAAATACAGTCTTCCTTTATCTTAGTAAAGAGGTGCATTGCACTGTTCGCTTGGTGCCTAGATTGAAGTCGATGTCTGTATCCATTTTTGGAAGCTCGAGTTTTTGAGCATATGCTACAAATTCTGGCCTCACAGGTCATCCTGTAGCAAAGTTTTGTAAAGCTAAGATTTTTCTTTCTCTTTTCTTTTTTTTCCCCTAATCTCTAATGGTCCTGAGAACAAGCATGTTTTCCAGCTTTCAGCTGAACTACAATTTTCTTAAAGATACTGAAGATTATGATACCACATTCAGTCATAATAATAGGTATGTATTATGGGATAATTAACTGAATCATAGAAATTATTAACTAGATAAAATTCAAAGAGAAGCCATCTGCTCAGGCAGGACAGGGGTGAGGCAGGTTTCTGGGGGACATGAGGACAGCCACTTTGTTGACACAAGGAGGATGCAGGCTCTGGTGTGGACAGGCTGGGTCATTACCCATGATAGCCAGAAATGCCCAGGAGAATGTAAGGCCAAGTCTGTGTTCAGGTCAAGTGACAATCTAAGAACAAGAAGTGGAAGACTGAGGTCAGGAGAGAGCAGAACAACTGCAGGGCCAGCCATACAGGACAACAAAAGAAAGAGCCGCCACGTCCTTATGGGCATGTGGGGGGCTTG